>NC_000003.12:146205574-147455574 GCF_000001405.40 Homo sapiens | reverse complement strand
AAACAGATGCAAACCTTTCCCGGGGACATCAGCTGGTACGCAAAAGGGCAGAATGTGGCCTTAAGATGAAACTGAATGCAAAGTCAAAATTAATTTAACTTATATTTTATTTATGATTCAATGAATTAATAATCAAGGATATTTGCATGGGCAAGTTTTTAAAGAGACATTCTTTGATTGAGTTAGTATTTTCCTTCAAAAGATATTTGAAATATTAGCATAATAGAGCACACTGAAGTACAATCCAAAAACTCATTTGTGAAAATTATTTATACTGTAGGCAGGTATTACCAATCCAAATTAGTGAATATGTAGCAAGTGATACATGCTGCCTTATGCAACCTAAAGTCTATTGTGACAAATTTCATTTTGATGGAATCTTCTTGTAGTAAAATTATATTTAAAAAATATGGAACTTGATTTGTCCAATAGTTTCTAAGATTAGGCAATATCCCTAAGCATTATTTTTCTAATTCATGTCCAGGAACCTTTTTAAGTGAGAATCTACTAAGGTTTAAGAGTAATGAAGTGGGTAGGAATAAGCAAACACTGTGTATCAGGAAACTGAGGCATACGCCAGTAGTTCTTCATTTCTCAAAAGATGCAACTAATACCACTAACACATTTGAAACCTCCTTGAGCCACCCCAAACAATTCTTGTGCAACATGTATATGTCCAGATCATTCCTTTGCAATTATTTTTATATGCATTCGTATACAGAAATAAATGACCTTTTTTAGGTCTTTATATTTATATTATGCTGAACATTATTCTGAAGCTTATTTTTCACTTCATCTCGTCTGTGGTTGAGAACAAATGGCCAAGAGTTAAACCCCAATTCTGCCCCTTTATCACCTATGTTACCCCAGGCAAGTCACTCCAGTTCCTCTCTCAGTTTTTTTCATCTGGAAGATGGGAATAATGATAATATTATCTCTCTCATAGGGTTTTGTATGAAAGGTTTAAATGAAAATCTTTTAGAACAGTGTGTGATATACAACATAAAATCTATATGTGTTGGCTAGTTAGTATTATAAGATGCTATCATGTCCCTTATTCTTCTTAATTTCCAAATATTACTACAAATCCTGGAATCCCTAGGAATCTCCTTCATCTGGAAACCCTGGAGATCTTGTCTATCTCATGCCTTTAAATGCCATTCACACACTAACGGTTCTCAGGATTACGTCTTTGGTCCAGACCTTTCCCCTGAACTGCAGACTCACATATAAAAATGCCTATCCTAATAAGATGTCTAATAGACATCTCAGACACACTATGTCTAAATCTGTACTTCTGACCTTCCTCCCAGCCAGCCACTCACTTGCTCTCCTTGTTGATCAGGCTAACGCCCTTGGAATTCTGTCCTACTTTTTTCTGTCTCTCTTTCCACATCCTATTTATCTGTCAGGAAATACTGGTGGCCCTATCTTCCATATATGTACATCCAGCATCCAAGCTCTTTTCACATCAACCTTCACAGCTCTGGTCACAGCTACAATCATTCTTACTTGGTTATTTACAATAGCCTCCCAACTGCTTCCCCTGCTTCCACCCGTGCCCTCCCTTTAGTGCGTTCTCTACACAGCATCAACATGATTCTATTAAAACATAAAGCTGGGCATGGTAGCTCATGCCTGTAATCCCAACACTTTGTGAATCCAAGGCAGGAGGATTCCATGGGCCCAAGAGTTCAAGATCAGCCTGGGCAGTGTAGAGAGACCCCATCTCTACTAAAAATTCTTAAAAATTAGCTGGGTGTGGTGGCGTGTGCCTTCAGTTCCAGCTACTTGGGAGGCTGAGGTGGGAGGATGGCTTGAGCATGGGAGGTCAAGGCTGCAGTGAGCTATGATCACTCCACTGTACTCTAGCCTGGGCAATGAAACAAGACCCCATCTAAAATAATAATAATAAAGCAGACACATCAGTCTTCTGCTCAAAACTCTGCAATAGCTCCCCCTCATTCAAAGTTAGAGCCAAAGTCCTCACAACACCTACAAGCCTTACCCGCAAAATTACCTTTTTGCTCACTTTACTAAGTTAGATGGCCTCCTTGCTGTTCCACAAACCACCAGGCATGTTTTCACCACAGGATCTTTGCACTTACTTGAACTAAAAGTAGATGCTTTTTCTCCAAATATCCACAAGATTGCTTCCCTCTCATCCTTTAGGGATTTGTTCAAAGGTTACCTTCTGATTGAGTCCTCCCTGATCATACTATTTAAAATTGCAAACCACCTTTCACATGTCCCTACCTTGACTCTGCATTTCCTGTTGTCTTTTTCTCCATAATATTTATTACCATTTTTCTTAGTACTTTACTTTTTAAAATTTTGTTTCTTGCCTATATCCCACCTACTAGAATGTAAGCTCCCAAGGGCAGATGTTTTTCTTTGTTTAGTTCAATGCTTTATCTTCAGTGCCTAGAAGAGTGCCTGACACATGCTAGCTACTCACAGATATCAATAATAATAAATATAAATAAATATTTGAAAAATAAGTAAGTCAAGGCACTATAAGTTATTCATCCATTATTCCCTTGATGAGTAAAAATGTAAATTGTTTCCTAAAACATATACATCTATATGAGGGTTTCCCTAGAATATATATCAAAAAGTGGAAAGGCGGGGTCGAATATTTGTACAAATTCATTGTAACACTACCCATTAAGCTTCCAAAAAGTCTGTAAAAACTTATATTTTCTTTTTCTTTTCTTTCTTTCTTTTTTTTTTTTTTTTTTTTTTTTTTTGAGATGGAGTCTCGCTCTATCACCAGGCTGGAATGCAGTGGTGCGATCTTGGCTCACTGCAACCTCCACCTCCCCTATTCAAGTGATTCTCCTGCCTCAGCCTCCTGAATAGCTGGGACAACAGGCACGCTCCACCATGCCCAGCTAATTTTTGTATTTTTAGTAGAGACAGGGTTTCACCATGTTGGCCAAGATGGTCTCGATCTCTTGACGTCAGCTGATCCACCCGCCTTGGCCTCCCAAAGTGCTGGGATTACAGGCGCGAGCCACAACGCCCGGCCGACAACTTATATTTTCAAAGAACAGTATATAAAAGCACTCCTTCAAAATTCACCTCTCATAATTGTATATTTTAATCTACAGTTCCTTTTGCTTGGAAGGTCCTTTTTGCCCTCAACCACCTGTGTCTCCAGGGTGAAATTCTACACATCTTTCAAAACCCAACTCAATCACCATGTCCCGGAGGTAATCAGTCTACTCTTCCCATTCTGAGTAGGGCCCAGAAATCTGAATTTTTATTCAGCACCTCAGATGATTCTAACTTTATTGATTCACAGAACACACTTTAAGGAATATAGTTATTAAGAAATACTAAGGCAAATATACTAGGACCAAGCATTGAAGACATATATCGTTACATACTACCAACCATTTCAATCATTCTTATAGGCAGGTATGTTACAATCTTCGTTTATTAGATAATCTTCCCAAAAACTCATGAATATAAGCTAATTCACTTAGTAAAGTACACCTGAGATTAAAGAATTTATTGACTATAACTTATCCCAGTTAAATTAAGCCAAATAACTCAGATAAAGTTTCTTGTTATATTGCTATGTCTCAACTTGCTGAAGTATGAGTCAGAAGAGCTTATGCAGCTTTCAGATGGGAAGAAATAGGGGCATATGGGAAGGGAGCATGTTGTCCAGTAACTGCATACACCAGACACACAGAATAGCTGGAAAAGATGATCTCATCAATCCCCATTTTATAAAGGTGAAAACTAAGGTTTAGAGTGGTCAAGAAATTCACTCTAGGACATACCCTCTTAGTAACTGGTGAAATAAAGATATTTTTACCTAGGTCTTTCTGGCAACAAAATTCATGGTTTTTTCCCAATATGCCAGATTGCCTCCCATATACCCCCAAAAGTACAACTGTGTGTGTAAAAAATAATTTGTGTTTCTTGAAAAATGAGAATAATAGTAGCTCACACATGAGAAGTTAAGCAAGTAAGCCTAAAGTGCTAAGTGTATCACCTGCCACTCAACAAATCTTGGTTATTATTCGCTACTGTTAATATACTGCAGTGTAGTCAAGTGATCAATATAGACATCTAAAATTTCCATTCTTGTAAAACCAGAAATAAAACTCAGTACGCTTATGTACCATGGGCCAAGCCTGTAAAAGCTTGGAATTAGACTTAAATTGTGTTAATAAACAGAAATTCAGCTTGTGTTTATTTGGTGTTGCATAACAGTTATCTAAGTAAAATCTTCAGGGAACTAGTAAATTGGCATTTTGTGTGAGAATAGAAATTTGTGATGTTCTTATCCAAGTTAGGAAACTTCTCACATGTTCTTTCTACTCTGAGTAACAATACATGCAACATGCAATATTACATGTATCTATATAACAAGATTGCTTATTTAATATTACAATTAGTCTCTTAATTTTTTATTCTCCATGTGATGCCTATCACAGGTTTGCCTTTTTACAATAATGGATTTAGATACTGTAAGTAACCATGATTACAGTAAATTGGTATTTGTTTTCATAGGAAAAGATCTTATAAAATGTTAATGGTAGAACCAAAGTTAATGCTATTGTAAAAATACAAAGATATATGTGTACATTGATGTATCTTTAATAAAGATACTGTAAGAAAAATGTATTACACCATCGTTTTCAAGTAGTCTAAAATTTTTTTTCTGGTAAAACCTATTATTCACCAGAAGATGTAATTAAGCAACTGAATTAAAATACTGCTTGATCTGGTTAATTTTAATGTATATGTGCTACATATTTAATATGTTTGGATTAAAGAAAATTATTATTTAACTTAGGTTTGAGAAAGCATGTAAGTGTATTTATTCTGACACTAAATTTTGAAGAAAGAGACATTATATTTATACTTCATCAAGCGGTAATGACTATGGTGTCCTGTGACTTTTGGGAAAGCTGAAGTATTCTGAGATCTATTTTTCAGAAAGATAATATATGATTTTGAATTAAGTCAAGAAAATAACAGTCAGTGTTATGAAGTTACCATTCTTGTTGGGATGCCAATAACATAAATCAGCTGTCTGAGATCCATAAACCATACAAGAAGGCCTCAAAAGTGTGTTAGCCCCAACTTCAGAAGCAAGCTTATCTAATACAAAGCATGTGTAAAAGCAAACAAATAATTCATCTTTAGTTTCCAATTATTTTAATATCTAAACTTTCTTATTAGAAATAATTCTAAGAGGAGTAAAATTTTCATATTCTTAGCTACTGTTAAATATAAATTATTTTCATCCATCATCTCAAAATACCTTGGAAAATGAATAAAAGCTATTCAAGACCTAGTTCATTTATTTTATTTTATCTAACTTTATTTTCCATGCAATGTGTTTCTTCGCTTAACTTTCAAATTGTAAAATGTTATAATAAAGCAAATTTATATTAGAACACTAGGTTGCTTTTATAAACAGCAAGTTTCTCAGTTGTCACTATGGAGGACAAATGGAGTATCAAATTAAATTTTTCATATTTATTTTTTTATAAGACCCACACTTACATTTCGGTGACTTTCATTCAAACTCACTACTGCTGAATTGCAAAATGTTGTCTTTGTCCTTAAGACCATGACAGAGAACTTTATCTGCATTCAAATTGCCTGCTGGTTTGTGGTATTTCAATAATAAAACAGCAGGATTGAAGGCTCATGATGAGAAATCTGACTAATTACCTGTTAGATGATAGATGGTTGTAACTCGGCAGTGCCAGTCGCTGAAAACAAAACACTTCCAGATATCAATCAGCTTCCTGACAAATCCAATTTCCCTCACATTCAGTGGACAATAAATGGGAATTTTACCCCTACATCTACATAGCACAGAGTTTTAACTTTAAAATATGCATAATGATATTTTAATAAAGTACATTTTTAGGTAACTTAGTATTTAAATACCTGACATATTCATATTTCAAATCTCTCAACTCTTAAAAAGATACATGGTGGAAATAATTGACATTGTAAATCTGTATTGTATTCCATTGCAGAGGGTAAGGTGTGCTTAATAGTAGTTTCCCTATTTTCTTTCTACATTTACATTTAACTCAAATTATTTGCAACATCTCTAATGGCTGTGTTCATTCTTTTTTTTTTAATTTTGTAATAAATGAATTGGATGAACATTCTACATGAGATTCAAAAAACAGAATGCCTAATTAATACTGCCACATACCAGCATGTGGGCAGAGTTAAAGCAAAGAGAGATCGAAGCATGGAAATTGAAAGCAGGCCCAGAGAAACACCTTGTTCTCCCTTATAAGGAGTGATTACATCATCAACATTTGAAAGTTATGGTTAACTCTAATAAGTTATAAAATTCAATATCTTATTCTGTGTTAAAACCAAGAAAATTAATGGTGGCAGAAGAATGAAAAAAGGAAGATTATTTGCTTCCTATTTATAGAAGAAGAATGATTTTGTCTGCAAAGATTGAAAAGTTTGACAGTATGTAGTCTGAAACCAGGCACTTTCAAATGTTGTTAGTGAAAGAGTACATTGAAGCAACTTCATTAAAGGAGAATTTGGCAATAACTATAAAAATGAAAATGCTTAGAGGCAACAATCAACTTTAGGAATGTCTCCAATAATTATCTTCATACATCGGTATGAATGCTCACTGTAGTATTATCTTTAGTAGGAAAAAAAGTTTTTTAACTGAAAATAAGGTTGTTCATAGGATATTTTTTTCAATAAAGTATGTAAATTTATTTAAAAATTGCTAAGAGCATAAATTTTAAATGTTCTCACCGCAAAAAAAAAAAATTATGTTTGTGAGGTGATGGATATGTTAATTAGCTTGATTTAATCATTCCACAATGTGTGTGTGTGTATATATAAACATTACTTTGTACACCATAAATATATACAATTTGTATTTGTCAACAAAAGAATCTTAAAATGTGTAATCAAAACCTAAAAATAAATATTTATCTTAATAAAAAATAAATAGATAAAAAATAAAGTATGCACATCCATGCAATAGAATACTATGTGGCCAAACATAGTTTTTAAAAAGAATAGGGTAGACATGCATGTGCTATCTTGGAATAATAGCCAAGATACACTTTACATGAAAATAAGCCAGATACATCTGAGCCTTTGGAAAGGATATAAATTAAAGTATATAAATACAAATATATTTTTGATTGTAAATATAAAATTTATGGATTGATACACAAGAAAATGCTAGCTGTTGTTGCCTTTGGGAAAGAAGTTTAGACACCTAAAGTAGAGGGTCTTAACTTTCAATTTTGTACTCTCTTGTGTTGTTTAAAATTATATCATACTCTTTATCTCTTTTTCAACAGCAAATAAATGAACAAGTGAAGAAAGCATATGTACAATCATACTTACATATATGCACACAGGAGAGTGTGTTTAACTCTAAATTCCAACCCTTTCTAGCTGTTCCAAAGTAAAAATTCGGGGGGAGAAGGCAGTTAAATTTTTTAAAGTAGCCTGAATTCTGCAGTTTCCTAACATAACTATGAGAACAGAAACAAAAGACATGGCCCAGGTTGATACTAATAAGCTGAACTTGAACTTGGCCATGCCCTGAGGCTGACTACTTGGCTGTAACCTAGTCTGACTAAGAATTGTGACTGAGTGATTGAGGACTAAAGTACCTAATTCAGAACACCTGGGAGAATGAACGGTCACTCTGGCAGAGAAGCACATCAAGCTTACACTCCATCTGCCTAGCCAGGCAAAGCAGGAGATGTACAAGGACTAGATAATTTAGTAAAGTTCAAAAAGTAGGAAACTCATTCTCAAATGATCCCACAGTGGAATACTATAAAGGTATTGGAGACAGACACCTCCTTTTCCCAGGGCAGTAAAACACATGTTGGCACACACACACATGCATGCACACACTCTCAGCATTTTGTCCTTTCTTGTACTCCTTGTAGGATTAGAAAAAGACACCTGCAAAAGTCAAGAGAAAATCCAGAAATGACAAATGCATTGTCATGGCTAGCTTTACAAATAGAAGGGATAAGTCTTCAAACAACACAGGATTAAGAAGCTTTTAATCTTCATATAGATATATATATAAAATATGTTGAATATATATAATTGGTATATTAAACATGTTGAATATATTTAAATATATTATGTTTATTATAATATATTATTTTAATATTTAAATATATATGAATATATATGAATAATGAGGTACAGACAACAGACATGAACTCCAAGAGGAAAGAGGAGATTTGAAGCAAAATCTTTACTTGTTTCCAAATATTACCCAAGGTCTGTCCTGGCCAAAAAATTTGTGGGTACAGTAAGGCTACAGATACTTGTATCAATAACTAGAAAAAGAATAATTCCTTTACTTTGTAATATCTTTTTTCAATTAAATATATATATACACACACACATATGTATGTGTTTTCCAAATGTATTTAAGGATTATGAAAACTAAAAAACACCACAAAATGATATTAAACAGGAAAAATATGCTGGGCGTGGTGTCTCACAACTGTAATACCAGCACTTTGGGAGGCTGAGGCGGACGATTCATGATGTCAAGAGATAGAGACCATCCTGGCCAACATGGTGAAACACTGTCTCTACTAAAAATACAAAAATTAGCTGGGCGTGGTGGCATGCACCTGTAGTCCCAGCTACTCCGGAGGTTGAGGCAGGAGAATTCCTTGAACCTGGGAGGCAAAGGTTGCAGTGAGCCGATATCGTGCTACTGCATTCCAGCCTGGTGACAGAGCAAGACTCCATCTCAAAAAAATAAAAAATAAAAAGGAAAAATAAAAATAATCATATACCATATGAGGATGTAAGCAACTGGTACTGTCTTACAGTACTGGTGAAAAATTTAAATGGTACATTTTTGTAGTTTTCACAAAACTAAATTTATACTTGCCATATCAACCAACAATTCAACTCTTAAATATCTACCCGCCCCCATGAAAATAGATATCCAACAAAGACTGGTATCAAAATGTCTGTAGCACATTTATTCCTAACAACTTAAAACTGGAAACAACCCAAACAGCCATCAACAAATATATGGAGAAACAAATTGTATATTCATACAACTGAATACTACACAGCAATAAAAAGGAATAAAATACTGAAATAAACAACAACATCATGTGGAGCAAATGAAGCTATCTGCAAAATAATACATACTATATGTTTGCATTGATACAAAACTCTAGAAAAGGCAAAACTAATTTAGTGACACAAAGCATATCAGGGTTTGCCTGGATCCAGGGTTTCAGAGAATTCATTAGAATAAAGTGATGAAATGTTTTTATATATCTTGATTGTGAAGGTTGTTACATAGGTATATAAATTTGTCAAAACTTTATGAAACTTTTGCAAATGTGCACTTAAAATGGGTTTATTTTATTGTATGTATATTATACTTCAATATAGTTAATTTTTAAAACAAGCAAAATATGGCAATGCTAATATTTTAAACTGTGCAGAAATTATCTAATTGTATAGTTAAGGAGTGATTGGGAAGGAAAATGGATTAATAAAAACAGTTTTATTTACTGAGTAGAATCAGTAAAATGAAATTGGTGGAATTGTGGCCAAAATTTTTCTGTAATTTATTGAGAATGCTATTAATGTTGCTAATATCTTAAATGTTTACTATGTATAAAATTGTAACACATATGTACTTATTTATATTATGGCGAGCAAGTACATAGAAATAAGACTTAATTTTTCCTATGTATATTTTAAGTCAACAGCTATTTGGAGAGTCTACCATATTTAAACTATATTGACACATTGACACAGAGATATAAAAGATTGGGATTCTGGTCTCAAGATGCTTTCAATCTAGTATGAGAGATATATGTTTATCAAGAATACATTTAATAATTTAGTGGGGTTTGAAATGATTAAAGTGTAGTTCTTAATATTAAGCTACATATAGCATATGCTTTTACAAAATTTTGAAGTTGGACCTGTGTGAAGATTGAATAAGGGGGGAGGGAAGGAAGTGCAAGTGGAGACTTACCAACATATAAAGAAAAGAAAAAAACAATGTAAGACTAAATAAAAGAGAAAATACTAATATAAGTTATTGAATAATATCATCTCTAGAAAAGAAAAATATAAATAAAACATAGAAGGAAATCAAAGAGTAGTAGAAATGTAAGACTTTTTACCCAGGGTTCCCAAATAGAAAAAATATAAATTAATAAACAGGTTTATTTCAAGAAGCAATTATTTGTATTATCAAATTATATATACATGTATTATACAAAGTGCAGTCATAGATATATATAAAAAATTAATCCAAAAGTTAATCCAAAAATCCAAGAAACCCTAACACAATAAAATTATTTTGAGCTCTTAAAAAAGTTATCCAAGTTTAACAAAGAAGGAAACAAAAGACACTGGGCTCCACTTGAGGGTGGAGGGTGGGAGGAGGGAGAGGAACAGAAAAGATAGTGGGTACTGGGCTTAATACCTGGATGATGAAATAATATGTACAACAAATTCCTGTGACACGTGTTTACCTATGCAACAAACCTTCACATGTACTCCCAAACCTAAAATAAAAGTTAAAAGAAAATGTTTTCCAAGTTTAAAGACCATGCTTGTTTTCTCTGATTATTTGCAACTCAGTTTCTCAAAAGACATAGTTACCAGAATACATGTACCTAACCAAAAATGTCTAAGTAACAATAGATAACAGAGATCTTCATAGAATTGGAATCTGGGAAGAATCTTCCAAGTATATAACATGTCTATGATATAAATTCACCAAAAATCATCCAAGAGAAAACCCAATGAGCAAATCAAGATTTGACAAGATAGATGCAGTTGAAGGACTAGAAAAAATAAAGTTCAAAATTATTTGTCCTTGTTAGTCACAAATATTATTTGATATTCTCCTAAGCAGCAACAAATATTTAACAACTTCTAAACAGTTCTCAAGAAATACTCATGAAGTGCCTCTGTACTAAGATTGGGGAATAAAAGCACAGGCTCCTGGTGGACAGTGAAGAAAGGAAAAAGGCTAAAAGGAAATCAAGGTGTTGGGAAAAATAAGGACAGTTTGAAATTCAGTGGGTTAAAATTTAAATGTTCAATGGTAGATTGTTACAAAAAAATTGATTTAAAGGGCATAAGAAATTATGGATGAAATGATACCAACCCTGGGATTTTCTTGATAATAATATAGGAATGGGGAGTAGAGTGAGAGTATGAAAGAAACATGAGTGGCCATTAGTTGACAGTTGTTGAAGCTGAGTAACTATTAATACATGGGGGTTGTTATACTATTCATCCAGTTTTTTAATTTTTTTATTTATTGTTTTATTTTTTGAGGGAGGGTCTTACTCTGTCACTCGGGCTGGAGTCGCAGTGGTATGATCATAGCTCACCGCAGCCTTGACCTCCTGGGCTCCAGCAGTTCTCTCACTTCAGCCTCCTGAGACTGAAGGAGTCTGCAGGCATATGCCACCACCCCCATCTAATTGTTTTGTATTTTTTGTAGAGATGGGGGTCTTATTTTGTTGCCCAGGCTGGTCTCAAACTCCTGAGCTCAAACAATCCTCCTGCCTTGGCCTCCCAAAGTGCTAAAATTACAAGTTGCCTTTCTATATTTAAAATGCTCCATGACAGGTTTTTAAAATGGAACAAAGAAGAAATTAAGTAATAAATGAGGAAGAGAGACAAAAAGGACAATTTAAGATGTCTTTATAATTGACTGTCCATGCTGGAACAGGTTGGGAATGAAAGGGAGCAGGATTAATAGTTCTAACTTCTATCAGCCTAAGCCAGGGTTGTCTTCAGCAGTTTAGGATATATAGTCATTCTACTTTTAACCATCAGGTTTCAAACAACAGGGTACCAGGATTTAACATTTTAACAAAACAGAAAACGTACAGAACAACTTGGAATTGACAACATTTAGATCATTAGCAGCCAGTTGTTATTTAAGTCTTTGTGAAGAATTAGTTTCAAATGATTGTCATGATTATTGATCCTTCTGTGCTATATAAGTTGAAAACTGCTTACCGGGGATTGAATCTAGCCTACAGAAGTATGTGTGTTTTGGCCTGCAATGTACTGGGCAGAGGGCAAAAAAAAAAAAAAAAAAAGAGAAAGAAAGAAAAGAAAAGAAAAAAAAAACTTTGAGTTAGTTGACGTTTCCAAGCTGAAAGATATCATATTAAAATCTTCCCTTAAAAAACTTGAGAGAGTGTTAGCGCTAGTTGGGCATTGTCACGTGTCAAAAACGGGCTGCAGCACAGCATCCTCTCTCTGGTTTTCCCCACTTCTTACCTCTCCCTAGTGATTTCTAACGCTGAGAAGCTTTGCTTATTTTCCTTCTTAGGCTCCTACAGGCATCTGAGTTTTCAACCTTCATTCTAGATCATTGTGTCAATGCCAAGAGCATTGACACAATGAAAGTGAGGCTGGCTGTAGAAGCTGTCATTTTATAAGTAATTTGAAATATAAATCAACAAGTCCAAGCAAATAATTTGAGCATTTTTTAAGATTTGTAGGGTATATATTGTACTACAATTGTTTAAATAAACCCAACAGAGGAAGTAATTCAATTTGAAAATTTATCTTTAATTTGTCTACATTTCAAATTGTTTCATAACTGCCAAGGAAATTTAGCCTGAATTTATATGAATTCAGAGCTCTCTTACTAAAAATGACAACAGCCAATCTATAGTCCATTGGCAACATACACAGTTCCAATCTACAGCCCACTGGCAACATACACTTAGAGGCCCTGGCCCAATAACGGCTGCTCACCTACTTTTTTCAATAAGCTCAGAATGTCAATGGGTGTGCAACTGTTGGCAAATCTTTATTAATTACAAGGCTCATAAGCAACTGTGCAATGTGGAAGGTTGGGGAGAGAGCTCCATTCTGAAAAAAGAGTTCAGAAATAAATGGGGTTTCCAATGACAAAGCATTCCAAAATAAGATAGTTTTGACAGTAGAGAGAATAGCATAGGAAAGCAAGGATGCTCATCATGGACACTGGTGTCCAAACAACAACTAAAAAAAAGGCTTTCAGCTGGGCACGGTGGCTCATACCTGTAACCCCAGCACTTTGCAAGGCTGAGGCGGGTGGATCACTTGAGGTCAGGATTTCGAGAACAACCTGGCCAACATGCAAACCCCATCCCTACTTAAAATACAAAAATTAGCTGGGCCTAGTGATGCACACCTGTAGTTCCAGCTACTTGGGAGCCTGAGGCAGGAGAATCGCTTGAACCAAGGAGGTGGAAGTTGCAGTAAGCTGGGTTTGCACCACTGCACTCCAGCCTGGGCCATAGAGCAAGGCTCCTTTTTTTTTTTTTTTTAATATAAAAAAGACTTCCAGTCTCTAGCATAGGCCAGGCATGATGGGTCACATCTGTAACCCCAGCACTTTGGGAGACCACACGGCAGGAGAATTGCTTGAGGCCAAGAGTTCAAGACCAGCCTGGGCAACACAGTGAGAACTCATCTCTACAAACAATTTTTTTAAACTTAAAAAATTAGCCAGGTGTGGTGGTGCGTACCTTTATTCCCACCTACTTAGGAGGCTGAGATGAGAGGATCACTTGAGCCTAGGAGGTCCAGGCTGTAGCGAGCTATGATTGTACCACTGCACTCCAGCCTGGGTGGCAGAGCAAGATTCTACCTCAGAGCAACAACAACAACAAAAATCTTTAGCACAAAGGAATCAAAAAGGTACAGGAGGTTTCATAAGAGTGACCTAAATGTTTTAAATATATACACATATTTCTGGCAAAAGTCTGTGTGACCTGAACTGATGTATCTTGTGAAGTGAAGAACTGTTGGCCTTCTTAGTGTTGGTCCTAATGCAGAGAAAAGAGGAATCAGAGAGGCCAGTTTGGAAGACTTTAGTTCCTACTGGTTTCCATGATGAAATTTCCACTGCAGCCAGGCTAGTGTCCACATTTGTCTCTGTATGACCATTCAAAATGTTTAGCCTCACCCGCATCTCTGGATTTCCACTGAACATCATTTATATTAGTATTTTAGGGTATGGGTTATTGAAGTTCTTGGTGATAAAGTACACGAGCTAAAACCTATTTAGACACCCATCTTAAACACTTTGTATTCCTTCATACAATTAAAAACTATGAAATGATTAAGAGAAATAAGTTAGAGCTATAAAGAACAGCAGGAATCTCAGGACATATTGTTCAGTGACAAAATTGCGTGATACCCAATGTGACTAACTTATTCACTGTATATACTCACAATCTCAGAGTCCTCTCTTCCTATTGTCTCCTTTCAAACCCCCTCCAAAGACATCTTTATCTCCATGATCATATCTCCCTTATTCATGTTCATGTTCAGTCACTAACATCCTTGTTACTGAATTGGATGATCAGCTCTCTTATTTCATCTGAATTGACCTGCCATCAATATTGACACAGCTGATCACTCCCTCCTTCTTGAGACATTGTCTTCATATGACTTCCTGGACACAACCCTCTCCTGGATTTTCCTTCTCTTCACTCAATATTTTCAGTCTTCCTTGTTAGCTCTTTTATATCTTTAGGACCTCTGAATGTTTGAGTGCCCAAGATTCAGGCCTTAAACTTCTATCTATGTATTAATTTTGGTGGTCTCTTTTAGCCTCAAGGCTTCAAATACTGTGACTATGCAGATGGCTCAAAAATCCATCTGCCTGTTCAACTACTCCACATAAATATCTGAAGGCATCAACTAACTTGACATCCCCAAAACTGAGTTTCTGATTTTCACCTAATACACACCCCCAAAACCTTCCCCTTCCACAATCTTCCATATGCCAGTTAATGAAAACTCTATTCTTCCAATTAGTCAAGGTCAAAAACATGTCAACCTTGACCTCTCTCTTTCACATCCCAAATATAATCCATAAGAAATCACTGTGCATGCTACCTTCAGAATCATTCCAGAATCTTGACTGTTTACCACTTTTTCTGCTACTTCTTTGTCAAACTTACTAAGCTCTCTTTCCTGAATCATTGTCATAGCCTCCTAACATCTGCCTGCCATTAGCTCCTTCAGTCTCATCTCAACACAGAAGCCGTAATAATCCACTTGAAATATGTCAGATCAAGTTACTTTGCTGAAAACCTTGCAGTGCCTTCTACCTCACCAAGGATAATATCCAAAGTCCTTACACTTATTAACAAGAACCTAAATGATCAGTTCTCTCTCTCCCCCAGTTCTCCAAATCCCTTAATCACTCTGACCTCTCCTACTTTTTCCTCCCTTGTTCACTATGCTTCAGACTCATAGAACTCCTTGATATTGTCTGAGCATTCAGGTCATTTGCTGTTTCCTCTGCTTATGATGGAAGTCTTGGCTCAAATATTACCTTCACATTGAACTGTCCTATAACCACCTCTTTTGTTTCCTATATATCTTCATGACTTATTTTTCTGCACAGCATGTACAGTTTTTCAAAGTACCATAGTGACATACAGTCATATGCCATATAATGATATTTCAATGACAAGACCACATATATGACAGTGGTCTCATAAATTATAATGAAGTTGAAGCATCCCCATCACCTAGTGATGTCTAGCCATTGTAATATTGTAGCATAACACAATACTCACATGTTTGTAGCAATGCTGGTGTAATCTACTGCACAGCCAGTTGTATAAACGTATAGGTCTGCCAGGTGCAGTAGCTCATGCCTGTAATCCCAGCACTTCGGGAAGCTGAGGCCAGTGGATCACCTGAAGTCAGGAGTTTGAGACCAGCCTGGCCAACATGGAGAAACACCTTCTCTACTAAAAATACAAAATTAGCTGGACGTGGTGACGCATGCCTGTAATCCCAGCTACTCAGGAAGCTGAGGCAAGAGAATCGCTTGAACTTGTGAGGCAGAGGTTGCGGTGAGCTGAGATCATACCATTGCACTCCAGTCTGGGCAACAAGAGTGAAACTCCGTCTAAAAAAAAAAAGTATAGGTCTACCTCATTTTATTGCCTTTCACAGATATTTTGTTTTTTCACAAATTGAAGGTTTGTGACAACCCTGCATAAAGCATGTGCTCACTTTGTGTCTCTGTGTCACATCTTGGTAATTCTCACAATATTTAAAACTGTTTTATTATTATTATTATATCCATTATGGTGGCCTGTGATCAGAGATTTTGGATGTTACTATTGAAATTGTTTGGGGGTGCCACAAACCATGCCCACACAAGATAGCAAACAATCAATAAGTGTGTGTTCTGACTTTCCACAAACAAACCATTCCCCAGTCACTCTCCCTCTCCTCGGACCACCCTATTCCCAGAGATACAATAATATTAAAATTACGACAATTAATAATCATACAATGACTTCTAACTGTTCAAGTGAAAGGAAGAGTCACACATCTCTCACTAAATCAAAAGCTAGAAATGATTAAGCTTAGCGAGGAAGGCTGTCAAAAGCCAAGCCAACAGCTAGGCCTCTTGTGCTAAACAGCCAAGTTGTGAATACAAAGGAAAAATTCTAGAAGGAAATTAAAATTGCTACTCCACTGAAAACACAAATCATAAGAAAGTGAAACAGCCTTATTACTGATATGGAGAAAGCTTTAGTGGCCTGGATAGAAGATAAAATCAGCCACAACATTATCTTAAACCCAAGCCTAATCCAGATTAAGGCCCTAATTTTCTTCATTTCTGTGAAGGCTGAGAAAGGTCAGAAAGTACAGAAGAAAAGTTTAAAGCTAACAGAGGTTGGTTTATGAGGTTTAAAGGAAAAAGCCATCTCTATAACATAAAAGTGCAAGGTGAAGTAGCAAATGATGATGTAGAAGCTGCAGCAAGTTATCCAGAAGATCAAAAAGTTACTATACTAAACACCAGATTTTTCAATGTAGAAAGAACAGCCTTCCATTGGAAGAAGACGCCATCTAGGATTTTCACAGCTAGAGAGAAGTCAATGCCTAGCTTCAAAGCTTTAAAGGATAGCCTGACTCTCTTCTTAGAGACTAATGCAGATGGTAACTTTAAATTGAAGCCAATGCTCATTTGTCATTTCAAAAATCCTACGGCCCTTAAGAATTAACGCTAAATCTACTCTGCCTACGCTGCATAAATGGAAGATGAAAGACTGAGTGACAGCACATCTGTTTAGAACATGGTTTACTAAATACTTTAAACTCACTGTTGAGACCTACTGCTCCGAAAAAAAAAAAAAAAAATAGGTCTTTCTCCATATCAGAAATCAGGCTGTTTCACTTTCTTATGATTTGTATATTTACTGGAGTAGCACTTTTAATTTCCTTCTAGAACTAAATAGTACTGGTCTTTGACAATGCAACTAGTCTCTCAAGAGCTCTAATTAAAATGCAGGAGATTAATGTTTTCATGCTTGCTAATACAGCAACCGTTCTGTAGCCCATGGATCAATGAGTAAATACATTTACATCTTATTATTTAAAAAATACATTTTGTAAGTCTATAGCTACCACAAATACGGATTCTGCTTATGGATTGGGAAAAAACAAATTGAAAACCTTCTGGAAAGGATAAACCATTCTAGATGCTATTAAGAACATCCTGGGCTGGGTGCGGTGGCTCACACCTGTAATCCCAGCACTTTGGGAGGCCAAGGCGGGTGGATCACCCGAGGTCAGGAGTTCGAGACCAGCCTGACCAACATGGAGAAACCCCATCTCTACTAAAAATACAAAATTTGCTACATACGGTGGCACATGCCTGTAATCCCAACTACTCAGGAGGTAGAGGCAGGAGAATCTCTTGAAATTGGCAGGCGGAGGTTGCAGTGAGCTGAGATCAGGCCATGACATCCAGCCTGGGCAACAAGAGTGAAACTCCATCTCAAAAAAAAAAAAAAAAAAAAAGAACATCCTGGATTCATGGAGTGGTCAAAATATCAACATTAACAGGAGTTTGGAAAAAGTTGATTCCAGCCCTCATTGATGACTTTCAAGGGTTCAAGACTTCAGTGGAAGAAGTCACTGCAGATGTGGTAAAAATAGCAAGATAACTAGATTTAGAAGTGGAGCCTAAAGATGTGATTGAATTGCTGCAGCCTCATTATAAAACTTGAATGGATAAGGATTTGCTTTTAATGGATAAGGATTTGCTTTTTATGGATAAGCAAAGAAAGTGGTTTCTTGAAAGGGTATCTATTCCTGGTGAAGATGCGATGAACATTGTTGAAATGACAAGGGGCTTAGAATATTACATATATTTGATGAAGCAGTGGCAGGGTTTGAGAGGATTTACTTCAATCCTGAAAGAAGTTCTACTGTGGGAAAATGCTCATGGCCAGGAGTGGTGGCTCACGCATGTAATCCCAGCACTTTGGGAGGCTGAGACAGGAGGATTGCTTGAGCTCAGGAGCTCAAGACCAGCCTGAGCAGCATAGCAAGATTCCATCTCTATTAAGAATTTTAAAAATTAGCTGGGCATGGTTGTGTGTGCCTGTAGTTCCAGCTACTTGAGAGACTGAGGTGGGAGGATTGTGAGCCCAGAAGGTCAAGGGTGCAGTGAGCTGTGATTATGCCACTGCACTACTCCTGGGCAATAGAGTTAGACTCTGTCTCAAAAAATAGAAATAAAATAAATAAAAATAAAATAAAATGCTTTTAAACACCATCTTGTGCTATACAAAAATGGCTCATAAAAGGAAGTGTTAATTGATGCAGTAAATTTCATTATCTTATTTTAGAAAATTGCCGCAGTCACCCCAACCTTCAGCAACCATCACCCTGATCAGTCCACAGCCACCAACACTGAGGCAAGACACTCTACCAACAAAAATATATTACTTGCTGGAGGCTCAGATAATCATTAGCATTTTTAGACATAAAGTATTTTTAATTAAAGTATGTACATTGTTTTCTAACACATAATACTATCGCACACTTAACAGACTAGTATAGTGTAAACATAAATTTTATATGCACTGGAAAACCAAAAACGTTTATGTGTTGTGCTTTATTTTGATATTTGCTTTATTGCAATGGTCTGGAACCTAACCCTCAATATCATTGAGGTATGCTTGTACAGCACATACAATTATGTGTGGTACATAATACTTGGTAATGATAATAAATGGCTATGTTACTGTTTTACAGATTTACTATATTATCCTTTTTTGTTATTTTAGAGTGTATTCCTTCTACTTGCAAATATATATATATATTAACTAGAAACAGCATCAGACAGGTCGTTCAGGAGGAATTCCAGAAGAAGGCATTGTTATTAGGAGATGACAGTTCCGTGCATGTTACTGCCCCTGAAGACTTTCTAGTAAGACAAGACGTGGAGGTGGAGGACAGTGATATTGATGAACCTGAACTTGTGTGGGTCTAGGCTAATGTGTGTGTTTGTATCTTAGCTTTTAACAAAAAAGTTCAAAAAGTAAAAAAGAAATAAAATATTTTAAAAATAGAAAAAAGCTTGTAGAATAAGTATATAAAGAAAGAAAATACTTTTATACAGCTATGAAATGTGTTTGTGTTTTAAGCTGTTACTACAAAAAGAAGTCAAAATTTTTTTAAAAAAATTTAAAGTTTATAAAGTAAAAAAGTTACAGTAAGGTAAGGTTAATATATTATGGAAGTTTTTTTAACAAATTTAGTGTAGCCTATGTGTACAATATTTATAAAGCCTATACTAGTGTACAGTAATGTTCTAGGCCTTTACATTCACTCACCACTCCCTCACTGACTCACCCAGAGCAACTTACAGTCTGAAAAGCTCCAGTCATGGTAAGTGCCATGTACAGATGTACCACTTTTTGTCTTTTATACAGTATTTTTACTGTACCTTTTCTAGGTTGAGATATGTGTAGATACACAAATACTCACCATTGTATTACAGTTGCCTACAATATTTAGTACAATAACATGCTAATACAGGTTTGTGGCCTAGAAGCAATAGGCTTTACCATGTAACCTACATGTATAGTAGTCTATACCAACTAGGTTTATGGAAATGCACTCTATTATGTTTGTAAGACAACAAAATTGCCTAATGATGCATTTTTCAGAACATACCCCCATCGTTAAGCAATGTGTGACTGCCCTTACTTATTTAATTTTATGTCTGTTTGCCTCCCCTAGAATTTAAGCTCCATGAAGGCAAGAATTTTTGTTCATTTCTTTCAATGTTGAATCTCCAGTGCATTCAATTAATATTTATCAAACAGAGAAGTGAATTTATATGATACTGTATGTTTTCTATGGAGCATGTGTGTGTGTCTTCAAACCAAGTCTAGCTTAGGGAGGGTTGGGAGTAGAATAATGGTAAATGGGTCATGATTGGCAGTGGGTGAAAGAGACTATCAAAATACTTTATCCCTCTATTGTTTTCAGTTTTTAAATATGATATAGTCATTAATTATTTTTATATAATGGAGTTATTATTTGTTAATGATAATATAACGCATGACATTACAGTATGCCTGTGGACCAGGGCATATATCTAATTCAAGCTGTGGAAAATCTGATTATCGGCCGGGCGCAGTGGCTCACGCCTGTAAGCCCAGCACTTTGGGAGGCCAAGGTGGGCGGATCACCTGAGATCAGGAGTTTGAGACCAGCCTCAACATGGAGAAACCCTGTCTCTACTAAAAATACAAAATTAGCAGGATGTGGTGGTGCATGCCTGTAATCCCAGCTACTTGGGAGGCTGAGGCAGGAGAATTGCTTGAACCTGGGAGGCGGAGGTTGCGGTGAGCCAAGATCGCACCATTGCACTCCAGCCTGGGCAACAAGAGTGAAACTCCGTCTCAAAAAAAAAAAGAAAAAGAAAAATCTGATTATCTTTCACAGGAATTTAATTTAGAATTGGGTCAGTGTGGACTAAGTCAGTCAGAGAACTGTGAGGACTAGAACCATAGGCCACATGAATTTGAAACAAAGGTCAACCAATACCACATATCAGGTGAATTTATGGAGAGATAAAGGGACCGTGGATAGGGAAATAAAGCTTACATGAAAGGAAAAACAGGAGCATAGATGCATCAGATGAGTGGAGACAGAAAGCCCATGGCCTCCTACTTCTCAGTGTCATTCACATGTAGAAACTACATTTTGTTTTCTGTCCATGTTCTTTCCTTTCATAAGAATCCTTCAACTTAAACTACTTTAAGTAGAATTTTATTCCTTGAGATAGTAGATTCTTAACTTAAATACACAATATCTTTTCCTCTGGATAAACTAAGGCAATACCCCAACAGTTAAAAAAATGCAAAATACCAGAAAATGTACTCAATGCTGAATACAGGCTTTTAACCAAAAGGTATGAGAAGGCCAAAACCAAGGTGGATTCTTGCCTTTGCAGAGTTGTTCAAATATATATTAATTTGTACTACTCTCATTATGTCTTTTTAAGGTTAATTGCTATTAAAACTATTCTCTAACAGAAATCCCTTAATTCTGCCATACTGTCCCATCAATTAAAACAACTATTTTCAGCCTCAATATCCCAAATGCTTGGTGTGTAGATTTGCATGTAATTCACTACTAATAATGAAGTACCTAAATTTATTAGCTGTTTCCCCCTTTCTATGAATTCAAATAATTTATAAATTCCCGTATGTGTTCATAAGTAGAAGAGAAATTAATGGGGGTTACAGGTAGCTCCACAGAGTCACACATTATCCTCAGCCTAGTTTACTATGTCCCAACCCCGACTCTGGAATATCCAAAGGCAGTATGTGACACTAGTGTGAACATATTGCCACCTTCCTATTGTACAGGTTGCTTACTCAGAAAGGCATTCTCTATCCTCTCAAGTTAAGGTAACCAACCAAAAATGTCTATCATGTTGTTCTGTCTCAGTATTATACTTAGCAGTATCCAATACTTTTCTTGTTTGTTTCTTTTTCTTTCTTTCTTTTCTTGTCTTTCTTTCCCACCAGAACATAAGTTCTTTGAGACCTGAAACCCAAGATGCTGTTTTGTTTATCACCATTCCCCCAGCACAATATTTCCCCAGTAGAATATGTTATACTCAGCACAAAAGAGGCTTTCAGCAAATATTTGTTCAGAGGAATAAATGACTGGTTTCATTAACATGCCAAGCTAGGTGCCCCCCACCCCAGGGCCTTTACCTTTCTCTTTACTCAGCTAGACTCGCCTACTCTTGTTCTTTTCGTGGCTGGCTCCTTTACATCATTTAGGTCTCAGCTCAAATGTTGCCTTCTCAGGCAGGTCACGACTGGTTACCCTAGCCTCTCCACCCTCTAAAATCTTCTCTATCCCGTCACCCTGTTTTAGTTCAAGGAAAGCACTTGTGACTATCTGAAGTTACTTTTTCTGTCATTTCAGTGTTTTTGTTGTTACCCATCACCCTACTAGAATATAAGCTCCATGAGGAATTTTGACTTATTCATCTTTATATTTCCATAACCTAGAAGAGGTCCTGGCACATAGGAAGCATTAATAAATGCTTGTTAAACATGTGAATAAAACATTGAATATTGCAGTTTAAAAATACATGCTCACACATGGTATCACCATTTTTCAGTATTGGGATACAGACAACAAACTAAATTGCTATATGTGCAAGTAGTGTTTTCAACAATAAAAATTTCACACATAACACAGATTAAAAGATTGCCAAATTGTATTTTTAAGATGCACTTAGAATCTCGTCTGTGTGCAAGTAGCTTAGGATCAGTAGCTGTTCAACTCTGATTACCCTCATTTAGCTTCTAAGAGAAAATATTTTCTTGTATAGACTGGAAAATGAAATTGCAAAGGAATCTCTGCTACAATTAAACCACGTCTATTCAGAGCTAAAAAACATGTGCCACTATCCAGCGTATATGTGAATGCAAACAGACACAATTCCTAGAGGAAGAAAATTCCCAATCCAGAAAATCCCTCCCATGCCTACATCCCCAAATGTAATTAAGTCACACTTCAAAACAGTCTCGGATCTAAAAGAAAAAAAGTCCTTCTATAAGCCAGATAACCACAATTACTACCACCAAAAGTCATTGGTTACTGAGTTGCCCATAGCTGACTGACTGGAACTGTCAAATGTAGAGATAGTCACTACTAAGATCAGTTCTGTCTTACAGTCCTGCAGGTCTCCAGCTTTGTAACCATTCCTAGTCAATCTGTAGGCACCTGTGACGTCTCCCTTTCACTCATCATCTTTTGGGAGCCTTTCCTGATTAACTTCATTCAGTCAATCATTTGGTCAGTCAGTCAATCAACTATTATGTATGGGGTATCTATTATGTAACAGTCATGTTTGGTATGCTGGAAATATATCAGTGGACAAAACAGACAAGAATCCTCACCTTCATGGAGCTTACATTCTAATTGCATTGCATTCATGTTAAAAACAGGTAAATACAGAGATGGCGAATAGTAGATATTTGGAAGAGATGAATAAAGAGAGTCATAGATAGATACACCAACAGATGGGAGTGTTGATACATAATTATTCTATATCTCCTAGGACACCCAGAATTATATAACTAAAGATTATATTTGGTATGAATCAGGTATGTTGCTTTCCAGTTGTTTTCTTGTAACATTATGTGTGCATGTGATCTTCATTATGGGTTTCTCTTGGGCAGAAAATATGTTCTTCATTATCTTGGTACTATATTCAGGGAGCAAGTTGTACAGTGTCCCAAAATAGACTATGAGCTCATTAACTGACGGTTAAGCAATACGTTGCATTTATAAGATCCTTTTTAGCTTTTTAACTTTTTAAAGGCACTTTCCCTCATAGAAGTAAAAAGCAGAACACAAGTTACCAGAGGCTGATAATGGTAGCGGGAAGGGAGGGATAGGGAAAGACTTGTACAGGGTACAAAATTACAGCTAGATAGGAGGAAAGAGTTATAGTATTCCATACTACTGTAGAATGACTGTAGTTAGCAATAACTTATAGTTTCAAATAGCTAGAAGGAGGATATTGAATTTTCCCAACACAAAGAATTGATACATAGCAACAAGAAGAATTGAAATGATGGAGATGCTAAAATTACGCTGATCTGATCACTATACACTATATCTATTGAAACATCACTATGTACCACATATATATATATGATTATCATATATCAATTTAAAATTTAAAAATTTAGAGGCATTTTCATGTACATTATTATTATGAATAACATGTACATGTTCTCATTCTAATGCTAGATCAAAAAGAAGGCTATGGATTGCAGTAAGGGCCATAGTACAAGTAATATGTTTGAGACCACCCGCTTTGTTTGCTAAGAGCCCAACCAGTCTTGTTTTGCTTTTTCTGAATGTCTAACAAAATTCAGACTGTAGAAAGTACAGGCATCAGGCAGTTTTAAAGCACAACATTTGGCCAGGAGCAGTGGCTCATGCCTGTAATCCTAACATTTTGGGAGGCTGGGGCAAGTGGGTCATTTGAGCCCAGGAGTTTCAGACCAACCTGGGCAACATGGTCGAACCCAGTGTCTACTAAAAAATACAAAAAAAAAAAAGCCAGATGTGGTGTTGCACCTGTACTCCCAGCTACTCAGGAAGCTGAGGTGGGATGATTGCCTGAGAAGTCGAGGCTGACTGCACTCCAGCCTGTGAGACTGGAGTAAGACTGTCTCAAAAAAAAATTAAATATAACTTATTAAAATGCAGATTTCTGATCACCACCCCTACCCCAGGCATTCTGGTTTATTAGACTTAAAGTGATGCCCAGGAATTTTTAACAAACACCTCCTAGGTGATTTGGATGCAAGTCCTGAGAAACATTGGTCTAGAGAAAGCTTACTTGAGTGCAAAGGATGGACGAGGGAAGGTCAGTCAATTTGATGCCAAACTGGGCATGTTCAGATATAGTTTGGTACCAAAGCTCTGTTTCAGCAGGCATAAGACAGTGATAAGCCACTTTTTCTAAGTGCTGTAAGAAGAACCACTGCTGCTGGAGATGTGTTGACCAGGATCTAGCTCCAATGAGGAAAGAACTAGGATGCTTCTAATGTCCTAGTCTCATGGTAGGGTCTAGGGCTATAGACCTTAGACGAGATTTGGGTCTCAGGCAGTAAAAGCTGGTTATAGCAAGCTCAGGGAAGGAAACTAAGACAGTATTACACTTTGTGAGCCAGATAAACTTTGGAAGAAAGATAATTTTGCCACTTTGTAGGACTTGCTTGTTCTCATCTCTCATATTTCAGATCTGGTTATAAAATGGGGAACAAAAATGTAAACTAAAAATAAAGGCCTATCATAAAAACCCAAATCCAAAGATTATCATTTAATCCCAAATTTTATAATGAATTATAGTTGAGGATGTGAATGTGTTTTCAAACTCCAGCAGGAATGGCCTGGAAATAAAGTGTAAAGGTCAGCTATGTTACGGAAGAAGAAACAATGAGGCAGGAGTTAATTCCAAACTCCAAAAGTTCACGTTTTCCACCAGGAAAGTGAATGGCCCAGCATTATGCTATAGCAATAATCTCATTTTAAAATCTATAACTATCATTATTTTTGCCACACACTGAGAGAAGTTTTGTCATAATCAATGCACAAAACAACCACTAGCAGAATGTAACAACTAGATATTTCCATATATGTCAGAACAATTAGATGACAAACATTCAAGTAACTGCAAGTTTAAATTATTAAACAATATCTTTTTCTTGCAAGGTGTTAGAAATTGATATGTAATGTATAAGGGGGCCTGGAGAAATATGAGTCCCTATTTAAACCAGAGGGAGAATTTTTATACATGTGAAATTCAAGATTGAGAGAGGTTCACTGCTTTGTTGAACTACATATCCAGGTTGTCCAGGTTGAGAGAAACAAACTTAATACCCTTCTAATTTTAAAGTTCAAATATTTTCTTTAAAACTTCTGACTTCTCTGCTGATAGATAAATGGATATGTCAACATTTAGGGGGATTTTTTCCTGTCTTTACATGTCATATTTAACAATTTTTAAGAAAAAAATTTAAGCCTATGCAGAAGAAGAGAAAATACTGTCATGAATTCCCAAGTACCCATCACCCAGCAATGAAAATCTTGGTTCTTCTTACATTCACTCACTTCCTCTTCACCTACACCTATTTGAGGCAAATTTCAGGTATCATATCATTTCATCCATAAATAGTTCAGCATAGATCTCTAAAAGATAAGTGCTTTTTTTCTAAAAAAAAAAAAAAGCCACAACATATGGTTTTATATAATTTAATGAAATTTTTAAAAATTACAGCTAAATCACAGGCATAAACATATGAATTATTTTATTGATAATTGGGAGGTTGCTCTAGGTGGTTCAAAGCTGAAATCCAGTGGTTTTCAGTGACAGTTTTTCATACCATAGTTTTCTTTATACCAGTACAAGTTCACATGATTTTTTTTTTCAAAAAGCCCCCACAAATTCTTAGTCACCATATCTTCTTACACTCAGAAACTTTTGAATGAATTATTTTTATTCTACCATACTTATTGGGCCCTGAGAATTATGAGATTTCCCACTTGAAGCTTCCATTTTCATTGATTATAATGATAATCAACTAAATTATCCTCTTCCTCTGGAGAGCTACAGAGCTTCTTGATTCCAGTGGTTAATAAAGGCTCTGGTATCGAAAGCAGCACTTTGTTAAAAGGAGTGAGAATAATGACGCAAAACCTCAAACCAGGCAGTGTTCAGAAAACATACTAGTTGTCTTTGAAAGCCATTTGCTTGGTAACAATTGTTAACTATATATCAGTTAAATAATAAATAGTTGCATATAAATATCTAGGATGTGCTTCAAAATAATCTTGAAGGAGAATAGTGAAAGGAAGTATAAACTAAATGAGATTGACCATAAGTTGATAAATGTTGAAGTTGGATGATAGAGGTTTATTATACTCCTCTCTATATTTGTATATGTTTAAAATTGTTCAGAATAAATTTTTTATAAAGAGAAAATAAATCACATGAAAATGACAAAATATACACAAAACAAAGTACTCAAACACTCTTTGCAAATGCTCCTGCCCAAAGCCACTCATCTAAACAGCTAGCAAGTACTAATCAAACTGCTGTATGTTGCACCACTCTCCAATTGAACCAAAGAACAGCAACAAAGGAGTGAAAACAGGAATTTATAGAATTTGAATGCAACCAGTTTCAGAGAACATGAATTATTCCCTGGTTTCATGAGGGTTACTATCGATGTTAAAAGCAGGACATAAAATTTTCTTTAAAAATACTGCCAGAGAACAAGTCAGCCTCAGGGAAAGGAAAAATGTGACTTAATATTGCAGAATAAATTGAAAATTTATGAAAAATTTGTCAGTATCCCAACACTTTTATAGTAAATACTTTAAGCTGAATAAAAATGAACAACGAAACTATAATAAAAGTAAGAAAAGGCTTATTTGTTAGTGACAAGGAAATCTGTATTTAAATCTAACAAGTAATAAAAGGGGGAGGAATACTGTACTATTCTGCAAAGTTTAAGTGTTCTGATGGCCAAGCAGTGTCTTTTTTTTTTCAAATCCTTTTCTGGAGTTGTTAGAACTTGATCTCTGCTTGATCTGACACCCTTCAACCATGAAGTGGACATCCTGGGAGCAAAATGCTCTGACCAGCCCTGGGGCCCGGCACTCACAGAGCCTAAGCCCATCATGGGAGTCCAAGCTAGCTAACTGCAGATGGGTATGCCGACAAAACTGCCCCCAAAAGACAGAGGCCTAGCGAGGATTCAGACAGCAAGCTCACAGCACCTTTTAAAAATTTCATATTGCCTTAGGTTCCAGAGCAAGGATGAGGAGAAGAGAAGGAGGAAGAGGCAAAAAGGGGAAGGGAACAGGGGATGGATGAAGGAGAAGTTTGGGATACATTTTGTTCTTACTTAAAAGAGCACGTAACACCCAGTATCTTCTAAAGGGAAGCAAAAAGTTTAAAAATTCTAAGTTTATGCATGCTTCTCTTATGGCAAATACTATATTTTACTTTGTATATGGTTTAATTATATATGTCTCTTCTGTTAAATTCCTGGAGTGAAGAAAGTATTTGGAATTTATTTTTGAAATGCCATAGCCTATATAACAATGGTCATATTTGTCTTTAATGTTTGTTGAGTTAATTAATTAATCAATCAATTAATCCATTCAGGTGCAGTCAGCTGATAGGTAACAAGCCACAGCTGCAGAACCTGTAGGTTGAATAATGTACTCAATATATTTCACTCTTCACACTGATCCAGCAATGAGAATATGTAGAAGAGTTGTTATGCTTTCTTCTTATTTTTATTACTTAACATAGTGGGATTTGTATAGCATTCAGTGAATATAGCAAACATATTTCACATCTATTTACCAATGTCCAGAACCTAAATTTCACACTGTACCAAATGCACGCCTTTTAACAATTGAATTTAACATTGCTTCCATCTTGTAGGTACATTCTATCCCCGATTCAGAAAAATATGTATTATTATTCATATAAATAAAACATTATGACAGTATTTTGTTTTCAAATTAAGAGAGAAAGGTAGGTTTTCTGTATTTTCCCTTGTTTAATAGAGTGCTTATTTCTGAAACAAGACTCTCAGAAAAAGAAAAATTTTAACAATGAGGTTTTACAGTATGACTTGTCAGTTAACTGCATTTATACCCAAGTCAATTAAGTAGACTACCCTTATTTAAATGTTTTTACAAATAAAATTCTATCTTTAAAAGTTTTTTTAAAAAATCTATAAGCAACAGTAAGCCAAATCACTCCTCTCAGAACTGTATAAAAATTTAGAAAGCCTCTTGTCCAGGGCACTGAAGTTCACAAGTAAAAAAGCTAAGAACCAAGGACATCAACTGACTTTACCAGATCAGAGAGTGAAATCATAACTGAAACATCATCAAAAATCACATAACCCTGATAAAATATTGTCTAAATTGTACAAATCACCTATTTGAAGACAAACACACATAATGACATTAAAATTTGGCACTTCCATTTAATTATTGGTGTAAATCTGTAAATATTTATTGATTTGAAAACTATAATAATATTAGCTGAATTTTTTAATCTAGTGGATTTCCTGGGATTTTTTCCTGGCCAAAGTGTTATACACATAGTCTGGAATATATCTTAGACCCATAAATTTCAGCCTGCTGTACCAAAAATAGCAGAGCCCTCAAGAAAGATTTATAGTATGTGAAAGATGTGGTATATAAAATAGAAACACAGCACTGAAGTTACTGAATGCTGATTAACTGTTGCCCTCAATTCCAAATATTTTTCAATCTCATTAACACACATGTTTGAAATTTAAAATAAAAGTCTAAGTATTACAAGCCATAAAAATAGTTAATCATTGTTAAAGAAAAAAATTTGGACCCTGAACTTTTGCTTGTTTTTATTTATCCCAAATGAGGTTTATTTTCATTGTTCTTATATTTGTGCAGGTATCTCTTTTTTTCTAATACTCTTAACACACCAACTCCTGAGTGATTTTATTGATGCATGTTTATGAAATTTTATACATGTATTATTGTGACCAATTTAGCTTTCTAAAATTCACCTTCATAAAGATTTAAATACCACAAATAGATTATACTTTATATAAGAATGAGCTTCCTTTTCACTCATGTTTTATAAAATAATTATTACACATTTCTGAGAAATAAGTATATATGTGTTGTGTTTACCATGTAATTAATGGTTAAAAATAAATTACTAATTTAAGAATAAAATCATCACCAACATAATTCTGGATAAAAGACCATCTACAGTGATATGAAATTTCCAAAAGAAAATTAAAATTTAGTTCATGATTTTTCTGTCTATTAAACACTAAACAGTTTGCCCTATAAGTACTTTTCATACTTTTCTGGATATTTGTACCTCCTAGAAAATATAACTAAACAGCTTTTTATTCTGACCCTGTAGATACTGACAAATACATTTACATGCATACTTATAAAGATAATCTTATATTTTCAAGAACTGCTATTTACTGACAATATGCAATGACACATGTGAGTTCTATTTTTATACACAGGTTCTTCCAGGAGGAGTTTTTAATTCAGTTAGTTAATTTCAAGGAAATTAGTTATGACAAATGAGCTAATATTCAAGCCATTAGAATTTGCAGAGCATTGTTTCCACTTATATAAAAATTATCTAAATTTGGGTGGGTTTTAAAGTTTAATTCTAATTTCTCTTTGTTCTTTTTCCAGCAAATCACTTTAGTATCACCTGTGGAATTCCGTTATGAATGACATTTTTTTTTTCACTTTGCAAGGAAGAGCCCAAGAGAGAATTCACTTCACAATGACCCTGCTCTGCCCTGTATTTATTCGGCAATGATCCTCAGAAGAAGGATTTTGAAAATGCATTGGAACTCGAACCAAGAGCGAATGTGATTTTGAAGACTTTATTGCTGCCTAAAATTCTATTTTAAGCTACTTATTATAATTCTTTTTAAAACAAAAGAAAAAAAAGGAAAGATGCTTTTGCTGTTACAAATGAAAGGCTGTGTTCCTGATGCCGAATTTCACTGTTCATTTCTTTTGGCCTTGTCGGTATGGGGAGGGGTTGTTGTTTCCTTTTTACTTAATAACAACAATAATAATATCAGATATTGGCTAAGGATCTGACCAAATGGAAGGGGTGATATGAACAAGATAAATCCAGCTTTAGGAAGCAAATACCCCCTCGGCTGACAGCCCCTTGTGCTGGAATCTACAAGGAAATTGTAGCAATGCCGTTCCCACAAGAACAAATATTGGCACTTCCACTAGGAATCCCCCCAAACCAAGTGGAAAGTGCGGAGCTCATACCTACAAAAGAGTGGACCCAAGGGGCAGACCTGGAGGGAGGAGGGTGAGAACTTAGTAACAATGCTTTAAGAAACCAAATCACTGTTTCTTATTGAATTTTATCTTTTCCTTTCCCGCTGCCTCCTCCCAGAAGAAAAAGATATATATATATATGTATCAGCTGCCAGCAGAATAGCTTGCGCTTTCTTTGCAACATTTCGTGCCTGATAATTAATGATGCCCACGCCGGGCGCCTGTGGCCTGGACTCGGGTTCCAGCCGCCAGCAGCCCCTGACGTCAGTGGCGGAGCTGCCTGCGTCAGGTCCCCAGCAGCCCCCGGGTGGCCCGGACTGGAGCTCCGGGGGCATGCAGGGAGGGAGTCCCGGGCAGGGTCGGATAAAACCTCAGAACTGTCGAAAGGGGCTTTCCTCGCACTCGCTCGAAAGTCCTGTCGCAGTTAGAATGCCAGTGTTTGCTGCTCCGGGGGACTCACAGGCACCTCAGACTGCGACAGAGTCTGGAGGCCCAAACCCGGTATAGGCTCCTGGGGTAAAACGGAGTTGAAAGTTCTAGAAAAAAGGGCCAGGGAGAAACAGGGCAAGTCTATGAACAGTGAGTGCTTCCTTCCCTCCACTCTTATATGGGTCAGCGTAATACTGTTTTCCACTGACTCCAAAAATGTGGACCTTAAACGAAATGGACCCACCGTTTCTACTTTAGCTTGACACAAGTTGGAAGTTGGGAATCCCGGAGAGTTTCTCATCCGTGAGCTGGTGCTGGTACCCGCCACTGAGGGAAAATGAACTCGACCTCGCACTTAACTAACCACAGTCTTCCCTCTTTCCTTACTCTCCCATCCTTCTCCAGCTTTTTCTTTCTCCATTCTTCTCACCTTTACAACCCTCCCACACTGGAGAGTTATCAAGATTATGGAAAGGTTTGATTTTCCAAGGGGGACTTTGGCCTCTATCGTCCAGAAAAGTGTGTTCAATCACCCGCAGTTGCCCATGTACTAAGAGTCGGGGGACCCGAGTTTGGGAAGCCATCGGCGCATGCTTGGGACTGAGTCTACAGAACTACTTCTGGAAAAAATCCTGCAGCTCTCATGGGCCCTATCCTCTTGGGATTTCTTCAACGTAGGCTGTTGGGGAACAATTTCTCTTCCCTAGAATCCTGAGAGTATCTTTTTTTCATGATAGTGGTTGCCTTTCTCGTTTAACTTTCCACCTTTTCATCTACAACCGGAGGACAGGGGGGAGTGGAGGCAGAGACTCCTTGAATAAAGATTTGAGACCACAACTGATTTTTGTGCGTTTTCTCTTGGAATAAATTCGGGTCCCAGGAACCGCGCCTGCATGGCTCCGCCAAAACCCGGCGGCAAAAAACAACACGCAGGTGCGGAAAATTGCGTCTGCCGCAGCGATCGGCACCCCAGGACAGCAGCTGAAGGAAGTCAGCCATTGGAGGGCTGCGGAGCTCAGAGCTAGAACACAATTTCGCTTCGCCCTCCCGCTTTCACCAGAGAGTAGCTGGGAACTCGTGCAGGAGTGAATTTCTCCCCTTCTCCAGTTGAAAGCAGTTAGCGGGCTCTGTTACTGGGGGAAAGAGAATAAAAGCATTTTCTGGGAATGCGCTTTTAAAACTTAGAACTTTAATGACAAGTAAGTAAAAGAACACGTTTCCCGAGCCAGTCAATAAATACCGCGTGAGCCGCCTCACCCGCCAAGCAAGTGGCCTCCCAGTCCTGGCCGCAGCGACGTCTCCAACTCCAGCCCCATCTGTGAGGCCGAAACGCTGCAGTTTCAGCCGCTGAGCGCCAGACCAGGGACTTAGTGGCCAGCCTGCCTTCCCTTTCTGAGCTCCAAAGTCTGGGAATAAGTCGAACCAAATTAAATAGAGATGCATCTACTTTCAAAAGGCTTTAAAAACCTGTGACTATCCCCTTTCCATGTGCCACACTGCCTGGTGGATATAAATTGTCACACTCTAGTATCTCCAGCGAGTAAAACAGAAACACACAGACACACACAACACACACACACACACACACACACATATGAATCTCAAAAAAAGTATTGTCGTAACTGTGACACTGTCTTCACAGCCTTGACTGGTATTAGGATTTCTTAGAACGGAATTCATTAAAAGGAGGTGATTAACCTTATTTATAAGCATTGCCTCAAAGTGGCAACTTAAAGGATTTTAGGAATTATTCAAAAAATGTTTCTGTTTTGTTGTTTTGCTTTGTTTTGTATGTTGGTTGTCGTTTTTATTTGGGGGGCTTTGTTTTGTTTTGCTTTTAAGGATCTAGGAATGTGTCTTTTACCCGGTGTCCTTCGCTGCCCTTTTCAGGGAGAAATTGGACTGCCTGACACTTGATTAAGCCTCAGGACTTAGAAAGATCATTTCCTCGAACACTAATTTGAGCGAAATCTGGATTGAGAGTGTAGGTTTACACGCCCAGCTCGAATGTCTAATGTATCAAATCCTCGTTAACGAACTGCCCGCTCCGTGGCCGTGTCAGCCAAAGGTCAGCCCCTTGCAACAGGGCACCGTGGTTCAAAAGCCCTCTTCCAGGGCCCTACCTCCCCCTCCCACCCCAAAATCCATCTTTCACATTTCAATAATAAAGCGCACGGAGCTCCAACTAGAAATGCCAAGGTTGTTTTTCTTTATTTACTTCTTTCTTCACATTAGTGACATGTAAACGACGTGACCTAAGGCAACTACTGAAAAATTAAGTTTATTTTTTCCAGTGGGAAGGAAGTGCAGTTAGTGGACAAGGTAATTGTCGAAGCATCCTCAAGAGGCACGTATATTTGAGAAGCTGTGACTCTTAGAAACCTTAACTTAAAATAGTAATAATAACAATTTCACAGCATTCAAATGGAAACCGCCCAGTAAACTTTGTTGAAGACCTTAGTGATTAGAAACTGCTTAGGGAAAGGGACAATTCTCTTCCCCCGCTGCCCCTTTCCCCTTTTAGAGACCAGCAGAAAGCTTATTCTTAAAAGATGGCTTTGGTGTCAACAGGGCCAAGAGGATCCAGAAGAGTGGGCCTGCACTCTTTTCGCTCCCGCCTCACTGGGGAGCCCCGCGACATTCCTGACTACCCTGGAGCGTACGGCGTATAAACGTATACACCCCAGCGGCAGAGGCCGAACTAGCGCAGCAGTTCCAAATCAGCCCAACTTCTCAGCGCGCGCCTCAGGCCACGCGCGCGCACGCTGTCGCGGGCAGAGTCCGCTAGTAAGGTGGCGGGGCGGGGTAGGGGAGGAACGCGACTTACCAGGTCTGGGATCTAGATTTCGGGCAGAGTTGGTAGCTGAGAGGCCAGCAGACAGATTCAGTCATACCGGAGACGGGCAATTTGGGGAGGTCTACGGCGCGAGTGGAGGGAAAGGAAGGCACCAATGCGGTTTGGGTGTCCCCCTTCCCTTGGTCCATGCCCGCACTCCCGCCGCCGCCTCCACATACTAAGCTCGGCCTGGCCGGGAGAGGACTCAGAGCCCTCCTCGCCGCCATCCAGCCAGAGCCTCCGGCGCTCCCGGGCTCTGGCGCCGACCCCAGGGACGCCTAGGGGCGGGGAAGGGATGTCCCCACTCTCCAGCCCAGGAGAGGGTAACAGCGTTGCCGGCACGGACGCTAGCTGCCAAGCTGAGCAGCCGGACAAGTCCGCTGCGCCGGGCCGCTGGCTTGCAGACCCCGACCCTCTCCCGCCCCAGCCCCTCCCTTCCTCAAGCCCCTCGCCAAATGAAAAGGGTTCTTTGGGCCTTGGCCTTTTGGGGAAGACGCGGGAACCCACGCTGAGTTTGAGTTTTCTGTTCAGAGCAAGGCCCACACAGGTCATCGTTAGCTTGGAGTCCTTAGAGTCTAGATAGCCCACTCCCCACAATACTCAAACACAAAGGGACCCAAATCACGAATGGGTTTCTTCTGGAGTGGTCCCTGTGGCGGGGGTTTGGAGGAACGAGGGTTTCTGCGCCCCTGACTAGACGCTGGGAGCCCTGGCTTCCGGGACCTAGGACAGAACTCGAACCCTCATGCCCCGGCCACTTTCTTCCTAGTCATGAGTAGTGAGGGGTGAGTGGCTTCTGCCAGGCCTCTGTGGGCCTAGCACTCGGTGGCAGTGGGTGAGGGTCGTTGAGTCCGGCAAAGAGACATGGAGCAGACGCTCTTCAGCCATCCTTGCGTTATTGAGCTCGGAGACTCGGGAGTTTGGGTAGGAAAAAAGGCACTGTCCTGGCAGGAACATTTCCAAAGCCTCCCTCCCTGCGTCCTCAGGTTCCACGCTGAAGGCTTGGGGAGTGGTAGTTGTCGGGTGAACTGATACTGTGGTCCCGGTATTCCAAAACTGGCACAGATGGAACTGGCCCTGGGATAGACTGCAGTGTGAGCCCGGCACTGACCTAGGCATCCTGTTCCCAGTGAGGGAAATGAAATGATAAGCTCCACAAAGTGGGTCTACCTGTTCAAATGAAAGTAAAAATCTAGAGTAGGATTGGAATCTGTCGGCAACCACTTCTGATGTTATGGGACCCAGGATTCTTACTAAAACACCCAAAGGCTGTAGATGTTAGTCGGTCAGAGGTTAGAGTGACCCAGGGACCCTCTGTTGCCCCTCCCCTTTGTTTACAAGCGTTGGCCACTCCACCTAGAAAGATTATACGCTCACTCTGGAAATGTCAGCACATTGGCCACAAAATACCATGCAGATCCCCAAGGACTTCACTAGAGAGGAAAGCAATAATCCAGCGACTGAACCCAGGTGTCTCTCACCAAACCCTACCCTTTCTGGTCTCTAGGCCAGGGCAGTTCCTCCACCAGTCCCGACGTTTGCGCTACCTAAGCACGTTTGGATTTAACAGGACCATTTCAACTCCAAGACAGGCAAGCTGACTGGTATTATTTGCAAAGGGTCAAGTGGAAACCCTAGAACAGTCATTCAAGCAAATGGCTCCTAGTATCTCAAATGGGGCGGTGGGAGGCTGGGGAAATGCCAGAGAGCAAGAGGAAGTAGGAGAAAAGAGTGGGAGAGAGAGGCGGAAAGACAAAGACAAGCCGGCACCCAGACTTGGATCTGGGCAAGGGATGAGGGAAGGGCCTAGGGAACCTCCCCCAAGCCGCTGCCCGGTCACCTGGGGCCTGAGCTCTGACTAGGGGTAGGCTAAGTCTTCTCCGAGGGGCTAGGGATATGAGAACAGCCGGGGCGGCAGCTCGGGCTTGGGAAAGGATAAGAGAAGAAGGCCTCCCTGGTAGGCCCGGTGTAAACTGGAAGCCCAGCCACCCGATGCACTGGGGTGTGGCCGGCTGGGGCTCGAGCACCATGCAGCCCCCGGCCCTCGGCGGAGAGGCCCTGACAGGCCCGCTCAACTCGCCGTTCCAATGGCAGCAGCCCCAGGTTGCTCTACCCTCTGCTGTCGGCTCCGCAGTGTGAACTCACTTAAACCAGCGCGGTTTGAAAACAAACACGTGCAGCTACCCCGCCGCACTATTTTGGGAGCCTAGCCAGCGACTTTCACAGGCCGGAGCCTCTGCTTGGTTCTCTCTCTAGCCCGCGAGGGCGGGGGAGTCTCATGCATATTCATCAGCACGTGGAACCTCGGGCCACAGGCCGCGCATGCGCACATCTCGCCCTGCCCGGCCAGAGCCTGCCGCGACGATTTGGAAAGCGCCCCGCCAGGCTGCGGGGTGGCGGGAGGGTCCCTCAAACGCTGACGACCCAGCCTTCGGTGGAGGTGTTGTGGGGAAGTCTCGCTGTTGCACCCCCTACACCTACCCCCGAAGACTGTTTCCATGCTTTCAATAAATCCACCAATGCAAAAATTTCCCTTTACGCACTCCATCCCACCCCTGTCCTTTCTCCACAACTTTCAGTTTTCTTAGTCAGAGGCTAGCATTTTCGCGGATGAATGGAAAATGTTTAAAAAGGAATCGCGATGCGAGCTTCTCTCACCGTTTGTGTTCCCGCTTACTGTAACTTCATGGACATTGTTACACAAAAGAAAGACGTAAAATAACAATTTTTTAAAGTTTGCTAAGGTCGGACGGCTTGGGTTTGCTTGCTATTGTTGTTTTTAAAGATGTGATTCCAATATGTTTATACCCACGCTCAATAGTTGATTCTTGTGTGTGCCATAGGTGAAAATGTCACTGCGTAACTTTCACAACCGGTGGATTTTCCTGGATATGCTTACAGAGATGTCTGACAACCATCAGAGGCAGCCAAAGTATTGTGGACAGTTGACACAATGTCAGTCTGTGGCATCTTCACTGCCAAGTGATATTTCCACTCTAGATAGCTAAACCCGATTTTTTAAAAACTCACCTTTGGTATATAACATCAGTTGGAAACTTCACACTGTTTTAGTTCTTCACTCTAAAGTGGATATCAACTTTAGTAACTGATGACAGATCCCAGCTTCCACAGTAAAAATAGCCTCTGGTTTGGCCTGATGTGTTTCCTCTTGCTAAGGAAGGGACTCTGGAGCAAACCAGCCTTGCATAGATTTAAGGAGAACATTATTCATATTTTGCACCTATTACACCATTGTATTTGCAATAAACTTTAAGGAAAAGGATTGAATGTGACATAAGAAGTTAACATTTTTTGTATTTCTTGCCCCAAAATAGTGCTTATCATTTTTTAAAAATTGCTATATGGTTACCCATAATAATCTTACTTTCTATATCTAACTAGTTTAAATGGTACATATTACAGAGGATGGACAGTGTGGTTAAAAGCCGAAAGAGAGACTATCGTGGCTAACTTGTACCTTTAGCGGCTTGACGGCACAGACAAGATCAATCTTTCCATTGCCAACACTATTTTCAATAATTCTAAAACAGTTGATATCAACTGTGACTATCTTTATGAAAATGCTTTTCCCCACAAATACGAACACATGATTCTAAGAACTACACTTGATGCTACAAGGAAGCCAGAACTCTGTACCTAGAGAGGAGGAGATAAATTTGTAATCGGTATTATAAGTTGGAAAAAGAAAAGAAATGTAACTTGGGAATGTGTAAGAGCTGATGTCTTTATATCTAGTCCACAGCCAAGGGCACAAGTTCCTTTATTTTGAGTGTGCCAGACCACCTGCAGTAACTCCTCATAACATCTTAAACTAAATCTTCTCTTTAAGGTCTAGGGCCTTCTCCAACTCACTTCCTGAAAAGCAGTATGCTCAGGTAACAACTCCAACAGCACCGACTCACAAGGGGTCCTAGACACTGATTTAATGTTGGCCTCAAAAAGAAAACTTCTGGAAGCTTTTGGGGCTAGGTGAGGTACTTGAGGGTATAATTCTCTGGCCAGCCCTTTAAAAGTTCTGAGAAAACTTCACAATAAAAGCATCTAAATGCCAGGCCTATCAGCAAAGAAGGTTAGTGCTACTTTCATTGTCAGGAAAAAAAAAAAATAAGAAAGAAAGAAAAAAAAAAGATAAGCAGATGGGGCAATTGAAAGGTTACATCTTTCTTTTGGAGGTGGTTTGCTTTTTAAAGGTTAACTTGAATGCTTGACTTTAAAAAATCAAAATCATCAGCTGCAAACGCTTAAAGCAGTTGGGGGTAGCTTTTGAAGAAGAAAACAAAGGATCTGAAATGTTTGAAATTACTTAGCCCCCATATAAATGGTGCTTGTATATTTATATGCTTGCTCTACAAATGCACACACACACATACCACAACTCATTTCTCTTCATTTCTCAAATATGATTGCTTGTACTCAGGCATTTTCTGTTGACACAACATAACTTTTTAATAACTTGTTAGCTGTTCTAATCATTTGATAGTATTCAGAATACAATGCAATTGCAAAATGAACCAGGACAGCATTCTACCTAAGTCAGAATCTAAAGCTACACACAGGAAACAGCTATTTGCAGCATCTTCAGCTCCTGCTAAAGAGAGTCTAACAATATATTTTGCTGTTCACATTTATGTATTTCAAAACCTAATAGCCCATGAAAAAAAGTATGAAGAATACATCTCAAGAAGCAGATATTAAAGGTACCAGCAAAATAATAGACTACATTTAACTTCGAAGGATTATTTTAGGCCACCTACATCATTAATGACTTTTTCTTTGTGATAGGTGTTGGAAAAGAGAATGCACAGGAGGGTTGGCTTAAATGTTGGCTTTTATTACGTTTACTTGCTGTGAGTAAGATTATTCACAAATGCAAACACACTACTCTTCAAATGTTTTCTTAAAAATTATTTGGCCTTCACAGTCTAAACAGATATTTGAAATATGGAGTCATTTTGAAGTAAACATTTACCCCTAAAATTTATCTTTAAAATATCCTACTTAAATCATATGTCATAGTGTGATATTTAATTGTTACACTGTGGTATTAAAGCAAAAGGGGCATCAGGTACACAACAAAAATTAGACAGTTATAATTCCCAATTTGAGGTAAACTACATCTAGGAATAGGAATGTTCGAAGAAAAGATGAACTCATCATTTACTATCTTCTTAAATGCACCAGCAAAATTACAAAAGTACCACTATTATCATGTTTATCATTATCACACTCATATCAGGTTATCAGACAAGCTGATCTCAATGAAAGTGGGAAGGATTATTAATTGTGGTGTTATCTTTTCTAGAGAGAAGAGATGTCTTTATTCCTCTTTCTATTTTTAACTAATGTCTGGACCTAATGTCTGGAGTCACTTCAAATGCAAATCTGTTAATCAGTTTCAAACTTCCAAACCAATTGGGGCTAGCTTTTGCTTCGCAAATTTTTGGAGCTAGCAGCAATTCCTGCTTAGGTATTCAACTTCCATAAATCTCACTAAACCTTGCAAGGTGGCGCTCTTTTCATGAAAAAAGCCAATATTATTGTTATAATCAGAATAACATTTTTTAAAAAGTTAAACACCACCCTCCCCAGTGTTTGATGTGGTACAGTAAGTGCAGCAAAGTCCTTCCTCAGCAAATAAGACTTTGTTGAAACAGTGACAAATATAAATAGCAAGAGATGAAAAGACAAGTCAACAAAGGATTCTTAAAGAAATTGAACATTTTTATCTTGTAATTGGCCAATGGTATAAACTGAAAAATTAATTTCACTTTAAAATAGATGTATCTTAAGGGGTTGTTATACTTTGTGGGGTTTTTCCTCTTGTTTTCTTTCTCAGAGTCAAATATGGCCTGTGGCTTCCTGAACACATAGAGTGCATTAAAGAATCAGGTCCATGGCCACCCTTGCCCAGTGAGGTCAGTTTCTGCCACCTGCTCTGCACCTCCACACACTAGCAACTACAGCCAAGGGCCTGATTTGTGATCTCCGGCTACGTTGTCTGCCTAATGGGGCGATCATGCAAGCTACAACCAGAGACAAAGAAGCCTGCGTTCCTACCAGCGCAGCTAACTTCATGGAAGCAGCATAGCTTGCAAATCTATCAAACTAAACTGCAAGAAAGACAATCTGATTTAGAGAAAAGGCATTCTGCTACAGTCATTAAGCACAAGTAATTTAGATTTTTTATATTGTCTCCTCATTTACAAATTTACTGTATCAATGCCAACCAATGGAACGAATTTCTTAAGTAAATGAGAAATAAATAAAAGAGATAGAAAGATAATCAAATTACTTAAAATAATCCTCTTCCCTAGATGTATTTTTGAGAGAACTAATAACAGTGGCAAAATCATAGGAATAATAACATATCATAGGAAGTAATTAATTTAAATTAGCATCATGTTTGAAGAATATAAGTGAAACGCTTTATGGACATTTACTTTTGTACAAAGAAGGAAGGCCTGGAAAAGCATGCATCGACATCCTGAAAATTAGTTATGGTCATAAATGGTTTAATTGAAGACAGCAATTTAAAATATGATATTGTAAATCTGCAACTCAGTTTCAGCCCGGGGAATTTAATCTAGGGGGCAGCGGAACCCTCGGCTGCAAGTTCATTTGCAATGTTGCAGAGCGAGCCCCTGAGCTTCTGACAATTCGTCTACATTAATATTGATGTCGCCTGTGCAATCTATTCCTGTTATTTTTATGGTTGTTATTCTACATCTGCAAAGGTCATTTAAATTATACTGCGGCCGAAAATTTGTTTCATAAATTTTGATATAAATACTAATTACACTCTCTCGGAGAGCCAGCAGGGTAGCATTCATTTATCACGTTTATACGACCTGCAGTGACAGAAAGGGAAGGCAAGGGAGACTGGAGAGCTTTTCTGGAGACCCTTTAAGACTGGCAGAAGAGGCAGCAGGTTGCTGGTGGGTGAAGAAGAAATTCCTACCACAATCACGGAGATTTAAGAATCTTTAATAAGGTACGAAAGGTTACCAAACAGTTCTGGAAACTAAAGTGTACATACGAGTTCTTCTAGCCATAAATATTGAAGAGCTGTAACATGGATAAACCGGCCCTTTACATGCGGATAAATATGGAAACTAGGAATTATATACATTATGTGGTTGTATCTTTTGCCAAAAGTAACGGACAGTTATAGTTTATATCTTTTTTAATATCACTTTACATAAACAAATGGAACAGTTTGACACGCAGATCCAGGCTCGTACTATACGAATTCTTGACAGGACATGAAACAACATTTTACTGCACTAAAGTACTTAGACTTTGGGACGAAATGTTTGCACTTTATACAAAAAAAGCACATTAATACCAATAATATTGGGTTAGGTCGACGTGGAGACTGTAATCGTACAAAGTAATTCACATTTTGGTACACATTTACTAGAACATTCTTGCCATTCAGTACAAACAGTTGGCTTTCGGCCGCCCACCCCTCCCCCTCCCCCTCCCCCCGCCCATCCGGTCCCTCCCCCCTCCCCCAATGCAAAGACCACAACGCCACAATCCCACCCACCCGCTCCAACCGAGATATAACTATTTACAGAATTCAACAGTACAGTTTTAAGCTAATAATTCTGTATTTACAAGAAAACAAAGAAAAAAAGAAGCCGAAGCCCCAGAGAGCCCGTACCAATTCGACAAGAAACTGGCCCTCGGGGTTGGCGGCATTTGGTCAGGTGGCCTCCTCCCCCTCGACCCCCTACCGCACCTTGGGTACCAAGCCTTTGCCAAAAAAAGAAAAATAATGAAAGCGAAAGGAAATTTTTAAAAGGTTGATGCTTCCTCTCTTACTCGTCCTGGGTCTATTGGCAGATTTTTTAAAAAAGGATTGCGGGGTCTGTGTGGGGGTTGTTTTGATTCGCAGGGTTCTTTCAGTAATGTTGTGTATACGTGTGTGATCAGTCTCTTAAATAGGGTTTTGTTCGATGTTTTGTTTCTGATTTTAAACGTACCATTCGTTAAAATTGGAAGAGAGCGCACTGTGGCCGGCTGTGTGGTGGACTGCGGAGGAGGAGGGCGATAAGGAGCTTGTGGTCGGGTTGTCTGTGGAGGGAGACACGATGGTGGGAGGCGTGGAGGATTCGTAGCCAGAGCTGGCGGCCGGCGAAGGCTGCGAGCCCTGCGAGGAGGATTCGTGGACCTGCAGGAATAAAGTCGCGTTTTTACGGACATAAAGAGCCAGTGCGGCGGCCGACTAGAGAGGCGAAGGCCGCGAGTGCCCTTCCTCCTGGACCCCTTGGAGCCCCCTGAACACAGGTGAGGCCCGATCAGCGGGACTTTGGGCTTGGTTTCTCTGCACAGGCCTGCAGAAACCGTGCTCCTGGGAAAGTCAGGGTCCCCAAGACTCACAAAAGAAAAATAGGTCTGGGAAGAGGGAGACTGGATATGAGGCCAGAGACTGCACTTTCTTTCCCTGAACTTTGCTTGTCCATGTTTAGGTGAGCCAGAGCTCAGGCCTGGGCGCAGGAGTCCAATTCTTGCGTCTCACTGGCAGCTGCAAGGGCAGCAGTTTCCGCAGCGTCAACCCCCTGCAAAAGCCCTAGCTCTGGGCCAAATTCAGTGGCGGCCTTTGCTCATACTCGCCTCTTTTAACTTTTATTATTAAACCAAAAATTTAAAACGGCCTTGGACACTCCCATCCCCTTTTCCAGGTCCCGCCCTACCTTCTCTGCCCAGTTCCACTGAGTGGAACCTTTGCCTTCCCGCTTCCTCTGGCTCCCGCCACCGCCTGTCTGCCACTCGCCGCCCGACCCCAAGCCGAGAGCCAAGAGAGCTCCTGCCTCAAAGGGGGCGACGAGAGTGCGGCGATTACCTTCATGTGTTTGCGCAGCGAACTGGGATGCGTGTAGGACTTGTCGCACATCTTGCAAAGATAGGGCTTGTCGCTCGTGTGCACGTGCATGTGCTTCTTGCGGTCGCTGCTGTTAGCGAAGCGCCGGTCACAGCCCTCAAACTCGCACTTGAAGGGCTTCTCCCCTGGTGCCAAAGTAGAATGAGAGGGGTCTAATTAGAAAAAAATACCGCGGCCGTTTTTCAAAAACTAAACAAATAGAAAAAAAATAAAACAAAAAGCCAGCAGCCCAGGATTAGCACTTTGCAAGCTTAAAAACCCGGAACGTCAATAAATTCTTACATCTGCAGTGGAATTATAAATATCTTAACTCTATTGTAATCCCTAATACAATTGGATCTACATTTTATTTTTATGTTTAAAAAAATTAATAGTAGGAGGAGTCGGTTTTTAGCATCAGATCTGGAAACTCGTATTACCCAGAGCTACACACGATTTCGGATTGCTTCCACCTGGCTCCTGGTTTCTAGTTTTCACGTTTGCGGCTTATTCTCCTGCCCTATTGCTTTTCTCTCCTCCCCCTGCCCCCTCCCCGACGCTCCGCATCCCCTGGTCGCCTCCTCCAACCCACCCCACTCCCTACATACACTCACATTTTATAGCGTAATCTGGGCCGGAGAGAACTCAACGCCGCAAATTCTTCCCTGACTCGGGCGTTAAACCCGAAGTCTCAAGCATGGTTCTCAGATCTCACCCGGGAAAATCAGAATAGGAAAGGAGACCCAGTTCCCGGCCTCTTGGGGGCAGGGGGCCCAGAATGTTTTGTCTGATGCCAGGCTACAACCCTGAGCTCGTGGGAACTTTTTTTTTTTTTAACTGTTCCGGACCTGTGTCTTGATTATTTTTAAAGGCCAAAGAGGGGAATCTGGTGTTTTGAAAACACCCTCATGGAGTCTAATAGACAACAAGTTCTTCCTTGCCTTCCTCGGACTTTCTCCACCCCTCAAACCCACTCTTAAAACCAGTCACTACTAAAACTGAACTCTTCAAATATGCATAAAGCTCCAAAAGCCTCCTCAATCCCAAATTATTTCCTTTCCCCACTCTGTCTCAATTCTTTCTGTCTCTGTTTTGTTTCTTTCTACGCCCTTAACCCGGCCTCCTCAATTTCCTCAGCTCTTTCCTTTGGCAAAGTCCTCAGTGAAGTGCACGGAGAGAGATGTTGGCAGCAAGCAAGGGTTTAGATTTGTCTGCAGCCTGAGCAGCTGGCGCCTCCGCGGCTGCCGGGAGCCAGCCACTTTCTCCGGCTTCGAAAGCACCAAGGTCTCCGCCAAACCAGGTTTGGCTTCCTGTTCTCCGACCTTTTTTGTTTCTCATTTAAAAAATCTATATACCCAGCTCCTCCTCGTCCGCCCTGTGTGTGTGTGTGTGTTTTCCATAATTTCAAGCCAGAAACTAAAAATCAGCGCACACTTTCCCTGCCTGCCTGCCGGAACCTGACGCCCGGGATCCCACCGAGGCTGCGTTTGTGCGACCTGGCCGCTGACTTTCGGTTTGGGTCCCAGGCCCAAGTGGGAATGGGTAGGGGTCCTACAGCTGTTTCCGTACCTGTGTGCGTCCTTTTGTGGATCTTTAAATTCTCGGAGCGCGCGAAGACCTTGCCACAGCCAGGGAAGGGGCAGGGAAAGGGCTTCTCGCCCGTGTGCACGCGGATGTGGTTAACCAGTTTGTATTTGGCTTTGAAGGGCTTGCCCTCGCGCGGACACTCCTCCCAGAAGCAGATGTGATTACTCTGCTCCGGGCCACCTACGTGCTCCACGGTGACGTGCGTAACTAGCTCGTGCATGGTGCTGAAAGTTTTGTTGCACGACTTTTTGGGGTTGGCCAGCTGCTCGGGCTCGATCCACTTGCAGATGAGCTCTTGCTTGATGGGTTGGCGCATGTAGCGGAAGAAGGCGCCGGCGCCGTGATGCGCGGCCATGTTCACGTTCATGGGCCCGTAGCCGTGCAGCTGCGGCGCAGCATAGTGCTCCGAACGCGGGCTGGTCACCTGGCCGTACTGCTCCGGTCGCGGGTACATGTCCCCCGAGAAGCCGAGCCTCATCTGCCCGTTGACCACGTTAGGCGACGCGTGGCCGGCAGCCTGCTCGTGAAGCCCGGGGAAGAGGAGGTGGCCCGCGGCGTCCGTGTGGCCGTGTGGGCCCCCGAAGCCCCCGGCCGATGCAGCAAAGAGGCTGTGCTGTGCGCTGGCTGCCGCCGCCGCGTCGCCAAAACCCCGGTTGCGGAACAGAAAGTCCCGCGTGGAGTTGAAGGCTGCGCTGGAATAGGAGCCGACGTGGCCCGGGTGATGGTGATGGCCCAGGGCCGCAGCAGCCGCGTAGCCTGGCGCCTGCGACGTGAAGGCCGTCTGGCCGGCCGAAGCCAGCTCGTGCGAACTGGGGTTGAGCTTGAAGGCGCCCATGCCGTCGGCGAACGGGTTGATGCCCAGGCCCACGTCTCGTTCGGCCACGTCGCCCGCGGAGTGGTGGCGGGACGCGCCAAAGGTGGTCACGCCGATCGCTGGGTACTGGGGGCCGGCGTCCAGGAGCATCGTGGCTGCTCGGGGCGAGCCCCGGCCTCCCCCGCCCCCCCCACCCTCGCCAGCCGAGGAGGGAAAATCGGGAGGAGGAGGAGGAACAAGAGGAGGAGGAAGAGGAGGAAGAAGAGGAGGAGGGAGGGGGAGTCGACCCACCTCGCGAAGTCCTAGCCTGCAGGCAATGGCGCGGCGCGCCCGGGCGCTGGCCGGGCCAAACGCAAAGTAGCCGGACGGCTGCGGGCCGCGAGTAACGCAGGCTCCAGCGCCCGCCAGGCAGATTCTGCCGGCCCGGCTCGCACTTTCTCGCCGCTCAGTCTCTGCCGAGAGGGCCGCGCGTCAAGGCTGCCCGGGGAAAGGCATGGAGCATCTCAGCCCCCTAAAAAAAAACTTCCTCCTGGATTTGTAGCATAGAGGAATGTGAGCGCCAGTGCCGCGACTGCTTCGCCCTCTCTCCGCCTCGCGCAGCGCGCCCCTCCTTACTTCTCCACTAGCCCCTCGCCCTTTCTTTTCTCTCTCTCTCCTTTCTCTCACGCTCGCCTCCTCGCTCCTTCACTCTCCGTTTTTCCCTCTCTGCTTTTTGAAAAAAAAAAAAAAAAAAGTGGGTGGGGGGGTGAAGAAAGAAAGAAAAAGCCAAAGAAAAGGCGCAAATCATGCACAATATTGTCTTTTGCGGTTTATCTTCCTGGGGAGAAACTTTCACCTCCTCAGCCGGGCGGTGAGCGCGAGACTGATAGCAGCAATCATTCCTGCAGATAAATGAATTGAAAGGACGACACCGTCCCCCCCTTGATGAATGGGAGCAGGGGGGAGGTGTCACGTGCTGCCGACGCTGGCGCCCATTGGTGCGCCCGCATTCCCCCCGCCCTCAGCCGCCGCGCCAACGGAGGGCGCGCCGAGGCGCCGCGCGCAGCTCATTGGCCCGCCCGCCTCATCAATCCCAGGTATTGTAAAGCGCTTGACATCCCCTTTTGACAAACCAGGGCTGCCAGGAGTAGCAACTTTTTTTTTAGCCAAATTTTTTCCCTCTTCTCACGGAAATTTTTTTTCTTTTTTCTTTTCTTTCTTTCTTTTTTTTTTTTTTTTTTTTTTTTTGCCACGATTACTTTTCCTTCTCACAGTCATATGCATTCCTCTTCCTCCTTTGCCCTCCCGCACCCCGGCGCTGCCCTTCCCGAAACCAACTTTTCGCTGAGCGATTAGAGACTTCAGACGTCTCCGGGTGCAGCAGGCGGGGATGGGGCTAGTAAACACAGCAAAGGCACTTCCAGAATGTCCCGATTCAGCAACTTTCTTTTCTTTCTTCCCCCTTCCCCCCTCCCTTCAAGAGCAGCAAAAGAGGCTTTTGTTATTTGCTCCTTTTGAAGTTTGTTTCCCTCTTGCTTTGTCCCCCTCCTGTTTATAATTTAAGATCTTGGGAGCACACGGGCACTATGCTCTCTTTACAAAAAAATGTAATTTCTCAGTGTAACCGGCAGCCTCTGTATTTCTCGCTTTTATCTAATCAGACTTCCGGCACCACCGCACCCCCCTCCCCGAAAACACACACACACACACACTCACACACACAGGTGGATGAAAGCGCTTAAGTTCCCAGGTTATTGAGGTTTGAATTTTTTAATGGCAAATTTGAAACGTTGTTGCCAGTTTCCTTTACTTTTTCTCTCTCTTGCGTTATTTTTCTGTTTTCTGCCTTTCCGTTGTCTCCTTCGACTGCCCCCGCTAACCCTGTCTCTCCTCACTCCTGTTCCCTACTTGGGCCCCTTTCATTCAGGTAAAACTGTAAATTTCCCAACGCGCTATTGTTCCCTTGGGCTGCCCAAAGCTCCCTAGAGATCCCCGAATACTTTTTCGGTATTTAAATCCCCAATAGATAGGACCAATGTAAATTTTGTGACATTCAAACCTTTTCTAGTTCACAAATCAGTCACCCTTGTCACAGTTATTGAAATTCCGCAACTCGCCACACCAGGACGGTGGAAAAAGCGGGCGCGGTCTTTGTTGCCGACCAGGCTTTTGATCGCCAGAGAAAATTTACTTACCTTCAGATGAGTGAGCAGAAAAAGAAATAACACTCCCTTTGATTTAGTTAGGAAAATGCAGACATTTGGATTCAGTGCAAACATACAACACTCGCTTGTTTTCGCGATGCGGCCCTCGATTAACCTGTCTTTGCCTAGCGCAAAGTCTATTCAACAACTGCGCGTAGTTTCTTTTTGTCCCTTCCACAAAGAGCCATTGACTATATATTAAAATGATTGTTGAAAGGTAGGGGAGTATGGTACTTAAAAGCAGGAAAAAAAAATCCCTGTGACTCAATCAATTAAGCCGAGCAACATTTATGCATTTCAAAAAATGCACGCGGATGCGGGGGGTTGTGGGGACGAAGGTTGCATTTCTCCGCAGCTCTGTTTAAAACCCAGCAGTCCTGGCCGAGGCTTTAGCTGAAGCGTCTGCATATTCATTAGGTCTAATTATTTTCTAGTAAGGAAAACACAAAAAGCCAAGAGTCGGAATCCTTCAATTTACCCTTTGTTTCTAACTTCATTTGGCTTCTTTGCAGCTGAATCAAAGCCCTAAACTCTTTTTCCAAACAAAGAAACCTCAACTCATCCTTTCATAGGCGGCCCGGTTAGGAAACTCACCGTGCCCCAGCGAGAGGAAAATGAAAATGAATATATTTTTTGCCCTGACGCCAGCGCTGACTGCACGGGCTGGAGGAAGGCAGGGTCAGCGTCCGCCGCTCCTCGCCTTTCTGGTTTTCTGGTCTTCTCACCAACTAGATTCTCGCTTGGGGCTGGCCGGCGGGACTGCCCTTTCCATGGGCTGTGCTTGCTCAAAAGTCGGCTTGGGTATCCGGGATGATTTCCCGGTGCCTGAAGGGACCTGGCTGAGCATTTGTGCTTGTGCCGGGAAATATAAATTCGGAAAAAAAATTAATTGTTCTGTTCCCATCAACAAGTCTGAGTCTAGCAGCCCAGCATTTCCCACCAACTTTGAGTGGAATGGAATGAGGAGTGGAGGTAAAGAAAGGGCCGAGGTATCTTTAAAAATTATTGTACACTTGGTTGGAAAAAAAAAAGATATATCGGAGGCACTAAGTCTTTTTACCTACAAGGGGAAGTTGGATCCTGCTTCCCCTGGAGTTTAGAAAACCTCATCTGTATGGAGAAGTTTTCTCTAGAGGCTGTATTCCTCTCACTAGGGAGAACAGATATTGAACCCACCTCGCCCGCCTTTCAGGAAACACACGCGGGCGCACACACACACACACAACAAGGGAGGGGACCTAAGGGGGGAAGGGTAGCTGTTGGGAGGGGGAGAGGGAAAATAATTCTTCAAAAAAGAAAAGTCAGTCTTCTCCTCTCCAGTCCGTGGAAAATCCAACGGGGACGTTGACAAGAGGGTATTTTTAGGAAACACATCCAAATATACAGGGTAAGAGTGAATGTGAGAAAAAAAAAAGTTGTGGGTTGTAGAAGTTATCAAGTGGGATTTGCGGCGCTCTCTGCAGGAAACGCGAACGGCTCCAGTTCAAAGCCACATGCACCAACGTGACATATAAGCCATTAAAATATCATCCTGACGGCTCATTTCTGCTTCATCATACATTCCCTAACTGCTTCCTGAAAGCTGGAAAAGGAGAAGTGAAGGATGACCGCCTCGCTGGAACCACAAAAGAGAGGCTTGGAGGGGTTTGTGGTCCCCTCTCAGCCACCCCGAAATGATGTGCAGAAATGAGGCGATCCTGGCAACAGGTGGAGTGGGGTAAGTGCGTGAGTCCAGGGGGCAGACAGATGAGAACTGTACCTCCAGCGACCGGGTAGCAAGTACCCTCAAGGGGACCACTGGCACCCAAACCCCAGTGGGGGAAGAGGCCCAGCCAGTCTTTCTGCCCCATCTCCTCCTTCATCCTACCCCCCTCCCCCAACCGTGGATAAAGGCCCCACCCCACTGACACTAAGGGGAGGAGGGGGCCCTTCCGCAAAGGGGCAACGCAGAGGATGAGTCCATCCCTTCTTCCCAGGAGGAGGGAAAAGGGGTACAAATGGGGCTCCCACTGGCACAGGAACCAGGAGCAGTTTGTTGCCTGCCTGCCTTCCCTTCTCTCCTTGTGAATTGCCTGGGTGCCCCACCGTGGGCACAAGAATGGAAGTCGTGGCCCAGAGCTTCCCTCGCGAAAAATGAGCAAGGCGGGTGCCGGGAGGGGGCCTTTACAGGAGGTATCTCTGCTCTGCCCCCAAGGGGGTGGCTAGGAGAGTCTCTGCTTCCCCTCTCCAGGGTCAAAGCGCCAAGTTAGCCCAGATGGCAGCAAGACGATGGAACTTCTCCGCCCCAACCTGACGGCAGATGCCGCCTGAGTCCACCTCAGGGCGGCTCCTTGCCCTCCCTCACCCTGGTCCTGCCTCAGGAAGCTGACTGCTGGGATCTGCTCTCTGCGCGCGGCCAGCAGTGGGTTCGGGACTTGGCTTTCTTTATCTCCAATGCGAACAAGAGCAGCAACTAGCTCTCTGGGGAGCAGGCCGCAGCTCCTAGGATTCTGGCCCCTAGCCTAGACCCAGGGGCATTGGAAATTAGGGGCCAATGAGGAGGGAATAGAGCTGAGCTGTGAAAGAAAGCTAGGACTGGCTCAAAGGTTGGATCTGAAAGTTGGGGTTGATGAATGGCCCATGTCAAAGTCTTAGGAAAGCGGAGGGGCTTTTGGAGGGTTGCACTTCGGCCGTCACCGTCTTCAGGAAACTCCCTTTGGATTCCAAGGTCATGTTTTCCCCGCTTTCCGACAGTATTGTCCTCGCAGCGACCCACACCACTGCATGCTGCTCTTTTTTCTCCTGTCTCAGCCGCCTGCAGGTTGGGGGAGGGGTGATTCAAAGGGAGGGCTAAATGCCCAGCCTGATCTACTGATACAAACTCTATTCTGGGCACCCGGATGCTGCCCACACTTACTTCAGCCCCGAGCTGGGAAACCCAAGCTTCTCCCTCTAGAGAACAGGAGAATGAGTAAAGGCCCCTGCACAACCCAGCCTCAGCAAACTCCTGGCGCTTGAGGGTCGAATGGAGGGGAGCCAGAAAGGTGCAGGGTGCAGATGAGTAAATCAGGCAGCGGGCAAAGGCCGGGGCCAGTTTCCTCTCTGGCTCAGAGCTCCCTGCCAGCTTTCAGGGTTTTTGCTCTGCGCCCGCCAGGGACAAGTTGCAGCGGAGAGGTGGGCATGCCTTTCCCGCGCCTGCCGGCTAGTCAGTAAGGAGCAGCTCGGGAACTGAAGTCTCTAGCTGCAGCTGACCTCTGACCTTGGGTAGTCCTGCGCCGGCTAGGTCGGCCCCACAATTTGCAGCTTCCGAGGCTCCCCCAAATAAAAATGGTGCTTTTTGCACCTACCCACTGTCCCACCTTCTTGGCTCTCCTCCGGCACTATCAATCACTGGAGCTCCCTGGCACCCGTTCCTCTTCTCAAGGTGGGGCCAGGAGGGCAGATTCCAAAAAGTCTCCAGGATGTGCTATGGACTGGTAATTAGGAGGCCGTGGTTGATGTGGGGAGCAAGCATTTGGGGAAAACGAAACTGAGTTTCTACATTCCGTGGTTGTTTGGGACCTCAGGTCCACGGGCCCCAGGATTGCTCCCAAATTCTCTCACCTCTCTTTCAGCAAGATGACTGGCTTGTTTGCTAAGTGGTGTCAGAGTTTGAACTAAAGGAGATGTTTACCCTAGTTCCCTGTGTAGGCTGTGTGATGGAAACGCTACAGAGAGCCTCCTAAGGTCCCTGTTGCCTGCCCTAGTCCAATCTCTGCAATATTTGTTTGCATGTCTATGGGTCTGTAGTGCACAAAAGGCTGACAGGACCTGGGAGAGAAGTGATCCAGACCTCTTAGAAGTTGGGTTGGGGCTGCCTTATGGGTGGACAGGGATCTCTAGGGAACCTCACACCCATTTCCCCCAGAAGCAAAAGAGTAAATTCTATTATTGCCAACCAACCAGGACTTTTCCATGCCAGACATCCTGCCATGAGGAAATTTCAGAGCGAGGACGCCCAGCATGCCGCCCTTCTGTAGGAATGCAAAGTTAGGCCTCCTTTCTTTCCTGATTTGTGCTGGAAGGAGCTTATTACCTTTGGGGAAGAATGCCTTTTGGTTAGAAAGAATTGAAAATAATAATACCCTCTGGGAAAAGGTGAGTCTACCCCCCTGCCTCCTAGGCCTGGACCTAGAAAAGAGGGGAGATGGAAGGGTAAAAGCCGCCAAGCCAGTTGGAATTCTGGTTGGACGTTGAGGGGGAGAGAGAGAGAGAGAGATCTTTGTGCATAGAGAACTGGATACCGTTTAAGATAACAGAGTCCCACTTGGATTTGGCCTGTGGTTCAACAAGTTAAACAACTGCTTGTTCTGTGGGCAGACATCCCCATTGACAGAGGACTTGCTGTGTTTGTCCAGCCTGAGACCTTTTCAATGACTGTTTTTCTTTCTAGGCCAAATTGAGGGTGGGGGCCGGATAGATGCTTCTGTCTGGCTGCTCAACTGCCTCAGCCTTGCCTGACAGATGCAGAGGTCCTCAGGATGGCTTTAAGTATTTAAGGCGGCCAATGGCTTGGTAACTTTAGTCACAAAGTGAATCTGATGAGTAATGTGTATATCTTATGGGAGGTGTTATTTCTACCCTTCTCAACTATGAAATGTGGATGATTTGAACCAAACGATTAAAATTATACCTTTTTAACCTGACAAATTTTATATTAACTTTAAAAAGTCAACCGGTGATGAATCCCAAATGGGTCTGGGGTATGGGAAATGTGAGGCTAAGGAATTCTGCACCACCACAGGCAGAACAGGATTTGAAAACCTGCAAAGAAATTCCTCTCCTCTTGGTTCCAACAGTTATAAATCAAATTTTAGCTGCTAACCTCTCAGAGTTCAGTAGGCTCTCCCCACCACACCTCACTAAATTTCAGTTAATAAACTTCTGAAAAATAATAAGGTTTCTTACGCAATTAATTCAAATTTGGGAAGCTACAGATTTTTGAGCACTGACTAAAAGAGAGATTACTTCTGCTTGCAAAAAACAACAAAGGAGTTTCAAATAAAAGCCTAGCTGGGAAATTATAATTTTTCAATGTTTTTATCACCAAAGATATATCATTTTGCAATATGGGCTGTTCCCGGCAAAATCCTTTTCTTTAGCTTCAAAATTTGAAAATGGTCAAAGAAAGACCGAAAGATCTTCAGATCAACTCCTTCTTTCATTCATACATTCAAACCACAGGATGTTGCCACACAGACGTGTAAAATTGTTTAACTAGTGACTGTCACTCTTTTCTTCCCAAACAGGCTCAAAGTCAGAAAATGAGATACAAGACATCCTTGGTGATGAGGAAACGATTACGGCTTTACCGAAACACTCTTAAAGAGTCAAGTAAGTTAAAATCCTCCTTTGAATATTGGTTTGCTGGTTTCTTTTCTTCTTCTTCTTCTTTTTTTTTTTTAAGTAGGAAGTTTTGTTTTGTCTTTTGTTTATGTTGGGTTGAGAGTTTGGGGGGAGTTTCTTGAGTTCAAATGAAACTTAGAACTCCTTAGTGTTCAATACATTTGCACACAAATCAATGACACAACGTCCCACCAGCAGCCAGCTAATCCCCCTCAATGCCTACTCATCTGGACGTTCCAGAATTAATATTTGACGATTCTCTCATTGAAACAACCACCCCTGACCTTCTGCAATTCCACTGTCACGTTATTCTGTGACATATTCATCTTGAATTCATTTCCAGACAATTTGATTGGAATGAGGTTTGACATGTATTGGCTTCCATGAAAGAAGCAGACTTTGATCTGGATGATGGGGTTTACATGATATACATCATCTTTACCAGGGATACCAGCCTTCTGCAATGTGGTAGTGACGAGGTTCCCACAATGTGGTGTCTGAACAGGGAGTGACTGACAGCTGCTCTGTCAGGAATACCTTCATTGTGAAGAATTTAATTTAATATTCCATTTAGAATAAGCATATGATTTAGGGTGGTATTTTCCCTTCCAGGCGTCTAGTTTTCCTCATTTCAACTATATCACTAGCTGATGGTTGCCTCCAAAGATGTTCCCTCATTGGTAGACAAAGGAACCTTCCTAACCAAAGTCAAATAGACAACCCAGGAAATGGCTCTCTATATTATCTGGGGATGATTTAATGGCAAAAGTCTCAAGAGAGGTATGAGTTGTTATGTAAATTCAGTTGTTTTGATTCTTTAATACTGTTTTGGAAGACCCAAAAGCAATGTTTCCTAAGCTTTTGTCACAGGATGTTTTGTAGAATCCTTGCTTGGAAATTAAAGCATATCCAAGTATATTTTCTTCCATACTCAGTTCCATTAATGATGTTTAAAACTCAAATTTCCATAGCAGAGGAGAAGAATATCCTCTTTTATTGCCAAAATCCTAACAGATCTCATCTCCTTTGCACAATTTGGGCTTAGAAATACGGATGGCCTCCTGGGGCTTATGTTATTTCTTTGCATAAGAATAGAGGCAAACTCCCTGTGTAGGAATCTTGAAGTCTGTTTGTGACTAGCCTCTAAAGAAATTTACCTCTGTTTAGGGTGGCAACCTGGCCAGAAACAGGGAAGAAAGAACTGAACAAGTGACTATTGATTTAGTGCAGAACATTCAGATGACAAGACTTGTTTCTAGCCAGGTTCTATACAGTGGCCCTCAGCTGAGTAAGGCCCACCTCCTGATCTGGGCATAACTTACAATAAACAATCATCATTTAATTTAGCATTGCTTAAAATATTAAAATGGAAAAATAGCCCAGCTGTTGATCTGAAATATCCTCCATTTTTTTTTCTTTCCAAGGCAGTGAGATCAGACATTCAAACCAGTGATTTAAGGAGCTCTGGCAGATGGTAGGGCCACCAAATGTTCTATTTCTAGAAAAGAACTAGGAAATCACTTGTTTATGCCACTGCATTCGTCTGGGTAGGTGAGCAAAAGTGCTTAGGGCATGATTCTGGGCACTGGTTTGCAGAGGCTCTGAAGATCAAGAGATATTTGGGGTCTAGTGGTGGAATATGCTCCAAATAGGTCCCCAAGAAAACAAGCTTCCAGTGTTTCATTTTGACATGTGCTAAAGATCTGTGGGTTGTGAGATACTCTTTTTCTCTACAAATGAAGCAGAAAAGTAGACTTAACAATGTTATATCTCCAGGCATGGGTAGGAATAGAATGTTTCAGTCAAGCATTTGGTGTTGGGGGCAGGTATAGTGAGATGTTTCTGGAAAAAAAATCTGAAGAGCACTGAGGAGACACCATTCCTTAGCCAGCCCAATTGATAATCTCTGTAGCCTGGGTTCCCTGCTTCCCAGGCTCTGGAAGACTCAAAATGATCTCTCTAAAGACTAAAATATACCTCTCAGTTGTTGATGCCCCATCACCTTGAACTGGATACTGCTTTGGGGCTTATTTCAAAGATATACCTTGAAGATCCTTATGTAATCCCTTATTGCTGTCTCTGGGGAAATGTCCTTCGAGGAGAATGTCTGGTCCCATTGCTGGGTTTAGCCAACCAACATATAGACCATATAGCTCTAAGGAACTTGCAAAGATCAGGCAACCTCAGTGACCTGCAGGTCTACTGACCCCTGGCTACTCAAGCAAGAAGAAGCTACCTAAAATGGGTCCAGATGTTTTCAGCTTTCAAGAGAAGGCTGCATCTGGGAAGGAGCTCCATGGGGCCAGCCTACTCTCCAGGATTTTGGCTGAATCAGATGTGTTTGCCCTTTTGCTGCTGGCACAAAAAAGTCATACACAAGTTCAAAGCTTTTCAAAGGCAAAGTGACTAACAGAAAGTGTGTAGTATGCTAGCAGACTATGTGTATAAAACCTCTGTTTCTTAACCCTGGAGTCCAGAGAGTCAGTGGTTAGAATTCCAGAGGGCCCATAAACTTGGAGGAGAAAAAAATGCCTCTTTATTTTCACAACCTTCTATTGGAAAGTTAGTGTTTTCTTCTATGATGAATATGTGCAGCAAATACTGGACTATTAGAAGTTCAACAGACTCACCAGGCTTCCTAAGGGTTCCACAGCCTGAAACAACTAAAAACCCCTCTTCTCCTATCTGTCCATACTGTTATTCAAAGCTTTTGATGGAGGTGGGGTCACAGTGTATATATTAAGAAATCTGGCCGGGTGCAGTGGCTCACGCCTGTAATCCCAGCACTGTGGGAGGCCGAAGTGGGCAGGTCACCTGAGGTCAAGAGTTCAAGACCAGCCTGGCTAACATGGTGAAACTCCGTCTTTACTAAAAATACAAAAATTAGCTGGGCATGATGCTGGGTGCCTGTAATCCCAGCTACTTGGGAGGCTGAGGTGGAAGAATCGCTTGAACCAGGGAGGCAGAGGTTGCATTGAGCCAAGATGGCGCCATTGCACTGCAGCCTGGGCGACAGAGGGAGACTCCCTCTCAAAAAAAAAAAAAAAAAAAATCCGTGTTTTTGCAAATCAGAGTCTTAAAGCTAAAGTGAGTTTGACAAACATTCTGAACTGTTAGTTTTAGATTACCTAGGGTCCAGCAGAGAAAAAAAATTTTAATTGCCGAAATATTGCAGAAGTTCCCCTGCACTTAAACCTGAATACCACATAAGCTGAACAAGTTTGGTGTTAAGATGCGGATAGTAAAAACAACTGGGCAAGGAGTCTCAGGTAAAAACATACTCTGGCTTTTGTTTTGCTTTTTGGAGTCCTTCATGGATTCAGTCCAGAGTTGCCTAGACAATTGCATCATTCAACATACACCTGGGAGGTGAAATGACTCATTGAGATGTGTAAACCTTTCACTGGAGACCTGGCCATGCCACTGCTTGGATGAAGGATCAGAGCAGGGGAAGGATCAGAGAGATGGTGCCTGTTGGTGGAGGAGTAAACCATGGGAGAAAGTGAAAGCCAGGGAGACATATCCTGAGAGTCTAGTCACAAAACTGCTGTGTGGAAGCCCTTGGTTTTGAGAGTAGGGAGTGGGGGTCTGGCAGTCAAATACTCTTCTCTAATTTTTTTTTTTTAAATACTGAGGAGTATCTATTGGTAGAGTTATCCAAGCTCTTCCTGTAGGAGGAGCAGAAAGACCTGGACGTGTCTAAGTAGAGAGAAATTGTTGTGGAAGTTAATCCCTCCCTAAAGTGCACCCAAGGGAGGAACAATGCATTAAATGAAGGTCTCAAAGAATCTGCCAACTGTTATACATCAGTTAATTATTTTAAAAAAAAATTTTTTAAGGCCTTATTTACTGACCAGGAAATGTATAAGAATAGTCCTTGGTGCTGGGGATGGGAGGAGGGGCAGTTCAGTCAATTTCTATTCAGCATTGCTGGTATCTGCCAAAATTTCTTGCCTCTGCTAAGGGGTATGGGATATTTTACTCAATCTTTAAAACTTTTCTTAAAGATACAAGCCTTTCTCTGTTTGGGGGACACTTTTTATGGCCGCCAGGGAAGCCCAAGCACTTAGACTGGCATTTTCGGCTGCAGCGACAAGGCAGGAGTCCCGGCCAGCAGCCCTTTAAATCGCCGGACGACGCAGCTGACCTTAGCCGGTCGGCTCAGACAAAGGACTACCGCTCGCCCCCAAAGCCCCCCAACCCCCGACCCTCGGCTTTTGCCACACTCGACTGAGCCAGAACTTAAGTTTTTTTTAACCAACCGACCCCCATCCCGCCAAAGTGGCCCCCCTAGCACTGGAAGGCATCTTGTCGGAGGCGGCCACGGGCCTGCAGGCCCTCTCAGAGCCTGGAAGGGGAAACGCGGCGTGCACTTTCTACAGAGGCCTAAGACGAGGTAGGAGGAAGCAGAGAAGGCTTGGACCGCAGGCAACAAGTAGCCGAAGCTGAAAGTGGAAGTCACCCTTAAATCCCCTTTCCCAGAGGCTCCGTACGACTGCGGGGTATAGCGCTCAGGATCCCTGATTTGCCCAGGGAGATCCGAGAGCGAAAACCTGTTTCTCCTGGATCCACGCCCGACTCCTTTGTTTCTTTGGCCAGCAGGCCTGCGGGTGGGTGTGACTTGTGGCGGGGAGAGTCCTTTCAGGAAGGCACGGGTTCGAGCCCAGCCTTTTCAGGCCGTCACCACTTCCCGCCTAATCCCGTCCCTGGTCAGGGCCAGATCCTTGAGTTTCGCGCGTCTTTGAGCTCTCCAACACCGGGGAGGAGGGGCCTGCAAGGCTAAATGGGAAGAGAGTATAGAGGAAAGAGAGGGGGAGGGGAGGAGAAAGGAAGACGAAGTGAGGTAGACGTTTTGGGGAAAATAAGAGAGACGAAAAGGACCAGAAAGATGAGGGAAACGAGACATTTCGGAGAAAGCCAGAAAATAAAATTAGGCTCAACGGCTGCTAGCCTAGGAGTTTCTCAGCTCCTGGCTCCTGAGTCAGCAACCTCCTTCGGTCCTTCGATCCCGACCCCCTCCTCTTGCAGGCTGCAGGGACAAACTGCCCAACGAGACCGCCATCTCTGCGCACACGATGCTGCCCATCAGCCCCGACTGAGGTCCCGCAATGCTGCCTCCCCAAAGTTGTGGTGAATGGTGGCATAACCCAGCCCCGAGTACTTCCAGGAGCCCTGAGTCAAAGCTGATCCACTCAGCTTTCCGGAGAGGAGGGGGAGGAGGCTCAAGGGGAGAGAAAAGGATTTGTGCCCGGGTCAGAGCGCATGAGCAGTGGAAGCTTGAGATGCTGTGGGGGTGGGGTGAGGGAGGGAAAGAGGGTATATGTTTGGGGGAGAGGTGTGTGAGGGGGTGGCGGTTGGAGCAGGGAAGTGTGAGAGAGAGAGAGAGAGACCGACCGCGTGCGGCAGGACCTGTCATCACTGACGTCGGACCCGGCCGCGGGCCAATGGGCTACCCAGGCGATTGTTCCTCTCTGTGGGTCCAGGCCACGGCCCTGAATCTCTATTGACTTCCTAACGCGCCCTGCTGCTACTTCTGTAGTGTGCAGGATTTCGCGTAGGCATTAATAGCCAAGGGGGTGGGCGCGCCCAAATCCAAACCTTGGGAAGAAGAAGAGAAAGAAAGAAAGAAAAAAAAAACTTTACAGAAGTTTTTTTGTGTGGTTTTCCTTTCCCCTCCCCACTGTCAGGTGGCAGTGGTGTTAGCGGCCCGGTACAGGGAGCTCCGGGGAGCGTGGGTCGGCAAGCAGCCGGCCGCCCTCTCCTAGCCAAGCGGGGCACTGAAAATATATATGGCTGGGGCGCTTCAGAACCACCACCACCTCCAACATCATCATTTCTGTCACCTCCACTCCCCGCAGGGCATCGTGCCCCGGAGAGCCCCGGGGTGTTAGCCGCCAAAGTGCGCTTGGGGCTCAGCTCCTACCCCTCTGGAGCAGAACCCCCAGCAACCCACAGACTCAGCCCTGCGCCTTCCATTACCCCTTACATCTACTCTGCCGCTACCATCCCTCTCTAGCTCATGGCGCGGCGGGGGACTTGGCCCAACAGCAATTCGGCCCAATGGCGGCGGAGGTGTTTGGCCTTGCTCTGTCCACCGGGTTCACTGCTGGCGCTGTCTGGCTCTGAGTTCCACGGCTGACTGCAGAGGCCGTAGTGCGGCAGGGCTGGGCCTGCCCCCCGGGGCCCAGGGAAGAGCGCGCAGCCCACGCCACCCGTTCTCATGCGCGCTATTTGTTTCGACAACAGGTAGCAGCTCTGGACACCATGGCCCCCAGCTCACCGCCGCCTCCAGCCCCTCGGTGTTCCCGGGCCTCCACGAGGAGCCTCCCCAGGCCTCCCCCAGCCGTCCTTTGAATGGACTCCTGCGTCTGGGGCTCCCTGGAGACATGTACGCGCGGCCGGAGCCCTTCCCGCCAGGGCCTGCGGCCCGCAGCGACGCCCTGGCAGCTGCCGCAGCCCTGCATGGCTACGGGGGCATGAACCTGACGGTGAACCTCGCTGCGCCCCACGGTCCTGGCGCTTTCTTCCGCTACATGCGCCAGCCCATCAAACAGGAGCTCATCTGCAAGTGGCTGGCGGCCGACGGCACCGCGACCCCGAGCCTCTGCTCCAAAACTTTCAGCACCATGCACGAGCTGGTCACGCACGTCACCGTGGAGCACGTCGGCGGCCCGGAACAGGCCAACCACATTTGCTTCTGGGAGGAGTGTCCGCGCCAGGGAAAGCCCTTCAAAGCCAAATACAAACTTGTAAATCACATCCGCGTGCACACGGGCGAGAAGCCCTTCCCTTGTCCTTTCCCGGGGTGTGGGAAGGTCTTTGCTAGATCAGAAAATCTCAAAATACACAAACGAACTCACACAGGTCAGTATTCGGCGCTGTCTGTCGCGTGCGGACCCTCTGGGGAAGCAGGCCCTCGGGTCTGGATTTCCTCAAGTCCCAACTGAGGGGAGGGGGAAATATTTTGGGGTTGTTTCCATGAGCCAAGGCCATAAAATATTAATTATGCGCTTCTATTCTTAGAATCACAGAAGTTTCCGGAGGCTGTGTGTAGGGAGGATAGTGCGGGATTTCTGTTCTGGGGGGGACAAGGGTGAACGTGCCTAAGACCCTGTGTGTGCAAACATGTGCTCTCTGCTTAAGAGTTTGATTTTAAGATATTTTAAAACAGCATTGTTCCCCAAAGTCGTAAAGACATAAGAACAGCTGTCTAACTTTTTTCCTTGTCCCTTTGGAATTGCGCAGCAGAACTCTTCCACCTGTAGTCCTGATAACCTGGCCCACCTGGACTGAGAGGTTACCAGGCCCTGGAGCCTTCTTTAGGAGTTGGGGGTCGAATGGGCTAACTTTGTACGTATTTTTGAGCCTTGGTGGCCGGACACTAGGGATGTTTGGTGGACCCTCACTTTCGCTTTAGCACAGACCTATCCACCTTAAATATCATTTACCAAGCTGCTAAGGGAAATGGGGACATGTGTCAACTACATCTGCTACTTCTAGTTAACAGAAAAAAAGGAGTATCGTTCAAGAGCCTGCAAAATTGAACTCCTCTGGCCAGAGCATCTCTAATTAATACAACTGCAAGGAGAAAGTTTTCACACTTCCAGAACAGCCTGTGAAGTTACATTAATTAGTTTAGCAGCCATTGTTTGTACTCTCCTTAGTTAGGGTTTTCTCGCTCCTCCTCCCTGGAAGTTTAAGAAATCAACATCTTCTCCCCTCCCCCATTTTGGGGGCGGGAGAAGGGGACTGGTGGGGACAGGAGAAAATAAAATGAATTCCAGCTTGGTGCCCCACTTCTCCTACTGCCCGGTGCCTTGCCTTACTCGCCCCTATTCTTGCTGGAACATCGACAATTGTTGGAGTCAAAGAACTTCCTAAGGCTAGTTGTTCTAACGCCTATCTTCTCCCCAAACTCTCCCTTCCCGGGGAAGGTCCATGGCCCGGACACTGGCACATGCGGAGACCAGACCAAAGTCCACTTGGAGCCTGGCACTTTATTTCTAAAGCTTGTCTGGAAGTGTACGGTTTCCCTGAGTTCTTTTCAGGGTTTCCCACAATGTCGCATGGATCTCACCCCCTCACCAGAGGTTTTAGCTTCGGGAAGGGGCGGTAGGTCACACTGGAATCCTGGCCCCAGGCCTGCTACTCCGGGAGCTGGCGGCGGACACCCGGAAGGTAGACTCGCAGTCCTGAGCTGGAGAAGGAACTCATCTTTAATGACAGGGTTTTTTTTTTTTTTTTTTTAAACAAACAAACTTTTACAGCTCTTTGCCGGCCCACTGTTTGAATTCTGTGAAGCAGAAAATGGTTAAATTCTTAGCACAGTCGACCTACAGCAGAGAAGCAAGTTCAGTGCGCCACGGCTGGCTCAGGTTTTCGTGTTTTCAGGACAGAATTTTGTGCGTTCTTTCGGTTCGCGGTCCTGATTCATTAGCGGTGGGGGGTGGGGGAAACAACAAACAAAAACAAACAAACAAACAAACACGACCAACAACGAACTACAGAGTCTGGCCTGCTCGGGCATTTCCCTCAAATCCCCCTCCTAGTCATAAAAAGAAGAGAGAGAGAGTGAGAGAGAGAGAGAGAGAGAGAGAGGGAAAAAAAATATTTCTCAAATGGCAATAGACCTCACTACAAATTATTCATGAAGACAGTTCTCGATTCAACAGGAAAATAATTGCCTTTTCAAATATTAATGGCGTTTCATTTCCTCGAGTAGCAGAAGCGGCAAACAGGAGCAAATTTCTCAGGAGCTGAGATTCTCCCTGACCTGAATCCGGGGCCTGGCTTTGAAGGCGACTGTCCGCACCGAAAGGATTCACTTTGTGGCGGTCACAGCGATCCCGGAACAATGGTGCCTCGGGGAGGGAGGCGCGGGCCAGCAACCGCGCTCGGCCTGGCCACCGCCACCCAGCTCCTCTCCAGGGACCCCTCGGCCGGGGCCGGGAGCTCACCACACCTTCCCCGGCGTCTGAGGGCGAGTCAGTGCTGGGGATCCGAGGTAGAGGAAAAGAGACCGCGCCGGGGCGCAGTCGCCGGGACAACCAGATCCAGCCACAAGTGCGAGAAAATGGCGCTGGCCCAGCTAGCCCGAGCTTCCGAACTTTGTTCGGCGGACCCGGCTCAGGGTCGGAGAGGAGGCCTTTCAGGACTGCTGGGCCTCTGGGATGAGAATCTGGGTCTTTCACAGCGCAGCCCCGGGCCTAGGACGCTCCGAGCGGGCTGCAGGGGCCTAGCCCAACGCCGCCTCTTCACATTCACCCACCCACCCAGGGCGCAGTGCAGGGAGCTGGAGGGAGGGGGAAGGACTGGAGGCCGGGTGTTGGCGGGGGGCGGGGGTGATGTCAAGCGCAGAGACCAGGGCGCCTCCTGCAGCTCCGGAGCAAGCTGGGGCGCGGCCTCACCTGGCCTCCTAGGGGCCTGCGAACTTCCCGGCTGCCGGTATCACTCAGTGCACTGCTGTTTTCTCCTCTGCTCCTCGTCTGGAGCGAAATAATTGTTTTTGTTTTACGTGAATGTCCAGTGAGGCGCTCACGAGATCGGATAAGCGTTTGGCGGGATTTTTGTTGGGGGTGGGGGTTGTTGGGGAGGGGCACCAAATTCTAATTCCATTTCACCTCTGTTTTCTCAAAATAACCTTGGTTCTTTTGCAGGCCCTGAATTGTATGTTTTTTGTAATTTTTTTTTTTTTTTTGAAAGAGAAGAAGGAAGAAAGTTTTGGGTTTGCAAATGCTGGCAGGAATCAGAGGAGATAAAAATGGGGGCAAATAGGAACACTGATTTATTCCGCATCTTTCTATCACTGTTTTATAAAATGGTGCCAGTGTCCCGCGAAATGGCAGGTGCCAACACCTTCCAGACTGTTCAGTGTACTAGCTGTGCTCCTGTAGGGTGGGAATCCAGCGACCAGGTGGTGCCGGAGACCCGGGCTCAGGAGCCGCTGATTGCGCAGAAGCGCAGGTTGTGCGCAAACCTCTCTGTCCGAGCCTCAACAGGGCTCGGGAATTGGGGCTTTGTTTGTTCTAACCAGCCCCAAAGCGCCTGTTTTTCCTGGATGCGGCGGGAGAAGCAACTACAAAGGCAACAGTTCTCCAGCTGCGCGTCTTCCTCCTCAGCTAGACGCTAGGTAGCCGGTCCCTTAACTCAGAGCGCTGGGAGGCAGCCATTTGTTTAAAGCGCCCAGAAACCTTCTTCCCCCATTTCCGCAGCACTTGCAGCTCCGGCAGGAATCTAGGCTTCCGGGTTCTCGGGGTCCTTTCCTCTCCTACACGTCAGCGAATTCAGCTGGCCGTGAGCTCCCCGATTGGGGCTCGGTCCGGCCAATATTGTCACTCTAACGTGCACTCGCGCCTTCCCTCGGCTCTACAGGGCATCGCAGCCACCGATCCCAGCCCCTCCCCGGCCTATGCCAGCCGCCTGGTGGCCCTCCGGGCTGCGGAGCCAGGCCTGGCCTGACAGCAGCAGCTGTTTTCTTCCCGAAGCCGCAGCGCTCAAGGGCGTGGTTGCGGTAGACACCTCGGATCCCATTTGGCCTGTGCGGACCCTACCGCGCCAACCCCTCGTCTTAGGACCGAGAGGCCCGACAGCCAGGTGGGGGTGGTCTGGGCAGACCGGTCGACATCGCAAGTCAGTGCGGACTGGGAGGGCCAGCTGCCCACAGCACGGTCTCCAGGAAGCCTCTGGAGCAGCGTAATGAAATATTATTACTGGCGAGCGTATCTGGAGGGATCCCGGAAGGTTTAGGCAAGATTTGAAGAATGCTGCTAAATGTTTGCCCTCAGGGGGTAGAAGGAAAGAGGGAGGGGGCTCCATTCCTGTAAAAATCTCTTCTGAAGTGAATCATTGCTCAGAATACCTCTCCCTGCAGCACGAATCCACTTTATGCACACACAATGTGCATCGGCTGCGCATCCTTAAATTATTTCATCGCTTTGGCGTTTGCGCAAAACCTACTTTAGGAAACAATTTGGGCCAGGATGGGGGTGGGTGGGGGGGATGAACGGCTGGGCGGGGTAGCGGCAGAGAAGTTAGTCTGAAACAGCAACTTTAAATCGAGCAGATGTGAGCTTCCCCGTTAACTATATTGTGAGCTCCTCCGTTAATGTATTTCCGAGCAGAGGTGCTTCTGGTTCCAAGTGGAGAAAATTTGGAGGAAACAACCCGAGTGGATCAGGATTTTCGAGGATGGAAACTCGACTAAGATGGAGTCACTGTCGCTCCTCCTCCATACCCTCCCCATGAGCCCAGAGGAGGAAGGCGGGAGGGATGGAGGCGTTCAAGAGAGGGCACCGGGGGCGCTCTCTGCACGAGGGAAAGGGGTGCTCGACCTGAGGCGCCGTGGAAAGGGATTTCTGAAAATATTTTGTAGTTCTTTTCCAGAAAATGAGAGACGAATGGGGGAGGGTGGCAAGCACCTGACGGGAACACGACCCACAAGCACTAATGTCTCTGCGTTGCCTCCGCCAGGCGAGAAGCCCTTCAGATGCGAGTTCGAGGGCTGCGAGCGGCGCTTCGCCAACAGCAGCGACCGTAAGAAGCATTCGCACGTGCACACTAGCGACAAGCCATACACGTGCAAGGTGCGGGGCTGCGACAAGTGCTACACGCACCCCAGCTCGCTGCGTAAGCACATGAAGGTGCACGGGCGCTCGCCGCCGCCCAGCTCTGGCTACGATTCGGCTACACCGTCTGCCCTCGTGTCGCCCTCGTCGGACTGCGGCCACAAGTCCCAGGTGGCCTCCTCGGCGGCGGTGGCGGCGCGTACCGCCGACTTGAGCGAATGGTACGTGTGTCAGGGCTTGGGCCCCATAGCGGCTGCCCCCGCCGCGATCCTCAGCCCCGAGCTACCACCTGGCCCTGCTGCTGCCGCCGCCGCCTCCGGTATTAGGGCTGCCTCTGTGATTGCTGCTTCCGCACACACCGAATGCAGAGTAGGCCACGTTTCTGAGGCATGAAGAGGGCGAGGGCGGAAGGAAGGAAGGCCGGCCGGCCACCTGTAATAGTTGCTGGAGCTCACTGAATACGCTAATATAATGTCCATTATTTTAGAAGATAAATATGGTCCCCCTATTTATTCTGTAGTCACAATCAGCACCATCACCCCCACACGCGCCTTCATGACTGGGTATCATAAAACCAGGGTTAGGGGCGAAAAGAGACAGGGAGATGGAAAAAAAAGTTGGAGAATTTATGTGCAATCCTGTCAACTGCAGATGACAAAAGTAAAGCCACAGATTTCCCGCATGCTTCGCAGAATGGGAAATATTTTTCTCGAGGACTGGGCCGCTCCCACCCCCACTCTAACCCTCCCCTCCCCCACATTAATTCCAACCTCAGAAGTTCAGATCAAGGGAAGGGGGCAAAGGGAATTCCAGAGCCGTTTTCTTGACTCCAGTTTCTTTCCTCTTTGCCTTCCTATGGTTTCCCCTTCCCTAGGTATCCTTTGAAACAAAAAACACACAAGTCCTAATTTTTCCAACCTCCTCTATAAAGGAGGTAAGGGAGATTCATCGTCTTTTCAGCAGGGGGTGGGTGGGTGGTGGTTAGACGCTTCCACCCCTATGGAGTGGCCTGGGCACACAGATAAACATCTGCCTGTCGTCCACAGACTCAATATACATTGTATACTTGGAGTAGGGAGTGAATTCAAAACAACAAGAAATACAGACAAAGGAACACCAGAGAGGCTTCAGGATTCAATGCTGTGAGGCCTCCCCGGGCCTTTTTCCCACCCCAACCCCTGTAGAGGCGTTGCCTGTGTAGTCTTGTAGGTGCTTGGGCTCCGGGTGTAGAGCGAGCTGATGACGTCACTGAGTCGAAGCCTCTAAAGTGGAGAGACCTGACCTAGGCGGCCGTGTCTGGGTGAATTGCGTCAATTCGGTGATGGTCTTTGTTAGTAATTGCACAATGTTCGTCTTATTTTTAAAAAGGTGTAGGAGGAACTAGAGAAATGATCCACAATAATAAATATTGTAAAGGCAAACACCCAGTGGGTCTAGATTGAATGTGTATTTGATATGCTGCGTATGAAGTCCCCAGAAAAAAAGAACCAGATGTTGAAGGAGGGGGCGAGAAAGGCCTTTGCAATTGCGGCCAAAGGGAAAAAAATCAGGTCCTTTTTCCCCCCTCCCCCCATCTGCAGGGAGAATGCGGCTGCCCCAAAATCCTAGCTAAGACTTGAAGAAGTAAAGGAAAATAAAATAATAAAGCTTTGGCAGACTCATCTCAGTTCCCTAAGAATTTGAAAATCAGTGTGTGTGTATTGGGGAGGGAGGTAGGTTTTCTCTCTGGGGAGGGCCCCACAAAAGACCTCAATTTTAAAATCTGAGCCCAGCAAACAATTCCTGGCCCTGCCACTGATGAATTTTCTTCTGCTCTATCCTCTTCAGACGCAATTAGACAATTAGCACTCCTGCCCGCAGCCCCCACAACTTTCATCAGATGAAATAACATCCTAACTGGAGTGGAACTATTTTCATGACTCCAAATAAAAAATGCAGTCTTCCAAATACACCTTTAGTGAATCCGTCCTTGAGAAAGGGGGACTGAAATTCCTGCCTACACCTAATACAATAGGGCCCAGAGGCTGCCTGACCCAGCGCGGGCAGTCGGCAACAAACAACTCCTTCCCATAGTGAAACACCAACCCCACCACTAAGGTGCAGAGGGCATTTGCGGAACTTGCTGCTTCTGCCAATGTTTAAAAAGTCCCCCTTCCTGAAGTAGGACTTTTTTCTTTGTCTTCTGTTTCTAAGCTCCCCATTTTGCTTTCTATCTCAATCTAAAATAATGAAATAAAACAAAATGTTTGGTCGGCCACTAATCGCCTTTAATTTTTCATTTGCTTGTTACAGATGTCCACCGCGTTGCTCGCAAGGTAATCTCGCTCCGCGCAGCTGAGCGCCCCGCATCTCGCGCCTGCTACATCAAAGGGCCCGCGCACAAAGCAGTGTTTCTTCGCCACGGTGCATCTTCATGGTAAGTTAGGATTTCTATGGCAATGTGCAAGTCGCACTGAAATCCTGAAAGGCCAAGCCTGGAGCCCGTCCAGGCTTTTCATTAAGGACATAATATTTACGTCTAACAGACCTTTTTTCTTGTGTATACAAGTATATATTTTTGTTTGACGCGGACTAAATCATTTTCATTTAATTTCCGGTAAACAAAACCCACGCGAATGGGCACTTGTACCCGATCATAATAAAAATGGATAATAATGTGAAGGAAGAAAAGAGCCGCTTGAATCGCCGCTCAGCCCCCTTTGTTTCTGCTTTCTGCGGTGATCAGAGGGCGCGTTTGGGTTTGATGGCGAGTTTCTAAAGGCGAGGAAATGGTTTGTAAGAGGGGAAAGAAAAGGAGAAAGGTCTAATCAAGCTCGGGTTGTTCAAAGAGTCGGGTTTTGGGGTTGAAAGTGTGAGTTTGACGGTGCATCAGCATGCCGCGTTAGGCTCGCCATGGAAATACGCGCGGGGAGCGGCCGCTTCAAAGGCGGCACACTTCACTACAGACACTCTATTAAGATACATTTGCGCTGACCTTTGCTTTCACGCCATTTAATACTGTCACTGCGCTCTCCAGTATATACTTCCTTTCTAGAACCCGACTTGCCCACGTTTAGGGGTTCACTCTGCACCCTGATGTGGGAGGCTTTGGCGCAGGGGACACTTTCAGGAAAGGGAGGAGCACAAGGACTCTGTGCATCTTGACTGCACCCCAAAGAGGCTCCAGGATCAGGAGTGAAAGATTTTAAAGCAGCCTCCGAAGCTTAACAAATGAGCATTCCAAGCTCAGTTTTGTGCAAATCGCCTTTCTGACTCTTGAGTAGGATGGAGGCTTAAATTTAATGGCGACTTGGGGGGAAGGGAGCCACCCTGGGGGAGTCTGAGGAGTTCAGACTGTGCCCTTGGGAATTTCCACTCTGGCTTTCCGTGCCACTCTTCTTCCTTTCCATCCCAAAAGTCTCTTGCGGCCCCTGAAACTTGTTTCTTTCTAAGGCAGGGTGTGTGGTACCCTTAGGCCTGGACTAGTCCTAGATGCAAACTCAAGAGCCCAAGGCCAAGGGGATGTGGGGAAGATGGCAGGAAAGTTAGAAGTCCATGTTCCCTTAATTGTCTTGTTGTTTATTTTATCCAAGTACCCCAGTGAATAGGGGAAAAATAAACACAGTGAAAAAAAAAATCAAACAGTGGAGTCTTCTTTAGTGCCAGTCCTTGTGGTTGAATAAAAAGGATGGTCCGCTTTCTATTGAGCTGAGAAATCTTTGAAGTGGGAGTTATTATCTGAGACATTCCTGCTTGTCGTCCTAACAACGCTGATGAAACGTAAAAGGTTCTTTGTCAGCGATTTGTTCTCCTCTCTGTCAAACTCCCTCTGCCCCGTTAGTTTCAAACCGTTTCTAAAGAGATAAAAATCAAACTTCTTTTAAAACAATATCCACACACTGCATCAATACATAACTTTAGGTCTAAGTCTTGCTAAGGGATAAACAAAAGCAATGCCTAGACATCAGGGTCAGGGCCTGGTCTGGTGAAGTATGCAGAAGTTGGGGGGCCCTCGGGACAAGCTTTGGGACATGAGGAAAAGAATGCAGAGAGGGTGCAAGCAGAATACATACCCTAAGTCCATAATTGTGTTTCTGCTTCTTTCTGCTCTGGTTTGCATTCAATCAGCCCAAGTTGGGTCACATAGATGGGTTTCCTTTGGGTACCCCTCAGGCTCCTAATATTCTTGCCCAGGATCCTTGGAACTTAAGAATGCAGCCAAGCAATTGTTAATATCTCCTGCTCCTTCAAAGCCACCTCTGCTAAAAATAGACCCATTGTGTGTTTCTTCTCACTAGCAGCAATCAACAAGCCCTTTCTGCCGTTAATAAGAAGGAGAATAGCTGAAGGAGAGAGATATTTTATTAATTTCCTGTTTCCTTCAGAATCTTGGCAATTGAAGTTTAGAAGGTTTGGTCTACAACACAGTGATCGAAAATGCATGTAAATGCCCATCCTTCCCTTCATTCACGTGTGAAGTTGTTCATTTTATATTGTGCCCAGCAAAGAAACTTTCACCCAGTTCAGGTTTCCCCAAAACTCCTGTGGTGGTTTTAAAGGTGGTTTAAATAAATAAGGATGTGCTGGTCCCCCTACTCTGTGTGTGCTGAATAAATGGCTTGTAAAGAAGTTTTTCCAAGCTGTAACCCATGCTGTTATTATAGTTGCTGCAAAATGTTCTTCCTGATATTGATTTTATTTGTTAACTGAAGGTCTCCATATGTTTGTTTATATTGCTAATTTATGAGAAAATGTAATAATTGCAATGAATGTGAATTATACAGACAGGCAAACATTTTGTAATCATAATTCACATATACACAAAAGCCTGGCTGAAATCTTTAGACTATTTGTACCCTCTCTACCCACACTGTTTGTGATTTATCATCTGTCTCTTTAGTGTCAGTTAAATTATGAACTAACTTGAAAATAAAAGTTGTTTGACTGAAAGTGATTGTTGAATGAACAACAAAGTTGAAAGCCATGGCTTGATCTTGTAAATATATAAATGTAAATGATATTAAATCTGTGATTCCTTTTCCCTCCAAAGGCTTTTGTGTACATGGCGCTGCATTTGGCTATTTTCTTTGGAAATAAATAATGTGATGTTTCTCTTCCTCTTTTGAATCCTGGTGTCCTGTTATTGTTTCTTCATCCTGGACGAGATTCGAGGCCCTCCAGAAGCCTCCAATTCTCTCCTCAGTCTTTCTTCACCGCTTCACACAAATATCTCTGGGGGCCTAGTCTCAGGACAGCAAAATGGAGGGACCCCCTAAAGCAGCCATTGTGAGAAAGACTTCTCTCATCTCAATTTCACCCTAATGGCACTGACATCATCAACCAATTTATTAATACTTTATAGAATGGAAAAAGTTGAAAGGATCCTCTCAGTGTCTGCCAGGAAAGGCTACCTTTCTACATTTCCAGCTCAGAGCAACGTCAAATAACCACCCCTGAATTCCCAGAGAAAAGTCCAATAGCTGGTGGGAATCAAAACAAGGAAAGAAAAAGACAGGACAGTTCGGCTGTAAGACCTGAGTAAGCGCTGGTGGAGTGTCTGAGGCACAGTTGGCCGCAGAGATCTTCCTAGCTGGACCCTGCCCCCTCTGGGAGAAGTGATTGCTCAGACCTCAAGGCTCCATTCAGATACCTGCGCGAAGGCCTATGCCTGAAGACTGGGAGGCTACAGCCCACATGACACTTCCCTGGGCCCCGATTGAGATATCTGGTGAGTTTTAGCATCCGATGCACGCACACTCTTATCTGGCCCAGCCACTGGGAGACTTATTTCAAATGAATCACCAGAGCCATCTTCCCTCCTCCACTGCGTGGTCACTGGACCTCTAGATACCCGCATACATTGTTGCCTCTGCACCTACTGCTCAGGAGCCACCTCAGTGAGCAGTTCGCCTGACACTTTTTTTTTTTTTTAACTCCTGAGGAGTTGGTTCCCGTGGGCTTGGTTGGAGCAAGGGGCTGGATGGAGTGGGAAGACAACGACTCCTGGGGTGGGAATGCTGGGTCTCCTTAGATAACACACTAGAGACTCAACTCGTAGGGCAAGGGCTGCAGTCCTGGGTAAAACGTTGGGAGAAAGGATCCCGGCGCGCGAGAGACGCGCAGGTGTGATAAAGGAGGCCATGAGGGGAAACCAAGACATGTCCCTGAGAAAGGAGGTCCCTGGGCATTAACACTGGAGTTAGCGCCCCCTCCCGTTCATTTCGCGAAAGGGCCCCCTTCCTCCGTCTCGCGGACAGGTTAGAGGGGCCTCTCCTCGACCCGGCCTCTTTGAGAAACAGCACTCATTAAAGCTCTTTAACCGACTGAGCATTGTGGTGAGGAGCAGGTGGGGATTAGGAATGAACTCGAGACTTCCAGTCAAGGCTTTTCTGGGGCTCGGAGCTCTCCGCTCAATCCTGCTGCCTGGAGTCTTCACAGCTGTGCCTGCCCATGGCTCCAGAGAGGATACCAGCCCTTCTACCGACACCTTCCCATTCCCCCAGGAAAGCCTTGCACGAGAGGGCGCCCAGGAGTTGAGGCCTAAATCATTCCCTAGAATGCAGAGAAAAGACAGGGTGCCCGGGAGACTCCGCTGTCCTTGACATTCCGCGAAAGAGTTTTGGAGAAGCAAAGGCCTGTCTTTGAACCTTCCAAGTTCTAATTGCGAGGCAGTAGAAGAGGAAAGAGAAAGTGCTCTTAGACACCTCAGTGCCCCAGCCACTAGGAGAGGTGAGATTTCCTTTGAGTCATTATTGTTTGGCAGAGTTGAATAGTGTAACCTTTGACAGAGGGTTGAATTTACTGGTCCCCAAGTGCCCTTGGCTAGCCTCACCCTAGAATTATCTCATTTGCTTTCTGGGGAAGTTACCCGCCTCCAACCCTGAACTGACAATGCTCAGGGAAGCTTGGGGGCGCTTTAGTCGGCTAATGATCCCTACACCTCATCCTGCTCTTTTATTCGCTATTCCTAATTAGAGCACCAGGTAGAAACTGTGCTGGCCTGGTGAAAAGATCTTGGATAAGAGGAGGCAGTCTGCCCTCTTGTACACCTACTGTCCCTGTGCCCCTGGATACATGATGAAACGTCTCTGTGCTTCAGTTCCTTCATCTGTAAAATGAAATTAAAATGAACCTCCTTTGCAAGTTTGTTTTGAGTGTTAAATAAGATAATCCTTTAAACATTTAGAATGTACTTGCTAGTGCTAGTTGTTATTACTATTACTTATCTTGGTATTCTGTCTTTCAGAAACATTCCCCTAGCTCCTCACTGAATCAGGTGAATATTTTCAGTCCCTAGCAGAAACTGTGGCGCCCTCAGGAGCCCTAAACTCCATAGCAGCGTGCACCTCCTTCAGGCAATCCGAAGAATAGCTGAGAGCCCCAATGTCACTTTGTTCTCTGAGACTAACTCTCTGAGAAGTTTATTCTCTGAGAGTTCCAGAGCCCAGGGCACCCGGGCACTGAGACAAAAACGTAAATTAGTTTTTAAAGGCACAAGAAAAATTAGAGAGAATTGAGTTTATTTTGGTGAGGAACGAAGCTGAAGAAACCAATTGCCTTAATGTCGCCCCATGACTTGTTAAGACTGGCATTTCAGTAAACACAATGGCTCAGTCTGCCTTGTGTCAATTTATTTTATCATAAGCCTCTGCGGTTTGGGCTTTTCAAGTCTTGGGTGTGTAAGGTGGGAAAATGCGAGTTGAGAGAGGGGGCAGGCAGCTAGGGGGCTGAGGACAGGGTGTTTGGGCAAAAGTCACAAAAAAGTACATTTTTCCCAAGAAGGCATCAGGACATTTTTCACAATCATGATTTTTTTTCTTACTAAATCCTCATTTCAGAAAAATTAATAACATCTTGATCAACAAGTGACTGAAGATCCCAAAATTACGTACTTCACCAACTTCATTTCTAGGCATCAGGATAGGTTTGCCTTTTCACCCAAATATCTCCAATGAGAAAAACAAGCGGGAGATTCCTAGGAATGTTTTGGAGCTCAGAACCCAAAGTCATTCAGGAAAAACAGAAATTCAGTAGACATTTTGAGGAGGTTTTGAGTTTTGTCCCTGAATTGTCCAAATTGCCCAGTGGCTTTGCAAACATCCAAAGCAACTGCATGGATAAGAAGAGAAAGAAAAAAAGTACCTTAGGGCATGGGTACAGGTCAATCTAGTGTAAATGTGACCATGAGGATGCACTTTGAAACTTGTCCTGCCTTCTTCCCCACCCCCCCCTCATTTAGAGCCAGTGTAGACTACGTGAGCCAAAATGCAGGGAAAGCAATTCAAAACAAGGTGAGCAAAGCTGTACATGATCCTGAACTTGAACAGCCTTGGGAAATGTCTGCAGAGAGAATAAAGCAAAATTTAAAAATTACCTATCATCATAGCTGTGACATGTAGTTGTAGAATTGCAAAAATAAGAAAAAATAATCCACCAATAACAACATTAGATGATGTATATAGGCTATCAGAAGGATGATTTGGTTTTCCCTTGTCTATGACTGAAGGCTGGCCCATGTAAGACAGGATTAGCCACATGAGAATAGTATTCTTTGCCAAAAACTAAAGAGAAACTACTGACACCTCAAGGTCCTTGATTTGTGTCATTGCAAGGTCTTACTTAGGGTTTAACAGAGGCCTCTAGCTTTTGAACTCATTAATGTATTCATTAATCCTTTAAAGAGTACACCCAGCATCTCGGTGAAAAATGTTTTTCCTAAAATGTTCATATTTCTAAGCCATGAAAAATAGGCATCTTCCCCCAAAAGATTTGCTTGTTTATTTCCTCTGAGAGAAGTGAGTTGCCTGATGCACATAAGCTGTTCCTCATCACACTTTAGCCATTTTCACCTGATAAAATTGTTTCAAACATACCACAAAATTTTCCCTACATTTCCTGCCACTGCATTTAGTGAGTAAGAAATTTATAGTGAAATGTTTTCTATTGCCCCCAAGGCTGGCAAACTTTCTTTTATAAAAAAAAATAAAATAAAAACCTGTTGTAGAAAAACAGCCTTTTTAAAAGTGTGAATTATCATTTCATTGTAAAAAGTAAAAAAAAAAAAAAAAAAAAAAAGGAATGGTAATCCAACTTCCGGAAACTGTTGTGAATTATTTCACCAGACCCTTTTAAAAGGGGATTAGCAGGGCTTTGGGAGCAAAATCCTTCTGTTTTATTGAATCTCTGATTTTATGTTATAATTGCAAGCTGTAAAGACTCTGGAATTAGTATGCAGGCACTGTCAGGACCGATGCAGGTGCTATTCTAACGGTTCAGCTTTTTAATTAAGAAAAGAGGTAAGAAAATCGAATCATAAAAACACTTTTGTGAGAGCTGAGAACATTGCGGCAACTGCATGAATAAAGCCTTTATACCTTCCCCTGACAGGTCAGCTACTGAGGCTCTGACTTACGACCTTTTCAGGGCCAGACAATAGTTAACAGCTTTCTCACCTTGTCCCCACAGAACCTTTTCTTCTAGGACGGATCTTATGGAAATTGCCTTAATAGCTTCACTTTCACAAAAGATATTGCAGTTAGAATGGATAGAATGGATACATATCCATACTGAAATGCCTGCTCTTCAGTCCCAACTACAGATCTCTTGTTCTCTGGATCCCTTCTCATGGGTGGGGGAGGGTGGTGTCTAGGAGGCACAGAAAGTAGATGAGGGAATAAAATCTGCCCTGAAATAGGCATACAGGGGCACACAGACCCAAGACCAAAATGAACACCCCCACCCCTCCATTCCTGAGAAAATGAAACAGAAAAAAATTCAAAACAACAACAAAAAACAACAACAAAAACAAATCTAAAAAAACACCCAAGTCCTGGGATGCAGGTTGTTCTGGGCTTTTCTGAAGTGGGCTCTTCTTGCAGGAAATAAATTTGGCCTGAACACTCCACAGTGGTTTTGGAGGCAGCCAATCCCAGTGGGGGTGCATTAGTCCTTTGTAAGTTTTTCAGCTCCCTGGTTACCCCGAAGTGTTCTTCACCTGTGAGTAAAATTGTTCTTACTCACAATACTTCAAGGCAAGTTCCCCAGCTGTTCCACCATAGTAAAGCTGGAGCTGCCTCAGCCTTGGAACACTTGACTGTGTTAGACCTGTGGAGGCCCTGCAGCCCCCACTGTTCTCCTGTCTCAGGCTTTGCCACAGTTCGGATCCCAGATCGGGACTCTCAGGGAAGACCACACTCTGCCTTCCTTAGGCCTCACTAAAGCAGGCCCCACCCATCACCTTTTCTTCTCAGACCCTGACAGGGTGTGTGATTGGGGACCTGGTCCACGGCCAGCAGCCCAGGCCTTGCCCTTCCTAAGGAGGCCGGGGCGCGCCTGGGCCAGGCCGAGAACAATGCACGTATTAGGATATCAGCCGCCCTCGCAATGATCACGCGTTCAAAGATTTTGTTTTCACGGCTGAGGGGGCTTTTTTCCAATGTAAATCAAGCGCTTTAGTTATTAGGGCTGAACACTAATCTCCAACAACCTTGACATAATGTGGTCGGGCGCGCCGGCCCACTTCGCACCTGCAGTCTGAATAGGGCTCCTTGTCAATGGGGGACACGCTTGTTGCCCTGGCTTGCAAAGGAGGGAAGTGAATAAGTCAAGCTTTGTGAATGCCCATGCGCTCTCTCCCGCTCTCCTTTGATCACGGAAAATGTCTTCTAATTTGTCCCTTTTTCATTGTAACAACGTTTTCAAGGCCCTTTCTATTTTTCCAAACCACATTTTTATAAAGGACATAAATCGTCCCCCGAAAACAAAAGGGGCGCGTCCTGGCCAACTGGCGCTATCACGCTTCAGCGTTTCACGGTTCCAGAAAGACTGTTGGTTCTTGAGGCTTCCATCTAAGCAAACACTGGGCTAGAAGGCCCCAGTTCTCCAGAGCTCCAGATCTGGGCTTCTGGGAGAAGGATGGCGACAGGGCCCCTTAAAAGGGAATGCAGAGGGCCCCCCTTTTTAGTGGGTGGGGGAGGTAGACAGTCAGAAGGGCAATGGGGTAAGACTCATATACTAGGCACCAAGGGGAGGATGTGTCTTTTAGAGATGTGATGCAGATTCCCTGAACTAACTGGAACTCATCAGGCAGTTTCTGGATGTCATGAAAGTGGAAAGGAGTGATCCACCTTTCTTACACAAGGCAGGTTCTGGCGCTCACTGCACTCTGATCATGGCGTTTTGCAAACTTTTCTTCCCACTTCACACCACGCCCTCAATTGGCTGTAGTCCTGCATTCTCCAAAGAGCCAAGGGAGTTGTGGGGGCATATGGAGGGGCTTCCTGCCCACAGACAATGCCCCAGATCTTTTGTGGGAGGCCGCAGAGTATTTTAGGAAAACTCTCGCCCCATAAAAATCCTACGGGAAAACAAAGGATTAATACCATTTTATACTGGGCGGAGAAGCAACCTCTGTCGGATCTGGCTTTCATTCCTGATGGGAATTCACTCACAGTCTCTCCCCAGGAACACACAGGCATTAATGACGTTGATGTCTCATTTGGTGGGATATTAATTATCGGGTTGCAAATCAATGAGCAACCTCTGCTCCTCCTCCCTCACCTCCACTCCCAACATTGATTCAGTTTGGATTGTCACATGTTTTAAGGACCCTCTTGCCAAGAACACTTTTCTCCTAGCGTTTTAACTTCCTCCCTTTATCATAGAAGATCAAATAATTTTTCTAGTATAGAGATGTCTAAGCCTTCTTTTTTCTTCCTCCTTAGTTATTACTTTAGATCAGGCTCTGGGTAAGAAAACTAACATAACCCACTAATACAGTATAAAACACTTTGATGTCTTGCCAAGAAACACACTTCCTTCAAGAGAGAAGTCAACATTTGTTTTTCACATTAAATGGCATGTAGTTGCCAGTGGAAAAAAAATTCTAAGGACTACTTTTTAATTCGATGGATAGCAACCGCAGGGGTCTAAAAGAAAATAACGACGATAGCTATAGACACAAATAACTAAATTACCAAAACGTTAGTATATCTCCAGGCTTCATTAATATGTAACAGACTCCCCAGTTAATCTCCAAAAGCTAGTGTTCCCCCTGTAAAATAGCACTCTGGGACGAATTGTACATGAGATCAATCACTGCTAACGCAGGAAGGTTTACTGCAGGAAAGAAAAAAAAAGCTATTTACACCTTCAGATAGAAGCTTTTCAGATTTAGGAGTAAGAGCCATACATCACCAAGAATAAATGATTATGAATTGGTAAATGCGCCCTCCAGCGATTAGCTATGCGATGCTATTTATCATTTCTTGGGTGGTGATGATGGTAAAGGGTTTTTTTCTTCCTCTCTTTTTCCTTCTTTTAAAACCATCTGACTGTTTGGAAGGAAAAGATTGACAGGTAGAGGGGAAGAAGAAAAAAAAAACACTGAGGGAAAGTTTGCTTTTGCATATACTATAAGTCATCAAAGCATGGAGGTGCAGGTATAGATGGGGTCATGTACGGAAAGCTTAATAGGACACAATGCAGCCATTTCATTGTTTCGTTTATTATTAGGAGATTATTTGTCTATTGGTGTTGACACCTCAGCAGTTATCATTTTCCCCTCTCCTCTTCTCTTTTTACTCAACACTCCTCCCCACTACATTTCCCCCTTCGTGGGTAGTTTACCATCTGAGAAATGCATTCTCATATCTATTATTATTCTTTTGCCCCTCCTTCTTTTTCTCCTTCCCCTTTTTCCTCTTCCTTCTCCCTCTCCCCCATCCTCCTCCTCCTCCTCTTTCTTTCTTTTCTTTTTCTTTAATTTTTTTAAAGAGGGAACATTCCTTTGTATGCGCGGGGCGCTGCGTGTCTGAGCTGGCGTCCTTGCGCGTGGCAGGGTGTTTGCGCAAGATTACTGCCGGGAGGCCATCCCAGCCACAGTCGTCCAGGGAAACGGCGCTCCAGCCAAGGCACGGGGTCAGGGACTCCTGGGGATCCTGCTTGCTGTTTGCAACACAAAAGCATATGCAGCCCCTAAACATTCCAAGAGAGACAAAGGCTGGAGCCGAGGACTGACTTTAACCCTGGTTGAAACTAACTCACAGCCCACCCCCTTGCCCGATAGAGCTTTGCAGGGTAATGGGGGAGGCTTTGAGACCCGCCTAGGGTCAGGAGCTCTCAGACTTACTTAGGCCCCCGCCTCTCCTGGGCTAGGGATAGGTGGTGGGGCAATTCCTGGTGGTAATGTGAGAATAGGTTCTAATGCAAAATAGAAGGATGACTCACGCCAATGAAAGGCAAGAAAGGGGGTCAGTGATCGCATCTTGGAGCTCAAGCCCTTCAAGCTGCCTGTCTGTCCGCCAGCAATACCGACTTGCCTGATCCTTGACGGGAGAGGGGCGCTAGCTTTGCCTGAGGGTGATAGGAGCGTGAGCAGCGTGGCCAGCTGGGTCGCAAAACACCCAGCAGAAAGAGGCAAGTTAGAGCAAGATTCTATGGTAAGGACTTCAGGAGTCCGGTTCAGTAGATCTGGGACTCATCTGCCCACTCTTTCAAAGAAAGAGTTGGCTACCTGAACATAGCGATGGTCCAACTTTAGCGATGGCCCACCTTTCGCAGCTGAATGGGCTCTATGGGCACGGACATGCTTCAAAGGCCCCAGTGCCTTTGCATCCACACCCACACTTGAGGATGTTGAATGTTTGAACGGCAGAGGAAGGTGAAACTTTGGAGGCCAGTTACTGTGGGCTGCTAGGATAGCCAACTGAAAGAGAAGAAGCCAGTGCAACTATCACACGCTTCCAATGCCACTGCAATTTGGATCTAAGTTGGGTCTAGGGACTGTTTTCTTAGGTTGAAGAGATTTAATACAAGTGGGAGGGGGGTTGTGGCTTTAAGTCTGTCACAGCAGGTAATGTTCCCTAGGGGATATTTCAGATAAAGGTACAGAAGGCCCTGCAGATTATCTCAAGGTTACGAAACAAACTCAGGGCAGTGCCCCATAGGCAGGAAAAGTTCCCATTTCAGGCTTGCATTAGGATTGATTTTTAAAGCTAAAATGTTTAAGAAAAGTATTGTACCTATAAACACAGAAGAAAGAAAGATTCTCTCCTTTCAAAAAAAAAGTTGTTAAGAATAGTTCGAGGCTGAATCTATAGTATCTAATCATGCACTACCAGTTTTAGAACATATTAAGGAACCACTACAATATAAATTTTGATCTGGGGAGTGGGAGGAGACATGAAATGTTTCTAGTTTTCATTTTATGCTTTATTATGCAACTTTTCTTTCATCTTCCTCCAGGAAATTTTCTCCCATTTTGATAACTCCTGACAGGCTGGTGTGCTTGAAAGTTTGGTTCACACAGGACTGATCATAATGACATCTTTTACTTTTCAAAGTTAGCACAGCCCTGTACTTTAGAAAAGAGAAATGGAGAGAAGGAATTACCTCACAAATTTGAAAAAGGAAACATACATTCATCGTGTATCTCCCTCCCAAGAAGCCTTTAATACTTTGCACCTAACAATTCCAGAAAAGAAAAAAAAATTGTTGATAACACACCCTGTGAAATAAGCAAATTGTCATCAAGAAGATTTAATTTTGCAACTCCAGCAAAACATAGTATTCATTTACTATTGTTCTTCAAGATTTTATCTTAAGTTTTAATTTTAATGTCATTATTTTCTTCTATACAAACCATTTTTTAAATAAAAGATTCCCTTTATGATATGTTTTCAATAGTGAAAGTCTCTAAAGATCTATAATATTATTATTTATCTGAATTTTGTAGCTCCGAGGGCTGTATACACCATGTAATTGCTTTAACATGTTTTCATAAATTACATTCAGAAATGTGTCATAGTAAATTACCTTTGTAATAAAATGTAAAAAATGCAAATGGCTGTTGTCTTTATTACGTTTTAAACCATTGGTTTATCTGCACTATTTCACTTGTCACTTGCACAATATGTTGGCTAAAGGGGCGGCACAGTTTGATAACAGAGAGCTAGGTCCTGTGTGTAATCTTGCAGGCATGTACAGTTTGGGTCATTTCCTCATCTCCCGCAGAAAATACATTATCCTGCTCATATTTACATACTTTTCAATATTTGTCAAACAATCATAAATTATAAATTAATGAAATGTTCGACAGTCTTCAGAGATCAGACTAATGAAGACATTTACCTTTTTAGTGATTTTGAGTCTCATCTTTGTAAGTTTAATGACATTTTGGTGCTCACGCTTTATTAGGCTTTATTAGATTTGTCCTTCACTCCCGCTGTCATTCAGATGTCTCTACAGAAACATCACCTGCTTCAGGTATAAGAACAAATCGACTTTGACCAGGAAACATTAAAAACAGGGACTCTGCAACCTTAGTTTTAAAGAATTAATGCCAAGTTGGGTTTAAAAGATCACTGGAAATTTTTACCCTTCTTAAATTTTTTAATGAAACTGCTGTTGTATTTATTTCACCAGCAGACAATAACATGAATACTTCTGCATATGTACAAGCTGATATACTGTGATTTCAAAGTGATTTACAGCAGCATTATCAGAAATGGTAAAGAGCAGCCCTGATCCTGATTTCACCTTTTGAAATTATATGAAATATCATTTGGATTAAGGCTGGGACACACAGTTGCCAAATTATCTCACTAGTCCAAAGGTAGGGAACTAGTTTAGAACTGACACCATTTCATCCAGTCAAGGAAAATAATAACAATAAAAAAAACCCTCCTCCCAAGTGCCACCACACTTTGGGTGCTGCGTTGACCTTGTATCCTCAGAAGAAACCCCAGGTACATGCCTGCTCAACTCAAGATAGAAAAGGGATGGTGGAAGCACCATGTGCCCATGAAGTTGACACATTTTCCTGGAAAATGTTGGCTCCCTATGCTCTCATTATGATTGATGGCCACTGGGCTTTTTAATAAAATTATAGGTGATGAATTTAGTTCAATCCAGAGAGGTCAAATGATCAACCTTGACTTAAGATTTGAATAGCTAATCACATGGAACAAATGCACATTGTCGCCACCCATCCCCAGACAGTGTGGAAGTGAGCTGGGGTTTTGGAGCCATCTGACTCTAAACAAAGGGCAAGGAGCCCAGGAAGTAGGAATGTCAATGTCTCTGTCATCAGGTTGGGTAATTTTATTAGCTCTCTTGCAAATTTCATCAACCCGTGTTAGTACACACTACCCTGTGGGGCTGCCAGACATCTTGCTTTCCTAAGCCTCAACCATGAGGAGTTTTGTAGCATTTGGGATATTGTAGCATTGGTGAAATTGGGAAAGGGGTGCTGGAAGGAGCAGACCACTTCCAGTCCTCACTTATCTTTAAGCGGAAGGAAGTGTGTGTCTTTGTATCTATCTATATATTTATCTATCTACCTGTCTATCTATCTATATCTATCTATCTATCTATCTATCTATCTATCTATCTATCTATCTATCTATCTATCATCTATCTATAGAGAGAGATGGGGCCAGACAATTTTAGAGGCAGTGGCTCAGCTGCATACCTTTATTCTGGTGCACTACATCCTCTTCTGCCAGCCTGGCATTGAGCATAGGGGAGAGGCATTCTCTGCATGGAAGGCAAGAGGAGAACTCCCATTCCCTCTCAGAGCAAGGACTTAGAGTTTAGCCTTTGCCCCTTTATAAAAAACACATCAGGAATAAAACAACAGCCCATTAAAAGCCACAATAAGAACCTATTCAAATGTTGGGAGGGACTTCAAAATATTTCCAAACACTACTTTTTTTTTAATACACAATGGAGAGTTAATAAATGGCTTCCTGGTGCAGGGGACATGGCTTCCGCAATCATGAAAAATTGATATGTACCACTAGTAAAGTAATTATGTGCCATTCTGAGGATAAGGAAGCCAGCAATTGTTAATCCACTTGCACACCCATTGACTTACAACATCAAGTTGCAAATAGCTTAATTAAGTCATACATGTGGACTATAACCATATTGCTCCATTGCATTATGCACAGTATATCTCAATTTATTGGGACAATTAATGCTGAGACCCCACTTCTGGTGGGCTGGAATGTTAGCCACCCAATGCCCAAGTTCCTTTCCATTGATACTGCCCAACATAAAAAGCCACAAACAAGTGAGAATTAAGAGAGAGATGGTGGGTTGGGAGTGGGAACATGATTTGTCTTGTGCAAACTTTTGGGGCCACTGCAGTTGTCCAAATGGAGAGCCACAAAAGGTGAGGTGAAGCAAATGAGTGCTTTGGATATACCACAATTTGTGATTTATGAAACTGCTCATGTATTTAAGTGGGTATAGTTTCTGATAGTTTCATGAAAATTGTAAAGCACAAAGCAAAGTTCATTAGTCATAGAAATCTTCAGCTCAGTAGTTCAGGGATCTGACAGCACAGATATTTAAATCGGCTTCACCCCACTCCCACACATATCTGTCGGGCACAGACAGATTGTTTTTCTGAGTTTAAACTACAGAAACCTTCGAGTTTAAACCCAGTGGATTTTCTTTATCTACAAACAACCAAGACACGAATTTCTATCCAGGAATTTCTCTCTGTCCTATCTCCATTCTTCAGGGTGTGAATATTCCGATAACACTTTCCTGGGAATTCCGTCATCTACAAGGTCAGGAGCCTTAGCAGCAAGGGTGGGGTGGCCAGCAGATGGACTGCTGCAGCCTAAGCAAGCAGCTCTTGCCCCTAGCTTCCCTGGCAGGTGAGAGAGTCCAAAGCCAGGGCTAGTGGCGTTAGACTCTTGATAGTCCCTTCCCTTGAGGACGCTGAGTACCTGCTCAATTTCTAACTTGGGTGCCAGGCAGGGCTCCATTTTGAGTCTGAGGCATGAGATACCCTGGGAGTCGTTGTGGCAGTCAAGATTGGGAAAATATTGACAGAGAGTTTAGTCCTCACTGACTCCTCAGTTCTGGTAGAAACCGGGATCAACCATTCTGAACTTCAAACATTACAAATAAGTGGGGGAACTCCAAGAGGAGAGGTTAAAGAACCTCTCCTCTACGTGTCACTAAATGCTGGTTGAAGTAAGCCGGCCCCAAATATAGTGGGTTTTTTTTTTTTTTAGCTCCTTTGTCCTACAATATGAGGTCATTAATTTTGGCAGTGTATTTTAAAGGTGTGCCTTGGGTTCCGAGCTGCAGTTGTGCCTCCTTTTCTCAGGTCTGGGAGCAGCTGGAGGTGGCGACTCCCACTCAGGAACCAAACTCTCCCTACCCAGACCCCCAGCAGTCCTCCTGGGAGAAGAGGTTTCTTCCCGGCATTCTCTGCAAAAAAATACTTGAGTGGGAAGACTTGAGATGTGAACTTGAAGTAGGCTGGGTGCGCTGGCGGGATCCTCAGTCGCCGCGACGTCTTCCTCTGGTTCTCTTATTTTACTTCCCAAAAGTGGAAAAGTGAGCGCCTTGTCTTCCAAAAGAGCTTCTCCAGTCCATCTTTAAAGGTTTCTTCCAGTGTCGGGGCATCTTTGAGAGACCAGGTTGGGGATATCCTCAGGTATTCCAGGGGGCTCTGCAGCCCAGCGCAAGGGAAGGAGGGAGTTGCCCAGACCCGACTGGGTCGCGTCTCACACGATCAGGGAGAGCCTCTCAGCTTGAGGGCTTGATCCCAGTCGGGGAGAGGCTCTTACCTTGTGAATTTGATTCCAGAATGGTAGAGGTGCAGGAAGGGCTCTCGGTGTCCAAACCTGGACACTTTTCAATCTTCAGAGCTAATAAGAGTGAGGGCATGGGTCCGAGGAACCGCTCGTTGGGAATCTATATTTTGTGGTATTATCTCAGCAAAATCTACTTCAGCATTTATAATCAAAACAACAACAGTGGCAACATCCACAACACACGAGTATTTACTGTGGATTTGCTGGAAATGCTTTGTACTCACAGTCCTGTTTAAAACAAACAAAAAAATGATTTGAAACAGATTTTATTTCATGACTATTTTACAGACGAGAAAATGGAGGGTTGAGGTAGTGGTTAAAAAACTTTGCTGGGGTCACTCAGCCTGAAAGTGGCAGAGCAGGCACTTGGAGTAGTGCACTGCCAAATGGTCCACTGTTTTCTTTCTTTGGACTGCCTGTCCCCTGTAGAAAGGCTGGGGCTCAGAAAATCCAGGTCAGAGCGATTGCCTCCCCTTTCATTCCTGCAGGTTCTTTGAAGCCAGTGTCACCCCAATGTTAACCTTCAACCTGCAGGATCTCTCTGGCCCCCGCTCCCACCATACCCCCAAATCCTTGCCAGTGGGTGATTGGGGAGGAGTGGTCTTCTGGGCTGAGGGTCCTCAAATTGCCAAATCCTTTTGAAAACTTGCCCCTTACCACACTGTTCCTTAGCCTGGAGAGCTGTGTTTACATGTGGGTAGGGTTCGTTCGGAGGCCTTCCTGGAAGTGGTAGCCAAACTCCCACACCAGACTAAATCCCGTCAGGGCTGGCGCTGAAAAGTGGGATCCTGGGTGGCTTCCAATGCCCACCCCCCACCCCCCACCCCTCCCACCACCCAACCTCTTCTCCTTCCTTCCTTTCCAAAGGAAGGGCCTCAGGCTATAAGTTTGATCTTCCTTTAGACTTTCGAAGTAAGCTTCCAATTCCTTTACCTCACTCTCCCCCCTCCTCACTTTTTTCTGCTTTGCCAACATCCGAATCCAAGAAAATGGCTCAAATAGGATGCAGATTAACTTCATAGTTCCCATTCCAAAGTCTGGGAAGCCACGGTGATCACCTCAGTTTGTGTGTTCCTCATTCCTAAGAAAATTATGGGGAGAAGTGCTGATGAATTTACCGGGAATAACAAGGCTCTGCAGTTGCGATTACAGGAGAGGGAAGGATCCATGAGGGGGCAAGGTTGAGAGTGACCAGGCTCTTCTAGTTTTCCCCAGTTGTGGTACGGAATGGGAGGGGTTGGAATGAATATATTCGTCCTTATATTCAAAAGCCACAGGTGGCCTGAGAGGTCAAAGGCTGCGGGATTTGAACCTGGAACCGAATGGTGGCCTGCAATGAACCCGCCTACCGCCTCAGGCGTTCGCTTCACTCCAGGCTGCTGGCGCTGGAAAGTTTAACTTTATTATCAAAGGGGAAATTGAAAAGTGACTTCTGCAAATCCCAAGATGGGGTTTCACCAGCAACTTCTAGGGTGGGAAACCAAAAGTGAGGTGGAGAAAAGAGCTAGGAAATCAATTGAAAAAAAAAAAAAAGAAAGAAAGAAAACAAAAAAGATACACGCGGGATTAAATAAACTAAGAGGCTCGCCGGTGGAATTCTATATCTGGGGTTTGAAACCGAGAGGGTCCCTCTACCTTTGGCCATCTGGCTGTTTTAAACTCTGCCCCATGCTGTATAATTTTAGCTGAAAATCTCTTCCGTTGCAGCTTTGCTTTTATTGAATTCATCAAAAGCAAACTTTCCCTGAGTTTTTTTTTTTTTTTTTTTTTTTTTTTTTTTTTTTTTTTAAGAAGGGCTAAAATAATACGCCGACCACTGTGACATTCTCCGCGCCCAGGCCATTTTTCATAACGCCGCAGATCCGCTTTTGTGCCTCTGAGGCGACTAAACAGATGAATAACGAGCAAAGTCTCCCGAAAGTAAGCTAGCAGCTTTTCTCAGCTCGAAAAAAGTTAACTGAAATGAGAAGTGCATGTAAAATCCCCACACCCAAAGATGGGGGCTACACTTTTATTACTCTGAAGGACAACGATGTCTTTTTAAAAGCAACTAACTGCCCACATCCGCACACGCGCGCGCGCGCACACAAGCACACACACACACACACATTTGCTCACACAAACCACACAAACTTTAAGCCTTGTGAAGCTGCCCAGGTGGTGTGTAGGAAATTTTGGTAGAGAAAGAAGTAAGAAGTCTTTGAGGCAGACTCTAGCCGGCAAGATATGACAAAAGATCTGGTTTTATTATTTTTTTAATTTATTATTTTTTCGCAGATAGTTTGAAAGTTGGTTTCTGACAAGAGGAAAGAAAAGGCTGCAACACTAAAGGAAGACTCAAAGTGTTAAAAGGACGCTCAAAATGTAGTATTGTGGCAGGTCGGGGTAAGTTATATTTTCTTCTGTTTTCTCTTTGGTTTTGGAACGCAGTGAAAATGCACTGTGGGGAGTTTTTCTGTTGTTTTTAAGAAATGAAATAATACTCCAAGCTCCCTCCTAGGATGACTTCCTCCTGCGACTTTGCTCTGTTTTTGTGGGTGTTCTACAGAGAGGCGCTTTCTCCTAGAGCCCTGTCATCATAGACCCAGAGGCCCTCAAATTCTGAGTGGCCAGGGTTTGGAGAGCCGCTTTCGGGTCGCAGAGGCAACAAGTCGTGGACTCTCTAGCCCCAGGCAAGCGCCGCACCGCGCCGCAGCTGAGCCTGTGGCTCGCCTGACTCAGGAATGAATTTTGCACGTGTAAACTACTTGCCTGTGGATGCGCACAGCTGCGACTCTGGGGTTTATCAAGGGAAAAAAACTATTCCTTTAAATGGACGATTTGCAAAAACTCAGCCATTGGTTCTTGCCAAATGACTATTGATGCAGAGTAAACCCTACCGGTTGGTGCGTGCGCACGTTTGTTTAACCCTAAAAATATTCCACTTCCGAGTTGCTCAAGTTGACATCCACTTGAAATCATTTGTATTTTTTTTTAGGGGCTGGAAAAATAACTGGCATTATCTGTGGGAGACGGTGTAGATATATTGGTGGGGGAGGCATATTTCACTGGAAAGTGATGCCCTGTATTCGCTGAACGTAGGGAAGTGTCCCAAAGAAACGCGGCTCCCAGTGCGCGCGCATACCACATTTCCACAAACGTGTGTTACAAATGCACTTTCCTGCCACTAACCTGCAGCTTTGAGATTCGATTCTGAGGTTTAAATAATATTGTTTTTCTGCATGGCATGGATATTCAGACGCCAGCAATGAGCAATCCTTCATTTGAGTACCTGCAAGCGTCTGCAGCAAGCTAGATTTTATTTATTATTATTAGCTTTCTGCTACCAGAAACGTGGAATAAACATGTGCTGCCCCAGAAATTGGGCGGAGCTGATCCAGATGTTGGCAAACACGTCTTTACCAGTTGTATTTCTGAGGAAGCCCAGAGAAATGGATCAGAGAGCCGAAGAGAAATTGACAAGGGAGCTGATCAGAGGCGATTTTGTTCATTAGCAGGAGCGACTCCTGCTTTGGGTCTGGCGGGGGCGAGCATATAAAATGCAACTTTTGCCCCATTGGTTCGCTAGGTGAATTAGCACATACTGGGACTGAACAGTCCTTGACCTTTGCCTTTATGTTTGCGCAAATGTTTGCCTAAAACACAATCGGTCTTGACAAGAGAGCATGCTACCGTGTGACACTGCCTATTCACCAGATAGATGTTCCCTGCCACACACGACCCAGAGCAGCCTTTTAAATAGCTTAGGTATTTGCACAAACTGTATAAATTAATGTCGGATGATTGCTAGTTGCTGGTTAAATAGGAGAGAGATGATTTAGATGAGGAATACATGTATCTCTCTGGCATTTTTTTTCTTGCCAAAAAAGTCGGTAAGATAACTGATAGCGAAGGAAAGTTTATGTTTGTGGGAGTCAAAAGGTTCTTGTTTGATCAAAGGGCACATGAATGTAGTTTTCTTACAAATGGCTTTTCCACAAAGATGGGGAGTGGATGAAGGAAGAGGAGAGATGGAGAGTGGAGAAAGCTGTGAGAAACTAATAATTAGGATAACTGGTAATGGGGAGGTTTAGAATATGATTCTGGAGGATTTATTGTTCCTAAAGGAGCCATGGCCAGCCAGCAGCCTCTCAGTGCTCTGGAAACCCCATGAAACTTGGGGGGAAGTTATCCCGATTACTGAGCTTTATGGCTTTGAACTCTTCCTTCAGTAAAACCAAATACTTTAGCAGGAGGAGAAAAGCACCTTTTAGAATCTAAAATTGGTTTAAGTCTTTTAAACCTCTCACTATAGATGTGAAATTATTTAGATAACTGGGCTGCCTTTTCCCGAACTTTGACATAGGAGCAAAATGAACTTTCCTTAACTGTGGTTTCTAGCTGAGATCAGAATTTTCCACATTCCTTTCATTATCTGCAACATGGTAAAACCTCACCAATTTCCATGGCTCAATTCTGTTGGCAGGACTACCAAGACAGGGAGAGCAAATTAAGAAAAATGAGGATATTTTCAATATTCTTTCAGGGAGGTTCATTCCCTTGAAAGAGAGGAGTATTTACTTCTTTCAGTCCAAGGGATGCAGTAGACGAGGGTAGCACCAACTCATGCCACAGTCTGGGAATGCAGATTTGAATGTCTGAAAGCCACTGTGATTTCTCCAAACATTTGCAAGGTATTTTTCAGATTTCCATGAACTGTATTCAGGTGGAGAAGAGGGAGGGTTCACCAGTTCTCCCTTGGAAATCCTTTCTCTTGATCCCTGGGCAAAATTTGCCTTCTCTCTGTTGGGCTATGGAGACTTTCAGGGTAGGAGAAAGTTTGTTTAAAAGCCATGTTCCACATTGACTTTAGGTACAGCACAAAAGTAGCAGAAAGGTAAAAACATCAATCTTAGAATGAAAAAAATAATACGTTTATGAACAAGCACCTAGAATAAAATTAAGGGGACTCTCTCCATTTTTCAATAATCTCCATAATAATTTCTTAACTAACAGAAATAATTTGTTAAGTTATTCTTATTTCTTACTTACTTAACAATGTAATAAGTATGAACTACTTCAAAACACTTTTTTAAGGTAGATGCAAAACGTCTACCTTAAATGTCTGTGCATTTTGGCTTTAGGTTCAGCAATATGGGCAACTAAATATACATAAAAATCATATTTCAATTCTCAGAGGGTATTTGTCCGTTTTATTAAGTGTATGCACAACTGCTTTTTCAAAGTTGTTTTATTTTAAAATAAAATGATTCTAAATGTTCTCTTCTCTTTGCTATGTACCACATCCTACAATCTTCAGAAAATTTAGGAATTAAAGACATAGAAAGGCAAATATTAGGGTTCTATTCTCTGGGATATCCTACAGTGACATAGTGTAGGCAAGGCAGCAATATGTTTCTAGCCTTTTCTTCCCTGTACCTGGGGTTGTGATGGGTTAAGTTTATTCAGGGTTATGAGTAAATTGGGACCTAGAATCTACAATCCATGATGATGAATACAAGGGACTTAGATTTAAATCTAGTTGTTACAAAAATCAGCTTAGGAATTCAATAAATTTCCAAATTTGCACAATTTGAAACAGAAACATTTTTAAAAATCATTAGAAAAAAATCTGCATATTATATAAAACGTATCTCACATATATTCTATCCATCAAAAATTCAAGTACTTACTCCATTCATTTAATTATAGTAACTACAATTGAAGATAAAAGTTGGTTAGTTCCATTTTTTGCTGACAGACATCTATTAATAGAGTTTGTGCATATTTTTGGCCAGAGCTAAAAATACCATTAAATGTTTATATTGTGAAATCTGTCAATGGTTTTACCTAGAAGTGTTCAAGAGAACATATAGTGACTTATTGATATCAATAAAGACACAGCACAATTGCCAGAAGTGTTCTTATTCAAACAAATAACACAAATTAAATAAGGAAGAAAGGAGGAAAAAATATTTTTATACTTTATAAAATATAAGTATATTCATAATTGAAAAATTAAGGTAATTGATTTATTCTTATAAGAGTTGAGTATGTGACAGTTGTCTATTGAAAAATTGTTTGCATATAAAATTAATATTTCTTAAAGGTAAAATGATTGCACTTACAAGACACCATAACTGTAAAATTTGTTAGATGACTCTAGTACACATTAACTTCTATATAAATAATATTCTTACTGACTGGATTATAAAATGACACCTACTATAGTCTGTGAAGTTTTTACATTTTTACTATGCATTGAAATTAAAGTGAAGAAGTAAAGTCAGATTATAGGACTTGGAACTATCCGAGAGAGCCAAGAGGAAGTACCCTGTTTGCATTGTATTTCTTCCAAGGTAGTTATTTCCCCCTAATATATGTAGATGAGGCTTGTATTGTTCTAAAAATCCTCAACAATTATTTGCTATTAATTTAACTCCACTTTGTAAGTAAAAATTTAGAGATGCTTTGGAGTCATGTGTATTTAACTAGCAAGTACTGAACTTAATTGGAATAGCCCAGAGATTCCACTTCCAGGTCCTTTGTCTGTGCCTATGAGTAGGCAGGCCATGCTAGAGTCGGGGTTCAGAGAACAGTCATTCTCTGGTGGCTTTCTTGGTACAGAGAAATACAGTTCTCATCCCCCGTTTTGATTCACAACTTCTGACCAATAAATTGTGCTCTGATTTCCCATGCCTATTGCATCTACCACCACCCTGCCCTAATCACCTGCTCTTGACAAAGAGAGTGCAGAAGCTGAGGCAGTATAGTTCAGGGACTGGATTCCAGAGGGGCATTTGGAAGAAGCCACACCAAGCTTTGGAAAGCAAGTGAGATTTGTGATCTTGATGCTTAGAAATCTTTCCTATGGGCAGTCTTGGAAAATCTGGGATTTCGAGAAGTCTGGGCCCCCATTTTAATCTTCTTTGGTGTAAAAACTGTGAATTCAGAGTTAAAGAAGGGGGAAGGAGCATTGCAGCCTTTAGAGAGGGGTTCAGGGCCTGAAGACCTGAAAAGTTCCCACACTTCATTCGCACCTGACATTTCAGGAGCCCCTTAATTTAGTCACAGAAGTTGATGCCCACAGGGAGCGAGAATTTGGCAGGTACCAGGTGCTTCAGCAGGACTCGGGCTCATTCTCTGATTTAGCTAAAGCTGTCTGGTGAGGGAACAAGGGGTCATAAGTATGCTGTTTGTTTGTTTGTTTGTTTGTTTTGTTTTTGTTTTTCATTTGTTTTGTTTTGTTTTTAGCTCCTGACCCTCATTCATATGTCAGATCCCCATTTCCCTTACCCTTCACTCCCTTTGTCAGTAGCTTGGAAGACTGTGGAGCCCTCTTGCTTTCTCCCACTCCACCCTCCTCTCACCTTCCCCCACCCTCTTTTACTGTCTCACACCACCTCACCTTTCCATACTCCGTCAACCCTTCTTAAACCTCACCTTCTCACACTCATAGCCCCTCATATTCTCTTCTACCCATCTCCCCCTCTAAACCCCTACTACTCCTCATCCTCCACTTCCACAGAATCCCACAAATCCCTCACATCTACTTCATCCTCCTCACTTCCCTCAGACAATTTGCCACCTCCAATCTCTTCATCTCCACAGCCTACACTCTCACACATTCTCTCAAAGCCCCCAGACTCTTCTTGCCCACTCACAATTAGAACCTCACTCACTCTTTCACATCAGTCACCTCCCCATGCCTTCATATCCCACAAGGTGTCTCCAGGCATCCCTTCCCCCCAACTCTTACACCCACCATATTCACATCCTCTATACCTTCCACACATACTTCACCTTCAGACTCCTACTCCCAGTCAGGCACACAAGTCATCTCCCCCTGCCTTTTCCTGGGTGGTATCTGAACTCCTCAGTCTGTGTTGGAGAACCTTGCCTCAAGTGTCTTCCCCTCTGACTCTTCCTTCCATAACTTTCTTCCCTACCAGAGTGTCAGCATATCCCTCTCTGGAGTTCTCTTTGGAGAAGAGCACATGGCTATCTCCCTTTCACTTTTTTCACTCACCAGGGCTCGTAGTCACAGCAAAGTGGGACTGGGAACCTAAACAGTTGTCCCCTAGATCCAGTGCTGGGCTACGTGTGGATGGGAAGCCAGGGCCGCTCATTGGCTGCTCTGTTCTCAGCCCTCAGCTTCAGAGGGCTTGTCCTTGTCTTTCCTCCCAGATTTGTTTTCAGTCTTCAGGGATACAAACTCCTACATTCAACATTTCCATTAGCAGGGTGAGTGGGTAGGAAAGATTCTTTAAACTGGAGATTCTCCAATTTGATCAAGGTTTAGAATCACCCAAAGTTTGTTTAAAAACAAACAAAATAAAACATAACTAGAAATTGCTTGGCCCCATTTTAACAGTTTATGTGAATTTACATTTCTAATAAGTTCCCAGGTGATGCTGGGACCACATTTTGAGGCAATTTGAGCAATGTTCAGCAGGAGGAAGTGACTCTATTTGTACAGTGAGAAGACACAGGGAGATCCATAGAACTCAGAGGTTCAAGAGGAGAATGACACTCAGTGGATAGATGGGAACAGTTTCCTAAAAATGTCCTAAATGAGAAGGTACTTTGACAGTAGGTTTTATTCTACAAGGTTAGGGCTTTTTCTATGAGAGGAAGGGAGGAAGAAAGAAGACTGTGCCTAGGACATCTCCTTTCCTAAGCTCTCGCTGACCATTTAAAATGAAGCTAAGATGTTTAGAATTTGTAGGGGACTGGGTCTTGAGTCACTGAAAGTGCTAGTCACTCTGTTTAGGTTTATTGTTTTTGAGCCTCGGGATCTGTGTGTGTGTGTGTGTGTGTGTGTGTGTGTGTGTGTGTGTAGGCTTGCTCTCTGCCTTTGCATTTAAGTTTCATTCAAAATGGATGGAACCACTCAGGCCCTACAGAATCACCTTTTCTAGCCTAGGTAGTGGTTACTATGGTTACTTCCTGTTTCCTTTCCATGTGCCTATGACCAGACCTCACAGATATCTCCCTTCAATTCTCCCTGAGGGCTAAAAGGTGGCCCAGAAACTTTTGGCCAGTTAACATTCTGCCTTATCAATTGTCTAGGGAGTAGTTTTCTAAATTTATTTGGAACTGCAAAGGTAAATAAATGAAGGAAAAAATACATAAGAGAGAAAAGGTCAAGTTCTTCAAACTGGAACTTTCTTGTGTGTGTGCGTGTGGATATGTCTATGGTACATTTAACCAGTAAGAGAACACATACCATAAGCAGTCATGTTGCTAGACAAAAGTTTTCTTTGATTTTGTATTTGAATTTACTTAACAACATAAATTTTAAATACTAATCCTGGTCACTTGGGCCAAGAACATTTATATATTTTTCTCCCAGCTGATTTTATCAACAGTTTTCAATCTCATTTTCTCAAGACTTTTAGGCCAAGGCAGAATTTTCTAGCCTTCCTTTGGAGATCAGGATCCAGAGATTAGAGTTCTGGGATCTTGGCAAGGGTTTGTACTACTTTTTCCATGATGTTTGCAAATCCCTAGCAACAATTCTGCATTCTAATTTTTTTCCTCCTTTCTTTGTACATCACAAATAATTACACTGTTCAAACATGGCTTAGAAAAAAACACAGTTACATTAACATGTCTCTTCTACAATTTTGTTTTAGAAATGACTAGAATTTTCTGGTAATTCATAGTTTTTCTCCTGGTTTAAAAACAAAAATATTTAAATTTTATCTTGCCAAATGTCTATCATTTGTTAGCACATTTTGCTTGCTGTCCTTCAGCCTCTGAAGTTTATGGACATTATTAAAATGTTTGGGGGATCATCAGCACACCAGTTCCTTGAGAAAATGTTGGGATAGGCTTTACACTATACAATCCAGTTGTTCAGAATTGAAAGGTTTTCAAGTTGAGTTTGCTTTTCTTTCTCTTACTTTACAATCCCTTTTTGTATTTTTTATTTTATTTCGAATAGAAGCTTTTGCCAAGGTTATTTTTAATATAGAAAAAGTAGCCGAAAAATTGGATACTAAATGTCGAATCCAAACTGAGTAAATTTTTGAAGTATGCAGTATCCATATTTCCCATTGACTTAAAATAAAAATGAATGTAATTCAAATCTACTTGTGTTTTTTTTTTGTTGTCTAAATAGAATATTCAATGTGACAAAATGAATCTATAAATATGTGATCTGCATAGTAGACACAGACACAACCAGTTCAATAATGATTGATACTATTTTTAAGTAGTGGGTGCTGAATACATTATCTAAAGAAATGCTCTGAGCATCTGAAGGTTGAGGATCTTACAGTGATCTTAGTTCTGAGAAAATGGCTCATGTATGTTTCGGCTCAGTGTTGGTCTCACTAGCAATAAGTTGTGGCAAATGACATCTGACCATAATGATAATATTAATGTTACTGTCCCTTTGGAAAAGAAAAGTTGAATTCAGTATCTGTTTGCTTTGGCATTATTTTTCCAGCCATCTAACCATCCTTTATGGTACAGTGTGGCTGTTGTTTCTGGAGTTGTAGTGTCTACCCACTCCCTTCTCTCTGGGTAAACCTCCTCTCGCGCCCCCTAGCGGAGGGTTTGGCAGTGCAGAAGCAACAACCACCAGCGATTATTTATTGAACACCTGCTGTGCGCCAAGCACTGTGGAGGAAGCTGTAGCTTGTCTAGATCTGGGTGGGGTCTAATGCCACGCACAGGCTCTGTAAAATGATTTAAGACTGAGCAGATATTCTAGCTCTGGGTCCTTGTGGCTCCTCACCTGGGGGCCTCTTCAGAGCCCTCACTCACGTTGCACTTGGAGCCTGACTGGAGGCATTTCTGGCTATCAGAATTTCCCAGCTATAGTTAGTTTGGGATGGAGAGGCTTGCTGCTCCTTGGCGGGCCTGGTTATAATTTGTGTCCTCTTGTATAGAGCTGTCCAGTTTGACCTGTAGCTACAACCAATCCTGGATCAGCATTGTCAGACCTCGGTTCCACCACACTCTGTTTGAAGAGCTCCATTTTGTGCAGTGGCAGTCACAACAAAACTCAACTTTCCTCTGTGACTTTGTTCTTTTGATTTTTAATAGATCAAAGACGTGGAGGGAGGAAGGAAAAGCGGGGGTGGGGGGGAGAAGAGGAGGGGTAGGGATTGTTTTCGTGTCAAGATGCATCTCCCATTTGAGGCCACTAGCCCCATTAGAAGAGAAAAGTGCACGGAAAAGGGCGAGAAACCTGCACTTGGCTCGGCATTGTTTAGGGGATTCGAGCTGCGGCCGCCGTGGCCGCCGCCACAGCCATACAGTACAGTATCCATGGCAACGCAACCTGCTGCTGCCGCCGCCAAAGTTGAAGGCGCTTGAAAGGCTTGTAGAGACCAGAATCTCAACCCCTATTTTGGTTCCCCCGAGAACAACGGAGAGAAAATGAGGCAGGGAAAGAAAGGAGGAGGAAAGGAGGAAGGAGGGGGGAGGGAAAGTAGGAGAGGAGAAAAAGAGAGAGAGGGAGGGAGGAAATATTTGTATGAATGAGAGGGACTAAGAGAGAATATGAGAGAGAGGGAGGGAGAAGGCCAAGAGAAACCCCACTCCAGGCCCATGAATGCTGGCATTGTCCCTTTTCTGAATCTGATTTACCATATCATAACCCCCAGGAAGAAGAAAACATCAATATCCCAAAGGAATGGAGATGTTTCTATGGAAAACCTAGGAATTTTAGTCCATAACAGATCTGGCATAAAAAAATCAAAGAGATCAAAGGCAGAGCTCCCTGGAGTAGAGATGCGTCTCTGAATTAAAGATGGACGATGCAGACTACAAAGTGCTTTTTTCTTCTTTATCCAGTCCTCTGTTTCCATTTCAAGGGAGGCGCTGGTCTCGTCATATCTAAACTAGACAGTCATTGCGAACAATGTCATAAAGAGGATAAAAGAGGGAGTGGGGGGCACCAAGAGCTCAGCTTCCTCTGTCCTAGTTGGTTTTCCAACCACCTTCTCCAGCATTCTCAGCACAGGTGTCAGCCAAGCCCCACTCATAGAAGGAGCTTGTGGAAAAGCCCACCCCTACCTTCAAGTCTGTAGGGGCAGTTAGGAAAAATTAGATTCTCTGAAATCAGGGGATGAGAAGTGGTATTAGGTTGTTTTCTTGCCTTACCAAATTAAACTTGGGACAATATCAAAGGCTCTGTGTGGCAGTTCTGGGATGGGGAGGAGAGAGCAGGATCTTCAGGCCCAGATGGGGACTGGAGTGGGGGACAGAGTGCCCTAGGTCAGGGGAATTCGGGTCAGCCCCAATAGCTGTCTTTGCAGACATGGGTTCCTCGCAGCTCTTCTGAGACAGAGGCCGCAAAGAGGGAGACATTCCTGTTGGGGGGCGGTGGTCTAGTTAAGTAAGACATCTCCTTGCCAGACAGCCTTTCAATTTGCACATCTAAGAAACCAATACATCTCTAAATGTGTTTTAGACACTGACAAGAAAGACTAGGTGACTTCTAGTTTGAGGGCAAAGCTTATTTTAAACTGTTGAGGGTTTTATTGACCTTTGACTCGTAATGTGATTACCTAGTGATTTTAATTCTTTTTAAACCTAAAGTCGAGTTGAGTTAGGTATCATGATGCTCGGGTGTGTCAGTAGAAGTGCACGGAAAGGAATAGACCAGCAGCAGCCCCAGATGAAGGTCTTCTCCACGTGCACAAAGATAATTCTCTGGCCTGGCTCACAACGTGTTCGTGTTTGTTCCCGTGCGCGTCTGCGGGGCGGCTTGTGGGCCTGTTGTCCGGCTTCTTTCTGACCGTACTTACGGCTGGCAAATTAAAACAATAAATTTTCTAAAGCTGAAGCCTATCCGCTTCCTCTGGAAAGAAGAAAAGATAATCAGCGAGGCGGACGGGACCTGCGTGTGGGGAGCCAAACCTCCAGAGGCCTCGGGTCTTTGCCCAGCGAGTCTCCCCTCAAATTTCCCTAAAGCCAGCGTCAGCAGATGAATATTCGAGAAGTCAGTTAAGTTGTTTGCAAACACGTGCTGGCTAGCGCGGCGAACGGAGGACAGAAAGCCTGTTCCCAGGGTGGAATCAGCATCTGTACTGGCCGCAAGCAGCCCTGGGGTCAGACCCGACACTAAGTAAACAGCGACGCGGTCGAGGGGCTCCTTTGTAGCGGCCGCAGCTGTCCGGTCATTTATTGTCCAGCCAGGACTGGGGTCTGGGGCGCTGCCCTGGCGCCAACTCTGTGCACAAAAACATACCGGGGAGGGCTACACGCATGGCCGCCCCCAGGCCGCCAGACCTTCTCTTTCTGTCTCCCCTTCAGCATCCTGCACCATGCAGGCAGTTTTTCTCCTTAAGTAACAAAGCACCGGTGTAAAAACTCCAGCACCTGGCGGGAGGAGGAGAAAGGGAAAAAGACCTCCCTTCCCAGTGGAGGTGGAAAGAACAGAAGCACAGGACAAAATAACAGGAGGGTTGGAAATCGAAATAAAACTGATAGCAAGAATGATATTGAATGATCTTGTTAACCAGATTTTTTTTGTCCCAAATTGTATGTCTTGGAGAAGTTAGTGAGTGTGTCCGATGACAGAGAAGGAGGAACAGGGACGAGGCAATGATTTTCCTGAGCCAAGGGGTTGGGGTGGCATAGTCTTGGGTCTTGATGGCTCACTCAGGGGGCCCTATAGAAACGCCCCCAAGGATTCAACCACCTGGGAGGCTCTTTACTTCTGGTATTTCTCCTAAGGATGAAACTTGCAATTCAAACACTCTCGTTGCCGATTCTCTCCTCCCGCACCGCTCTTACCTCCACTCCCACATTCCCCTCCCAGCAAGGTTAGCGCACTGGAAGCAATGTGAAGGGGCTGTGGGGAAGGTGAGGCCCGAGTTTCAGGCTACTTTTGTCTGATTCAGACTCTTTCAGAATGACCAGCAAGTTCAACCTGTACCGCAGAGCCAGGACTCACTGGGGAGAAATGACTTTTGCATCCTGGAGTTCTGTGGATAAGCTGAAATTTAAATACAGAGTAGCTAGCAGGCTATGGGGTACTGAAGTGGCTCCTGAGGTGAGACCTTTTACACCTTCCAGACCCTTCCTCGCCCAAATACATGCTTCAGACTCTGTGGCTCCCACTTCATAGGGGTTTTGGGGCACAGTTCTCAGGATTATGGCTAAAGGAGCCAAGTTGGAGGCTTGGACCAGCTGCCTATGGCTGGCCATTTAGGCCCTCATTGAGCCCATAGTCAACAGGGCATTTCACATCCTCAGTGAGCCAAGCTTGAGCAGCTTCAGTGCAGATCTGTGTCCAAGTACAGAGCTGTGGCTAATGGCACCTGCCAAATAGCCACTTGTCTCCTTGCTCTGGAAGATAATTTGTTAGCTGCTCTCCTCTTGGCATTTGCATGAATTCTGTTATTATCTTTTTTTAAGAAAAAAGAAAAAAACTTTTAAGATTTCATTTTGATCTACAAGTCTCTGCCAAACATTGAAGAATGAAACCAGTCATTTGGCTTAGGTGGCTTCTCTCTGATTTGCCTTATGCAGTGAACTCCTAAATTTAGAAAGGTGGGAGATAAAAATCATACCAAAAATTTAAAATGCTATCAGGGTGTTGCTGCTGAAAAAAGTAAATCCACAGATCCCACCTGAATAAGAGAATTGATTCTGACAAAGGTTTCAAAACTCAAGCTCCTGCCCCCTGTGCAAAAATGCTCAAGAGGTCGAATTATTTTTAATTTTTTTAAAAAACAACAGAATAGCCAGGGTGAAGTGAGGGCTAACATTTTGAGTAGCAGACGCTACTAAGTTCCTGCTATTCAAGTGAGAGAAAGTTTTGAGGTCCCAATCCATAGAAACTTCAGTTGTCAAAGCTTAATTAATGTGAAGAATGGATGATTTTCAAGCACTCTGACAGTGGTTCTAATTGCCTGCTTGCTCTTGTGTGTGATTTGCTGCAGGGAGTGGGTTGGGCAACTATGAACCAACTACCTACCAGTAAGTTTATTAAAAAGAAACTCTTGAATGAATGGGGGAGCCTCAGGTTTTGGCCCGCTGGGGAGGGAACTTGGCAAGAGCGTTATTTGTGTCGGTGAGTGTAGAATCCCGTGGGCAGGTTACCTGGGGACCATGGTCCCCCAAACAAGGTTGTGTAGAAGCTTTTCAGCAGCTTTTTCCAGAACATTTATCCGCAAGCTTCGGGGATCTATCCGTCTGTCTACCTCTCTAACTATCTATCGATCGATCTACCTATCATGTATCTATCCATTCATCCATCTACAGCTTGGTGAGACATTTGCCGAGGACAAATCCGATGGCAAATCGTTCCTTAGGCGGTGGTTCCTTAGGCGAAGAATTTAGACCACCGCCGCGGTCTAAACTGGAGCCGCGCCTGGCGGAAAAGACTGGAATTGGAAGCCGCGCCAGACAGCCCAATCTCAAAATTCCAAGCGCTACCCTCGCCCTCTCTGGGTTGGAAGCGGGACTGCCCAGCTTGCTGAGCTCCCCTTTTAGTTGGAAGGGATGTGGGGAAATATTGGATAACTTTGCCATATCTGCAACAAATAAACAGGGTAATTAAAATGACGCAAATGCTGGTGTTGGACTTAGCTGCTTCTATGATCATTAAAGGCAGCGACTTAAAAAAAAAACTCAATTAAGCCTAATGATGGACCTTTACTTCTTGTGAATAGATGGCAAGTAAAACCAATTAGACACATTCATCAGATTCTTTCCACCAAGTTTCTATAGACATTAGGATATGTTCTCAGTACAGCTCAGGAACTCGCACAATATTAACCGCCCAGCGCCGGGGCAGGTGGGGAGGCACGTGGATCTGGGTTAAAGAAATGCAATCCCCTACCCCCCATCCCATCCTAGGAAGCCGATTGCATCGGGGCAAGGCCGGTCCATTCTTGATTCTTCCTAGTGCAGCACCCGTCCCCTTCCCACCCAACTTTTTTTCCAAAAAATCGCTCAAAATTAACGAGTTTTCTGTTTTCTAAATCCCTCTGTGTGGTCAAGAATCCTGGATGTGGGAGTGCTTGGCAAAACCTAACTCTTCTTGGCGCAGAATAGCACCTAGGAAAGGCTGGAATTAAGAACCCAGAGAACGCAAATCGAATAATAGGAAAACAATATTAGTTCTCCCTTTGCATTTTCTTCAAAATTTTCTGCGGAGGCCAGAGTGTTTCCAAGGGGCCCAGATCTGGGGGCTGGGGGTGGGCTAGGAGGAGGAGCCGCAGGGAGAGTCAAATATGCCGAACTCCCCAAACATCAAGCGTTACTAACAACCTGGTATCACCAGGTCAAATGGCCTCAGTGCGAGATGATCTTCCCGAACGGATTTAAGACATTTTTGAGCTGGAGCTCTGACCCAGCCTCCCCGGAGAGCGCAGAAGTTGAACTTCTGGGTCATTTTCCGGTGGCCTAAGCTGTCGCAGTCTTCCTCCAAACTACGAGTTTCATCTATTGGCTTAGGGGCTATAGTTTGAACAAGAACTTTTTTTCCATTGCTCTGGAAGTAACAGGTAGTGCTAGAGCTTTTAAGGAAGAAAGAGATGAATGTATATGCTGGGTTCCCGGTGAGAGGCCACAGCTTTTAAACAACTTGTGAAAGGGCATGAAATTCAGCATCCAAGCAGATCCTAAAATTTAATATTCATCGCCTAACATATTCCCATAACTAATATGTATCTCCGTATTTGGAGTACGTTGATACAGTTTTCATTTTATTTTTGTGTATTAAAAGAGTACATAAAATGATATATAAATATTAAGTGGTATATGCTATTTATAAGAACATACAAATGTATGGCAATAAATATATCAGATGTGTAATGTATATTAGGTGATATGTCCTAGGCTAAATATGTATCTAGAGGTACATATGTATATGTATTTAGAGTGTGTATTTACAATCGATTTTGGACGATGCTGAGTGAAACCTTTTGAGCTCCATCCGTAGCTGACTGAGGCAAAAACAAGCATCTTCTTAATAGTGCCATTTCTAAACCCTTCTCTTGATCATCGCTCTGGCATCGCCTCCACTACCTCCATATAAATAAGAAAATCGTATAAAATAGGTAAACAAACAGAACACTCCAACCTTCTCCCAACCGGGTAAGCCTAACCCTTCACCTCAAAGCTGTTTTTTTGTTTGTTTGCTTGTTTCGTTTTTTCTTTTTTTAGTTTGATTCTGCTCCCAAACTTTCCCGCTGCATGGAGACTTTTTAGGGCCAATCTCCAAATTGGCGGAGATTCTGCGACCCAGCTCCAGACCTGAGCAGAAGGCGTGACTCAGACCTAGTCCTGGCCACCAGGAAATAATGGTAGCTGAATGAGGGGAATAAAAATCAAGGCGAGGGCGACCATTGGGACTGTTAGGCACGTGAGCACAGTCCCGGGAGGATTTTTTTTTTTTTTTTTTTTTTCAGCTAACGGTCTTTGAATGAGAGTCTATGACATCAGGTTGCAGATAAGGAGCGGGTAAGAGAGATAAAAGTTGAAAAGGTTTTGATTTGCAAGAGAACAAACTTTTTGAATTCTCCATGCAGATGGTGCAAATCTGCCTGTAATCATTTTTCAGCTCAACCGGGAGCTGATATCCTAGAGAAGCCCCAAAGTAAATAAGCATCCCTCCCACCCCCCAAAGTCACGCCTTTAAAAGGAACACCGTCTGCCTAATTACGTTTGAATTATGCAAGGAGCTCCGCAGAGGATGGAACTTTAGACAAATAATTGCTCCATTGTGAGCGGCCGGCCCGCCCGGCGCGGCCTCCCTCCCCTTTTCATCACTCGCGCTCGGAAGGCGGCGGGTCTCTCAGCCACCTGAAAACCGCCGTTGGGGGCCGAGCCAGAGACTCCTGCCTAATTAACCTACTTTTCCTCCCAGTGGATGTCAAGATTTTAAGAAAGGGTTGGGGGAGGGAAAAGAGGGACACACAGGGGTTCCCCACAACCCCAAGAGTCGAAACAAAGTTACTTTGCCAAGATTCATAGTTATGACTCGTTTGCACTTCAGGCAAAAAACTTGAGATGTCCCCAGGGAATTGCTTGGAAAAGCTTCCGCTGCTATCGGGGTGCCTTGAGGAGACAGAAAGTTTTGGAAAATTAATGCCATTTGTGTGTTTCAATAGTGTTACAGTAAATCATCGTAATCAAACAGGTTCTCAAAGTTTGGGAATAAATGAGAAAATGTAAAGATCTCTATAATCCTTAAATGAAGAATTAGGTTAATTTTCCAAATGAGGATTCAATTAAATTCATCTCGTATGTAATTTTGTAAGCAGAAAGAAAGAAAGAAAGAAAGAAAGAAAGAAAGAAAGAAAGAAAGAAAGAAAGAAAGCAAGCAAGCTAGGAATTTTAACCAGAGTGTCCTCTCTTACCAGTTTGCTAAGGACCACTCTGCTGATCATCCAGCAACAGTTATTTATGATGTTCTCCTCACAGGTAGATTCCCTATTCAAAATCAAAGAGTTGATTTTGATTTATTTCCATTTGTTTTAATTTGCCTAGGACTGAAATTGTATTTTCAGGATCAGCAGTCATATATTTGGATCATGTTATTGGGAAAAAATGTAATTACCTTCAAACCTCAAGAGTTCATATGCAAGCTGTGTAATAAAATGATTGAAAAACACACTATTGGCTCATTAAGTCTCTTCTTAAATATTTTCTCACATTGATAAAATTCACAATATACTAGCCTTCTATTTAAGTAATTTTGGAAGAAAATACATGGGCTTTGAAATTTACAGGAGCTGAGGGTGAAGTGGATTTAGTATTAGAACAGAAAACTGAAGGTTCTTATAGATTGTTAGAAATATTTTCTATAAAAAATAGATGCGTTGCTATTCAATTAGTTGATCCCCTCCGGCTTAAAAAACTCCACAGGACACTAGCTAAAGGTGTACACAAACATTTCTCCAGAGGGCCTATATATATTTATTTATTCATGGAGCCGAAGGCAACCAGTGTATTAGAAGCAGAGATAGAAATGGGGTGAAGGGCTGGCAAAGGTAAAATGCTTCTGAAGTGAGTTCCTGAGATCAAAGTTCCTAAATGGCATTCTTTCTCCAGGAAAGTTATTTATCAGCACATTTGTTTCAGTGAAAATAGTCAAGATGCTTTGAGTAATGGATTATGAATCCCACAATTAAGTGAACTCTGCGGTTTTCAGTGACGATTTTCCTATACGCACGCATACAGATAATCCCTTGTGTGTATACAGACATATAGACAAACAACATTATACCCCAAAGATATATTATAAATACAAATATGAAAAAAGATTGGAGTGTAGGAAGAACAGGGTAGATATATAGAAACAGAGAAAATGAGGGCCACATAAACTATCAGCTGAGTATGTGATTTTAGAAAGTGTTAATTCTTAAAATCTCACCTGGCTGAAGGCATAGGCAACCTTGGGTAGCCCCTGACAAGGTGCCCAGGACTTGTAAAATCTGCAAAAGGTGAGTACAAGGCTCTATAATATGTGTTTCCTCTAGAGTAAGAATTAAAATGGGAAAAATGGTTCTAATCTCACATTTAATTAACATGTAGGATTTTATAAAAACTGGCAGGAGCTGCTTATATAGTTTGAGTCTATAAAGTAAAACATTTGCATTGATTGCCCATCACTGTCCCCTAAATATCTCTGTATTCCTTTTCCTGTTTACTCAAATCATTCCAAATTCTTAAGAGAAATTGCTGACAATCTTCACCCTGATGAATGTTTTATTCCACCTTTGATCATCATTTATGAAATTAAGATATATTCATCTCAAAGAAAAGCCCTAATTCCTAGAAGTATACTATGTTTTAAATATTTTTTTCTATTGCCATCAGTTAAATACGTCTGAATTGCTTTATGGTCTAATACTTGAACTACTTTCCCTCTTTCCCTATATTATTACAGTTATATATTCAAACAAGTGAGTAAACCGTTATTTGATTATTTATGTAGATGACTTTATAATAAGTAAAAAGACCCATAAAACTAGTTTTTTCCCTACTTCTTAAATATACTTTTTTTTTTTTGCTCAGATATCCTCTTTCTCATGAAGATTTTAAGACTAAATCATAGTACAGTCACTGGCATAAGAATGATGTAGATAATAAAGTTTGCTAAATATGTATGGGCTTTGATTTGTGTTTGGTCAGATTGTAAAAATTGCACATAATTATTTAATTGGTGGACTCAAATAATATTTCAGGCAAGTTTTAGTATCCTGGTATGCTTAGGGAAGAGGATGAGGAGTTAATTATAAATTTTTTCCGCAAAGGAAAAGTTTATCTGTAATTATTTGTTGTTTTAAATATCAACAAATCTTATTTTGTAAATTTGAGTATGTGATCTTAATCAACTAATGTACAAGAAAAAAGTTTTCATCATTTTACATCATAAAGTATGAATATTAATTATATTGAAATAATCTAATAATCTATATGGTTTTTACATATTAGCTTTATATATGTATTTACGTATACCCCCATACACATAGGTATACACACATATCCCAAGATCAAAACAAATTTATAGTAATTTAAAACCTTTTTTATAGGTTGTTTATTTATACAAGAGTAAAGATACCTATAATAACATATTCTTAAAAATTTCTTACTTAACCGAACTAACAAATGATAGAGTATTTGCTAAGGAATAAAATTTATATAATACGCCACATTATCTAATGATGGTATTGTACTTCAAATTTTAGATATTCTGCTATCTTATTATATTTCTGTAAGAGAGTTTCATTTGAGATATTTGTTGAGTTACATGCTTAACGTTAATATTTATTTTAAAACATAGTGTTACATTGCAGCTGCCTGGAAATATGTTTTATAAATTTGTGTTTTTGTAAATGTGGGCAACATTTATTCACAATTACCTCATTTTCAACAACATCTTAACTATTTTCCTGTCCTAATCAACTCAGTAGATCTTTAAAACAACATGATTTTTGGTGTAACACAACTATGAAATAAAAATAGAAACCACCAAGAGCAGTTTATTCTTATTGGCTACAGGGATATATTTATTTCACACTGGATGCATTATATTTTGGAGGTGGAGCTGACACCCTAGAACATGTGCCAAGCTTCAGTGAAATGCTGTGCTGCAAAACTGAGGGCATAGCCGACCCAACTGGGTTCCTGGGAGCAGGGAGCCTTTTATTAGCTGTCCATTTGTTTTTTAGGTGGAGACTTCACCACCTTTTCTAGTCATGATGAATCTGTCAGCGAAACCTCTTCTGTGTAGTCTCTGAAAGAACACTGGATCCCTTTTAGTTCTAGAAGAACTAGTATCTTCCTGATTTTCTATGGTGTTGAGAGTTAAAAACACATAATTATTTCACATACAGAATTGTTCTGAGCAGGTCTATTGACACATATAATCAAAATAATGTTTTTACACTCACAGAGAGGATTACACACTTCCATTATTTTATTCTATTAAAATAGTCATTTAGAGAATTTTCATAAAATTAACATTTCCTAAACAAAAATTAGTAGGTTTTTTATGGTGACCCATTTACCTTTAGAGGTATAGTGGGAGAAATATAGGCATCAAAGGCCAGCCAAAATAAAATATGAAAGTCTAGAGGATTTCTCATAATCTAGAAAACTTTGGGAGTAGAATGCAGTATGAGAGAGACTTGTCTCTGGTGGATATCTAAATATCATTTAGATCCTTTGTTTTACAGATCAAGAAAATGAAGCCGAGGGAAATGAACTGACTCTAAATCAATGCAGCTAGTCTAGGATGACATCTAGGTCTTCTGGTCTCCACCCAGCTTTTATTTGCGGGACTATACACATTATTGATGACTGTTAGCTCTTCGAAAGGCAAATCTATTCCTCTCACAATTTTATCGCACCTGTGCTTGCCTTTGAACAAAAAGCTCTCAATGAAAATATCATTATATGAAGTCCTGATTGTGGATTGCATTGCCTTAGGAAGGCAGGACCAAATCCCTCACCAGACACCTATTATATTCTGGAAGTGTTGGAATAAGGGTGCAGTAGATACCATATGGGAAGATATTATTTTCATAATCTCTTATTTGAGAGAAAAAGAGGCTGTCAGCCCTTGCGTTCTTTAAAGTTGCAGGCCTGAGGCTGAAATAATTGATATGACATAGACACATACATGAAAGGAGCATATTAGAAGTCCAAGGAAAGAATATTTGTGCCAGAATATGCATGTGTGTAGGGATTGGAGGACAGTAGCCACGCAACAGGCAGACACTCGACAGCACAATGTAGCATGCAGTAACTTATACAAATATTATAAACTTAGTAGTCATAACTTAAAATATGTAGTTCAATATTATTTGTCTGTATGTTATTTAGGGAGCAAAATATTCTTCAGTTACCTAAAAAATTTGATTGTCTTGTATTTCATTTTAACTCATTTTTGTTTTGTTTTTTTTTTATTGATATGTATTATATATATTACATATTTTGGAGTACCTATGATAATTTGATACATTTATATAATCAAATCAGTGTAATTGGGATGTCCATCACCTTAAATGTTTGTCTTTTCTTTATTTTTGGAATATTCAAATTGTTATTATATTCTAGCTACTTTAAAACGTACAATATATGAATCTTAATTATAGTTACCTTATCGATCTATCGAACACCAGGTTCATTGTAACTAATTTTGTTATGATTGACTTTGTATATATTGTAGAAAATAACATATTGGTCCTACTTCTGCTTTTCAAACTGAAAAAGATAACAACCTCAAATTATGTCCTTTCCCCAGGGGATATTTTTTAAAAGGGACAAAGTTATGCTCTGTAGCCTAAGTTGGAGGGAAGTGGCATGATCATAGCTCACTGCTGCCTAGAACTCCTGGGCTCAAGGAATCCTCCTGATAGGACTACAGGTGTGCATTACCACGCTTGGCTAATTTTTAGTTTTTTGGGGAGATGGGGTCTTATCATCTTTCCCAGGCTGGTCTGAAACTCCTCCAGGGAAATTTTGAGAGCAAATAATATTTGATCAAATTATGGCTACGTAAAAAGTTTTAAATATTATGGGATTTATAGTAGCTATGGGGAAATGATTTATTAACTGAAATAAGTAAATGCTGATAATCTTGATGCTTTGGCAGTCTAATACTTTCATGAGCCAACAGAAACCATCTGGAGTATATAGCTTGCTGTTTCTTCTTGTCTAGTAGACAGTTATTTGCCTACATCTCCATCGTATAATCTAAATTTGTTGCTACTTTTTGAGGGCTGGAAATTTGGAAAAATAATTGGTATGCTTTCCTGAAAACATCCTCTTTGTTAGGCTGAGAATTGGCCTGGCCTTCTTAATACCAACCTACAATGATGTTATTTATATTAACAGCTATATTTGGGGCTTTCGTGATCTTTTGGGGATTGAAGATTTCAGTTATCTTGCTTTGGTGTTCCTGAGTCACCAGCTTTCTTCATCTCTCTCTCTCTCTCTCTTGGTCTGTGACACTGTTTCACTGAAAATGATCTTTCTGACTAATGGTATGATAGTGCCATAATCTAGAAGCTATTGAAATCTATTTTCCAAAGTATTTGTTTCTGGGAAAAGATATCCCTATTGTTGCTGGCACACTTTAATTGCATTTTTTTTTCCTTTTTGCTGAGCAATACAGGATTAAGTTGGGGTAATAAAATCAGTGAACAATATTGGTACCAGCAGGACACTGCAGAACAGAGGGGGAAACATTCTGGAGTTTTCTATGCAACAGAAAGATTAACTTGATTTTGATTTTGATGTGGGGATAATGCATTAAGATAAAGAAAGAGATTATTTCATTCTGTTTGTGATGACCAGTGGCCCCTTCAGGAGGATGTAAAATTCTGGATAGTATTTCAGAAAACGTGAATAAATTGTATAGTGAATTGGATTATAGTTATTAAAGTAATTGGTAAGTGTCTATGTGAAAAATATAAACTAGCAAATAAACACTTGACTTTATTACAAATACAAGAAAACACATTAAAAAATTAAACATGATTCACACAAGAATATACAATAATGAAAATTGAGGGTTAAATAAGAGTCAAGCTGAAGTTAGCATTACATTGTGCTTAATTTTATTACCTTAATACTGATATATCTTTTGGTGAAAGTCAAATAAGTATCTAATATATTTTCTAGGGAAAACAAAACACAATTTGTAATCTTAGAATCACAAAATAGGATGTTAGGAGGTCCTGGTAATGCTCTGATGGAGGCATAAACTTTTCCCCACCACTTCAGAGAGAACGTTGCTCAGCCTCCTATGAAGAATAACTGCATGTGCTTTTGTATTAGGTATTAGGTATGTGATAGTGGTGACAATAGCAACACAAATGACAGAACAACTCCAAAATAAAGACATTTCTGAAAAGGATATAGGCATTCATTACACGTGTTGAGGACTGAGTTATTTTTTTCAGCATCCATTGATACAAACGCTATGTGATCGAAGCTTTATGTGGAATGCAGTAGAAAGTTGAAAAAACAATGAATCTATGCATTCATATTAGATGGTTTTCTGAGTACTGAACCTACCTTTTTTGTTTTTGTTCTCAAGAGCAGATCCTTGGATCTGAAATATCTTGTTAATATGTAGCTCAATCCATATTTTAACTCCCAATTTTAAATAAAGGTCCCCCTACCAAGATTCTGTCCTTCGGCTATTTGCCTTCTTCCTGTATACTCTGTACCAGTCACAATTTCTTTCTGTAGCTTCAAAAATTGCATATAGGTAACTTTTATTTTATGTATGTATGTATTTATTTATTTAGACATAGAGTCGCACTGTCACCCAGGCTGGAATGTAGTGGCATGATCTCGGCTCACTGCAACCTCTGCCTCCCAGGCTCAAGCGATTCTCCTGCCCTAGCCTCCCAAGTAGGTGGGATTATAGGCATAAGCCACCACGCCCTGCTATTTTTTGTTTGTTTTTTTTGAGACAGAGTCTCACTCTGTTGCAAAGGCTGGAGTACGGTGGCGCAATCTCAGCTCACTACAACCTCCACCTCCTGGGCTCAAGTGATTCTCCTCTCTCAGCCTCCTGACCTGGGATTACAGGGGCGCACCCCCACACCCAGCTAATTTTTTTTTTTTTTTTTTTTTTGAGATGGAGTTTTGCTCCTGTTGCCCATGCTGGAGTGCAATAGCACAATCTCGGCTCACTGCAATCTCCGCCTCCCGGGTTCAAGCAGTTCTCCTACCTCAGCCTCCCAAATAGCTGGGATTACAGGTGCCCACCACCACACCCGGCTAATTTTTGTATTTTTAGTAGAGACGGGTTTCACCACGCTGGCCAGGCTGGTCTTGAATTCCTGACCTCAGTTGATCCACCCACCTCAGCCTCTTAAAGTGCTGGGATTACAGGCATGAGCCACTGCGCCCGGCCTTACACCCGGCTAACTTTTTATATTTTTGGTAGAGATGGGATTTCACCACGTTGGTTAGGCTGGTCTCGAACTCCTGACCTCAAGTGATCTGCCCACCTTGGCCTCTCAAAGTGCTGGGATTATGGTCACGAGCCACCATGCCCAACCTCTGCTAATTTTTGTATTTTTAGTAGAGACAGGGTTTCACCATATTGGCCAGGCTTGTCTTGAACTCCCAGTCTCAGATGATCCATTCACCTCAGCCTCCCAAACTGCTGGGATTACAGGCGTGAGCCACTGCACCCAGCTGCATATAGGTGACTTTTAAATTTGTATCTTCAGCCTCAGGCTCCAACCTGAGTTCATACGCCCTATTTTCAGTTTCCTAGCAAAGATATGTATTTTTTAATGTGTGGTTTGTCAATCTGGACATGTCCAAAATAGAATTGAAAGTCTCCTCTGTCCCTCCTTCGTCTCCCCTTCAAGTCTGTTTCATGTATTAAGATCACTAATTTTCAGTCCTTCAGGCTCACGATCAAGGAGTTTTCTTTTCACATCTCTTCCCTTCAGTCCCCACATCCAATTTGCCTTTAAGTCCTTCAATACCAGTTTGCCCTTGGTTTCCTCTCCCCTTTTACTTATTTCTTGTACCTGAATAATTAGAATGTTTTTCTGTAACCACTCAAGTTCCATCTTCCAGTTCATCCTTAACATTAAGGCATCTGATCTAAAGAGGTACCATCCATTCAGGATTAACTAGATGTTGGGCACTCTACATAAAAAAATCCCACTTATTTAATTCTTACATGCACCCCATTCAAGAGGTGTCATCATCATTTATAAAGAAAATGGAAGGCTCAATGAATTGAAGAAACTTACCCCAGGACATTGGTAGAGTGGCCATATAATTTCTCATTCAAATAGAAATACTTTTGAGCATGAAAGGGGGAATAATTATGCCCAGATAGATGTAAAAGGGAACTTCAAACCAGGACACTAGGTTATTTATTCAGTAAGTAATAGACTCAAGCAGGGTTCCCCTCTACGTCTGTCTGGAGAGACACTACAGCCATCCTGTGACCATGAGGGAGTAGCTGATTAGCTGAGAATGACAGAGAAAAAGGGGAGAAAGAAGCAGATCTTTTGATGACAATGTTAATCCACCCATCTCCATCTTTATGTTAAGTAGATAATAAATATCCTTATTGTTTGAACTATTTCATTTCTTGAAGATGACTACATTTCAATATAAGGAAAGACAGTACATTATACAAGTAACGGCAATAATGTGTGACATCTGCTAGCATAAGGGTAGTGCAGGTCACTTTGAGAAATCAGTTACAACAATCTAATCTAATCTTGTGTAAATATGTATGTGTGTGTTGGGGGATGGCCAGTGAAAGATTCTTGGAGGAAATAACATTTAAATAGAAACTTGCATGCTGAATTCAACTCTGTCCACCTACATTTTTGTATCTGGGAAACAGTGTTTTCCCTCCCAAGAACTTTTGGCTTTAAAATTTACAGATGCTTTGCCTGTAATCCCAGTACTATGGGAGGCAGAGGCAGGTGGATTACCTGAAGTCACGAGTTCAAGACCAGCCTGGCCAACATGGTGAAACCCCGTCTCTACTAAAAAATACAAATAATTAGCTGGGCGTTGTGATGGGTGCCTGTAATCCCAGCTACTCAGGAGGCTGAGGCAGGAGAATCACTTGAATCTGTGATGCAGAGGTTGCAGTGACCTGAGATCACACCACTGCACTCCAGCCTGGGCAACAGAGTGAGACTCCATCTCAAAAAAAAATAAAAAAATTACAGATGCTTTGATTTGCAACTTTGACAGACAAGTAATATTAGACAGGGTTGCCAGAGTCAAAGTGGTACAGGGATTCAACTTGAAAGGTCACCTGGAAGTTTTCTATTTATTTAATTTATTTCTCAATAATTTGTCTCAATTTTATTTCAACCTTGTCGGTGTGAAGTGTTAGAATGCAAATTACCTTTTTGCCTCTATCTTTCTTTTGTAAGATCTCTGGCTTTCTTTGGTTTATTTCTTGTTGAACTGGAATTAAAAAAAAAAAAAGGAAGACCTCTGAATTCATGAGTGACTTGTTTAAAAAAATGTACTGAGCAATTCAGAATTATACAAACAATGTCAATTGTAGAAAGACCACCTGTTCCAATGAAGTGAGTCCTCAGAGATTTTAAATACACTTTCTTCCAATCCTTAATTGCCTCAGGATGAGGCAATCCTGTGTATCTGTTCAGAACCATTAATAACCTACTTCACCTGATTGCAGCAAGTGTTTTTTTTTTCCTCCAGATTTGTCAAATGGTAAATGCAAGGACTTTATGCACTGATAAACAACAAAATTGACCAAATTTAGCAGTAGGTTTCAGCCAAAGGCAATTTTTTCTTTTATCTTCCATCTAATTTGATAACTAATGGTTTCTGAAAAATTAAAGCTGGATGATTTCTTCAGCACACTTGCTAGATTTTGATTAGATCAAGTATGATCTGTCTTCTGCTTTGCTTTTAGGAATTGTTCTCAGGGTCTATTTCCTCTCACTTTTCATAGCTCTGTATAATTTGATAAAGATTAACATAACTTTCTCATAAGGAGATGGTGTTCTGCTCATCTATTCCAGTCCTTTGATGTTTCTAATATTATCGTTTGATTTTTGCATCTTAGACAAGTCACTTAACCTCTCTGTGCTTCAGACTAATTTTTATTTGTGAAATGATAATGAGGAAGCTAATGAGATAATTGGCTACATCTTTTAGGTAAACAGAGTTAGAAAATTACCAGGGCTGCAAAAATTCCGGAATTAGCACATACCAACCAACTCTATTTGCTTTTCTTTCTAACCATTTCTAGAGCACTTCCTTCAAGGGTGGAAGACTCACTATAGTGGCTCTCCTGGCCCTAGCATTTTATACAGGTGTTTATTTTAGAATGGTTTTAAGAAAAACTTTAAAGGGAAAAGCAAGTCCAAAATAATAACCTAAAATGGTTTTTGTGGAGAAAACTGTGTGTTTGGTGATGATGGTGTGGGAGTGTGGGGATGAAGTTTGTGAGCTGATGGAGTACACATAAGTCCAGGAGCACTCCTTGCATCGTGGCTTGCATTAGAGACACACAGCCATATCAGCTTCCACAGCAGTGGAAGACTTAATAACTTGGAGACTTAATAACTAGCCTGCAAGAACTGGCCTGTTATGCCCTTTGCAAAGGGCAGGGTTTCAATAAATGTTTAATTTAAACCATAAAATTCTAAAGATCTGGTCTTCATAAGTGAAAAGGAAGAGACAGAAACCATACAAAGTGAAGTGGCAAAATGAAAGTAAATGCACAGAATTAGTAGCTATAGTGTAGAAAGGCAGAAATGTGCCAAGGAAGAACCAGGAATACCATGAAGTATGATGGCTCCAGAATAAAAAAAGAATTTAGATGTTGCAAAATAGACTTTGAGCACTTTGCAAGAGACTCCCAAGTTAATACTGAAAGTAGATTTTGAAGATACATTAAAGATAGACTCACGCAATGGCTCATACCTGTAATCCCAGTACTTTGGTAGGCTGAGACAGGTAGATCACTTGAGCCCAGGAGTTTGAGACCAGCCTGGGCCACATGGTAAAACCCTGTCTTCTGCAAAAAATACAAAAAATAGTCAGGTGTCGTGGCATGCACCTGTGGTTCCAGCTACTTAGGAGGCTGAGGTGGTAGGATCCCTTGAGCCAAGGGCGTCAAGGCTGCAGTGAGCCATGATCGCACCACTGCACTCCAGCCTGGGCAACAGAGACCCTGTCTCAAAAAAAAAAAAAAAAAAAAAGATGTATTAAAGGTGAAAAATTTACTAGAAAATTATCTGGACTCTAAGAGTAAAAATGTGCATGGGGCACATTTTTCATCAGATCATCTAATTTAATATGATTTTTCATGGTTTGCAAGGCTTTTTGTGATGTGTTTCTGCTCTAATACTTGCTGCCTCGTGACTGTGTGCAAGTTAAAAGTCTGTCTTTGTGCCTCAGTTTTTCTCATAAGTAAAATTGAGAAAATAATAGTACCTACCTCAGGAAATTTTTGTGATGATGAGATGAGATTATACCTGAAATATACCTAAAAGAGTACTATAGTAAGTTCTTACTTAAGGTTAGCTGGCATTAATTATAGTTATTATCATCACTACTATTATTATCATCGAGAGATATTTTAAAAGCGCAAACTTTGGAACCAGATTTCCCAGCTGTGAATCCTGGGTTCATCACGTGCTACATGTGGGTATTTGGTCAAGTTCTTTCAGCTTCCAGGTCTTTATTTCCTCATCTGTAAAATGGGGACAATAGTACTTACTTCATAAGATCATTGTTAATTTTAAATCTATTAATGTATATAAAGGTTTACAGCTATGCCTGGTTCATAATTGTCATTATGGTGATGATTATTTTTCTGACTGGCCCTCACCTTCTTGCACTCTACTCCTAAACCACATTGACTTGTGTTTTGTTTATCAAATGAATCAACCCATTATACTTCAAGGTTTTTGCTCTTGAGCTCACCTCTTCAGCCAGGCCTTTCTCAACCACCCTGTTTCTTTTGCTCCAAACCCACAGGTATTCTCTATCTCAATTAGTCTCAGTTTTGTCACAGCATTTTCTATCTGACATTGTCTTTGTACATGTATGGCTTCCCTTATCCTACTCCTCACAAATCTTAAAGAATATAGATCGCATGCTTTGTTTGCTATTGTATCCTAGGGCCTAGATCAACACCTGTATATGGTAGAATTAAAAATAGTCAAATCAATGAGCACAATTGTGATAGGGTCTAAAGTGATCTGTAGATCAGTAAAGACCATTTACATCCTATTCTTAAAAACAGTGTAGAATAGGGCAGTCCAAAATGTGGTCCATATGATTGATTCTATAAAGTTGGGTCCAATGTTGGCAGCTATATACTCTATGTCTAGACCATGATACTTTGAGGATAAAAGGAGTTGCTGTTAATAATCATGACAAAATAGTATGCAAAAAACTGGGGCAGTCCAGAGTAAATCTTATCCATGAATTATCTGCATTAGGATCATAGGTGATGATGGACTCATAAATGCAGCTTCCCAGGCCCTGTTTCAGCTCCACAGCATCAGGATCTTTGGTAAAGACACCTGATGTCTATATAAGGAAGTGCTCTGGGTGATTTTGAAACATGCCAAACATGCCAGAGTTTGAGAACCACTGGGGTTGAGGATTAGAACATCCTCTTTTGGGTGCTTTGTCCCCAACCCAGGAGGCTTCCCTAAAGGCGTTAAATACTTATTAACACTGTTGTGTGAGAGCTGCAGTGGCGAGATTGCTGCTTGGAAGCCAAGCACTCATTAGCACTTGTATAGGAACCTCTGCCTGTTCTTGAGGGTTAGTTTCTTGGCAAACAATAGAAGTCTTCATGAAGCACTTCTGCAGAGTGAGGACAAATTTGGGGTAATGTAGTGCAAATTGTAGGAAGTGAGTACATTAGCAATTAAAGAGGTTTAATAAGTCTGAAAAAGAGTTTTCGTAAGTCTGGAAAAATTATGTATATTTTAGGAGAAAAGTGAATAATGGTAATATAATTAAAGGCTAATCACTTATAGTTGAATCCTATAGTACCGTCTTTCTTTCTTAAAATAATGCTTTGGAGATTGGAGTCTGGAGTTTGAAGATCAGGCTAACACTTATAAAATACATTTGTTTTTTGAATTTTTGCTACATGTATTTGTTTTGGCCACATGGACAATATTTTCTGATTATGGGTAATAATGATACAGTAAATAAAGCTTTTACCACCTTCTCACTTTTTTGCTTATCACTTCAACGAAGAATTCTCCTTATCTATTTCACCTTCCTAGGGTGGAGGTAAACTACTAATTGCCGTTTTGGTTTTCCTCATGCCATCTTTATGTTACCTCCTTTTTACTCTTACCCTTTTCTAACCTTTTCAAATTCCGTTCTCTTTTCTTGCATCCTTGATACAGAAAGATAATGTATGAATTTATGCCTTCATCAATTTAAAGTCTTACAGACAAATATGTAGGCTTGGTTTTGAACAATCTCAACAGCCACTCTGCAGTTAAGCTAGAATCCCTGCTAAGTAGCTTACTAATGCTTTAAACAAAATCATGAAATCATAGATACGTCATTTTATATAGAGATGTATATAAGAGACACAGAGATGTCATTTATGTTTCTTGATTTATTATCATTTTCCATGAAGTAAGAAGAAATTGATGGAGAAGGTGTTCTTGTGAGGTCTTCATTTAAAATAATATAAAAAATAAGAATTCATCAATAAGCATGATAAAACAAAGTTGGAAAGAGCAGCTACCTCTCATTGATTACTTATAGCTTGTGCATTTTATTTCTCACTATCTAAACCTAACCATAGGATTTGGCAACCACTCCAGCAATCTGAATTTTGTAAGACAGAGATAAGAGGTTATAGTCATAGCTATTTTCAATGCCAGGAATGAGAATGCTATGTGTGGAGTTTATAGAAATTATTCTCATGATTATTTAAATGTTAGGCGTGCCATAGTAATTTAGATAGGCAATTTTAAAAGGAAAACAATTTCATTGAAAATTGGGTGTATGTAACTTTAAAGGTTTTTGGCTTGGGCTCAGGCTTTCTCCAATAGGCTGACCAGTTTGGGTAGTGATTGGCAACTTCTTTTCTAGGTTTCCCAATTGGTGCGGTTTCAAACAGCAGGAGGGCAACCTCTCTGAATTCAGAACACCGAACAATTCTAGTTCAAATCAAATCTCTGCCTTTTAAACCTCGCCTAAAAAGATTCTCTCTCTGAAATCTCCTACAGAGACAGAGGTATCTTTATTACTTCTAACATTAGCTGAGTATTTAAAATATTACAGAGTATAATATCAAACTAGCTCTGTCCCAGGGCCTCCTCCACCTATACTAATACGCATCTATGTACTAAGACAATCTATTATATTATAGTATTTGTCAAAAACCAACTTTAAGCAGAAAATAAATTACTGTTTCTAAGTGAAACATTAACCTACTAATGGTGGGCATGCTTGCTCTGTGAATCAGTATTCTTAACCTAATAACACCTATAGTTCTGAGAGACAAGCTGTTGTCAAGATGCTGGCTCTATATGAGAAAGTTGCTTTTGTTTCATAACATGTATCCCTTATCCCCGCTCTGTGTGCCCGCCTTACATTTACTCTAGTTGATCGTGATTGTCTTCAGGTTTTAGTTTTGGAACTGTGGTGTGTGTGCCAGAAGTGCAACTTTTGCCATGATTCAAAAAGCACACCGGAGGCTGCTATACCACTCTGGCTGTTACTTTTTGGGAATGGGAGCAAGCAGAAAAATATACGTTTGGTAAAATCAAATTGAGTACCGTGTTTATTTGGTACTACTTGTGGCTACAATAGAAAACATTTCTTTGCACGTTTTCCTCTTGAATACAATCTGGAGTTTAGTTTTTTAAAACACTTTTTTTTTTCCCTGAGACTGGGTCTCACTGTGTTGCCCAGTCTGGCTTCCAACTCCCAGGCTCAAAGCAATCCCCTGGCCTCAGCCTCCCAAGTAGCTGGGACTTTAGGTGCATACCACTGTGCTTGGCTGCAGTTATTGTTTAATATGACATTAAATTATATATGAATGAATAATTTTTCATTTATGGTATAAGTTTTAATGAACTTTTCCATGAGAATAGAATGTTAAGGTTTAGAATTATGTCCTGGTTACAGGTTAGGGAATTAGAAACCACCTTTTAAAAAATTTCTTTTATTCAAGATTATAATTTCTCCACACAACCCCCTTCTCTCTCCTAAAAATGGGCAAAAATCTGTTAACAGTTTTATGATTTGAATTTTAAGGCCATGTAAATATAGCAGGTATTATATATGATATTTTTTATATTTAACAAACATGCAAAAGATCTTTTTAATACTCCTTTTTATTTGCTTAATACAAGTATTGATGATTTTGTTTTGTTATTCAAATGGCATATATAGACTGGGGGTGTAATTCCTAAAATATTTTTTTTCAGGCCTAGGGAAAAGCCGAAATAGAAACCACAAATAACAAATTTTTATAAATTGCCATCTCTGGTTGGCTAGTTCTTCTCTGAAAGAAGTACTACAAAATAGAATGATGAAGAGAATATGAATTTAAGATTTACTTCATAAGAATTCTAAATTCTCCAAGTTTTATATTTAGTATATGACATTCCTCTAAGTAGAATAACTTTTGGCTTTTTTGTTTTCATATTTAAATATGTATTTAAATCATTTTTCTTAGAATTTAAAAACATATAGTCTTTGAAATAACTTAATTTTCAATAATGTGTGTAAAATAGCTGTATTTGCACTGATTTGTCCTGGACAATCAAAAAGAGTCATGCATTATAGCCATCTAATTATTCAAACTTTCCTAAAAATAGCTTAAAAGCAATTTAGAAAATAATAGAATATACATTCTTTACTCTGGGTAGAATGCTAGAAATAATGAGAGTCTTGGAAAATAATATCAACACATTAGGTATTCAAGAGAATGAAAAAATACAATTCAACAACAACAACAACAAAGACTTAGGGGATAATGATGAACAGTTTAGACAAAGACATTAACTGTAATGTCAACTGCAGCAAAACAACATAAAAAACTATGACTTGTGGCCCTTCATTGGAAAAATGTTAGGGGCAACTAAAACATTGGGAATATATGTAATTGAAAGAAATACAAATTCCTTTATGAAAACTGAAAAAATGAGCACAGGGCTACAGGAATCAACTAAAAAAAGATAATGAGGACTACATAGGGGTGGAATGCAAATATAATGAATTTTAAAAAGATGATGCTTTTTATTTGTATTCATTTCTCTCAGTTTGCTTTTTTTTTTAAACAGAAGGATTTGTACAATAGGAGAGATACTTTAAATTGTATTATAGTATGCTATCTATAATTGGATAGGATTCAAGTAGATTTTCAAATTAGCTTACTTCAATTCAGGGGATATACTAAATACCTCTATATGTACATTTGAACTGGAAAGAAGAGCCAAAATCCTTTTCTATATATATTTAGAGCTTTAAAAAATAATAATTAAAAAAAAGTAAGTTAAAAGAGTTTCAGAGGAGAAGAGAAAGGCACACATATTTTCTTCTAATGAACTCAAAAGCATCTCTCAATTTTAGAATTTGTGGTGGAAAACTACATTTTGATCGACACAGGTGTGCAGGGAGGGAGGTTGTCAGTCTGATATGAACCACATTAAGAGGAGGGAGATACTTTAGGGTGAGAAAAATAAAAAGGGCTTGACAAAAAGAAAACAAGAAAAAAACAGAGAGAACGGATATGGGGGAAGGAAAATGCTCAAAGTAATTTAAGCTGAAACAATACCTCAAGCTCAAAACAATTACCTCAATATTGTACAAATTATCTATTTAGTTGGAATCAACAAAGTGACATTATTATGCCCACCTCTTATAGCACATACCACCTACTTCAATATTCAATGAAAAATAAACAGAAAGAGTGAACTTCTTGATAATTTACCCAATAAAGCCACGAAGCACCAAGGATGTTGCCACTGTTTGGTCTCTCTCACATTGTCCATCAGTCTGGGAGAAATACGCAAACTGGGTGATGACATTTCTATCTGCACACCTGCCCAGTGACCAGTGTTTTGTTAGGATCCAGCTGTATTTAGCTATTTAAACATGACAAACTCCGTATTAAGGATCTTAAACTTGCAATTAAAAAGGTATTGTCTAGAGAAAACTCTAATGGCTCTGTGAAAAAACTCTTAATTCCACTTACTAAATATAAAATCAAATATTGCAATTAATTATAGACTGTGCCAAGGCGACCCTTTTGCTGACCACATTACCAGTCCTCAAATGGGGAATGGGTAAATGTTTTCTGATGAGGGCTAAATTGTTGCCTTCTGCTCTATCAACTGTTTTCATAACCCTTCAGTTCCTTTGGCCCTCATCTGTTCTCCTATGGGTTTTGAGGCTGGATTTTACGGCTTCCTTCTCCTTAGATTAATGTTCAACAACTAAGGCTTTGTTGTTCTCAGTGCGAACCTTACAACTTTGTTTCCCTCTGCCCTTCTTTGTTGAATGTGTTCATTTCCCTAACAGAATGTCTCTCTCATGCAGTCGTCAGTCTGGACATTGGCCTCTGTGTTATTGCTTGTCCATGCAGCTGCAGCTTCTCCTGCCCTCACTTACCTCGGGTTTCATATCTAGTGGGCCAAGTTTTCAGTGCTCATCCCCACTTGGTGACCCATGGCATGTACCCTATCTTCACTCATGGTATTTCCTCATGGTTCTAGGGGACTTCTGCATCAAGGAGGATTCAAGCTCTATGATCATTCTCCTTTAATAAGGGCTGTTCTCAGGCCATCCAGCTGAGTAGGAGGCTGGCTGCCTTTTGCTGAGATTTATCTGGCCATCTCTTCCTGACTTTCTTTATCTCTTGTGGCAAGGTCTGTCTCATTTCCTTAGGATGTTGATGCTGGAAAGGTCTAGATTTAAGGGGGGCTATTTAGAAGGCCATGTTGTTTATCTGACTTAGGAAGCCAAATCAATAATGTCTCATAGTTACTTTTGCTTACTGTGTGAGTTAAGCTAAGGTACTTAACCTCTCTGTGCCTCAGTTTCCTCCTTTAGGTAATGTGTAATTATTCCACGTATTGTACACAAATGAAATGAGTTGTGTAAGGATGAGTGACAAAATAACTTGGTGTCTTATGCTCTTAGTACAGTATTTGGCATTCAGCAAGTGCCATGGAAGTTTTGCTAGTTTTATTGTTATTCTTTCAAGAGTAGACTTTTTTTCTTTCTTTCTTTTTGAGATGGAGTCACTCTGTCACCCAGGCTGGAGTGCAGTTGCCCCATCTAGGCTCACTGCAACCTCCGCCTCCCAGGTTCAAGTGATTCTCCTGCCTCAGGCTCCCAAGTAGCTGGGACTACAGGCATGTGCCACCATGCCGAGATAATTTTTGTATTTTTGTATTTGTAGAGACGGGTTTTCACTATGTTGGCTAGGCTGGTCTTGAACCCCTGACCTCAGGTGATCCACCCGCCTCAGCCTCCTAAAGTGCTGGGATTAAAGGTGTAAGCCACTGCACCTGGCCAAGAGTAGATTTTTGAATACAAGGAGTGTGTCTGCTTGTTGGGTTGTAGAGCTGGAGGTAGAAATTTTAATCATTTCATGACCACAAGGTGTATATTACATCCTTATGTAATAAACTTAATTTAGCTTCACAGCAGCATAGTTTATAATGCCATTTTTAGGCTGTGAACAATGTTTTTATCTAAAATAGTGATTTAAATTCTAGGGCTTGAATTTACACTCCATCCCAGAACTACAGAATATTTTGTTTGGCAGGGGAAGCACATTACCTTTATTATTCTACTTGGTTAGAGAATATTTGCAAAATTGCCTATGTAAGATTTAGGAATCTTAACAGATATTTCCAGTTTTAATGGTGTGTTTCTTCAGAAAAGAACTACTGCTCACTGTAGAATTATAATCCTATGATGAAGAAAAGTAGTTTTTTTCTAATTTGCATATATTTATACGATAAAATATGAGAGAAATAGAAATTGAAATAATAACTGAAATAATTTCATAAAATATGAAAGAAATAGAAATTGAAATAATTGAAAGTTATTAATCAAGATTTTTGGTAATATATAAATTAGGCATTTCACTTAAAAAATTTGCAATATGTTGAAGACAAGTGACGAATAGTCTTCAGTTTTGCCAAAAGTATAGCTTTAAAATGTATAAAAGCATAGCTTTAAAATGTATAAGACAATTAACATTTCTTCCTAATTATCCCTATTGTGGGTGATGAAATTGACAGGGATGGTAGGGGAGAAAGTGAAAAGCATACTTGCTTTAGCTTTTGTAAACACATGCCTTCAGAGAACAATAAAGATTTTTATTGTCAGATATGAAACTGCAAGAGCCCTCTATTGTCATACTTTACAGAGTGTGTTTATTTGTCTTTGAAAGCTTGGCACTCTCATATACATTTGTAACCTGTTAGAGGAGTAAAGGCTATTTTGTTAGTTATTGTTGACATGAAACACATTGAGCTATAGATAATAATTACAGTTTTATATGTTAACTATATGTTATGTAGTTTTATACATTCCCTTTGATATTTGAAAGCTCTTAAGATATTTTAAATGATAAAGGAATATTAAATAAATAATCTACAGTTACTTAAAAATAGCAGAGTTTAAAAAGCCTGGTTTGTTGATTTTTCATTTAGAGAGGAATAAAAAACTATAGGCATTTTTGAGGCTTCACAAGATTAAAAAATGGTTTTATATTTTTACATATTTAGATACCTATAAATACATGCAGTTAAGCCTATATATTTCCAATGAGAAATTTGAGTTTGTTTCCACATTGTAATGCCAGTATAATTTTCAGATGCCAGAAAACATTGTTTTGGTGATTTCTTCCTCTGTCTTTACCTTGCTTCCTTCCTTCTTTCCTTTTTTTCTTCTTCTTTTTTTTTGAAATGATGACAGTAAATGTTGGACTTTTTAAAAGGTGTCATAATTTTAGTCTGTAAAAATTTTTAAATATTACAACCAGCATTGGACTGGTTGTAATATTTATAGACACTTACAAAAGAGTTGTTGCATGACTAATCACACAATCACTCTGGTAGTTAGATTGAAACTTTTAGAATTTTTGTTATGAAAATAAAAACCTGCTAGTAAAATGCAAAGTTACACATATATTTGTAATAGTCTCTCAAATAAATGTTTTTTAAATAAGGATACATCACTATGGGCTAAAATTTTAAGAAATAACTTTTTATTTATTTCTTTTAGTTTTAAGGGACATGATTTCACCTTAATAGCCTTTTTGAGTTCTATCATATTGCAAATGTTATGGAATATCAAGGCAATTCTACTTAACGTAGTTTAAAATTAAACCTATATTAGACTTTCTTAGTAATAAAGCAACTTCAACAACACGAAACCATTGAAGTAATTTTCTTTGAAGTAGCAAATGAATTAGAAGATTAATTAACAACTAATTACCCTGGATTATTTGATTACTACCTAAATAATGTAGATATAATTTTTCAATGGATTTTAGTTTTAATTTTACCTGATGAAATTGAGGTCATCTGAAAGCATCTATTTAATGGAGCTAGAAATTTGTCTGCCAGGGCTGCTGAGAAATATTATTTTAACTTTACCTTTTCTTGTGATGATCACATGAGGAAAAGTTCAGCTATGCAGTCACATTTAATTTGCACTGCAGAGAAGAATAAATCACTAATTTGTCAAAAGGTGTGGAGAAGAATTGATTTACCTTTATTCTGCAACCAATGTCTCCAGAATTTTAGATTATGAACATATGACATTGGAATGTGAGAAATTAAAAGAGAAAACAATATAAATAATCTTTTTGCCAAATACAAATCTCTAATTATAATGGAAAGGGGAGAACCAAAGATTCAGTAATTAAGGAAATGTGTTCTTCTTTTAAGTATTTCTGAAAATGTATTGAGAATATAGGAGTCAAATATAGCACATTTACTTCTGAATCTACTGTATTTACCTGAAAGGACTGGGACCTTATTATTAATATTCTATAAGTAAAGCATGCTGACCATTGTGAAATTTACACAACGAATCCATTTTCCACTGTACATTTGAATATTTGTAATATCAGGTAAGTTATAATTAAATCCACACACATTTATTCTACATATCAAAATAAGATACATTTTTCACTTTCTTGGTTGTAAACATGTGTTCTAGAGGTGAGCAACATCAATATTACTTTGACTCGTGTAGAAATTGTTTGCTATTAAACTGTGCTTCAGTTTGCAAACTAAAACGTATGCCATGGGACCACATCAAAGGCCATCACGCTGTCATTAAAAGACATCAAAGGGCATTCTCTCTGTAGCCTGTAAGTTTTATGGCAAGTATCTCATAGAGATGTCAGGTCATTGGGAAAGCCAGGAGAAGACTCCATCTAAACTCAGTTGTCTTTGGTTCCTTTCATCTGTTTGGGAAGGTAGGCATCTTGGGTTAGAAAGAGTTTGGCAGTGATTTGAATACTGGACATCAAGCCTCTCTGATTTCAGCTGCTCTCAGCATGGAGACTGTAGTCATGGTCTGTCCTGATGAACACATCTGGGGAACAGAAAAATGATCCTTGTGATAATGTCATTGAGTGCTTGTGAGGCATAAAGCCATAAGCTTCTTTTTTGCTCCTCTGAGGATGCAATCACATAGGTAATTTTGGTGTACTTAGGTAATTCAGGATAACTTTGGGAAGGGACCATTTCTAAATTCAAAAGCAGTACTCTCATTTGCTTAGTGTGGGGCTGAGGCATTTTCTACAGAACAGAATAATGGAATTTCTATTTAAACAAAGTAGCACAGTAAATTTAGTTTCTTCTAGTTAAAGCATGTTCATGTAATTATTCCCTTAATGAGATATTACGAAAGCCTATATGGAGAATAATATCTTTACAATCAAATTAGGGGACAACGATGGCTAAGTTTCAGCTGATTAGAGAAATGCATGTATTGTACATGAAAACAAATACTTATAGTCTTCCTTAGGTGTTTTTTTAATGTATATATAATTTGTTTTCCAGCCACATCTGCACAATCCCAGGGTACGTTAATTTAATTTTGCTTAAGAAGTATATCCTTTATTTTGTCATAAGCCTAAAACATATCTTGGCTGGTTGTTTCTACCTATTAGGACCAAACAAAATTTGCACGAGAACTAACAAATTGTCATGAGAAATGAAGGTTTTTCTTTTGAGGGGGGTCTAATGAATTAATATATTTACAGGACACAGTTAAAAGCATTTTGTACTACTTTGATCATTCACTTACATGTCATTAAGTAGTCTAAGCATTTTGTTATGAAAGGGCTCTGTTTACAAATTAGACCAAAGAACACGTTTCACACTGAAGATCAGCATATATATTGTATTTTTTTTCAGATGCACATGACACAACCTTAATATTAGAGCCAGATGATTAAAAGAACATTACCTGAGCCATGAGAGTCACTGAATGAGCTATGCTAAATTGGTTGTTTTCTGTTTTGTGATTAATTGTGCTTCTAAACCATATTTTAGTGTGCTTTGTTTTTCTGTCCCCAGTCATCCCATATTATTAAAGAGAAATTCTGCATATCTCTCCTGGAGTCCAATTAAGGATTTGCATCATGACTAGATTTTTCACTTTAATTACTGTATATAAAGTAGGTTTTGACTTATTTCCATATTTATCAAACTATGCAGAAGAAGCAAAATTCATCAAATAAACAGATATCTGTGGCTATAATTGCAGCCTGCATCTAGGATGTAGGAAGAAAATATGAGGGTCCAAATTTCATTATGTAGAACATAATAAACATCTGAATAATTAAACTGTGTGTAAATCATAGGCTTGGCAATAGTAAGAAGAGGAGACACCTTCATTTCATTCAAAAATATTTTAAATATATTTCTAAGAATATATCCCAAACATTAAACAAACAACAAGTTGAAAACATGTCTTATCAGGTCAAAATTTTACACTGGATAATGTGTATTTGAAACATTTTAAAATTAATTATATAATATATGATAAGCTCTCTATGTACATGGATTTCCAAAAGTCCCTCTTTTCTTTTTAGCAAGTAGGTGAATAAAACTAAAAAGAAAATAGCTAATTATTTTGATGATTTTCTTTATACTGACTGCAAGTAATTAACATTGCAAAAGTGATCTATGAATTTCTAGGACTAAAAAAACAAAAACAAAAAACCTGGCTCCTAAATATATATAATTTAAAGCTCCAAATAAACATTCTACTTACAATGTTTAACTATCTTCTTCTTATGTATAGTTAATTGTGTATTAAAGGATTTTAAGCTAATAAATGTAGGGGCTATTACATTTATTATATTAAAAATTTAATGACGGAAAGTATATTAATATCACGATTAAGATACTAGCAACTTATCAAGAGTGTAAAACTTAAGACTTCATTTTAAGCATGATTCTTTAACTTTTAAGACATTCAGAAAAAAATTCAAATAGGTTTTCCTTAGATTATTTAATTACAAAAACTTAAATTGTCTCTAGTGTCACAAATGAATTAGATTTATTAATTTCAAAACTTTCAAAAAGATATTTTAATTTAAAATTTTAGCATTGTTAAGCTTCTGACAAGGAAAGTTTAATTCTGGTTATTGTAAGGTTTCTAAGGGCTTTGAATTAATTTACTTGTAAGCCCTGCTGTGAATGTAGCTGGTTACTTTTGAATTAGATATTAAGGACAGATAAAGTGATGAACCTGCTTGGCTTTGACTACATGAAGATTTATCATATTTTGATTTCCACAGGCTCCCAGAAGTGAGGATGTCTAGAAAATAGGATCTGCCTAATGTTGTCTGAAACCATTCATTTCTCCCTCTCAATTGATAAAGCAACTTCCTTTTTACTTTCAGATATGTTACAAAATGCAAGAATACAGGCATTTAAAGGTAGTTACAGCTAACCCTATTAAGGCCAGTATGTTATGGCTCATCTACATAACTTGGGTATGTCCCAGTGTGCAATGCATGGAAATAGGTAATGTACAAACGTGGATATAGAAGTGTGGTATGTGCCTATTTGAATTTTTGGCAGGTGAGGAAATAGTTGTGAATTAACGCAAATAATGAGTAACTGCACATCTCTTCATACTAACCATTCTCATAAATGTATGAATACTTTACCTGGTCTCTTTTGGTGTTTCAGCTGGCCTTCCTGGGCCAGCATCCAATCCCTTTCTTAAAGTTTATATTCCAGAAACTGTTGAATAATAAAAAAATGAAATAACTAGGGATTGTATGTGAACACCTTAAAAATTATTAGCAGAATTGAATAAAATCAGTTAAGTGGATGTTTAATGGCATGCTCATAAAAAATATTTAGTTGTTTGGCTTAAAATGATGTTTTCAAAACCCATGTCATTAAATGAAGTTATTTAGATGGTCTTATAATAAAGAGATATTATGTCATAAAACTAGGAGAGAAAAGTTTCATTTGTCTATTACGGGGTAGAAATGGTGATAAAATGTTAAAAGGATAATTACAAACATGGAATTTATAAATTTCAGTGGTACAAATTGTAGTTTGATATTCTGAATATAGAACACTTCAGTGAAATATTCCCAGAGCCAAATATTCATTTTATAGTTGAAGACAGTTTTCAATAATATTAGTTTTTTAGAAGAAAGAAAAACTATAACTGATATCTATATTTCATGAATAGTTCTAAAATGGCTTCTTATTTCCCTCATTGGTTTTGACTATAGTGATAGTGTTAAATGAATAATTTAAGAAACAAGTATTTTTTGAAGAAAAATCTTTTAGTTTTAATTTACAAAATAGATTTGCTTAGTATAATACCCAGTGTAGAATTATGGACACAGGTTGTTTCCTTCCTCAATAATTGAATATGGTCTGTTTCATCAGTAAGGATCTTCTTAAAGGAAGTATCTGCTAATATCTAGAATTCTTCGCAACTCAGAAAATATATATTTCCTTTCACTTATTTTTCTCTTCTTCTTCAATAAAAACTTTAGGCTTCCACTGTAGAAAAAAAGTTGTTGTTTAATAAGGAGATTCCTGGGCCTTACTATAGCAGCACTTATTTGAAATTTGTGGGATTGAGGCCTGGGAATATGCATTGTAAACAATTATCTTAGGCAGTAGTGGGCTGACAGATGTTTAAGAATTTGCTCAATGAAAAAAAGTATATATACATGTACATGTATATTATAAATGCTATTATATAAAGAATGTACTGTGAACAGTTTTAAAATAATAAAATATACAATATTATTTACTGTAAATTCCATATAGCCAATTGATTCTCAGAGTGCTGCCTTTAATTTTTGTTGAACTCTACTTGTATCCAAACTGTGGTTGCCATTGGTGAATGAATGTAGTTTCAATATGAATGCTGGTTGATATTTTTGCTTATAGTAAGAAAACAAACCAATTAAGACATGTTGAAACTCACTTGTTAGTTAATAATGTTACTTTTTTTCTGAATAGGATAATTGTTTTCAAATATTGGAGGAACATTTCTTCAATTTTTGAGTTACTCATAATTTAATGACTACAGAAATGGCACATTTTTAAGTTTAATCTACATTAGTGTAGACAACAATATCAACACAATAATAAGGCTTGTTTTGTAACATTTTTCAAATTTAATGGTATAAGTATTCCCACCAGTTTCAGACCATTTTCAAGCTACCAATGTGACGTCACTTAAAGTAGACCTAAAGAGCGAGATAATAGTAAAGTGTGGTTAATATAAAGTGAAGGATTTTAAATACTTATTATCTTTATTTTTAAAGTAGTTTAGGTAATTTTAATATATTCAATATACTACATATTTTAACACAAAATTTAGTTTTTAATAATGATTTTATTTAACAACCAGCTGACAAAGTTTCTAAACATTTAACAACTTAAAAATTTTTTAAAGATAGAATCAGAAGATTATAAATTTCTCAAGGGGATAAATAGATATAAAGATAGATTACATTTATAACGGATTGCACACAGCTTACGTACATAAGCATGTGATAGGTTGTTGTGTTAGTATATTAACATAAAACTACAAGGAATAAAGTATTTATTCAGTTCCTTTAAGGCACTTAGCTTTGTACTAATAGTTGTGGAAAATGCAGAAACATAAGACTTTTTTTTTAAACATTAGAAGCTCATAATATATTTGTGTGAAAAAAATTGTGATCATATAGTGATTAATGTAGAATGAAGTGCTAAAGGAGGGAGCAGACGGATAGCTCTATGAGAACTGCAGATAGGATGGAGGGTATTTTGGAAGAGGTGGGAGTTAATTGGAAACCTGAAAAACGAGTAGTGAAACCCAGACATTGATCTCATATTATGGAGGAAGGAAGAGTGCAGAACGCAACAAAATTAGCGGAACATATACACAAAATCCAGAAAAATATTTTTCCCGTTCTTTTCTTCAGGTTCCAGTAATGTAATCCAATCCATACATAGTTAACAGGGTGTTAGGATTTTGAGAGTGTCAGTTCACAGGATTCTTAGCTCTGTGGTTTCTTGGGGTGTATCCTATGACATCATCCTCCAGGAGATCTATTTTCTTAAGCCCCTTCTCCTTGCAGTCTTTTAGCATCTTTGCTCTTCCCTGACATTGTCCCACTTCCTCCTGAATCATTGGTTCCTCTGAATCATTTGTTTGTTGCCCTTCTTGTTCTAATGGGCAACAAATACTAAGCCCTGTAAGATCAGCAAAAGGTTAATTGGCTTCAGTGTCAATCTGTTTAACAACAATCTTTTGTATGTACAGTATATTAAACGTCCGGAAATAAAGATAGAGGGTATCTACCCTTCTCTTCTAAGTAAGTTCACATAGAAGTAAAGACATTCTCAGAAAAATGTAGATAAAGAAAATTTTAATGGAACTATCCACCAGCTAAGACCTAGTACAGAGGAAAGTTGAGATTTCTGACTCCAAAGGAAGGAAGGTTAAGGGTCATGGTTTCTCAGCACTCCAGATAGGGTTTATCATATAGAGGAAGATGTGTGTATGTTGGGCATTAATCTGATAGTGATACAGTTTCAGAAAGATGATTCTTTGTTCATCTGGCCAGAGGAGACACAATACTTTACCTTTACTCATCCTTCAATTTATCAAAATGTTGTATTTTCCTTATTATTTGCACTATGTAAATATTGTTTTCTCATACACCAAATAGTATCTGATGATTACATTTTGTATTATGTAACTTTTTATTTTTCCTGGAGTTAAACTGTGTTACTTTTAAAATTTGTTAGTTTTTTCTAGCCAAATCTTCCCATGATGTACAAAAGCTCTGTCAAATGTTCCCAATAAATAACTTATCTCTTATGTTTGGGTCCTCTGTTTCTGATTCCCATATTTACTTCAATCCGAAATCATACCCCCATTTTGGTAGAATATATTCTCCACTAGGTTCTTGAGAAATGGGCCAAAGTAAATATATTTAGGAAATGTCATGTATAAAAATTCTTTTATTTTATCATTATATTTGACTATTATTTAGACTGGATATATATTTCTAGTTGAAGATTATTTCCATATTTCAACAAGAGTGCACTGTCATTTTCTAGTTTCCAATGTTGATGGTAAGAAATCTGATGCCATTCATATTTTAAATAAATTGTTTGTGACTTTTATTTTTTTAAAAGAACTTATTGGGATCTTAATATTTTTACTAATAGTATAAAATTTCACATTTTAATACGTTCTTATTTATTTATTATATAGTGTAGCAAAAGGCCCTTTTCAGTAGGAATATTCATTTTTCTCTATGCCAGACTACTCATGTTTCTCTTATTCTTCTAAGAAAATTAGGAGAAGATAAATCTAAAATATATAAGAAAATTATCACTTTCTAAACCTTACATTAATAAAATGATAAACTTTCATATTTATTTCTTTATGAGAGATTATTTACAGAGCTTTGGTCCTCCCACCCCACTTTTTTTTTTTTTTTTTTTTTTTTTTTTTTTTTTTTTTTTTTGCAAGCTGGACTGCAATGGTGCGATCTTGGCTCACTGCAACCTCAGCCTCCCGGCTCAAGCGATTCTCCCACCTCAGCCTCCTGAGTAGCTGGGATTACAGGCACCCGCCAACACGCCCAGCTAATTTTTGTAATTTTAGTAGAGATGCAGTTTCACCATGTTAACCAGGCTGGTCTCGAAATCCTAATCTCAGGTGATCCACCTGCCTCGGCCTCCCAAAGTGCTGGGATTACAGGCATGAGCCACCGCCCCCAGCCTTACTCATTCTTTAGATCTAATTTTTCTCTGATTGAGGTGACTTTTTCTGAACCTTCTACCTGAAAACTGGGTTAGATGTCTTTTTATGTGGTTTTGTTGAGCTTATTACCCAATGTTAATAGACTTTTAGCTACATGAAGTTAAGGATGGAGGGTGTCTTGTTGTCCTCTTCTTTCCAGTGTGTGAGCATTCAATGAATTTTTGTTGAATTAATGAATGAATTGGTTTTAGAGACAGAGTCATCTAGAATATTGACTATGCCTGACACTACTACCTGTCCACCAAACTACATTCTTATTTCTTTAGTAACAAAATATCCACACATATGCTTAGCTAAGGACTACATTTGCCTTTGTAGCTAGGTGTCGCCATATGATTCAATTCTAGCTTAAGGGGTATAAGCAAAAGTGCTGCACTCCAATTCTCTTCCATATATTTAAAGGAATGCGCATGTGCCCCACTTGCCTTGTCTCCCTTTCTGTTGGATGAAGTAGACCTCTTCAATTATAAGCTAAAGGCAGTTTTGAGGCTAGTGTAACAATGCAACAGAAAGAACCTGCATTTCTGGCAGACCTTGTGGACTGCAGCCCCTGCCATCCCTATATGGCCTTCTCTGGATAGCTACATGGAGAGAAATAAACTTTATCTTGTTGAAACTACTTTATTTTTATATTTTTCTAACATGCAACATAGACAGTATATTTGGTATATTTCAATTTTTCAGTCAGTAAGTTGAAGAATGTGCTAGAAATCTATGGTTGGTCGCTGGCAGCCAGATCCAGGATTGTGAAGAGAATATACTTTGCACCACTACTTACCCTTCCTCTGATCATGAGATATATTCATTTTAGGTAACTAGTTCACATGTATCTCTGCTAAGATTTCTGGTTAACTTACTCTCCTCATATGTTCCTAAATAAGCTTGTGCCTTTTTTTCTCTTTTATTTCTTATGTCATAATTTTATAATTTCTGCCATAGGAAATGAAGGTATTAGAAATAGCTTGTTTTAAAAGCTAATTTCATAAAAACTAAACTCTGAGGAGTTTGTAGGAAACTAATAAATATATTATTACCTATTAATACTTCCAAAAGTGCCTGACACTGAATAGAATAGAAAGGTTAATTTATGTAGTCCTCAAAGAATTAACATTTTTTACCCACACACATACATACACACATACACAGACATATTGACACACACACTTTAGTTGATCAATGTTGAACTGACATTTCTACTAAGAATGTCTCAAGGGAGCCTCAAATTCAACATGTTCAAAACAGAATTTATTATTTTCTTTGCTGCCCCTCTTCTAGTTCTTTCATTCTCAATGAAACCATTAATCTAATGATACTTGTCAGAAACCTGACCCCCATACACAATTTGAAATTAATTTCTATCAGTGTTACTTCTAATATGTTTCTCTAATATATCCACTTATCTTCTTTTTACCTCTAGCAAACTAGTCCAAGACACCATTCTCTCTCACTGAGAGGAATGTCTCAACTGGTCTTTTAATATTCATTCTTGTCTCTTTTCAATTTGTTCCTTTTATTTCAGCTAGACATTTCCTTTTGAAATTCATATCTGGTGATATCAAATTTCTGATTAAAATAGTTCTCAATGGATTCACATTGCTCTTGAGGTAAAGACCAAAACCTTTAACAAGACCTACAAGGCTCTCTGTGGCCAGGCTTTGACCTACATCTCTAAGCCTCATTAGCAACATAATTCCAAGCCATGCCATTATTTCAGTTCTTTTCCATCTCCAAAAGGGCCACAGGGCCTTTGCACATGTTCTTTTGTAGGGAATACTCCTTAGCAGGCCTCCCAGATAATCTTCAAATCTTAGTTCTACTTTTACTCCTTCAGGATGCTTTACCTAACCTCTTATTATACATTTTCACAGAAAACTCTTTGTAGCACATATCACAGTTATAATTTGTGTATACTTTTTATCATTATCTAATTAATATCAGACTCCCAAATTAAACTATAAGATCTAGGAAGATAATACTTTTGCCTATTTTTGTTCATTACTGTATCCTTTGCATTTCACATAATGCCTGACACATAGTAGGTTATAATTAAATATTTGTTGAATAAATGAAAGCTTCTTTTTCCCTCCCTCACTTCTTCTCTTTCTTTTTCTTTCTTTCTTTCTTTCTCATTCTTTCATTCTTGCTCTTTTTTTGGGATATGGCCATAAATGATAAATAACTTGGTTTTATTTACATTAATCAAGAAAAGACCAATAAATAAATTGTTTTAAAAAGCATTTGAATTTTCAGTGAATAAAATGATAATAATTACACTGGGCACTATAGTAGCAATGTTTAATTTTGATGTTTATTTGCTTGGTATTTATATTCCAAAATATATGTTAGCTTTATCAAAAAGGAATCTAAGGGTATTATAAACTCTAACTTGGCAGCATTTAAAAAATATTCAAGATATTCTAGTAATTTTGCTTAAGTACAGTAAGCACACCAAACAACGAATGATCCCTCCCTTGTTCTTTGTTTTATGATATGATTAATTACTTTCTATTTTCCAATGAGATTTTTCTTTATTTTATTTTAGAAAACCATCTTGATTTAATAAACAATTTGTTTATAGATGTATGTATCTATGCCTTAGCTTTCTTCTTGAGAACTATAGATAGCATAATGTAGTATGCTTGGAAATGATAATAGTGTTACTAATATTTTGTGTGCTTCCTTGTGGAACCACACTTATAAGTGACAAGACAAATCTTTTATACCTCAACCCACATTTTTATTTGTGAATATTTTATTCTTTCATCTGTAAAAACCTGGTTCACCTTCAACTGGATAATAGCTTTCTGAATCAGACTATAGAATGTGCTACATTCCCAGAAGGCAAATTTGTGAGTTTTAGATAAATGTCATGTATTTTTGTTTAATTATCTCAAAATATATAATACAGTGGGGGTGAATGACAGCTGTGTGAGGATGTATATATTAAAGAATCCTCTTACTGGTTTTTGGCAGGGCCTGCTGTAGTTCCAGTCTCTTTGTTTACCATGTGCAAAAGACTGGATCAACTTTCAAACACTTTATTATGGTTTAATAGGGGAATCATTAGTAGATGAGTTTAACAGACCCAAATGCTAGACACTCAGTGGTTTATTTTTCAAGATTAAAATAATGTCTGTTTCTAACCTTCAGGAGTTTGAAGCAAATTTGCATACAGCTGTATTCAGTTAAGTGCCTTTCAGACTTCTTGTTACATTAAGAATGTACAAGTATTAAGAGTGCTTGTAATACAATTGACTTTAGGCTGAATTTTACATTAATGGCCCCTTTTGTTATTTAGCTGGCATTAAAGGCTTAAGTACAAGAAAGCCAATGCACAAAGTGTACCATTTTTATTTTAATTTAAACTACCAAAAAATTTAGTGATGAAAACATCCGTTATGCTATTTGAGATAATTTTTCCGCCAAAGCTCTTTTTAGCAAAAGGCAAATGTTAAAAGAATCTCAAAATGCAGTTACCTCAGGATTGCTGGGCAAATGGATAAAGACTGCAGTGATACAAATTTTAACCACAATGGCCTGGGGACAGAAAGCTGATGGAGTTTGGGCTTCTCTTAGGATGCTGTCAGGAAAAGGCCCATTACCATTGGCAAACAGGGAAAAGGATTGTGAGTAGGATGCTAAGAAGTGCAGCACGGGATGTACAGCAAAGATGTCGCAGCCGTTGCCAGAACAGGAAGTGCTTTCAACTAATCTCTAAGGGAAATCCTTCTGGCAACCTTTATTTAACAAATGCCTTCCAATTATGCTATTTATGTGATCTCTACTAGCTTATTGATATCTTTAATAGGAATTATCCAATGTCTAATAAAATCACTACTTCTCTAGAAATGATAGAATATACCAGATAAATGAATTTTATAATTAATTTTAACATCATAATTCTAAACTATGCTAGCCTGCATTTAATTCTATTAATCAAATATCAGGTTATTACTATGCATAAGGCATCAAATCAGCACCTTTCCTTTCTTGGTATATGAGAAATGCAATGAATATGATTGATGACCTAGGAACTTGCAGTACCTCTTATAGTCTCCATACTGTATATTAATTCTCATTGAATATCAGTTCACATAAGAATGTAGAAAATTAAGGAGACTACATTGAATTCTTTGATTGTCTATGGAAATATATACCTTTATGTTTGAAACTTTTTTGCTTTTTATTTTCTTCTTTTTCTTATAAGTAAAGTACTAAGAAAAGTTTCGTTAATTGAGGGATCTGGATAGTTGAATCCCAAATACTGAGGGTTTGTCACAAACTTATTCTCTCTATATACGTTTGGTTATTATTTTAAAAGAGTGCTGCTTGAAACTAATCTATCTGACATAATATGAGAAGTGGCTTTTCAATGAAAGATGAAAAAGACAGATGGGAAGAGACCAAGGTTTTGGAATTGTATCTTTTGACTGTGATAGGTATATTATTGAACTACTGATAACACTAAAGTCCACAGAGAAGGCCGGGCACGGTGGCTTACACCTGTAATCCTAGCACTTTGGGAGGCCGAAGGGGGTGGATCACCTGAGGTCAGGAGTTCGAGATTAACCTGGCCAACATGGTAAAACCTTGACTCTACTAAAAATACAAAAATTAGCCAGGCGAGGTAGCACGTGCCTGTTTTTCCAGCTACTCAGAAGGCTGAGGCACGAGAATCACTTGAACCTGGGAGGCAGAGGTTGCAGTGAGCTGAGATCTCACCATTGCACTTCAGCCTGGGCAATAAGAATGAAGCTCCATCTTAAAGAAAAAAAAAAAGTCCACAGAGAGGTGAAAGAAGTGTCTGGAGGGTATGGCCAAAGAAAACATCTGGTAGACATTTGACCCAGCCATCCCATTACTGGGTATATACCCAAAGGACTATAAATCATGCTGCTATAAAGACACATGTACACGTATGTTTATTGCGGCTCTATTCACAATAACAAAGACTTGGAACCAACCCAAATGTCCAACAATGATAGACTGGATTAAGAAAATGTGGCACATATACACCATGGAATACTATGCAGCCATAAAAAATGATGAGTTCATGTCCTTTGTAGGGACATGGATGAAATTGTAAATCATCATTCTCAGTAAACTATCGCAAGGACAAAAAACCAAACACCGCATATTCTCACTCATAGGTGGGAATTGAACAATGAGAACTCATGGACACAGGAAGGGGAACATCACACTCTGGGGACTGTTGTGGGGTGGGGAGGGGGGAGAGATAGCATTAGGAGATATACCTAATGCTAAATGACGAGTTAATGGGTGCAGCACACCAGCATGGCACATGTATACACATGTAACTAACCTGCACATTGTGCACATGTACCCTAAAACTTAAAGTATAATAATAATAAAATAAAATAAAAGAATGAAAAAAAAAAGGAAACATCTTGTAGAACAAACATTAGCAAGAACCTCCTACTGGGCGAGTGGATTATAACAAATTGAGTAGCTGTGCACACTTTGCTAAGTATGGGATACACTGTTATCTTGGAAAATATTTTCAAGGAGTTGGTCATCATCATGTAACCCAAAGAAAAAAGGCAGTGACTTCTCCATATTGAGACACAAAATCAGGGCTGGATCTGACAGACAAAGCAGAAAACACAATCTAGGGTTGCAAATTTACAAGACTACAGGGGATGAGCAGAAAATGCATATGGGTGAAATTGGCCAGTTAAGACTGTGACAAACTGGAGAGCTCATGCTTTGTGTACTTGGTGAAATGGTTATTTATTGTCTTCACATAGAAATGCAGGCCCATTGTGGCCAGATCTTACAATTTAAAAATAATAATTAACATGCACCAAAAAAAAACCCAGAATAAGTAAAAAGTAATGACCTGGAGATCTACAAGTCTTCTATCTTTATGCTATATTCATAGCATGACTTGCAAGAGTCTGCTTACGTCTCATCTTCCATTGTGCTACTCCTTCATAACTCTACACTAGTTGCACTGGTCTCTTGTTTCTTATATAGAGATGGGGTCTTACGATGTTGCATGAGCTGGTCTCAAACTTCTGGGATTAAGGAATCTTCCTGCCTCAGCCTCCCAAGTAGCTGGGACTACAAGTGAGCACCACTGTGTTCAGCTGCACTGGCCTTTAAAAAAGTTTATCAGATATTTCTTTTTCAGGAGCATTTTTTTTGAGACAGAATTTCACTCTTGTCACCCAGGCTGGAGTGCAATGGCGCAATCCCAGCTCACTGCAACCTCTGCCTCCTGGGTTCAAGTGATTCTCCAGCCTTGCCTCCTGAGTAGCTGGGATTACAGGCTTGTGTCACCATGCCCAGCTAATTTTGTATTTTTAGTAGAGATGGGGTCTCACCGTGTTGGCCAGGCTGGTCTTGAACTCCTGACCTCAGGTGATCCACCTGCCTCAGCCTGCCAAAGTGCTGGGATTATAGGCATGAGCCACCGTGCCCAGCTATGAGCATTCTTTAATCATTCTCTTTGCACAATTATTTCTTCCTCTTCTTTTTGAGGCAGAATCTTATGCTATCACCTAGGCTGGAGTGCAATGGTACAAACATGGCTCACTGCAACCTCAAATGCCTGAACGCAAGTGATCCTCCTGCCTCAGCTTCCCAAATAGCTGGAAATATAGGCTTGGGCCACTGCGCTCAGCTGTTTTTGATTTTTTTTTTTTGTAGGGATGGGCATCTCACTTTGTTGCCTAGGCTGGTCTTGAACTCTTGGGCTCAGTGGATCCTCCCTCCTCAGCCTTCCAAAGTGCTGGGATTACAGGCATGAGCCACCATGCCTGGCATGATTCGATTATCTCTTATTCGTCCCTGAGATCTCAGCAAAAATATAATCTCTCAGGACAGTTGCTCTTTCAAGTTCCTCCCTGCAACCCCCCAAGATTAGATAAGAATTCCTCTCATAGGACTTCGTACATTTTGTCATCTTACCTATCTATTTGGTATCTGTGTGTGGCTTTCTTTTGGTGGGTAATGCTAGGAGTCAAATGCTTTGTTTAATGTCTAGTTCATCACTGGATTATAAGCATCACAAGTTTTGGGACTTACCTGTTTTTGAAAATGCTGTTTCTCCATAACTTAACATAGTGCCTATGCAGATCCTCAGAATATATTTACTTAATCAATCAATGTACTAACCCCTAGCACAGCAGAACTAATATATCTTGGGGAAAAGGGCTCGTGAGATCTCTCCTTGGTCCTGAAAACTATTTGTGAAAAGACACGGCTGCTTGATTGAAACATTTTAGGTAAGGAGATAGCAACTGGTAACAATTGGCCAGGGAGTGGGGGAAGTTGAGAGAGGAAAAGGGAACTAATAAAATAAACTAATATTTACTGACACTTTTCTACATATGTATGTCTTTTCTTTACATAAACACTGGACTTTGGCCGGGCATGGTGGCTCACGCCTGTAATCCCAGCACTTTGGGGTCTGAGGCAGGTGGATGACCTGAGGTCAGTAGTTCAAGACCAGCCTGGCTAACACGGAGAAACCCTTTTTCTACTAAAAATACAAACAATTAGCCAGGTGTGGTTGCATGCACCTGTAATCCCAGCTTCTCGGAAAGCTGAGGCAGGAGAATCACTTGAACCTGGGAGGCAGAGGTTACAGTTGGCCAAGAGCATGCCATTGCACTCCAGCTTGGGCAACAAGGGTGAAACTCTCCCCTCCACCAAAAAAAAGAGGGGACTTCAAAAAGTTTGTGGAAAAAAATGGAAGTAAAAACTAAACTAAAAATATGGACCAGGTGTGGTGGCTCAGGCTTGTAATCCCAGCAGTTGGGAGGCCAAGGCAGGCACATCACTTGAGGCCAGGAGTTCAAGACCAGCCTGGCCAACATGGCAAAACCCTGTTATATACCAAAAATACAAAAATTAGCTGGGCATGGTGGCAAAGACCTGTAATCCCAGCTACTTGGGTGGCTGAGGCACTAGAATCACTTGAAGCTGGGAGGCAGAGGTTGTAGTAAGCTGAGACTGCACCACTGCACTCCACCCTGGGTGACAGAGTGCGACTGTAAAAAAAAAAAAAAAAGGAAAAAAGGAAAATAAAAAGAAGAACACCCCTAAAAATATAAACCTTATTTCTCAATATAATCTCTATCCAAGGAATTGTTGGTAAGCAATGATACCAGCTATTTAGTTCATCTCTAAAGAACTGAGGGTCCTGGGAACTGAAACATATATTATTAACTAAGGAAAAATGGGTAACCTCTATGATTTTTTAAGGTTAGGAATCAAAAAGAAGTTAAAAGGAGCCAAATTAGGACTATAAGGTGGATTCCTAATGATTTCCATGGAAACTCTCAGAAAATGTCCTTGTTTGATGAGAGAAGTGAGCAAGAGCATTGTCATATTGGACAAGGACTCTCTGGTGAAGTTTTCCTGGGCATTTTTCTGCTAAACCTTTGGCTGACTTTCTCAAAACACTCTCATGGTAAGCTTTCTCAAAAAACTCCCACAATATTGTTCTTTGGCTGTCTAGAAATTCAGCAAACAAAATGACTTGAGCATTCTAAAAAAAAATCATTGCTGGGGGAGGTTCCAAGATGGCCGAATAGGAACAGCTCCAGTCTACAGCTCCCAGCGTGAGCCACACAGAAGATGGGTGATTTCTGCATTTCCTACTGAGGTACTGGGTTCATCTCACTGGGGCTTGTCAGACAGTGAGTGCAGCCCATGGAGCATGAGCCGAAGGAGGGCAGGGCATCACCTCACCTGGGAAGTGCAAGGGGTCAGGGAATTCCCTTTCGTAGCAACGGGAAGCCGTGACAGATGGTATCTGGAAAATCGGGACACTCCCACCCTAATACTGTGCTTTTCCAATGGTCTTAGCAAAGGGCATACCAGGAGATTATATCCTGAGCCTGGCTCGGAGGGTCCCATGCCCATGGAGCCTCGCTCATTGCTAGCACAGCAGTCTGAGGTCGAACTGCAAGGCAGCAGTGAGGCTGGGGGAGGGGCGTCCGCCATGGCTGAGGCTTGAGTAGGTAAACAAAGCAGCCAGGAAGCTCGAACTGGGTGGAGCCCACCACAGCTCAAGGAGGCCTGCCTGCCTCTGTGGACTCCACCACTGGGGGCAGGACATAGCTGAAAAAAAGGCAGCAGAAACTTCTGCAGACTTAATTGTCCCTGTCTGACAGCTTTGAAGAGAGTAGTGGTTCTCCCAGCACAGAGTTTGAGATCTGAGAACAGACAGACTGCCTCCTCAAGTGGGTCCCTGACCCCTGAGTAGCCTAACTGGGAGGCACCTCCCAGTAGGGGCCGACTGACACCTCATACAGCCTGGTGCCCCTCTGAGATGAAGCTTCCAGAGGAAGGATCAGGCAGCAACATTTGTCGTTCTGCAATATTTGCTGTTCTGCAGCCTCCACCGGTGATACCTAGACAAACAGGGTCTGGAGTGGACCTCCAGCAAACTCCAACAGACCTGCAGCTGAGGGTCCTGACTGTTAGAAGGAAAACAAACAAACAGAACGGACATCCACACCAAAACCCCATCTGTACATCACCATCATCAAAGACCAAAGGTAGATAAAACCACAAAGATGGGGAGAGACCAGAGCAGAAAAGCTGAAAATTCTAAAAATCAGAGTGCCTCTTCTTCTCCAAAGGAACGCGGCTTCTCACCAGCAACAGAACAAAGCTGGATGGAGAATGACTTTGACGAGTTGAGAGAAGAAGGCTTCAGATGACTGGTAATAACAAACTTCTCCAAGCTAAAGGAGGATGTTTGAACCCATTGCAAAGCAGCTAAAATCCTTGAGAAAAGATTAGACGAATGGCTAACTAGAATTAACAGCAAAGAGAAGACCTTAAATGACCTGATGGAGCTGAAAACTATGGCACGAGAACTACATGATGCATGCGTAAGCTTCAGTAGCCAATTTGATCAAGTGGAAGAAAGGGTATCAGTGATTGAAGATCAAATGAATGAAATGAAGTGAGAAGAGAAGTTTAGAGAAAAAAGAGTAAAAAGAAATGAACAAAACCTCCAAGAAATGTGGGACTATATGAAAAGACCAAATCTATGTCTGATTGCTGTATCTGAAAGTGACAGGGAGAATGGAACCAAGTTGGAAAACACTCTTCAGGATATTATTCAGGAGAACCTCCCCAACCTAGCAAGTCAGGCCAACATTCAAATTCAGGAAATACAGAGAACGCCACAAAGATACTCCTCAAGAAGAGCAAGTCCAAGACACATAATTGTCAGATTCACCAAAGTTGAAATGAAGGAGCCAGAGAGAAAGGTCAGGTTACCCACAAAGGGAAGCCCATCAGACTAACAGCTGATCTCTTGGCAGAGACTCTACAAGCCAGAAGAGAGTGGGGGCCAATATTCAACATTCTTAAAGAAAAGAATTTTTAACCCAGAATTTCATTTCCAGCCAAACTAAGCTTCATAAGTGAAGGAGAAATAAAATCCTTTACAGACAAGTAAATGCTGAACGATTTTGTCACCACCAGGCCTGTCTTACAAGAGCTCCTGAAGGAAGCACTAAACATGGAAAGGAACAACCAGTACCAGCCACTGCAAAAACATGCCAAATTGTAAAGACCATTGATGCTAGGAAGAAACTGCATCAACTAATGAGCAAAATAACCAGCTAACCTCATAATGACAGGATCAAATTCACACATAACAATATTAACCTTAAGTGTAAATGGGCTAAATGCTCCAATTGAAAGACACAGACTGGCAAATTGAATAAAGAGTCAAGACCCATCAGTGTGCTGTATTCAGGTGACCCATCTCATGTGCAGAGACACATGTAGCCTCAAAGGGATGGAGGAAGATCTACCAAGCAAATGGAAAACAAAAAAAAAGCAGGGGTTGCAATCCTAGTCTCTGATAAAACAGACTTTAAACCAACAAAGATCAAAAGGGGCAAAGAAGACGATTATGTAATGGTGAAGGGATCAATTCAACGAGAAGAGCTAACTATCCTAAATATATATGCACCCAATACAGGAGCACCCAGATTCATAAAGCAAGTCCTTAGAGACCTACAAAGAGACTTAGACTCCCACACAATAATAATGGGAGACTTTAACACCCCACTCTCAACATTAGACAGATCGAGATACAAAGTTAACAAGGATATCCAGGAATTGAACACAGCTCTGCACCAAGCCGACCTAATAGACCTAATAGACCTATTCTGTGAATCTGTATTTGTATACAGAAAATAATTGACAATACTTGTTTTTCCAGGATGACTTTTTAAAGACAATAGATTGCAGTAAGTAATAAACATTGCAATATCATTAGTTACTGAGTGGACCCTCTTTATCTTTGGAAGTCATATTTTGACAAAGTTTAATCCTGAGAAGGAAAGATAATATTCAATTTTATGATTGTAGGTTTTTCATTAGGTTGATGAGCACCTAGTACTGCTTAAGAGGTGTACCCTAATCATCTAAATTATCTGAATTACTCCCCCAAATGCCTTCTTTCTGGAACTGGTGAAGTATTTCTTGTGAGGGCTACCCACAATACTGTGTATTTATTTGCACTTGCAGTCTTTGAAAGGAATGACTTGGTTAGCTATACATAAGGGACTCCTTAAGTATATTTATGAATAGATGTAGGGATGGGGTCTTTGATGAATGGATTTAGGTGCAGGACCAGTAAACACATCTCAGAAAGGGAGGAGAAGGAGAAATCTTAATGTTGGCCCAAAGTTCAAGCTCAAAATGGGGTCCAGGGGCTGACCCATATGTATTGGGGGTGACCCTAACGTCCCGCCCACAAATCTCAGTCAGGGAGTGAGCAGAAGCAAGATATAGGTGCTTATGCCTAATGCCCAGTGCATGCAGCATCATTCCTTCTGGATTGTTCAGATTTTACAGGCAAAACTATCTACTGGCCACTCCTGATGTATTCTTATCTTCTTTCAAGACCGCCACCTCATTTCCACTTCACTCCCTTCCTGCTGCATTTTATACACAGCATAAGAATGAAAACTGTGATTTGTCTTGGGTTCTACTAATGAAGTAATATAAGCTTCCCTCATTTATTACAAAGTGAAGCTGTTCAGATCCAGTTTTGAGAATCTTTTAAATGGTTCTTATTTATCACTTAAGTTTTAGAATACACATACAATATAGGTTTCCAAGGATCAATTAAAACAGCAAACAAGCCTGCTGGTATATTTAAGTTTTCCAAAAGTGACAGTTTCTCTGTGTCTCTTTAGGCACTTATTTAATTCTGCAGTTTTTACTTAATTTATTTCCTATGAAAAATCATATATACATAAGCATTATAGATAGGAAATTATGGTCTGAAAATCAATATTTTCACAAGAAGCTATTAATTTCACAGCATAGAAAGTGGAGAATATAGTGTAACATATAAGTCACTTTGTTTATTTCAACCTATGCAAATATGATATATATTTAAACAGATTGTTTTGCAAGTGTACTGTTTGACTAGGGAAAATGAGTTGTGATTTCAAAAGCTACCATTCTAAAGAGGGTATGTGTTCACAAACATGAGCAAGAGTGAATGTTAAGGTAACATAACTATGGGCATTAGACGTAATGGCATTAGAACAACAAGTAATGTTTGCTCTAGCAAAATAAAATGTGTCATCCTTCTGTGATTTAGACTTGCTATAATTAGAAACTGTTTATAAGGTGTTATTTAGTAGTTTCCATTATGCAGCTGTCTATTTAAATCATTTAATTTTGGCATCTAATCCAACTTCCAGTCTCCATCAGAGACAAATAAGAAACCATATGTGAAGGCATCTGTGGAAATCTTCCTTTTATTTATGACAACATTAAAGTAAGACTCAGATGTCAGTTACTTAACAGTAATAGACATTCCTTTGCACCTATAGTGCTGGGTTACTTGGGCATATCCCTCAGTGGTATCTTATACCTACTGCTGTTTGCTTCATTATATACAGATGCACAGCAGTGGAGATACTAATAGTCTTTCTTAATTAAATAAAGCTAAATGTTAATTAGTCCAAAAATGATTTATTTTCAGTGCATGAAACTTTTCATAGTGGGCCTCTTGCTTTTAAAGAACAGGTTGTATTCTCATTTAGAACTTTACATTTTCCTTCTTTATTTGGGGTTTGTATTTGGAGTCTTGTGGTGGGATCTAATCGTCATAGAGAAATTATAGGTCTACAGATGTTTTCAAGATGTTCCTCTGTCAGTAGCAGATTATCCCCTGTAGCAAAATCTCATTAAAGTGCAATTTACAGAGCTCTGCTGATGTTGCCATCAACCAAAATTAAAGGCATTAATTTTTCAAAGTTCACAGAAGTCCTTACATAAATGATGTAGCAGTTTGCAAGAACAATTTACAGAAGTGTTATTTGCAGAATTAACCTACATTAACAGAACAAATGTTGTAAGGGTGGAAGAAAGGGCTGGGCAGTGAAATTGCAGCTGTTCCCAGTTTATATTAGGTGCTTGATGTAAAGAAGTGTTGAAATGTAACAATGACTGCTTGCAGGGTGAAAAGTTGAGAAGGGAAAACAGAAATTTGAACGACCTTGCTAAAGAGTTAAGCTTACAACAGAGTGATCACCAGTTGGGGACACCCAGTGAGACCTTAAATTCTACTTTGAAACATCTGTAGTCAATATCTTTTAAAATATTCTCATTTACAGAATGAGTTTATGTAGCTCATGTTGTGAGTATTTCTCTTCAATCAATTGCCAAATGTTGAAGAATTTATTGTCTGTACCTCAACTGATTGTAGCTAAAAGTTACATACATAGTGATGTTTATGGCCCAAGACATTAAAATGTGACTTTCTCCTAGTAGAAGAGGTATGCATTTTTTCTATCATTATTTTACCTTTTTGTATATATACGTTTTCCTCCAGTGAAATCTTGACTACTGAATTTAAAACATTATAGTTGAAATTTTAAAAAGATTAGAAATTTCTGAGATTAAAAACAGAAAAGACTTTCCTTTTGAAGTGATAACAATAATGCTACCACATTTGTTTCAGAACAGAGGGTACAGTTCTTAAAACTCATTAATCTTTACTAGTTTTTTTTTTTCTTTCATTACCTTAGTTATTTCAGCCTGGATTTGAATCTCATTGTATAAATGAGAGGGCTCATCAATCACACCTGGTCTCAGCCACTCTTTCTCTGAAAGGCTTGTGCTTTCTTGCTTTCTCAAGATCCCAGGGATGGTCTTTATTCCAGGAAGTCTAGGTGATGCTTGGTGGTTAGAGTGAACTGTTGGGATATCTGTGTCTTTGCAAGGTTGGTCTTGACAGTTCATGTCAATGGGAAGCACAAGCTGTTTCTGTTTAGGAGCCAGCCATTGAATGTGAAATTGTGTTCCTAGTTAACAGGTGTGCATGCATGTCATACAATGATCCCACAAATGCTATTACAGCCATACGAATTCTTGTGGTTGAAATCATTTCATGTGTGCCAGGCTCCATTTGCTTTGTCTAAACTTTGGGTGCATACCAGGTTTGATTACATAGTTTTGTTTTTTTTTTCTCCTCTCTGAATCTCACTAAGTTCGCTGGCCTTTGTCAGAAAATTCACTTCTGAGTAAGACACCATGATAAACTTATTTTTTAGCAATCTTAAAACAATTTCAAAGAACAACACAAATACAAAGCTAAAAAAATTAAAGATATGAAAAATTAGAACACTGGGGAAATTTGAAAAGAACACATTTGCCTTTGGTGAGTATAAAATTCAGGATTTTGCTAATAAACTCTGTTGTCGGGAAAGTTTCCTATCTGAAAATGCCAATTTATCAAGGGACCAGGTGGAATACATGTCCATTGGCCTTTCTGTTGAGATTTTCTAAAAGAATATCAATTATGTTCCAGAATGATGGGGCCATCTGTTAACCAGGGCTGATTTCAAATCACCAAATATTGGTAAGAATATTAAGCCTTGCTAATTTGCATAGTATCATTATCTCTAATACAAAAAAATACATTTGGGAAAAAATGAGTATTCTCTGGTCTATTCAAGTATAAAGATATCCACTTGGGTGCAGTGTAAACCCTATAATATTTACAGTGTGTATGGTCTATAAATATTACTCATACCTGCCTTGACATAGTAAAAGCAGCAATTGTTACTTTACTATCTCTTAGACAACGAATATGAGAAACTAACACAGATGGACTATAAATTTGATTGGCAGTCCTAAGTCCTAGTCAAAAATATTCTTGAATTTTTCGTTAATTTTTTTCTTAATTAAATGTTCCTTAAGTTGTTTCAATAATGTACAAATACATGGCAGAATATTCCTTTTCATTATATAAGGCAAGTAATTTGCTCATTTAAATAAGGTTTTGTACTTTGCTTAAGGTGACTAGCTTACGGAAATATTGTCTGAATCAAATTTTCATTTGTGTTTAAAAATAAATTTTCCTTACTCATACTAGACCTCTCATTAAAAAAAATGGAAATATTAACAAATTTGACATAATAGGTATATGCATATTTATATCTGTACATCTAATGTTTAATAATAATTATGTAGTATCAGTACAACCGAATTACAATTTCAAATATTAGTCATTTTATGAATAATTTGAGAATAATTTCATATAATAAAAATAATAATTTAGAAAACAAATTTTTTTAAAGTACTAATTAGCTAAGACACCACTGAAAAATGATTACACTTTTACTGAGCAATATTAAATTTTATATTCATAATAGTGTTCAACACCGATTTCAGCCCTTGTTCTTTCATTCATAAGTGGAGAAAAAATGTTTTGGTTGGTCAAAATTGAATTCCACTTCAAATAACAGTCCCTGGAGAATATATTTAAACAAGGTCTTTAGAATTCATCCCAGACTTTACTTACAATTCTTAGAGTTAAAATAATTTGGACAATTATTAATCCTTGCAACTAGTGCAGTGTGACCCACAGACTTTCCTCACATGGATGGATTGCAGAAGAACTCAGCAGCCTCCCTGCCAGTCTGACCTGCCAATACCCAACCTGATTCTTTCTTACCCTAAGAGTTGATCTTAAACCAATTTTTTTTTCAGGCACTCAGGTTCATACCAGCTGTCCTCCTCTCTACAGAAATTTCCTCTGCCCTGACTTTCTTCTTGAATACTTTAAGACAATAACAAAGGGAACTCAATATATATAGATCTTTTGCTAAATTTGGTCAGAATCAGTCCACACTTTTGAAAATTACTATAGGAGAAATGGACATATGCATGTAAAAAGATAAAATGAGCAGATGAAATAATGCAACTATTTAGACAGCTGGTTATTTTTCATAATTTCTGCACATGAAGCATTCACAGTGGGAGGCAATGTAGAGGAGTGGTTAAATGTTCATACCCAGAGTCAGACAGATATGAGTGTGAATCCTCTCTCTGCCATAAACTAACCATATGACTTAGAGAAATGACTCATCTCTCCATGCCTCAGTTTCTTATTTGTAAAATGGGAGAGAAAATAGTATCTGCTTCATAAGGTTGTTCTAAGAACTAAGTCAGAACAGTGTCTAGCACATAGCAACCACTCAATAAGCAATGGTTAAAATGAATTGCTATTACCTTTACTTTTTATTTTTTTGAAATGTGTTCTCACTATGTTGCCCAGGCTAGAGTGTAGTGGTGCGATCACGGCTCACTGCAGCCTTCACCTCCTGGGTTCAAGTGATCCTCCTCCCACCTCAGCCACCCAAGTACCTAGGACTACAAGTGCATACAACCATATCTAGCTAATTAAAAATATATATATATATTTGTTGGGGGGTGAGGTCTCACTATTGTTTCCCAGGCTGGTCTCAAACTCCTGGGCTCAAGCAACTCTCCAACCTCTGCCTCCCAAAATGTTGGGATTAGAGGCATGAGCGTTTATGCCCAGCCAACTACTATCTTTAGAAATAGAAAGTAAAGACAAGTAGGCAAGCTTTCCAGGCCATGGCTTGTAAAACCAAGGTGAAGAACTCAGAAGAGTAAGAAAGATAATGATTCTCCTTTGGTTTTACACTGTTCTGTACTACTTTTTGAAAATGTCTAGTTAATTTGCTTTCAGAAAGTTTTTGTAATGTGCTTTAAAGAGAATAGTACTATTTTTAAAAACATTTTTAATGTGCTTATGGAACCAAGAATATGGGTAAAACTGTTATTCTGTACACAGAGAACTTCAAGAAAATCTTCCTTGTAAACTCATATTCTGGAATGAATTCAACACATTGCCTGCCTCTTTAAGTTTGGTCAGAGTGTATAAAAGCTTGATAAAAAAAATCCATCTAAATATTAAAAACCAGGAATGCTGGTTTTTAATAATGTTGGGACATCTTCCAATTTACACTCCCACCCAAAGGATTATTTTTTGGACCTGAGAGTAATTTCTTGATCTAAATCAGGACTATCTTTTGGAGAATAAATAAATAATTATACTTTACATCAGTAAAATCAAATAAATGTTTGTGTCAGACACGATGCTAAAGATGGTTCAACAAGGGTAGTAAGGATCTTTTCATTCAGGAGTGGGAAACTGATATGTATATAACTAAAGAGCAAACAAAATAAAGGGAAGTTTATAAGAGAGGTGGAACAAAGTACTATCGGAGTGCAAGGAGGACTGAATTACTCTAGAAATTGGTGGCAAATGAGTTGGGCCTAGATGGGAGCATAGAATTTCAACAGGAAGATCAAGGTGGCAGGATCTAGAGTAAGCAGGCATAAAAGCACATGATTAGTTTTATAGGATTACAGATAATAACATTTAAAATTAATTAGTATAAAATTATGGGTACATATGTGTAATATATTTTGAGGTATTTAAGCACTAAAATGTATTTTTCCTTCCCCACTTTCTCATTTTATTTCATATATGTATGCAAAATGATCATATAGTCAGTATCTTATGTTGAAAAATTATTATTAGCTAGGTAGTATTCCTCAGTTTTTATATGCATGTTATTTTATATGTGTAATTATATATATTTATATATAAGAAATATATATATAAATTTTATAATTAATAATTATGTATGTATAAATAAGAATTATTCTTTAAAAAGACCAACCATGTTTGTTGGCTGCATAAATGTCTTCTTTTGAGAAGTGTCTGTTCATATCTTTTGCCCACTTTTTGATGGGGTTGTTTGTTTTTTTCTTGTAAATTTGTTTAAGTTCTTTGTAGATTCTGGATATTAGCCTTTTGTTAGATGGATAGATTGCAAAAATAACATGAATAAAAGCTCATGATCACTGGTCATTAAAGAGATGCAAATCAAAACCACGATGAGATACCATCTCATGCCAGTTAGAAAGACAATCATTAAAAAGTCAGGAAACAACAGATGCTGGAGAGGATGTGGAGAAATAGGAACGCTTTTACACTGTTGGTGGGAGTGTAAATTAGTTCATACATTGTGGAATACAGTGTGGCAATTCCTTAAGGATTTAGATCTAGAAATACCATTTGACTCAACAATCCCATTACTGGGTATATACCCAAAGGATTATAAATCATTCTACTATAAAGACACATGCACACACATGTTTATTGCAGCACTGCTCACAATAGCAAAGATGTGGAACCAACCCAAATGCCCATCAGTGATAGACTGGATAAAGAAAATGTGGCACATGTACACCACGGAATACTATGCAGCAATAAAAAGGATGAGTTAATGTCCTTTGCAGGGACATGGATGACACAGGAAACCATCATTCTCAGCAAACTAACACAGGAACAGAAAACCAAACACCACATGTTCTCACTCATAAGCGGGAGGTGAACAATGAGAACACATGGACACAGGGAGAGAAACATCACACACTGGGGCCTGTTGGGGGGCAGGGGAGTAGGGGAGGGATAGCATTAGGAGAAATACCTAATGTAGATGACAGGTTGATGGGTGTAGCAAACTACCATGGCACATGTATACCTATGTAACAAACATGCATGTTCTGCACATGTACCTCAGAACTTAAAGTATAATAATAATAATAAAAAAATAAATAATCAAAAGACCAACCATTTAAAAAGGAAAAAAAGCCTTTATGGCACAACAAAAACTACAGTTTTATTGACATTAAGTTGTATACCTCGAGTAAGATTGCCTTACCTGTAACAATTGTTTGTCACCTGTGGAAGGGTTCTTGTCAAATTTGAATGGGCCTATCGATAAAGCTTCATGTTCAAGAACATCAGTATGACTCTTCATTACCAAAGAGGAAGCATTTTCATCTTCAGATGTGTTTGTGACAAAACTGGGTATTGTGACTACAGAAATAATTGAAAAAGCGGTAACACGCCATTTTAAAAGAGTAATCTATCTCCATCTCTTTGTATCTATTAATCTGTATTTTAAATAATATATATCTCTCCTAATATATATTTTCATATATATCTAATAAAATATACATGATGTGTGTATACATATATATTCTTTAAAATCCATATGTAGAAATGAATATTCATAATTTTGGATAGAATCAGGTGGTACCTGTGAGTGTATGTGTGTGCACACAGCTTATTCCAGCTTTTCCCCTCTTCTTCACTCCGTAGTGTTGCTCTCAATCACTCTTCTATCCAATGATGGCTTCTGGGAGCTATGCCTTTATTTAACTATGAAGAGTAGCCAGATAGAATGAACTCAAAGGATGTTACATGCTTCCTCCTTTTTGCACTTTTCTTTTCTTTTTCCCTTTTCCATTATTTCTTTTTTGCTTTGCTTTACTCCTATTGTTTTGCATTGGCCACCACATTGTTTTGGAGACTGAGTATTCAACTTTGTATGTTTTCTTCTTCCCATCATTTCTACTTGTTTTAGTATTGAGTAAATTGATAGGAGGGTTAATGCACAACACAACACATGAGGGAGTAACCCTTCTTGATGTACTTTTGATTATCCTCTTCCAGAGTTGTGTGAGATGAGAATATGGGTAATAATAGCCTTACTAGTACTCTGTGTAGTATGACTATTGTGTGGAAACAACAATAAAACCTCCATCTACTGAGTGTCTTTCAGTGACAGGTAACATGCTGAATACTTTATATTATCACTTTATTTTATGCACAAAAGTCCAAGGTTTAAAGAAGTTGAAAACTTAGTGGCAGTTTGAGGGGAGCATTGAGATTTGAGCCTATGTCTGTTTAACTCTAAAGCCCATGGTTTTAACCACTAGTTGTTATTACCTCAATGTATTTTATTCTAAAAAACCTATATTTTTTTCTTAGATAATAACTTAATGGAGTCAGGATATGTGAAATATGGAGGTTTAGCTTATGAGAAACAGATGTCTGAGGTATATGACCAAAGGTTGACTGGAAGACTCATTTCCCCTCACATTTTTCTTCAGTGAGATATCTTTAGGAAAAAAAAAATTCTTTCTTAACTTTAAATCAGTTGACAATATTTTATAGGTTTTAAAGACAGAATATGTTTTTGAAGAAAGGACTTATGATAGAGAAAGCAACAGGTTTTCAGAAAGTTTACCTCACAAATTAATAATAATAATAATCAAGTGCCTTTCCTTGAGAAGACCCAGATGATTTATAAAACATGAAGGTCAACAGCTTTGCACTTACACTTCAACCAAACAAAAAGACTAAGCAACATTGTGCAGCTTGCTGGAGCCCTCTCTATAGAGCACTGGAATATTTGAGAGCTTTGTGTTGCAGATTTCAAACTCAATTTAATAATGAATCATTTAGGGAATGAAAATCTAGGTTTTTGTTCTGCATTTAGAAAATTACTAAATGAATAAATAAAAATAAAGGCTTTTATTTTCATTTACCTGGTCTGTACAGAAATCAAAATGTAGTGTTCTATTTGTTATAAAGCTATAGAAGCACATACATACACTCAGCTTAATTTGAATTAATATGGGTATAATAATATGTGCATGCATTTAAGAGTAGGAATTTTTATTACTGGAATAAATCTGTTGGTTTTTAGACAAAAAGAGTTTTTTTCCAGGAACTGTTTACATTTGGTTTCTTTTCCAATACTTTCTAGCCTGACTGGTGCTTCTGAATAAAAAGAATAACTAATTAGTGTGAAATCCTGTTTGAATAATAGGATTTCTGAGAAAAGAATTACCAGATTATTTTACACTTTAAAGTCATTTGTAAATTGTTTGTATGATTCCTCCAGAGGAATTAAAAATGTTTTTCTTTAAATTTCTGGATCCACTTGCTGAGCAATTTATTATTAAAAATTTGGAAAAGGTTATATTCTTAATTTTTGAGATGACCTTTAGGCCTATCTTGGCTTTAGCCTTAAGTTGGATGTGCAATTTCAAGCCTGCATATCCCAGCTTCTTAGAGGGTTCTGGGAAGCCATGATCACACTATGAAATGGAAAGAGTCTTACAGCCACTTCTGTATGCAGAGGACTCCAGGCCACACAGGGAGCTGATGATGTCATAGAAGCCAGCCCAACCTATATGAGTATTGCCTCTTTATTACCCCACACCGATTTTTTTTTATTTTTATATTTATTTATTTATTTATTTATTTATTTATTTTGAGACGGAGTCTCGCTCTGTAGCCTAGGCTGGAGTGCAGATGCTCGATCTTGGCTCACCACAACCTCTGCCTCCCGGGTTCCAGCGATTCTCCTGCCTCAGCCTCCCGAGTAGCTGGGACTACAGGCACCGCGCCACCACACCCGGCTAATTTTTTGTATTTTTTAGTAGAGACGGGGTTTCACCATATTGGCCCGGCTGGTCTCGAACTCCTGACCTTGTGATCCGCCCGCCTCGGCCTCCCAAAGTACTGGGATTACAGGAGTGAGTCGCTGCGCCCGGCCTGTAAATAGGATTTATGAGAACACTTGCGCATTGCCCAAATCTTAATCCAACTCCCAGGTTTTCCTACTCCCTAAGAGCCTAAATAAACTTTCCTTATAGCTTCAGGAACTGTATTTCCCAATTTTACTGGTCTAGAACCGGATCAATTCTTGTGCAAATAAGAGGCAATAGTAGGTGTGTTGGAAAAAGCAAAAGCCTAGGTTTCAGAAGATACGAGTATCAATTTTGACTATGTTCTCAACTAGTCCTAGAATGAGGACCTTGAGTAAATCCGTAAACTTGGATTAGTGATGCCCCAGGTTTGTTGTTGTTGTTGTTTATTTGTTTGTTGTTATTAAACAGAATTTCAGGGCTGGAAGAAATCATGGATTAGGGCAAAGGTCACAAACTCGTGTCTAGACTGAGGAGTCCCAGGTAACACAGGAAATGGTCCTTATGTAAAATGAGAGGATGTAATGTAAGATCTTACATCAGACGCAATAGCGATGAGGACAGTAATCAGCTGAAGATACAATGCCGAGTCTAGGCTGATCATTGTCATGTGGGAGTCTGCCCAAATTTGACTGATGGTAATATTTTTCAAGAGAAGACTAAATCCAGATTCGCTGTGAAATCCCCTGATTTCTTGTTCTTCTTCTTTTTTTTTTTTGAGACAGAGTCTCGCCCTGTTGCCCAGGCTGGAGTGCAGCAGCAGGATCTTGGCTCACTGCAAGCTCCGCCTCCTGGGTTCATGCCATTCTCCTGCCTCAGCCTCCTGAGTAGCTGGGACTACAGGCGCCCGCCACCACGTCCGGCTCATTTTTTGTATTTTTTTAGTAGAGACGGGGTTTCACCGTGTTATCCAAGATGGTCTCGATCTCCTGACCTCGTGATCCGCCCGTCTCGGCCTCCCAAAGTGCTGGGATTACAGGAGTGAGCCACCGCTCCCAGCCTGAAATCCCCTGATTTCTAAGTGTTCTTAAGTACTTGGGAAAACTGAAAATTACACCTGCCAAGAGAGTTGGTGTGCAAGTGATCAGTTAGGAATCTCTGGTAGAAGCTCTAGGGAGTCCTAAAAATTGCCTTTACCTGCGGGATAAATCCCCTCAGAGCTCACCAGAGCACTGTATTCAGGGCTCAGTAGGGAACACTCTATGGCTATAAAGAGGGCTGTTGAGGACATTTGTTGCTTTTCTTCATCCAATTTATGCAAGCTTTGATTTTTGAGTCATGGTTCCTTGAAACCTTGCACAGTTGTGCCTGTAGAGAAGAAACTTCCAGGACCATTTTTTTTTTTCACTTCTTTATAGCTTAGCAATGTATCTGATAAGTGAAACAACAACCAAGATAGCATGTCAGATGATTTGTATTCAAATTTTACAGTAGCAGGGAATGGTTATATTGAAAAGAAGACTGTTTTGGTAGCAGGCACCTGGAGAATGATACTTTTGCAAATTAGCTGGCAAAAAGGACTTCAAAATGTAAAAATATTTCAGTGTAGGCTTTCAGAAAATAAAGAATAGATGGCTGAAAACTTCTGTTTTACATGCAAGCAGGCAATGCAGCAGTGTCTTCAAGGGTTCTGCTTTGGGACGTTAACTTCTCTGACTTCAGTTTCTTCATCTCTAAAGGAACATTATAATAGCAATATTGCTACCTACCTTATTAGGGCTGCTATGAGGATTTGATAAATGAGACTGTGAATGAAAAGTGCTTAGAGAAGTGTCAGCCACATAATAAGCACAAACAAGTGTTAGCTATTATTTTGCCTGCTCCCTACACCATCTTGGACTTAGTTCTACTTGCCATCTTGAGGTAGTATCAAGATAGCTTTCGTTTTGTGCAGATTCTTCAAAAATATATGTTGAAAGCATGGACATATATACACGTGACTATAAGCTGACTACTACCTATAAAAGATTAGCAAATTACTAAATTGGGCTTTTGTTAACATTGTTCTTTCCTGTTTCCTACTTAGTGTTTTGTAGGTTTAAACTGAGGATTGTTGTCAGTATTATTGGATGTTTACATATCAAAATAGTGCTGATTATATTACATTTTTTCCTTAACTAAGCAATGCACTGACTTTAAAAAATATTTAATGCTATAAAAGCAAATAATTAGTACAGCAAAGGTCAGTTAAATAGTGAAACCATTAGATTCAAAACTTAAATGTCAGCAGAGGAACAATCTCCTAATTTGGGGCAATTATCTAGTTCATTGACTTTCGCTGTGATATGTATGTTATGATATGTATGCAAGGTAGGGCTTAGAGAAGAAAATCTAATTAGTTTCTTTTTTTTCATTTACCCTTCATTGCAATTTGCAGTAATGAAAAATTATGCCAATGAAAAATTTGCTCTGTATCTGAATTACTAAAACATAAAAACATGATGAAACATATGTACAAAAATGCTATTTGTTTTAAAAGAGAAAATGAGGACTATCTTTTTCATAGATGTGCTGGCATTGTTAATTTTAACCGTCTAAAATGTAGTAACCACATTAAAGTGTTTAACATGGTACATTAAAGTCAGATATTGATTCCACATTTTGCATTTCAAATAGTCTGAATATCCCACTATGAATGCAAATACTAGGGAATAGTTTACAAACAGCTTTTAGTGGTTTCTGAAAATGTGGATTCAATTATTTCTGAATTGGTTTTTCATCAAGAATTTAGAATACAGTCCACTTTTTAATCAACTTTTCAGTTATAAAAACTACACCATTATTCTTTGTGTAGCACAAAAACAAAACAATAACCCATGGCTTTTCTCTTAATTTTTTAGTTTTAAAGTAAGTTGTCCCCCTTTTTTTTTTCTTTTGAGACAGTCCCCCCGTCCCCCAGGCAGGGGTGCAATGGTGGGAACTCTGCTCACTGCAACCTCTGCTTCCCAGGTTCAAGCAATTCCCTGGGACTACAGGCGTGCAGAACCACATCCATCATTTTTTTTTTTTTTTTTTTTTTTTGTATTTGTAGTAGACATGGGGTTTCGCCATGTTGGCCAGGCTGCTCTCGAACTCCTGGCCTGAAGTGATCTGCTCACCTCGGTCTCCCAAAGTGCTGAGATAGCCGGCGTGAGCCACCCACACTCGGCCAGTTGTTCTTAAACCAAGTTAAGAACATGACTGAGCATAGAGAAACAGATACAATGCTTTACACACATGCCATTTTAACTCTTATTTTAGTTTAATATTGACAGGTTTATCAAACTGACCACTCCTTTTCATGACTTCCTGTAAATTTGGTTGGTACTCATTTCATTTTTTAAATTATGAATAAATCTTGTATACTTACATAATATTCTATTTTTAAAATAGCATTAAGTATAAGGCAATTATTATTTGATCATAACTTAATTTGTATTTCACATTTTATAATTTTTCCATCAGTTATATGGTTTCTTTAACATAATTTATAGTTTAGTAGAGCAGTAAAATTACAATAGGAAAGACTATAAGAACTGTAAATGAGACCATATTTATTTCACATATAGAGATAAACACATATGTGTCTGAAAAACAAGATTGACTTAGACATCCAGTCCTTTGGAAATGTTAGTTAATAGTTCAGATTGCTGATCTATGCTCAAAAAGGGGGGAAAGACCACGTTTGTAATGAGATATTTTTAGAAATTGGTCTCTACTGTAAACTAATTTATCCAGTGCCATCTACAAAATACGTGGTTGTCAATAATTCCGTGCTTTTGCTTGACCGTAATCTCCCATGAAAATAGAGACCATCTTGGCAACTTTGGCATGGCCTACTTTGACCATTGTGATCTGGCTCCTTCCTCCTCCCCAGACTCATGTCCTGTCCTCTCCCTCAATACCTGCATTCTAGCCAAAATGACCTTCTTCAGTTCCTGAAACACACTCAGCTCCTTTCTGTCTCAGAGCCTTAGCTACTTCCTACTTATCCTAATCAAATCCCAGCATATGAATCATTTCTCCTAACATCTAGCTCTCATTATGGTTGTCTATTTCCGTTGGAAGACCGAGCATAGTCTAGATAGGATGCAAACTCCCCCTCGTTCATGGTTATGTTTGCTGTTGGGTGTAGTATCCTGCAAGCAGCAGGAGAACGATATGTACTTGCTGAATGAATGAATGAGTTTCTCAGCATTTAACACAATTAATGCTTGGAAAAATCATATGCCAAATAAATTATTATTAAGAAAATATATTGGGTCAAAAAACTTTTTCAACTCTAAATTTCATACTATTTTAGGTGATGCATACTCACTGTCAAATGTAATTATTTACATTTATATTTACATGCTCACTCTGTGCTCTTAGAGGGTACAGTTCAATGATTAGGTACAAATCCTAGTTGTGTCACTTGCTAGCCATATGAAATGTTACTTAAATATTTAAAGTCTTATTTTGTAAATTGAAGGTGATAAAGCTCTCCTAGTGTTGTGAAGCCTAAATGGGATAAAGTGATGCTTGCATGTGATAATTACTAAGAAAGCACATGTTATTTCTTTTTGTTTTTATACAATGAATGTTACTAGCAGTAGACTCTCTTGTTCCTATTAGAGAGGCTGCAATATCAGGTAGTCATTGTGACCAGATTTCCTTCTTCTCAAGTGTTATTCTGTCTGCAGAAACAATATTTTCATATCTGATGGTAAATCACAAGGAGGATGATCTCATTATGTTGTTGCAAGTGTAGCATGGGACCATGCTTTTGCGACTTGAGTTACTAAGCACTTGTGTGACTTCAGCAGAGTGCTATAACTGTTCTGGGATTCTAGTCTCCTTTTTAAAAAAAAGGCTTGGACAAAATAATCTCAGGATGGAAATTTTACGATTGTGACTCAAATGTCTAATTCATTCCCTAGGTGGCTGAGTTGCTCTTTCAGACTTTAGATCTGTAGGTTCAATGACAAGCTTGCTTTTGTAATTTGAGGACAGGGAGGAGATACAAAAGGGTTGGCTATAATGCCAATATGGGTAAAATAATGCTTATAGCTGAGTGAAGTCTAAAACACCTCATTGGCTATTATTTGATGTTTTTTCCATATTCCCAAAGCTCATTGTTATGAGTAGAAATTTGGAATATAATCCAGTAGTGAACTGATCACAGCCCTCTCAACCTATAAATGCCTGAATTTTAGAAAATACCTTTAAATACTAAGGGTATCTTTTTATTTTTAAAAATTCCAACTTTGATTTTAGATTCAGGGGTTACCTGTGCATGTTTGTTACATGGGTATATTGCATGATGCTGAAGTTTGGAGTATGATCAATCCCATCACCCAGGTAGAGAGCATAGTACCTGATAGTTTTTCAACCCTTTCCCCACTCCTCCCTTCCTTTTCTAGTAGTCTCCAATGTCTATTGTTGCCATCTTTATGTTCATGAGTAATCAATATTTAGCTCTCACTTATAAGTGAGAACATGTAGTTTTTGGTTTCCTGTTTTAAGAGCATCTTTGATATAACCTAGTGTAGTTCTCAAGGATGGCTCCTTGTTCCCCATATAGCAGGATATGGCCCTCTCAGTCATTTCATTGTGTATTTATCATACAAATGTGGATAAGTATAAACGCCGAGCAATGGCACGGTTAGCATAGACTCACAGGGAGATATTCACAACCAGAAAGTGGAATTTGATACAGAAGGGGAGGGTGTACCCATACAAATAAGCAAAGGAAGGCAACTAATGAATAAAACATCTTTTTAGAAGTGCAGAAAAGTCAGTTGCTCCACGTTAAAGCTGTTGCCAGGCAACATATCTTTTCACAATAAACACTTGTGAGTCAGATAACTCATGGAGACACTGAATTGGCAAACGTAACTGCTCTTAGGAAACTTCTGCAGGATAGAGAATGCTCACAATCATTTGCACAACATCAGGAATGCATCTCTTCTTGTAACAACTTCTTTGAACCACATCATTTGTTTTTGTCTCTTCATGGGAATTTCCAGTCTTTATGTCTGAATCCCTCTTTATCTTGCAGGAAGCCAGGATGAGATGCAGATCAGGAACACATTCTTCACGGTCTAGGGCGGGGAGAATGTGGGCCTCCCACTTCAGGTGTGGAATGTGCAACTTATGCAGCGGAGTTTCTAAATAGAAAAAGCTGGGATGATAAATCTGTGTTGGTGCAAGAGGAAACAAAAACAAAACTTCCAAGTTTATTTATAAAATCAATTCAGTAATAGAATATCTTCCTAACCTTGAACTCGAATCCTATCTCTTCCTTTTGGTCGTGAGGAAAGACAGAAGCAGGACACATCAGGAATAGTGTTTGTCTTTTTGAGGATGGAATGAGATGACCTTGGGACCACCCACCCCTGTATTAGCAGAGAAGACTGAAAAAGCAGATTTTCAAACAGTAACTTGCTGTCTGATATTCCTGGCAGAAATACAAAAACATAGTTCCATCTCAAATTTATGGCACCATAATGTATTCCCTCTAAGCTTTCCAGATCGTTCCCATTGCCAAATGTGACCAAAGCATAATCACAGCAACTAAACAAATTAAATGTTCGGTTAAAGACATGCCTGAAAAAAAAAGAGTAAGGGGAAGAAAAGCCCCCAGATTGGTAATAAATTAATGCCATGTCAGGCTTTTTAGTCAGTGAACTCACAGCCAGGGCTTCAATGCGCTGCTATGGTGCCATATCCTGAACGTCTCCTACAGGACGGAGACTACAACCACAAGCCAGTGCTGGTCTCAAGCTCTGCTTTGGTATATGTAGCAACAATGACCACCTTTAAAAAATAATTTTATATATTCTCATATTATATTTTAAAATAAATATTGCATTTTATGATACCAAGATGATTAGCATAGCAAGATATTTTATGTTAAAATAAATAAGATTTGAATATAGGTATTTTATATTAAGATAAATAATATTTGAATATTTCCCGTGTTTATTAAAATGAAATTAAATATTTTTGTGGTGGAAACTCCCTCCTCTGTATGCTAAATGTTAACATTTTAAAACATACTTTCAGATATTTTACTATTCTCCCATTACTGATTTTTGTGTGTACTAATTTTCAAAATTTGATTAAGAGTTAAATAATATGACAATTTCCTTTTTGGGGAAGGATTGATTAAGGTAATAAATACAGAAAAGCAGCAATCCTTTGTTTTTTCCTTTGGAAAAGGAAAAAAAAAACCTTTGAAAAAAAGTAAGCCTACTTGTACATTTGTATAAATTTTGGAGCTGGCTATTGCACTTAGAATTTGTATATCCTAATTATTTAATGTAAAAGCTGCAGAAATCAAGACCTTGAAATGTAAAATTACTTACTTAAATTAATCGGTATATTTTTTAGCTGACTTTAAAACTCAGGTGCTGGGTTTTTAGATTTAGCAATACTTTCTTATATGTTATTAAAAAAAATCCTTGTAAAGAAATATGCCAAGACTTCAAAACACAGTATAAAATGTATTAACTTCAAAATTTAGAAAGACAAGGAATAAAACCTCAATGTAATTTTAAAATAGAAATTTACATTTTATATTTTTCTCCACTTATTTTTAAGATCAACATTTATTTAGAAAGAGACTAAATATTTCTCTTGAATATAAAACTATAGGTCACAAATATTAAATATTAAAATAGTATGTAGATATATTTATAGCTATTATTCACCCTACTAAGAATGGCCATGCCTTATTGAATAATTTTTTTCTTTTAGAAATTTAAAAAAAGATGTATGTTACAGGTCATTTTAAAAAGACTTTAAACACTGTTAGTGATTGATATTAGTTCCTCTGGGACATTTAAGAAATATAGTGCATTAAAATTGGCCATCCAAATCTACAAATACACGGAAGTTTTTCCTTGACCTATTGGCACGCTACTATATATTGAAATATTATGCTGTTGTACCTGGCAAATGAGTTAATCATCTTAATGCATTAATCTTGGACAAGAAACGAAACTTATTTATCAATGAAATGGAGATACTAATAATACTTGCTATACACATTCACACATGGACAAGATGAAATCACAAATAGGAACTTACTGTCAATTGTAAAGCACGATTCAAACATAAGAAAGAATTATATTCCTTATATATAAATATAAGGTACCAAAGAACAATGTTGAGCCTTCTTTGTTTTGCCTCAATGGCAAATAATTAGCAGAAAATTAATGTAGGGAAGACATTTTGACTAAGAAGGTTCACATTACACAAATATCTTTGGCTTTCATGACTGCCTGGGCACTTGAATGTATGAGAAAAAATGTTTTTGGCCTTTGGTTTCCTCTTATATGTCCATGAAGTTTTTCCACACATTTGTTACAGTTTTAAAAGTATAAGACATAAAATATATATTCTGCATATTCTTGTTTTTACTACAAATTATGTTACAACAGAAATAATAATTAATTTTGTTACAGAAATTCATATCAAATTATAATAATTTCAGCCTATCTTTTGTAACTGCATGTTTCTCCTATTGCTTTAAAGCTAATTTAGGCCACATTATATACAAAATTAAATCTTACTTTTATAGCTACACCCTTGGGGTTCAATGAAAAGGCTTTATGAGCTAGAAATTAAAAGTACTGGTTGAAAATACTATTACATGATACCAGCTATTATTAAGGCAATTTACAAAGTTGGTGCTAAAACTATGTACATTTTTCATTGTTAGTTCTCATATATTCAGTAAGCCCATGGGACTGTTTGGTATATAATTTGGCAAATAAAATCAATTGAAAAGTAAACAGCAAGTCAGTGGCATTTATCACAAAAGAAAATTACACTATACTAACAGCAACATTTATTTAACCCAATATTGTCATGAATTAACACATTTATATTAAATTTATATTAAATGATTCCAGGAAGACGTTTGGGCACTACATTCTTTAGTATGAATGAATATGTTTTTATTCTGCCACTTTCTTCTCTTTGAAATGGGTAAATAATGAAATTTTTGAGAGTATATACTTTTATTAAAATATATTCCTCACTTTATTACTTTCATATAGCTTTACAAAAGTTTGTTTATTTCCATACACACATTTTTGTTGTGTGGAAGTCAAATTTGAAATATGCTTCATAATTTAAATAGGATTAAGAGATAATTAAGTTTAACCTAGGTAATATATGGACATAAATTACTTCTTTCAAAGATTTGAAAAGGTTAATATTTAAATTACTATAATACAAGCATGCATATGCTAATATGTTATTTTTTCATCTTTAATTTAATGTGTTAAAATGATTTGTAGTTATTCCTTATGATTCTATAAGTATGCAAAATATTTTAAAAACATATAGCTTTAAGATATTACTGAATTTATTTTATTAACTACATCATGTAATTTTGGTGGTACACAATATTATGGTGTTTCATAATGAAAAAGTTTCCTTATTTAGAGAACAATATTTGACTGCTTCCAGCACAGAAACAAATGGTTATTAAATGATTATTATTAAAAATTGTTCATTGTTAAATTACTAACAAATAAATAACAATGTTGTTAATTATTATTAACAATTTAATGTTCTGCTTGATAAATAATGGACATATAACACCTCTCTTAAAGTTTCATTTTTGTATTCTTATGCGGTAGTGATATTTCCACATGTAAGTATCTTTTTTGGTTTATTCTAGTCATTATGCTTTACACTTTTGAGCAGGTTGTTGTAAGTATACTACAGATTAATAACAATAGAGTTATTTTCATTTGGTGTCAACCCTCAGGGTTAGGAAGAAGCAGGGGATTATTTTAAAATATAAAGCAAGTGACTAGTAAGAATGGAATAAAAACAATGGGGCTTTTTTCTAAATCAGGATAATCCAATCTTTTTGTGAGGTCCTTGTCAGGCCAAAGCAAGGATAAGAAATTGAAAATCTACTTGCTTATGACACTGTGTGAATTGGGCCAAATAAAAGACCACAGGAGATGGTAGGCTTGTGATGAACTAACTAGAGAGAGCATGCCTACTTAGAGGGAAGCAAATCGAGAAATTTAAAGAACACTGTGAGGCCAAAGCAAATCCTTCTAAATGCTGAAATCACTTGATGGGGTTACCATATAGCAACCCCTGAAAGTTTAGCATTACACCCTCTGTGTAACACTGTGTGTATGTGTGGTCTAAGTTTCTGGCCAGAAAGGGGCCAAATCGATGGAAAATGTGAAGAGCACCATGACTGGTTGGAACCCTTCCACAATGGCAACTCCACTAGACTTCAGGCTGATATGTTACAAATAGAGTAGAAACCTACCACATACAGCCTGTGGATACTTCAGACACTTTAGTAGATTGTGGTTGACTAATAGGTAACTCTTGGTGAAGGCAAAATAAGGCTTACAAGCGACACATGTTATTAATGAATTATTTAAAATTTCTACGTACTTATTAGGACAATTATCATTTTGTTCAGAACATAAGGAAAATGAATTTTTAATTATTTACCTGGAAAAGCTAAAATGATTTTCTTTACCAGATTTCCATATTTATAGCTCTAGCAAATAATTAATGTAACTAATTTGATTGCATGAAAAGTAATTCAATTCTATAATGTCTACAATAATTAAAATTTTCAAGGACCACAAATTATGAGAAAAGAATAAGGCATAATAATGTGTGAAATTTTAACTAAAAAGCTTCTGGAAAAGAGGATTAGTTTTTATCTATTAAATCTTAGAAACATTACTTAGCTAAAATATTCTGGCTGTTTTTATTCATTGGTTTCATTGGAGTCTTTGATCCAAACGAATGGTTCCCTGAACAGGAAGAGCCAGAATATTTTAAATAAATTATATATATTATTAACATTATGTAGAACTGTTGATCCAGAAATTTATTTGCTCTTAAGAAGACTGAAGATCAAAGCTCTATATTTATGATGAAAAAGAAGATAGCCATAGAATTAACATTTAATTCCCTAAACAATTATTATATCCCTTAACAATTAGTTCACATGCTTTTCTGGTGTCTCTAAATGAATGATTTTAAAATATGACTAATAAGTAAATGGGGGGGAAGACTACATTACTTAGGAATTTTATTAGGCTGTCAATTTAAATACTCATTCCTCAGGCAAAGTGCAACTTCACATTTAAATAAATGTATATTAAACACTTTAAATTGATAGCATCAACTCTTCCCTGGGGTATGAATCATTTAGACTTTTTTAGTACACTGTTGTAAAGCATAGCATTACACTACATTACACTACATTAATCTAATATATTAATATCTCTGATTATAAATTCATCACTGAGAGGTAAAAATATGTCTGATGTGTTTAAGAAAGAAGTTCAAAACTGCTACTCAAAGTAGTAAAATTATTTCTTTCTGTTACATCCAGAAAAATACAATTACATTTCGATATCAACTGTATCAACTATTTTAAGCTAATTGTTAAAACAACAAAACCCTCAAACTTGCTCCGTTAGTCTTTAATATCTAAATCAGCCAATTAAATCTAATCATTTATTCACACAAGAATTCCCAATCAAAATGCATGTGATTTTGTTCCATACCTTCAGTGTTGTTGGGATATAAACTAGTATGCGTTATTGTTACAACAAATCATTTTTGGACACATTAGAAAATGAAATTATGAGAGGAAGTTGAAGTAAGATATTTGCTCTAGCATACCATTTTTTTCTACTGAAAGCTCAGATTTAAAAAATTCTAATTATACTGATTTGTTATTTTCAAAGGCTGTCCAACACTATTTTAAATTGATAGGAGTAGTGCAGAACCAAATATTCCTGGGGTGCAGGAATACATTAAAAATTTTAATAATAGTGAGCTTTTTAATACAAGGCAGATAACATCTATATATTGCTAACTGATTAAGAACAAGTATGGAAACTACTAATTCTATAACTAGAAGAAATTATTTAGTTTAAATTTACTGCATTTGAAGATCAATGAAAATGGCATTGTTTGTTTAAAATGTTAATGTATCATTTTCCATGGGTAACTCTGAGTATAGTGAATACTTAAAATAGATTTATAGATTATTTGTCTACTAACGTACCTAGGTTATTTGCAATCAATAACATATTAATATTATGTTAAATGAAAGGATCAAGAGTGAAGTAATCACAGATAAGATGTTCATTACAGATAAAATTATAAATACAAATTTTAAATGATAAATTCCTTATTTTTGTAGACCCTCTCATGTTCAAAAACATACAGTGACTAGCCAAGTCTACTAAATCTTTACTTCAAGACTGACAGATCACCAATTTCTCGTGAATTAAATATATGTACCTAAGTTGATTTTTTTAAAAACATACCAATGAATTTAAATTAGTTTGTAAAATGTTAAGCAAATCAAATTTGGATTCTCCCTACTTTGAATATCTACTTGTCTAGATTTTTCCCACCTGCTGTCATGTGTTAATTTTTCTTAAAGCTTCATCTATTTGCAAAAAAAGAAAGAAATTGGTATTGTCTTGTGTTGTTTCATCCTTAAAGCGAAACCATTTGCAAGAAAATTATAGGTCCCCAGTGTTGAGCTTCTTTGCATATTAATTTTGTTAGCCTTACCTCCTGTGGTCTTTAGTTCTGGAAGGCCTATTAGATAATACACAAGATAAATTTTTCCCTTGTATCTTTGAGCTAGTAGAAAATACATCCATTTTCTCTTAAAACTGAAATTTGCAGTACTAGTCACGCATATTTTCCCCTATTTTACAAATAGAGATTTATTTAATTAAGCATGTTAAGCACTGTAATAGTCAATATTAGTTATATTCCTGTAACCCAAGTTCCTGAGATTATATATTAATGTTAAGTAAATACAAGTATTGCACAGTATACCAAACTAGTTAATGTAATACCATGAAATGTGAATTTTGAATAAAAGTCTGAAATCGTTAAGAATTACTTTTTACTATAAATAAGTTATAGTCCAAGCAAGTTTAGAAAAGCAGAGCATGCATGTGTATTAGAAATATAATGATTAGAAAATAAACAATCTATTTTAAATAGAAATCACCCACTGTGAGCCACGTAAGTATATAGAGGTTATGCTTAACAGAGGACATCTATTTATCACTTTTTAAAATTCCAGATGTTACTCCTTTGTTTTCTCTTTTCACAACATTTTGTCCAGACCTCAGATTGGCTTATACTTCTTAGGTTGATCTTATCTGAATGCCAATATTTCAAATATTTCTAAATTTAACTTAAAAGTATTGAAACTAACATATGTGATTAAATATGACAATAAAGGTAGAAAATAAGATAGTGAAATAGTGATTTAAATTGCTGTTATTTCTTTGTTGGAAGTTCAACTAATTAAGAAAAAAGAATCCAGAGTGAATTTTTAAAAGTTTTCCATTTTAAAAAACGGGCAGTGTGTTTTTAGTGAGAACACCAAAACTATGACTATAAAGGCAAGAGGAATACTGTATGTTGTTGAGGAGAGGCTTAGGGGTTTACACTCTGAGAATTTTATAAAATTTAAGGGTAATTTCCATTTTTGAGATTATTTTTGCAGTCATAGGAAAGAAGCAATAAAAATATTGTTACCTAAGTCAAAAAGTAATTATTTTGCTTATGTCATTTAAAACAAATCAATGATAACTTGCACTAATGATGAAGTTTTAACCAGAGCTTCACTAGATTTTTACATTTATATCTTTTAATATTATGAACTTATAACTATATGAGGGTTTAATGATAAGAGAAAGCAAAGTGCTTTTTGTTTAAAATAATATATCTAATGTAGATTTATTGTTAATAAAACTCTGTTAGAACTCTTGGAACTTCCCAGGAATTAACACTCTATGTAGTTTAAGTAGGTCAAAGTCAAGAATAAACTAGAAATAGCCATTGACGTAACCTCTTCATCTGAACCTAAGGTCACATTACCATGAACTTTTGAGTGTATTTTAAAAAGTAATATTATATTGAAGTAAAAATTGAAAATGGATTTTTACAAAGTCTGAATCACATTTTAAAATCCCAAAAAGTATTTTGATGGAACTAGGAAACTCTTACTTCTACCTCTACAATGTGTATGTTTTTAGCAACAGTGAGTAGAAGAATCACAGGATATATATATTTCAGAGATAAACCAAAACATAGTTTAAGACATAGTGTTAAAAAGAAATTCTTATTTTAATTGGTTATTCATATTATGTTTTAAGGAAAAAATGGGCCAAATACTTGAGGAATGAAAATTACCACCTTTTTGTGTGTAAACTTTTAATAGGTTTTGTTTTCTTGCTATAAAATATGCTTTGTTTTCTATTATGAAGCTCATAGATATTACAATTATACTAGCAGTTTAATAATATGTTCTTCTATGCTCTCTAATTTTATTGCTTTGTTTATATAACTACTGAGGAAAACATTATCCAGAGAAATTATTTTAACCTTTATGTATCTCATCAAAGTGTAGAAGTCTGAAAGCAGGGCCATCTTATTAGAGATATTCTTAATAAGGTCGTACAGGTTTATTTAGCTCTCTGGCTGGCTTCTTACAGCAATAGAAATGTTGGAAGAGGATGTTAAAGAGCGACTTACTGTGAAATATCCTTCCAAGAAAGAGGGTCACCACAGACCCCACCACTGTTTGACTTGTTTACTATAGTTGTTCTTCAGAGCAGCAAATAACTTTTCAATTCTAAATGAATTTTGATTCATTAATTTATTTGCTTTCTCATTAATTCTAGTAATGGGAAAAGTACATAAAATATGTGATGTGATCCCTTGGCTTTTATTAATAAGGAATGTGAATGATTTTAATACATAGGAAGATAAACTTGGCAAATAAATACTTCTTAATTTTTAAATATTTGCTTCATTTAATCTTTAAATTGCACATTTTTATTCAGTTATTTACTGCATTCAAGCATATGTTTTTTGGGTCTTAGGTTTTTATCCTAAGAAACCTAAAATGCTGCATCCACCAAGTTTCCTCAAATTTGAAATAACTATGTCACTGTTGTCCTTGTGTGAGCTACTCCTTATACACCTTGTTCATTCCTCTTTCATTATGCTCAATTAGTTTAAAATTTTCTCTCATTTCTGTCTCCAAAACTAATTCATGTGATTTTCTTAATATCCAACTGAAGCCATTCTCCATTCACCACTGACCAGTTTTCCTTTTTCTCATAACTGTGTAATTATTATATTTATTAAATTTGTATGCTGCTTCATAGTATTGGGTAGGCATTTTATTTATTCATGCCTTATCTTCATAAATGTGTGTTTCTTGATCATAAGGGCCTGGTCACAGGATTTTTAGGTTATAGAACTTAAAATTAGAACAAAACTTCATATTATCGATTTCTCTTATCCAGTGTTCTTTCTATAACACATTATCATAATCAGTGATATGATGGCTACAAAAATGGGGAGTCGTTTTGAATGGGCATTATTAATTCACTCAAGTCTAATTATTAAACTTCCAATCAAAATAAAAATGTGGCAGCATTCATATAAGTTAGATTCCTTCATATATGCATGTGGCAGCTACTAGAAGTTTGCATAGTGTCCTTAATATGAGTTGAAGACACTTAAGTTAACCATCTGTTTCCTCACTGTTGCCACAGTGTTTCATAGAAGCCTAGGCATTAAAAAATGTTAAAAAAATCATTAACACCAATGTGGTTATTAATTTATGTTATGGTATCTTAGTACCTTGTATTTCATTTATGTAAACAAAGTAATAGTAATAGTATTAGATTATTTATCTCAACAATCATTCACCTGTACTTCATTTACCTTCATATAGACATATATTATGTCTTTGATATTTGTTTAAAAAACATTATGTATGTATTGTTTTGAAATTGCATTACATTAAAAAATGAATCATCAGCTAACTCTATAAACTTGGCTACAGAAAAATGTAAGATAATGTTGGCATTTATACTCTTAAAATTAATATACTCAAAATCATGTTTTACTAAAAATATATTTACATTAGAAATATTTTGTCTCAAAATACAAGTGAATAAATACAAACAACTTTTCTGAGAGTAATGTATTAGAAGCCTATTTTTTATTCAATAACTGTGTGAGTACTATAATTTTAAGTGAGAAAAACCTCACAATGTCAATATATTAGCTTTCTTTTCCTATGCTAAGGTGATTATTTTTGAATTTGAAAAGGTACATTTCAATTTCTCTTTTTGCATATCATTATAACCATTTCAAAGTATAATTAATTCCCATAGACTTAGAGAAAAAAGCTGACAGCCCTCTTTATTTTTTATAAATATAGATATCCTGTTCTCTTCCTAACATAGGAATATATAGGAATATAATGCAAGGAACATAGATGCTGAAATAAGGAAATGGAATAATGCAGGAAATGAGATAAATGCCAACCTGAAAAAAAAAAACAACAAATACCAGGTGTAGTTCAATAAAACAGCCACTCAGGAGTGTTCACATGAAGCTAGTCTCTTCTTCCAAACAATCCACTTCCACTAAAAACACATTCTGTTGGCACATGTTGCTCTCAGTCATCTCTTGATCAATTTGTGCTTGGATTTTTAAGTGACTTGAATGTGTTTTTAAGTTGTTCTCTCTGTTTGACCCTTAAACACATTCACATATTGAACAATTAGAATTTCCAGTGATAAAATACTTTTAGTTGATTTGTGATGTTATATTAATTTACTTAACATGTGTAGTTAAAATATATTCTGAAAATGATGTCAGACATTAATTTTGTGAGCCTTGAAATGGTAAAAGGATTTTTACCATGACACAAATTCATGACCCATTTATGTGCAAAAATGGTAAAATATGTGATATTAAACAGAAAAAAAATATGTATTTGTTGGCCTAAGCAAATCGAGAGTATTTCACATGTGAAGGAAAGTTGATATGGTTTGGCTCTGTGTCCCTACCCAAATCTCATTGTGTAGCTCCCATAATTCTTACGTGTTGTGGGAAGGACCCAGTGGGAGATAACTGAATCATGGGGGCGAGTCTTTCCCATGCTGTTCTTGTGATAGTGAATAAGTCTCACGAGATCTGGTGGTTTTAAAAATGGGAGTTTCCCTGCACAAGCTCTCTGTCTGCTGCCATCCATGTAAGACGTGACTTGCTCTTCCTTGCCTTCCATCCTGATTGTGAGGTCTCTTCAGCTACCTGGAACTGTAAATCCATTAAACCTCTTTCTTTTGTAAATTGCCCAGTCTCAGGTATGTCTTTATCAGCAGTGTGAAAATGAACTAATACAGTAAATTGGTACCAGAAGTGGAGTGTTGCTGAAAAGATACCCAAAAATGTGGAAGTGACTTTGCAACTGTGTAACAGGCAGAGATTGGAACAGTTTGGAGGGCTCAGAAGAAGACAGGAAAATGTGGGAAAGTTTGGAACTTCCTAGAGACTTGTTGAATGGCTTTGACAGAAATACTGATAGTGATATGAACAATAAGGTCCAGGCTGAGGTGGTCTCAGATGGAGATGAGGAACTTTTTGGGAACTGGAGCAAAGGTTACTGTTTTATGTTTTAGCAGAAAGACTGGCAGCATTTTGCCCCTGCCCTAAAGATTTGTGGAACTTTGAACTTTAGAGAGATGACTTATGGTATTTGGTGGAGGAAATTTCTAAGCAGCAAAGCATTCAAGAGGTGGCTTGAGTGCTGTCAAAGGCATTCAGTTTTATAAGGGATGCAAAGCATAAAAATTTGGAAAATTTGCAGCCTGACAACATGATAGAAAAGAAAATCCCATTTTCTGAGAAGAAGTTCAAGCCAGCTGCAGAAATTTTCAAAAGTAATGAGGAGCCGAATGTCAATTCCCAAGACACTGGGAAAAATGTCTCCAGGGCATCTCAGAGGTCTTCATAGCAGCCCCTCCCATCACAGGCCTGGAGGCCTAGGAAAAAGTGGTTTCATGGGCCAGGCCCAGGGTCTCTGTGCTGTGTGCAGCCTAGGGACTTGGTGCCCTGCATCCAAGCTGCTCCAGCTGTGGCTGAAAGGGGCCAACACAGAGATGTGGCTGTGGCTTCAGGGGGTGGAAACCCCAAGGCTTGGCAGCTTCCACATAGTGTTGAACCTGCGAGTGCATAGAAGTCAAGAATTGGGGTGTGGGAACCTCTGCCTAGATTTCAGAGGATGCACGGAAATGCCTAGTTGCCCAGGCAGAAGTTGTTGCAGGGGCGAGACTCTCATGGAGAACCTCTGCTAGGGCAGTTCAGAAGGGAAATGTGGGTTTGGAGCCCCCACACAGGGTCCCTACTGGGGCACTGCCTAGTACAGCTGTGAGAAGAGGGCCACCATCCTCCAGACCCCAGAATGGTAGACCAACCAACTGCTTGCACCGTTTGCCTGGAAAAACTGCAGACACTCAACACCAGCCGGTGAAAGCAGCCAGGAGGGAGGCTGCATCCTGCAAAGCCACAGGGGTGGAGCTGCCCAAGACCATGGGAAACCACCCCTTGCATCAGTGTGACCTGGATGTGAGACATGGAGTCAAAGGAGATCATTTTGGAGCTTTAAGATTTGACTGCCCTGCTTGATTTTGGACTTGCATGGGGACTGTAGCCCCTTTGTTTTGACCAATTTCTCCCATTTGGAATGGCTGTATTTATCCAATGCCTGTACCCCCATTGTATCTAGGAAGTAACTAACTTGCTTTTGATTTTACAGGCTCATAGATGGAAGGGACTTGCCTTGTCTCAGATGAGACTTTGGACTGTGGACTTGTGAGTTAATGCTGAAATGAGTTAAGACTTTGGGGGACTGTTTGGAAGGCATGATCAGTTTTGAAATGTGAAGATATGAGATTTGGGAGGGGCCAGGGGTGGAATGATATGGTTTGGCTCAGTGTCCCCACCCAAATCTCATCTTGTATCTTCCATAATTCCCATGTGTTGTGAGAGGGACCCATTGGGAGATGACTGAATCATGGGGGCAGGTTTTTTCCATGCTCTCCTTGTGATAGTGAATAAGTCTCATGAAATCTGATAGTTTAAAAAATGAGAGTTTTCCTGCAGAAGCTCTCTCTTTGCCTGCTGCCATCCATGTAAGACATAACTTGCTCCTCCTTGCCTTCCAAATGGCAAATATTCACTTACAGTTATTTTTATATTTAGATGTAGACTATAGGGCTTATAATGTTTTTCTATGCTTGAGAGAAAGAAGAAGAAAAAGGAAGATGTGGAGGAGGAAGAAAAGGAAAAAGAGAAGAAAGAGGAAGAGGAGGGAGAAGAAGAAGGAGGAAGAGAAGAAGAAGAGAAGAAGGAGAAGAACAAGTGGAAGAGGAACTGGAAGAAAGAAAGAAATGGCAGCACTATGCAGACAGCAACTTGCCATTTGTGTTTTACTTCTCTATCCTTAGTGCCTAGACTACTGCTCAACAAATATTTGTTACATGATTAAGGATATAGCTCACCATTTCCCTTTTTTGGACAATTATAATGAATACTACAAATAATACGTTTGACAAGTGTATGTGTGGCATTTTTTCTTAAAATATTGCTTTATGAAAATTGTTGTGAACATAGCTAATTAACTTATACTTTATAATTGCCACCACCACTATCTTCATTATCACAATGAATTAATTAAGTAGCTACCTTCTAGTGTCATTGAGATGCAGTTCTTATTTTCTAAATGCTCACTGTTTCAAAGAAAGCAGAAAAGTATGAAGACACTAAGAATCCCCCTAAATGTACAATTCAAGTATCTATCAATCTATGATACAGAGGTTAGAACCCAAAATTAAGTGTGTGTGTGTGTGTGTGTGTATGAATTTAAATGAAGTAGATGTGTTAAACTCATGATACATTCTTCAGATAAAAATGTGTCATAGGAGTTTTTATGTTAAAAAAAAGAAGTTCAGAAAATATCTTATGGTTAGTATAAGCACATTCCATAAAATTTAACTGGCTCTTTGAATAAGAAAGGCATTTAAGTAAGGAAGACTTGGTGTTCATTCATACCAGTAGGCCTTATGTTCCATTATTTTTGAGGTTCAAGGAAGGTAAGAATGAGGAGAAGAGACCACATATGCAAGGAATTGCTGGAAGAAAATTTCCTTTTCTAGCTTCAATTCTAGTAGGTAGAACCTTTTGAATGTTACCCATTTCCTAGTTCATATTTTTCTCTTTGTTCTTCTGTGTGATCTTGTACCTCCTGAATTTAAATATCACTGCATAGACCCCCACCCATCACCTACAGTTGTAGCTAAAATCAAGAAAGGATTTAGGGATCAGTTGTAATAGCCCTGGTGATTTAGGAACTGCCAAACTTTCCATTGTTTCTAAGAGGAAAAATTGCTTTAAACGAGCATAATTTAGCTATAAGGAAGAGCTTTAGATTAAGGTATGTATGGTACTGCTCCACAGTGATGGCTAATATATTTACCACTTGTAATTTTTTTTTAAATTTTAATAGGTAGAAATGATAAACCTGAAATTTTAAAATCATAGATATAAATGTAAAATTTATCATTTGTGTTCTAATATAGTCCTCAATGTATTTTTGTATTGGTGATACCTGGTCAAAAGAGTTTAATAGACTTCAATTTCAACATAAGCTAAAATTATAATGCTTTCATCAATAACAAAACTGGCATAATTTAAATATTATTTTAATTAAAAGTTAAACGTATGATGTCTGGAATAAGTAAAGAAATATAATTGCTATACCATTTTTGATTATACCACAGCTGTGAAACTGATTTTAGTTCTGAGCATTATATTTTATATGAAAGCAATTGGTACAGCAAATAACTGAAAATTCTTTCAAATGATAAATATTAGAAATTACCAGAGGAAAGCCAGCAAATAAAAGAATGAAAAAGGACATAATATAAAAACTTTTTATGAGTTATCTGGTGGGCGAAGCAAGGTTTGGCAATGTAAGTTAATTTCCCTGTCTGCTAGTGGGGAACATTCATTCATTCATTCATTCATTCAATGAATAGTTATTGAGCACTACTGTTATATGTGCCAACCATTGTATTGAGTGCTGGAGATACAGAAATGAACAAAGCATACAAAATTTCTGTCTTTATGAGGCTTTCCTTGCTTTTCTGCTTCTTGAAATTTAAATGAGTAGAGCAGATTTCATCTTTAATTATAAATTTAGAGTTAAAAATCTTGATATTATTTTAATTAAGTCCATCATCGGCTACAAAAATACTGTAGAAACTTTTAGTGTAGGGCTTTAGATTCCTGTTATCCAGACAATTCCAAACAATTCAACTGCCTTTAAAATTAAAGACAACATTGAACACACAATTTTATCATCTGGATAAGTAGCTAAAGGGAAAAAAAAAACATGATGTGAACTTTACTTAACAAAGGCTAACAAAAATATTGAGCCTGTAGAGGTTCATCTGACTTGGGCAACCCACCTTTCCCAAACTTTGATTTCAGCTTTCACATATGCATTCACACCATGTATTGTATGGGTCAGTGGGCTGAAACCACATGGTGTTTAAGGTAGTTAATATTATCAAAGAAGCATCTGGAGGATGTCCAAGGTTAATGAGAATTCCATTCTTGAATGTTTCATTAAAAATTCGGAGTTCCTTCTAAAATGTTGAGATTCAGTATCATTTTTATTAATATGAGCAAAAAGTTTACCTATTACATTAACATTCTCCCTTTTCTCAAATAATATGTCAGAATGACTAAATGTAGCACTCTCAAAGTTTCCCCATTTAATATAAGTATGGGTATGGACTTACAAGTGACCATACACACATGTAGATAACATAATGCAAAGACAAATTATGCAAGTATGGTCTCAGAGTAGTTTTCCATAAAATATAGACATTTGATTATATCATAGCATTATTAACTTAAGTGAATTATAAAACACATTTGAAATATTCTATTTTTATTTTGAGACACATTTCCTATGCCCAAAGTTGTTTTGTCCTTTTAGTGAAGAGTCCGTTGCAGGTGACAACACTGAGACTGAGAAAGGTGAAACCTCTCTAAAGTCACACAGCTGTTAAGGGGACCACTCAGAACTTAATATGTAATTTTTTTTTTTGCTAGTACACACGTGTTTCCTTTAGTTTTTGATTGTCCTCTAAGTTCCTAGTTATCCTGACTCAACGGATTTCAAAAGTATTTTTCTATTTTCTGTGCATCAGCATTAAGTTAGATAATAGCACAAAGTGAAAATTTGCAGAGAATGGAACTCTGCTTCTATTGTGCACACACATGTCAGTACTCAGGTTTTTCAGAGGAAAAGTAATTCACAGGAATTAGATTTGAAATAAAAATCAAAAGTCTGCTTGCAAAAGTTTGCCTTTGAATTGATCATTATCTTTTCACTATTTTGTAAAGGAAGTGCAGCAATATTTAACAGGATTCAGATATTTTTGATGGGGGAAAATGTGACCCATGCAGAAATATAGTAGTGATACTTCCTCATTCAGAGACACCACTGGTTCTTAATTAAGTAATTGGGAACTTAATTGAAATCTAACATATACAGAAAAAAACATAAATTACAAATGTACATCTTGACTGTTTACAAACTGAATATGCCTATGTAAACAGCATGCAAATCATAAAAGAATACAACCAGCACCTAAGAAGCCTTTGTGTGTCCTCTTTCAGTTCCATGTATCCCCAAGGATGATCACTACTCTGGTATCATGGGCTAATTTTGCCTCTTTTTGTATTTCATATGCAGGGAATCTACAGTATATACGTATATGGCGTTTTTACTCAACATGATGTTTCTGAGACTTTTCCACTGGTGTTACGAAAATTGTTTTATTGACTAGACCATCCAATGAGATAGTGTATCTGCATTATGTATTTTTTAAAAAAGTTAAAAACAGTGAAAAAATAAAAACACTAATTAGTGTCGCTGTAGTTTGTCCATTTTTATTGCTCTCTGGTATTACATTGAGTGAATATACCACATCTTATTTATTCATTCTGCTGTTGACGAACATTTCAGAAGTTTCCCATTTGGAGGCTTTTACATTTGATACCGCTGTTCACATTCTTACACTTATATATTTTGAAAGATATATGTATACATTTCCCTTGGATAAATACCTGAGAATGGTATTGTCCAACATATTTGGAAAGATCACTCTAATTTGGTATGAAAGAAGATCTTGATGTGAAGAGACATCTCTCTTTTTGTATTTGTGTTTTAATTATTGCTTCATATGCACTTAAAAATGATCTTTATTAAGTTGCTTTGAAAAATAAAAAAATACGATTGCTCGTATTATCACCTAGAGAAAATACATTTCATGCTTTCTTAGACTCTTTTGCTATGTGTATATTTACTATATTAATATATTTATAATATATTTACATAGCAAAAAGTAGATATATTCTGCTTGCTTTTTCCACTGAAGTATAATATGTTATCAGGATGTTCCTACGTCATTAAAATGATGAATTATTTGTAATGGTGGGAGAGAGGCAGCTGGTAGTGTTGGAGAAGCAAAGGACAGAAAGTTAAGATAAGCAGTCAAACACTATAGTGAGACCATGAAAGGAAACATTTAGAAATAGTCCATTTGGATTCAGCAGTTAGATCATTCGTGGCCCTGGTGTGGTTACTTTAGTGGAATAATGAAGTAGAAGCCAGATCGCAGTGGCCTGACTAGTGAATGAGAGGTGAGTGGAGACCCTGAGTACTCAGTAAATTTTTGAAAAATTTGCTTATGATTAGAAAAAGTTACATGAGGATGCGTATTTTAGAATTTCTTTCTTCCTTTCTCCTCCTTTTCCTTCCCTTTCTTTCCTTCCTTTTCTCCTCCTTTTCCTTCCCTTTCTTTCCTTCCTTTTCTCCTCCTTTTCCTTCCCTTTCCTTCCTTCCTTTTCTCCTGTCCTTCCCTTTCTTTTTTATTGGGTTTCTTGCTTTTGTTAGCATTTTTATTTATTAGACACAGCTCCTCGTCTTGACTGTGACCATCAAGGTTTTAGCTACCATAGTCTCTTGACAATTTACTGCATTCTTCTCCTGCTATTCTTATACTCATTAATCTTTATATCCTCCTCCTTGACTTTATTAATGCTATAGCAAAAAAATATGAATAGAGAAAAATAATTATCTAGATTAACACACATGGTAGGATTTGCTAAACTCTGGGTTGTGAATGGAGTTTGCTTGTAGAATTATTCCAGTGTGGATGTAGGCTGAAGCCTTAAGTTGGTTTAGACCATGTTAGCTGACAAGGCCTCAAGAACTGCAAACTCGTTTGGTCATGCATCCTTTTGCCTACTCTACAAACGGTATTGGTGAAAAGTTGTCATGGTACCTCTGAAGAAATCTTTCGACAATGTTGGGAGAGAGTGATGTTGGTCTAGAGAAATTTTGAGAAAACTGAGTCAAAATCAGTATATCTATGTTATTTATTTAAAAATTATCTTTAAAAAGTAATATATAGTACATAATAGAATAATTTATGCTCATTAGGTGCTCTAGTGAATAGAATAATTTTTATAATTTGAATCTTTGATAGAATTTTGGGAATTCAAATGTTATTTAGAGATGTCAAGGATGCCAGAGAGAGTCTAATAGTGGTAGGTGATAAATGTGATGAATTGCAAATGTGCACAAATATTTCAGAGATTTTTTTAAAATTTTACTTTAAGTTCTGGGATACATGTGCAAAACATCAGAGATTTTTTCCTGCCACAAATAGACAAATTTATCTCTGCCCTCCATCTCTTCTCAGTAAATGCATAAGGATAAAAGGCAAAATTTATGGTATTTTTCTGTATAACATTTATTTAGAATGCTATGAAATCACTTCTTAATATTGTTAAGTTTTAGTAGATATGATGACAATGATAATTTGCTGAATAATAAACCCTGTAATTGTCATAGGAATTTGATGTGCTTAATTCACTATGTAGGGAAGATTTAATCATTAGATATATATTGAGGGGTGTTCAGGCTTTAAAGCTAAAATTCTTTTAAAAAGTGGAAACTAGCTTATTTTGGAACTTTATAATGAATAACAAATTACCCTTATCAAAATTGATAATGAAAACAGGTATTGATTTGGTAGTTCTTTGCTACGTATATTTTTGTGTATGTTTTTCATTCTGACCCTCAAGGATTAGTGTACATTTATAAAGGGATGTATTTGCTATTAAAAATCAAAAGCTTTTTTTTAAAAGAACAATTATAGAATGGAGTATTAGTTTCTTGTTGCTTCTGTAATGAGTAATTTATTTTGAGATAAATAAATAAAGTTTTGAAACATAATAAGCTGGTTCCTATTTTTTAAAAGGATACCACAACCTTGGTGGTTTAGAACAACAAAAATTATTAAAATTACAACAATTAAATTACAACAATTAAATTGATTCTCCTACAGTTCTGGAGGTCAGGAGTTCAAAATCCTGGTGTCAGCCGGGCTGTTTCCTCCAGATGCTCTATGGGATATTCTTATTCTTGCCATTTCCGGTTTCTGCTTGTTCCAGGCATTCTTGGATGTTTCTTGGCTTGTAGCTACAGTACTCGAATCTCTACCTCTGTCTTGACATTGCCTTCTACTCTGCTGTGTGGGTTTCTCCTTTGTATATCTCTTATGAGGACATTTATCATTGGATTTAGGACTCATATGGATAATCTAGGGTCATCTCATGTCAAGATCCTTAATTACATCTGCAAAAATTTTTTTCCAAATAAAGTCACATTTACATATTCTGGGGGTTGACACAGATGTCCCTATTTGGGGGCCATATAGACAGTTATTACAATACTATATTAAGGAAATGACTAAATATTTTTAAAGTTAATTTGATTGCTGCATAAAACTCAGGATTTGGTTTATGTATCATTTAGATTTGGTTTTATATTTAAATAACTTGCCAACATAAAAATAAAAATCTATCATTTTCCACTTTATAGCTGGCAGGCAAATACATTACAAACTGGGTGTATGTTGTTTTTAGAAGAGTGTCATTTTAACTCACAAAAATAAATACTCACCGTCTTTTCCAGGATCATATAAAGCATGCTATCGTTTATAAACATCAGAAATTCTGTAAATGATTTTGGCAACAATTGGGCTGTATTTTTATTAGTATCCAATTTTAATAATTTAAAATATTTCTAGTATTTTACAGCACTATCAAGTGTTCCTTAAATGATGGGTTGGTTTGGTCCTGAAAAATGGGCCTGAAAATTAATAATACTGGAATAGAATTTGATCTGAATAAAGTATTGCAAAGAAAACCAAACAACCATAATTATTTATTATTTATTTTTAACTAATACATAATATTTTTCATATCTATGGGGTACATGTGATATTTTGTTACATGAATAGAGTGTAATGATCAAGTCAGGGCATTTGGAATATCCATCACCTTGAACATTTATTATTTCTCTGTGTCGGGAACATTTCAAAACCTCTCTAGCTATTTTGAAATATACAATACTTTGTTGTTAACTATAGTCACTCTTCTTTTCAGTTGAATGTTAGAACTTACTCCTTCTATCTAACTGTATGTTTGTACACATTGCCAATCTCTCTTCATGCATTTCCCCCATTGAAGTCTTTGGTAACTAACATTCTGTTCTCTAAATCTATGAGATTAACTTTTTTTTTTTAGCTCCTACATATGAGTGAGAATATGAAAAATTCAAACAACCATGATTTTTTTACCCAGTGTTGTCATTTTGAAGATAACCACTGAGAAATACGAGTGATAAGGCTGAAAACATAAGAAGTTTATGGTAAAAGTATGCTACCATGGCTACAGATGACATATTCTCTAAGTTACTCATTTCATTTACGTTTATTTCTATATGAATAGTTGACTTGAATTATGTGATGTATTTAGGAAGTCATCCCTAATGTTGAGAGCAATTGCCCTGGAAAAATAATTTTGCACTGTGTTTTCTCTATATTTTATCATAAGCTTTATTATGTTATTTTGAATGGACACATAGTATTCTTCCACTTGTCTGTGCATAATTTAGCTCACCAATTTCCCATGTTTAATTTACATTTCTTCTACTATTTTTGTTATATATAACGCAGTGATGAACATATTTGTGCCTATGTTTTTTTCCATATTCCTTATAATACAGTTATAAACAATTTCAAGAAGAATTTTTGAGTCAAAGAACATAAATATATTTGAAAGTCTTGCTTATGTTAGGAAATTATTTTCCAAAAACGTTATTCTCCTTTCGACAAGCAGTACATGAGAGTTTGACTCAATATAATGTTTCTGAGATAGTTTCATGTTGCTATTGTTTATTTATTCCAACTGATGAATAATGAATATTATTTTATTGTATGAATAAACCACAATTTATTGATTCATTTATATGTTATGGACACTTATGTTGATTCCAGTGTATCATTAATTTTTTTTTTTTTTTACAGTCCAGAAGTCTTTCTTTTTTTTTTTAACACCTACTATGCCATGAATTCATAGGGAATAGGTTTCAGCAGCTCAGGCTCCTTCCCATTGGTTTCACAAAGTGTGCTTCTCTGGATGGAGCAGGCTGGAGCTTCAGTTGAACCCAGGTACTTTTCTCTTTGACTTCTTTCTTTTTCTGATCATTTTCCTTCATGCGTTTCAGCAAGCTATCCGGGCTCTTAGAGTGCTTAAGGTGCTCAATACACACATTAATTCTCTTGGCAAGAATCTTGTCCTTAACTGTTTGTTTACAACACCAACAGCATGCTGCTGTTTGTTTACAACAATGCCAAAAGCATGCTGGGTAACACTGTAGACTCTTCCAGTTTTGCCATGGTAACACTTGCGGGGCATTCTTTTTTGAACAGTAACCATTCTTATTGATCCACACACACATGGCCAAGGGAACAACTCCATGCTTTCTAAAAGGCCTACAGAACATATATCGGGTGCCTCTCCTCTTTCCCTTTGTGTTCGTCATTTTGGCAAAATTACTGGAAGATGACGGTTCCAGCCAAAAGGCTGTATCATTAATTTAAACATCTATACCCTTGTGCATGTATGTGATATTTTCTCTAGAGTATCTACTTAGAAGTAGACTTTCTGAAGGGTTTTTCATGTTTCTATCTCCTTTAGTCCTGCTCTAATCTTGGTTATTTCCTGTCTTCTGCTAGCTTTTGAATTTGTTTGCTCTTGCATCCCTAGTTCTTTTAATGGTGATGTTAGGGTGTCGATTTTAGATCTTTCCTGCTTTCTGATGTGGGCATTTAGTGCTGTAAATTTTCCTCTAACCACTGCTTTAGCTGTGTCCCAGAGATTCTGGTACATTGTCTCTTTGTTCTCATTGGTTTCAAAGAACTTTGTTATTTCTGCCTTAATTTCATTATTTACCCAGTAGTCATTCTGGAGCAGGTTGTTCAGTTTCCATGTAGTTGTGTGGTTTTGAGTGAGTTTCTTAATCCTGAGCTCTAATTTGATTGCACTGTGGTCTGAGAGGGTGTTTGTTATGATTTCTGTTATTTTGCATTTGCTGAGGAGTGTTTTGCTTCCAATTATGTGGTCAAATTTAGAATAAGTGCTACGTGGTGCTGAGAAGAAAGTATATTCTGTTGATTTGGGCTGGAGAGTTCTGTACGTATCTATCAGCTCTGCTTGGTCCAGAGCTGAGCTCAAGTCCTGAATATCCTTGTTAATTTTCTGTCTAATTGATCTGTCTAATATTGACAGTGGGGTGTTAAAGTCTCCCACTATTATTGGGTGGGAGTCTAAGTCTCTTTGTAGGTCTCTAAGAACTTGTTTTATTAATCTAGGTGCTCCTGTATTGGGAGCACATATATTTAGGATAGTTAGCTCTTCTTGTTGCATTGATTCCTTTACCACTATGTAGTGCCGTTCTTTGTCTTTTTTGATCTTTGTTGGTTAAAGTTTGTTTTATGAGAGACTAGGATTACAACCCCTGCTTTTTTTTTTTTTTTTTTGCTTTTCATTTGCTTTGTAAATACTCCTCCATCCGTTTATTTTGAGCCTGTGTGTGTATTTGCATGTGAGATGGATCTCCTGAATACAGCACACTGATGGGTCTTTACTCTTTATCCACTTTGCCAGTCTTTGTCTTTTAATTGGGGCATTTAGTCCATTTATATAAATTTTGTTGTGTGTGAATTTGATCCTGTCATCATGATGCTAGCTGGTTATTTTGCACATTAGTTGATGCAGTTTCTTCATAGTCATTGGTCTTTATATTTTGGTGTGTTTTTGCTGTGGCTGGTACCAGTTTTTCCTTTCCGTATTTAATGCTGCCTTCAAGGGCTCTTGTAAGGCAGGCCTAGTGGTGACAAAAGCCTTCAGTATTTGCTTGTCTGTAAAGGACTTTATTTCTCCGTCACTTGTGAAATTTAGTTTGGTTGCATATGTTCATAATTATATATATCATCAATTTTTGTAAATATTGGCAAATTACAACTGTCACATATGAAATGCTTATTGATACATGAATAGGTCTGTTTGTAAGCACTTTATCTTACACTATTGGTCAATTTTTCTATACCTGTGTCATTATCACCCTGTCTTATTGTTATAACTTGGTAAAATTCTTGATATATGGTTGAGAAATTTCTCAAATTTTGTTCTGTTTCAAAGTCATCTTACTATATTCCTAACATCTTGTTATTATCACCTAAACTTTAGATAAGCTCATCATGTTTCTTGTTGCTGTTTTGATTGAAATTACACTAAAGTTTCATTTGTGGGAGAATGAAAAGTAAGACTTAGAACAGTAAGTCTTCCATTTATGAACACAGCATTTCTTTTCATTTATTTGTTTACTTTTTTTGCATTATATTGCAATTCTTTCTGTGAAAGTTTTATATAATTTTGTAAGATTTATTTTTTGTTACCTTAGAGTTTTTACTGATATTATAAATAGCATCTTTGATCTATTACATATTATAATTGGTTAGTACTGGTATATAGGCACAATATTGATTTCTATGGGTTATTATTCAGCAATATTATTTATTCCTGTATTTTAAAAGCTCATCCCCACTTGTAGATTCTCCTGGATTATCTAAGTAGACAATAATATCATCTATAAGTAAATTTTTTATACACTCCCTTATTCTTATATTTTATTTCTTTTTCTTGCCTTCTTGCTTTGGCTAAGATGTATAATATAGTAAAACAGAAGGGGTCATAGAGGGAATCCTTGGCTTTACCTTAATTTAATGACAATGCTTCTAAATATTTATCATTATTGTATTTACCATGACATTTTTGTTAATGATGTAGTAATAGGTTAAGTATCATACTGTTACATTTTACTTATTTTTGTTATATTTCTATAGAGGTGATTATATAATTTAAATTTGGCAATGTGCTATATTATATTAATAGCTTTTCTGATGCAGAATTGTCTTGCTTTCCTGGTATAAATCTTACTTCATAATCATAATTTTTATTTATTAATAATTTAAAAAATTTGTATCTATTTTTAAAATTTTTACTTATTTTTGTAGGGACATAGTAGATGTATATTTTTATGGGGTACATGGAATGTTTTGATACAGACATGCAATGTGAAATAAGCACATCATGGAGACTGGGATATCTATCCCCTCAATCATTTATTGTTTGAATTACAAATAATCCAATTATATTCTTTAAGTTATTTAAAATGTACAATTAAGTTATTGACTTTAGTCACTCTATTGTGCTATTAAATAGTATTTCGTATTCATTCTTTTTATTTTTCGTACCCATTAACCATCCTCACTTCCTCACAAGTCTCTCACTATGCCTCCCAGCCTCTGGTAACCATCCTTCTATTCTCTATGTCCATGAGTTTAATTGATTTGATTTTTAGATCTCACAAATAAGGAAGAGTATGTGATGTTTGTCTTTCTGTGCTTGGCTTATTCCTCTTAATATAATGATCTCCAGTTTCATACATGTTGTTGCAAATGACGGGATCTCATGTTTTTTAAGGCTGAATAGTATCGTGCACACGTAACATTTTCTATATTCATTCATCTGTTGATGGACACTTAGGATGCTTGCAAATCTTAGCTATTGTAAACAGTGTTGACACTAACATAGGAGTGAAGATTTTTCTTAGTTGTACTGATTTCCTTTCTTTTGGGTATATATCCAGCTGTGGGATTGCTGGATCATATGATAGCTCGATTTTTAGTTTTTTGAGAAAGCTCCAAACTGTCATCCATACAGACTGTACCAATTTACATTCCCACCAGCAGTGCACAAGAGTTTCCTTTTCTCCATATCCTTGCCAGCATTTGTTATTGGCTGTCTTTTGGATATAAGCCATTTTAACTGGGATGAGGTAATATCTCATTGCAGTGATTTGCATTTCTTTGATAATTAATAATGTTGAGCTTCTTTTCATATGCCTGTTCGCCATTTGTATGTCTTCTTTTGAGAAATGTCTATTCCAATCTTTTGCCTATTTTTTGATTAGATTATTAGTTTGTTTTTTTCCTGTAGAGTTGTTTGAGCTTCTTGTATATTCTGGTTATTAATCTCTTGTCAGAGTAGTAGTTTGCAAATATTTTCTCCTGTTCTGTGTGTTCTTTCTTCACTTTGTTGATTGTAGCCTTTGCTGTGCAGAAGATTTGTTTCTGGGTTCTCAATTTTGTTCCACAGGTCTATGTATCTGTTTTTATGCCAGTACCATGCTGTTTTGGTTACTATAGCTCTGTAGTATAATTTAAAGTCAGATGATGTGATTTTGCCAGTTTTGTTCTTTTTTCTTAGGATAGCTTTGGCTATTCTGGGTTTTTTGTGGTTTCATATAAATTTTAGGATTGTTTTTCTATTTCTGTGAAGAAAGTCATTGGTATTTTGATAGGGATTGCATTGAATCTGTAGATTGCTTAAGGTAGTATAAACGTTTTAACAATATTGATTCTTCCAATCTATGAACATGGAGTATTTTTCCATTTTTTTTGTGTTCTCTTCAATTTCCTTAATCAGTGTTTTTTAGTTTTTATTATAGAGATCTTTCACTTTGGCTAAGTAAATTCCCAGGTATTTAATTTTATGTGTGGTAGTACATATATTGTAAATGAGATAAGTTTTTGATTTCTTTTTCATATTGTTCACTGTTGACATATAGAAATGTTACTGATTTTTGTATGTTGATTTTGTATCCTGCAATTTTACTGAATTTGTATAGCAGTTCTAATAGTTTTCTTGTGGAAACTTTAGGTTTTCCCAAATTTAAGATCATATTATCTGCAAACAAGGGTAATTTGTCTTCCTTCCTTCCAAACTGGATGCCCTTTATATCTTTCTCTTTTCTGATTGCTTTAGCTAGGACTTCCAGTACTATGTTGAATAACAGTGGTAAAAGTGGACATCCACATCACATTCCTGATCTTAGAGGAAAGGCTTTCAGGTTTTCCCCATTTAGTATGATATTAGCTGTGGGTCTGTTGTATGTGACTTTTATTATGTTGAGGTGTGTTTTTTCTATACCAGTTTTTTGAGGGGTTTTATCATGAAGAGATGTTGAATTTCATCACATTCTTTTTCAGCATTAATTGAAAAGATCATATGGTTTTTATACTTCATTCTGTTGATATGATGTATCACATTGATTAACTTGTGTATGTTGAACCATCCTTGCATCTCAGGGATAAATCCCACTTGGTCATGATGAATGATCTTTCTAATGTATTGTTGAATTTGGTTTGCTAGTATTTTGTTCAGAATGTTTGCATCAATATTCATCAGATATATTGGTCTGTGGGTTTCTGATTTTGATGTGGCTTTGTCTGGCTTTAGTATCAGGGTAATACTGGCCTTGTAGAATGAGTTTGGAAGTACTTCCTCCTCCTTTATTTTTTGGAACAGTTTGAGTAGGATTCATATTAGTTCTTTAATTGGTAGAATTTAGCAATGAAGTCATTGGGTCCCAGGCTTTTCTTTACTGGAAAAATGTTATTACAGCTTCAAGCTTGTTACTTGTTATTAGCCTGTTCAGATTCTGGACTTCTTCCTGATTCAACTTTGGTAGGTTGTATTCATCCAGGTATTTGTCAATTTCTTCCAGATTTTCCAATTTATTGACATATAATATAAATATAATATAAATTTATTGCTCATAATAGCTCACATAATCTTTTGTTTTTCTTGGAAAGTCTTTATTTCTTCTTCATGTTTGAAGGATACTTTTCACCAGATATACTATTCAAGCTTAAGTTTTTTTCTTTCAGCACTTTAAATTTTTCATACCATTCTCTTCTCGCCTGTAAGATTTCCACTGAAAAGTCTGCTGCCAGGTGTATAAGAGCTCCATTGTATGTTATTTGTTTCTTTTCTTTTCCTGCTTTTAGAATCCTTTCTTTATCCTTGAATTTGGTAATTTGATTATTAAGTTCCTTGAGGTAGTCTTCTTTGAGTTATATCTGCTTGGTATTCTATAACCCTTCTCATACTTGAATATTGATAACTTTCTCCAGGTTTGGGATATTCTCTGTCATTATCCCTTTGAATAAACTTTCTACCTCTATCTCTTTCTCTATCTCCTTTTCAAGGCCAATAACTCTTAGATTTGCCCTTGTTGAGGCTATTTTCTACATCATGCAAGCTTGCTTCATTGTTTTTTTTATTCTTTTTTTGGTTTCCTCTGACTGAATTTTCCATTAGCCTGTCTTCAAGCTCACTAATTCTTTCTTCTGCTTGATCCATTCTGCTATTAAAGGACTCTGATGTATTCTTTACTATGCCAACTTCATTTTTAAGCTCCAGAATATCTTCTTGAGTTTTTTAAATAATTTCAATATCTTTGTTAAATTTATCTGATAGAATTCTGAATTCCCTCCCCATGTTGTCTTGAATTTCATTGAGTTTCTTCAACAGAGGTATTTTGAATTCTCTGAAAGGTCACATATGTCTGTTTCCTTTGGATTGGTCCCTAGTGCCTTATTTAGTTTATTTGGTGAGGTCATGTTTTCCTGGATGGTGTTGATGCTGGTAGATATTCCTTAGTGTCAGAGCATTGAAGGGTTAGATAGTTATTGTAGTCTTCACTCTCTGGGCTTATTTGTAGATGTTCTTCTTGGCAAGGCTTTTCAGATATTTGGAAAGACTTAGGTGTTGTGATCTAAGTTGTATCTGCTTTGTGGGGCACCCCCAGCCCAATAATGCTGTGGTTCTTGCAGACTTGTAGAGGTACTGTCTTGGTCCTTTCCCTTACATTCTCCCAAAATACAGTCTCTTTCTCTGTTCTGAGACACCTAAAAGCTGGGGGTGGAGTGACCCAAGTACCCCTCTGGCCATCACCACTGTCCACTGGGTCAGACCTGAAGCCAGAACAGCACTGGGTCTTGCCCAAGGACTGCTATAAGGAATCCCTGGTTACTGCCTATGTTTGCTCAAGGCCCTGGAGTTCTCCAATCAACAGGTGGCAAAACCAGCCAGACCTGTGTCCTTCCCTTGGATGGTTCCAGGAGTGCTGTCTAGGAATCAGGGACTAGAGTCAAAAACTTCAGAAGTCAACCTGATGTTCTATTGTAGTGGGGCTAAGCTGGCACTCAAACGAAATTATACAGTCTTTCCCACTCTTCCTTCCCCTTTCGAAAGGGAGAGGAGCCTCACCCCGTAGTCACTGCCACCCCAGGCCAAGAAGAGTACTGCCGGACTACTGCCAATATACCCTGAAGGCCCAGGGTCTCTTAAATGTGTTTTTCATGAATGCTGCCTGACCTAGGATGTTGGCTCCCTTCTGGCCTAGGGCAAGTCTAGAAATGCCATCCAAGAGCCAAGTCATACAACTGGGGACTCCCAGGAGCCTTCCTGGTACTCTACTTTGCTGTTGCCATGCTGGTACCTAAGGTGCAAGACAAAGTCCCCTTTATTTTTCCCTCTGTTTTTCTCAAGCAGAAGGAGTTTTTCCCTGAAGCCACCAGAACTTGTTATGTGCCGAGTCTCACCTAAAGCCAGCAAGTCTCAGAGGTTCATCTAAGGCCCTCGATGTAGTACCTGGGGGTTGCTGCTGATTATTCAGGGCCCAAGGATTCTTCAGTTAGCCGCTGATGAATGCTATCAGGACTGGATCCTTTCCTTCAAGGCAGTGAGTTTCCTTCTGGCCCAGGGTTTGTCTAGGAAAGTTATTTGGGAGGTAGGACTTGGACTGAGGGCCTCATGACTCTGACTGGGGCTGTATCATGCTATGGCTGGGGTGGTATCCTAGAAGCAAGACAAAGTCCTCCCCATTCTTCCCTCTCCTTTCCTCAAGCAGAAGGAAGTGGTCTCTTGGAGCAGCTAGCTGTGCAGCCTGAGGTTAGGGGAGGAGTGAGGCCAACACTTCCTTAACTGTCCAGCTGGTGTTTCAGTATGTCTTCTCATCCCACCCCCCATCAGTTGACTGTGTCTGGGCCTAATTCAGCACTAGAACTTGCCTATGAGTTGCTATTCTTATGGCCTAGACTGTCTTTCAAGTTTACTTGGAGACACAGAAGGCTGTAGCTTACTGTGGCAAGGTTTGTGGGCACTCAAGTTTGGATCACTGAGATCAGCAATTCCCCTCTGTCTAGGGCTGGTTTAAATCCTCCCTGTGCACAGACATCAGCTGAGTTTGGTCCCGTTTTTCTTTCTGCTCTAACAAGCCAGCACTGAGTTCAATGCCTCACGATTGCTGTGCTCTTCCTGTCCTGGTGCCCAGAGGTGCTCTCCATACCACACAGCAGCTCTCTGCAGTAGGGAGGAGTGGCGTCGGCGATTCTAGACTCTTCTTTCTATCTCTTCAGTGCCTCTTTGAGCAGTGTGAAGTTAAAACCAGACACTATGAGTGCTCACTTAATTTTTACTTCTTATGAAGGTCTTTTTTTCTGTGAAGATTCTTAACTTGGTGTCCTTGTTAACTTGGTGTGCTTGTGAGGGGGACAATCGGTGGAGCTTTGTATTCTGCCATCTTGTTCTGCCCTCTATCATACCTATGTTTTGCAGTGAGATTTTTCAATACCTTTCTTTTTATAGTATTTATCTTTTTATAATATTTATCTTTTTTATAGCATTCTCAACCTATTAGGTATCAAGGTCATGTTAAACTCATAAAATTAATTGAGTTATTTCCAATTAAAAAATAATTTGGAATAATTTTTATAAACCATGTTATCTCTTTTTTGATGGTTTACAAGAAGCTATAGCTATAGTATCTTTTTAAGTGTAAGATTTTTAAAAATAATTGAATCAATATTTAATAGAGTATATTAGAATCAGTTATAGTAGGTTTTTAAAGAAAATTCTCAATATTATCTAAGTGGATAGGCAGAGATGAAAGTGCTTATATTTGATAAATTTTGATTTATCCTAAATAATAGCAAATTTTATATATTTGAGAATCTAGAAATGTTAGTTCTAAATTCTATGGCAAGAGTTTCATTTTTTTTCATGTACTGTGGAACATTTTACAGGATAAAATATTTAGACATTTACTTCTACAAAGGGGTGTAGGACTATCATTATTCTTTGTATCCATGAGCCCTGCATTGCATAATTATACATATGTATGGTTTCATATAATTTGAATAAAATAGGAAAATATCCCTTGGTTTCTCATGCTTTCAAGCTTATTAAAAAAATAGAATAGATACACTTCCTGCAAGCCAGAAATAAAATTTCTACATATGATGTCTGATTGTCACTTTGGATTTTATTATAAAATCAGGATGCTATTTCTCATGAAGAAACTCTACTTTGGAAGATTACACACTTTTACACATTGAATGTATATACACTGGGAACTCAGCCACATTTATTTTAATAAATCAATGCATATTAGTGAAAAGTAGGTGCAATTGGGTAATTTAATGGTCTGCAATAACGGTGAAAAACTTTTTGCATGATGACAAGCTGAGAAAAATTAAAAATGTTTTTAAGTGGAACATTAATAAATTCAGTAGTAAGTAGCTTTATATTTCCAAGTGAAAAATACTTTTCTAACTTGAATATTTTACTGTATAAAATAATGATTTTTTTTTCACTACTGATATGTGATGTCTTGGGAAATAGCATAACTAGGAGCAACTTTAATTTTTTTCCCTTAGATTTTTACAGTACTGTGTCATGTACTGCATTTATACGCATTATATCACTTTAACTGCAATGACTCATTTCTCAGACCAAGGCTCAGAGGCACGAAGTAACTTGAGGTTCCACAGGAGTTTGGTGGTAGATCTTGGTTTTGTCCTTTTAAATACAACATTAATTGAGCACTGTGAGTTCTGCATGTAGACGGGCAGGTGAACAGGTTGCAGTGTCCCAGGCTTTCTTCTCTAGTTGTGCTGGGCTGGCAGGGAAGGTGATTCTACCTCTGAGCATCACTAGCACCATAAGCCCTTCCAAAGGGCTTGTTGACAAGCAGGCTACTCACTGTCAGTTGGCGTTTAATGGCTTTGGTTCCTGAGGGATATAGCTTGCTTTGCACCTTGTCTACAGGCTAAAGGATATTACGAAAAAAGACTGGAGGTACATACATCAAAATGTTGTATAGTGATGGTCTTGGGATAGTAGGATTAGAGTCCAAATGATACTACATCAAAAATTCATCAAATATTAACAGTAGTGGTTTCTGGGTAGTAGGATTATGGGTTTTGAAAATTTTTTGGTGAGTCTTTGTATATTCTAAGTTTTATGCATCTAGTAAGTATAACTTTTATAACTAGAGAACATTGTTATTTAAAAAATAAAAATAAAAGAGCAACCAACAAAATTCAACAGCATTAAAAGAGTCTACTGAGTCTACTGAGGCTGCAGTTGATATACAGTTGGCTGAATTAAGTGAATAAATTGCATAATATCTGGATGTTTAGATGAAATTTACCCTTCCCTCAAAAAACAAAGCTAATTTGAATGTGTGAATGTGTGTTACAGTTTATGTATGCTGTACATGTATGGGTATAGACATAAACTTACTGAAATACATAACTTAGAAGTTTTCAAGAATCTTCAGTTGTTATTTTTATAAAATGCACGATTTATAAAGTGTGTGTGTATGCATATGTATGTATGTCAAACTTGTTAATCTGAAAATAAGACTTTCAAGTCCAAGGACACTTCTAAAATCTTAGTTTGGCTCATATGTAAAAATTTAGTATGTGCTACTTGAGAGTTTTTCTTTTACTGCCTTAGATTTCAATCTGAATGTACAGACTGGATGTTCTTATATTGTACAGAATTGCAAGATGTTACAATCACCAGTGCAAATATTACAAAGCATTATAGTTTGTTTTACATAATTATGTGATAAAAATTTCAAGGCAGATGCTTAAAAAAGCACAAAATACCAAACCATAGGGATCCCTTCTGTGTTATAAATGAATAAGGTCTATACCCTACGTTCCTTGGCCACATGACTTTATTTTGCATCTTTCTGAAAGAGAAGGAAAATATCTTTTATATCTCAGGATAGTCCAGATAGAACAAACATTCTTTTCATGGTTTTTAAATCTTTTTTTATGACCATAGATATTTTTACTTGAAGCTAACTACTGTGCACTCAGAAATTCAGCTCTCCAAAGCAGGCAATCCCAATTTTATAATCAGGTGCTTAATTGACATCATCTATGAAAGCTAATGCATGCCCATTATTTGGTTTGCTGCATGCCAAGTATGTTATGGTGGCTCAGTTTTAGAAATTATAAATGTTAAAAGAAGTTTTTAGCTTAATAGAGTAAAATATCATCATTAAACCTATTTATTCTCAAAGGTCATGTAATTGATTTTAGAAACAAACTATGAGTGGGAGTTACAGGAATCAGATTCTGAAACTTCACCCAGATCCTAGGGCCCCATACTGGACTATTTCTGTGTCAGAAATTGTTGCATAAATTCATTCATGATCTTCCAGACTTTTGCTAGCTAGTGTGGCAGTGTTTTGGAGAGGAGAAGACAGCTCACAGTCAGCAATAGCCTAAAGAGGACTCTGGTTTGCCAAGCAGATATTTTCAAATTACCTTCTTTCTCTTTATTAGCTGAAAAATTGGTATATATTAGCTGCAGTTTCTACTTGAATTCTTTCCTTCTCTTCTGCTCTACCTTCCTTTTCTCTCTATTTAGGTAATAAAATAAGTCAGTTTTTGGGTCTACAACTTTCTAAGCTACCCAAAAATCACAGAAAAATTACAGTGAAGAGGAAAGAATTTCCACTGTTAGTAGAGCCTGGCTGCTACATTAGCTCATGCAATGAGTAGGGCATCTCTTGTTTCCCATCTTTGAAATAAAAGGCTTTTTCTAGCTGCAAAACTGATTTATAAAAAAGTATTTATTTCTACATGACAAATAAACTTATCCTAAATTTAACAAAATTATATATATATATTTGGTATTTTACCCACATTAGAGTTTTCTGGTAAAACTACAAAAGTTCTGTAGAGGCCACTGCCTGTGAAGGTAGTTGAGGTGATAGCCATGTCTATAGTGACAGCAGTACCCTCATCTTACAGCATTCTTAATGTAAAACACAGATTTTGGAAAAAACACACATATTCAGGGAAGTATAATTTCTTAGGTGGATAGTCATGCTTTTGTCATCCTATTATGTAAAAGAATATATTGTTCCAAATGTCACTGTCCTGAAAGCACAGAAAAGTTTCCCTTTTGGAGAACCTGATTAGAATTTTCAAGGCATAATTTCTACTTTTTGTCAATAACATAGTAATAGTCTCTGAGGATCTTGGTAATACTGCCTTTCCTTGGCTCTTATTTTTCTCTCTACAAATGCTTTGCATGTTGCTACTACAGAAACTCTTTCTCAAAGAAAGACCCCTTTGTATTACTACTGATAGAAAAACATGTAGAAACCCTGATAAGCAATGTTCCTTCAGAAATTAAAAGCACCTTAATAAATGTTCCCCCTCAGCAATTAGAACTCTAAAATATTTTCATACCGAGCAACTTTTCTAGTGATTGAGTTCTGAATGGTAAGAGAACATAAAAGGAGACTATTTTTTTCCCAACAAAAATACTTACCCACATTTTTTACTCTTTAAAAATAATTCCTTGGCTTTCTGAAATGGAAGAGCCATCACATTGGCTCAACCTCTGTAATAATATTTTGTCAACTCATGCTTTTCTTGGAGAAGATATTATTGAAACCTTTTGATGTTGATATTTCTAAAGATTAATTTAAAAATAAAATTTGGCAATATATAACATGAAATTCAGAATATAGAATGACATAATAAATAGATTACAATGGTTAAGAAATTAAATTAAAATTGAGACGCTCATATTAGACTTAATATTTCATTTCAATGAGAAAAGGTAATTAGGGAACTGGAAGTAAATTGAAACAATCAGAGAAGCTATTGCCTGGGTACTGAATCAGCCTGGTGTCATATTGCCTGAAACATAGTTTCCACACACAGACTGTGGACAGTTCTCTACCTTTCCTACAGAGCAACTGAAGCCCTATGGTAATTAATCCCCATGAGGCAGAGATAACAAGATCAGTGCGGAAGAGCTTATTGCTGATGAGAATTTAATCTGGGTTACTGTTGTATTGGACAAAGATGGTAGCTGAAGAAGTGGGTCTCTACCTTCAGCTCTGGCTTCCTATTGCACTTAGCATAAAATCAGACTCTTTGCCATAGCTCTCCTGATGATCTCATGTCTATTGACTTCTAAATCATTTCATTTCGTTCCATGCTCATTTGTCACTATACTCTAACACCATAGTCTTCTTGGCTTCTTTAACTATTGTGTCTTCCTTAAAGCCTTTGCATATGCTATTTCATTTGCTTGGCATTCTCTTCACAAAGATTTTCCCATAGTAGACATCTTAGAGTCAATTTGCACACAGCCTAAATATCAACTTTTTGGAGAAGGTTTTCCCAAACACTTTAGTTGCCTCACTGTCTTTTAATTCCACCAGAATAGTTTTTTTAATGCCTTTGTCATCATCTATACTTGTATATTTCTGTGCTCACTTTTACATTCTTGTTTCCCACACTATATGAACTCCATGTAAAACAGGATATTTATCTGTCTAATTTACTGTTATAGCTGCAGTGTTGCCCAATAAATATTTATTTAATGAGTAGTTTTACATGGTAAAAACAATGAATCCAGTCCATTTTAGCAAGTGAGCTTGATAAAATAATTTTGTGTTAATGATGACCCAAAGAGAGGAAATTAATTTGAGGTATGCTTAAGGATAGCCTTAATGCAGGTTTGATATTCTTAATTATGAGTATCCTGCATTAAAATGTTAGTCAATATCCAAGCTACCAAACATAAATAGTCTCTAACCTATGGGTTCATAGAATTGTTCAACCATTAAGTAAATATTTTCTATTAAAATTACAGTTTCCATAATTCTTTTATTGGTAAAAAATATAAGGAGGAAACGTTGAAGGCACAGATTAAAGGGGAACCTCCTAAAGAATATTATGAAAATTAGCTTGCTAGAAATGAGTCATATTGAATGTTTAGATTCACAAATTCAGTGTGTTCTAAGTTAAAATATATTGTTTCAAAATAAAAATTAATAAGTTTTGTACTGTTTTATCACACACATATTTTAATTAGCAATATTAAATAAAGATGGTTAAGACAGATATAATTACTCCTCTTTCTTTTAGTAGAATGTAAGGGGAAGCAAGCCTTTAAGAGATAAATCCTATTTGTGATAAGATGAATGACTTCACTGGAGGTGAAGTCCATTTTAGTTCACATGTCCTTCCTCTTGGATGGAAGCTGAAATCTCATCTGTCTCTTAGCCTTTCTCTAGACTCAAGCTTTGACAGGGGTGCAGTGGAACCAACTCATGGTTCTTTAGGGATGAGTAACATTGAATCTATCACCTGTCTCATTCATCTTAAGATAGAGGATGTCTGGATGGTGACAGTGCCCTGCCCTAGAATCAGGGATAGGTACACAGGAAGAATGAACCTTTGGTTAGAATTAATATATGATTTTCTGGCTTATTCATCATGTATAAATAAAAGCTAAAACACCTCAGAAGACATAATCCTCATTAATAAATTAATTAATAGTTTAGCAATTGATTTAACATTTTTGAACATCTATTACATGTCAGGGACTTCCCTAGATATTTTCACATACTTCTTCATTTTGAATGCCATTAAATATATATTTATTATAAATGTGAGACATTTAGGGAGGAGATTGGGAGGAAGGAGGAGTTCGGGGAAAAAAACAGAAAAAAAAAATAAGTGTCGACTACTATGTTTAGTACCTGGGTGACTGTACACAAAACCCCTGAGTTGCAAGTTTACCTGTATATGTAGCCCTGAACTTTTTAGAATAAAAGTTATAATATTAAGAAAACACTCATGTTTTGTAATAAATTTTCCCTGTCTAAAAATTTGTTATGGGAATTTGAAAGGACATAGTGCTGTTGGTTGTTTGCTGAAATTTGTGTTTCTGTTTTGCATTTATTCATAGTTCTTCTCATAAGTAATTGTATTTAAAAAAATTTAGACTCAAATAACAATATTTTGAAAATGCATACATATATTCCTCAGTACTATCGTTTTTGTAATTTTCTATGTAAATTTAAGCAAGTTACTAAAATTCTCTGAACTTGAGCTTCCTAATTTGAGATATTAATAGTTGAGATAAGATGGTGTCTTGGGTCCCTTCCAGTCCTAATTCTCTATTATTTGTCTTTGTCATTGACAGATGAATGTCTTATACACACAGTGTTACTTAGGAGTGCTGTTCAAAATATTTAAGGATTAATTCAGTGAACTGTGGAAGCTCAGATATCAATGAGCACCCTGTGATGTGACTTTTGGGGAATACTGTTTGGCAGTATGAGCCAACAGCCTGGTTGACGAAGGGTGCAGATGGGCACTGGGTATTTCCCTGTGAGGGTGCCATTGCCACAGTTGGGCCATTGTCTATTCTGCTGTGATCTGCTCTGACCAGAGAAAAAGGTTGAGATGGGGACTGGCAAGCAGCAACCAAGATGGGTTGGCTGGTAGGCTTGGCAGGCTAGAGGGTACCAGGTCAGTGCCCTCTAGGTGCCCACCTGTGGCTCCCCAGGCAGAGTTGGCCTGAATAACTGAGGATAGGGTGGCTCAGAGGGCAGATATTTTTCAACTAGCATGTATTTCCATATAATGATCAGTACAGACATACTTCTATATATGAGCTATATTCTGGCTGAACATCAATTCTGGGGAATCATTTTCCACAGCAACATTCCTTTCCCTCAACCTTAGCTTAGATACTTCTAAATTGATTTGTAAACATAGTGTGATAGTGTTTCAAATCTACATGAAACCATTAATCTCCCATCTGTGGGATTAAAAACAAAACAAATATTTATGGGGAATCTACTATGTGAATGTGTCTGTTCTAGGCACTGGGTATACAGTGGTGGAGAAGACAAGTCTCTATCTCTGTAGGGTTTATAAACCTTCTACAGATGAAAGAGGAGGAGGAGACTGGGCCAGATAGAATTATTGGCCCAGGTGAAGGTAGAATGAAAGTCTTATGGGCTTCTATTGCCTCCAAGAGTGATCAGACTGACATTTCTTGATCACTTTCTAGCCTCCTAGGTTTATGTCATATTTTAGAAGCTTATCTATCATCTATCTATCTATCTATCTATCTATCTATCTATCTATCTATCTATCTCTATCTATCTATCTATCTATCTATCTATCTATCTATCTATCTATCTATCTATCTATCTGATAGACGGAAAGAATTGGCAGATCCTTCCACTACTTCACTGTATGACAGCACTACAAATCCCATAAGATATTTGGGAGATTTAGGAGCATTCTTATGTTCATGAATGGATCAAACTTTTGAACATGATTTCCTTACCTATACTCTCTAATCAGCCATTGATAAAGAAAACCAGTGACATACATTGGAAAAGACAGAGAGAAAAAACATCCAATCACATTAGACCTGGGCCTGCTCTGCACACAAGGGAAATAGAACCAATCCACAACCACATTTTAAGAGTGCAGAAAAGTCTAACCCAGTGTATTTGCATCAGGTGGCCCTCATATTAAGTATTTCTCTGAGTTAAGTTCTGATGGCCCTGTTTGAAATGGGTTTACTTGGAACAGATCCACATTAAACTACCATTTCTCTTTAATAGTTTTGCACAATTTTACTCACCAATCATTTAACAAAGAAGAAAATGGGATGGGGAGGAGAGCGGGGTGTAATGGAACAAAAAAAATTCATGCATAGTTCAAAGACAAACATTTCTACCTACTTTAAGCTTACGTGAATGTAAGACAAAAGAAGATGAAAATACTTTGTGAACAATAATAGGATATGTGAAGGAAGGTTAACGTGATTGTTACCTATTTTATGGTGGATCTAGAGCACAGCTATTAAGTGAGTTTGATTCATTTGTAACGGAAGTGTTCTTGTTGGAAGCCAGAAAATTTTATGTTAAAAAGAGAATGTTATTCTTATAATTTTCTTTCTTCCTTTTCCTGCCTTCCTTCCTTTTTTCCTTCCTTTCTTCCTTTTTTTTTTTTTTTTTTTTTTTGATGGAGTTTCGCTCTTGTTGTCCAGGCTGGAGTGCAATGGCTCCATCTCGGCTCACTACAACCTCCACCTCCTGGGTTCAAGCGATTCTCCTGCCTCAGCCTCCCGAGTAGCTGGGACTACAGGTGCCCACCACCATGCCCGGTTAATTTTTTGTATTTCCAGTAGAGATGGGGTTTCACTATGTTGGCCAGGCTGGTCTCGAACTCTTGACCTCAGGTGATCCACCCACCTCTGCCTCCCAAACTGCTGGGATTACAGGCGTAATCCTTTTTCTTATGATTTTTATATTAATAGTACTTTTTGAATACCTTTTTATAGTTTACAAATAACATTTAAAGTAGTTACAATGGCTGAGTTGGATATGGATTTGAAACCAGCATTTTCGATATGTCAATATGCAGCTGCCAAACAATTTTTTTGTTATAAATTTACTAAATCAAAGTAACAATTGGTACTGAATAATTTTTAATACATGGCTTATTTTATCTTAATATTATTTTAAAATCTTGAATTTTAGAGGGCATATGCTTAATATTATTTAAAAAATCACTGGTTAGGTTTATGGTCTAGTAAATTTGGCTTTTTAATTACAATTATTTTATCAGGTCCAGAGAAAGCAAAGGTTATGGATTTCTTCTTGTTTATTCCTGGAACTTACTACATGTAAACTGATAAATATACATAGGCACATGCACATATCTTACTATTTATCTAAAGAATTAAGGGCTCATGATCATCTTAAAACACTACATTACAATTTTGGAGGGGTAAAATTTATTCCAAAGATGATGTTATAGTACTTCTTTTTATAAAAATCACTCTTTTATTCTACAGTTATATTTTTGATCATTCATCGAATATGTCAAAAAATAGAATGATTAATAATGATTATTTTTGTAAGAATTCAGAGTGTTTTGAGAAAAAAAGAGAAAATTGTATATATAATACAAAAACTAAAGTGTACTTAAAAAATTTAAGCATAGCTTTTTGACTAAATTTTATAAAGACGTACCTATATGATTAACAAAACAAGAAAACTGAAAAAATTATTCAAGTGCAATGATTTAACACTGTTTACTAACTCTCAAGATTTTTATATTTGAATATATTTTCTTCACCTTTTATAGCATTTGGTGATATGTTAAATAACATTAACTTTTGGCTATCATGAATTCTATTTCTGTTCTTAAAACAATACCCAAGGGATGTTTTGTTACAACATTTTACATTTCAATTAAGCAGATTTTCATGTAATTGTCTTGTGTATTTTATGTCAAGTATTGAATAAATAAATATCTTAATCTTTGTTCTGAAAGTAATTAAACAAACTATTATGATACTTTTATATTTGATCATCCTTACTTCAACCAATTGGACTTACTGGATTGATGTTAACTTATAATAATTCTCTCCTACATTTTTCATGTATTAACACAACATAGCAAAAGTTGGTTATCGTTGAATAATTCAAATAATAGTATTTCAGTTTATTTTGTGCAGCAAAATTGATTTCTCTATAAAATTCAATGAAATTTTTGTTTAAAAAGTTTTAAATACATATTAGTCATTTTTGTATACTCAATTTGTCTTTTATAGATAACATGACGTTTTTATCAAAGTAATACTTCTCATTATTCATATTTTCTGTTTACATCAAAGCATATTTTATATAAATTGATAACTTGCCTTTTTAAGAGCAGTTACCACCATAAACATGATATCTGGCTTAGTGTTAATTTTGAAAAGTTTAAATTGCATTATGAAATGAAAATTTTATGCAGCTAAACAAATAAATATTACATATGTGGGTCAAAAACACCAGTAAAATGACATCAAATGCACTTCATAAGATAGATGTACAAATGCATTTCAGTTCTTTTCTCATCAGTCTCCTTTATATTTTTAGACAGTCTTTATGTGAATACAATGACTTCAATATCAAACATTTTAAATGATGCTTGAAATATCAGTCACTTGACTTTGATGTCACACACAATTAAATCCAACCCATCTTCTCTCAGTTAATAACAGCAATCTCACCAAGTCTAGTGCCTAATTAATACTAGCTATTTGTCACAAAAAGGTGACACATGTATATCAGAAAGCTTGAAATATTGTTTTGTGCTGAAGTGTAGCCAGCCAGCCCTGCAATATAGAATCTGTCTTATGTATGATTGGCTTTAAAGATTTCAAAGGCCCCTGAGTTTAGTGTGTTCAAGCTGGGACGCGACAGTGCATAGAAGGTGTTACTGATGTGATGGGTCCCTTTAGGCTGCTAAGTAGGAAGGTATTTAGAAAGAAATGCAGCTCTAACTGAAAGGCTCAGACTTAATAATTCACTTAGGTGATGGGAAGAATTAAGAATAAAGTCTCTATGGTAATTTGGTTAACTTGCAGTTTTTAAGCTATGTGACAGAATACACAATCATAAATTGTCTTGTTTTCTTCGGAAAAACATTTCTGCCTCAAAAATGCTGTTTACTTACATTGATTTATATACAATTAAAATGGTATCCATTAAATAAGTAATACTTTTACTTCTTAAATTCATTTACAGTATGTGACAAGAGATTGACTTAAAGAGTTATCATTAGTCATCAAATTAGGGGAAAATGCCTCAGGTAAATACAGGTAGGTCATAAACTATATAGTTGTATCAAAAAATAGGTGAAAAAGCAGGGGACTTTTGTGATCAAGTACTTACAAACCTATTCATATACATTAACATTTAGAACTTGGGTTATTATATATACACCAATATATTAAATTGAAAAGAAATGGACTAAGCATAACCAAAAAGCTACTATATTCTTGTAGCTTAGATTTTTCTGCTAAATATTATAAAATCTCTCTGTAGGGTTATGAAGAAAACTAAAGTGTTGCCAAGCATTGTATTAAACAAGCATTCTCTCTCTCTCTTTTTTTTTTAGAAAGAAAGTAAAAAAAAAAATCTACAGAAGTTGCTTAATTTAGGTTTAACTGTAGTTGTTCTACAATTTTCCTCACTACTCCAGTTTAGTCAGGTTACTCTCCTAGTGGGTATTTTTTCTTACCCTAAACGCATGTTTTACCTTGAATTTACTAGCCACATAGTAAGTTTTACTCCAGTTCATTTTTTATTGAAACCAGTGGGAGAAAGGGCTGATTGTAGTTGAAAAAGGAGAAAGAGTTGTAGAGCTATAAAATAGTGACTATTAGAAAATGGAGATGCTTTAAAAGAATGCAGAGATTCTACTTCTCTCAATGGCCAGAAGGCTGTAAATAGCCAACTATCCAAGCCGACATGGTTGAAAGCAAACAATGCTGGTGGGTATCAAAGCAGCTACAGTAGCATAGTCTCACTCTTTTCAGGCCAGCTCAATTTACAGAGCACCAAGTCCGCATCTTTTTTTTTTTTTTACCTTTCTCCCAAGTGGAGGCTTAAGGAATGTTTCTTCAGATATAAATGCAACTGAAAAAAAAAACAAAAACAAAAACAAAAAAACAATAAAACACTGAGGTTTCTTTAGGTATATGATACTGAAAAAAATGAATTTTATTTTTCACTGGCTTCATCTGTAGATGCAGCACACCTTCCCCCATTGGAGAATGTGCTTTTCTTCTATCTTTAATTACATTTTAATGTATTTGTCCCATTAAACATTCTCTAACTCCTAGACAAGCATTAAAAAAATAGCAACAAAATTGTGCTGTGGGGGTGTGAGGTGAAGTGAAGGCCTCAATATTGGTTCTTCTGACAGGTCCTTGGAGGTGCTAGAAACCACAGACTAGTCCCGCAAAGGGCTGTGGCACACGTTCTCAAGTTCCCAATGTGGTTGTTTGAGACCTGCAGCAGCTTCTGTCTACAACCTCTAGCTCCTCCATCAGCCTCTTAAAGACCACCTCAGCCAGGTCATTCATACAGCAGCTCCGTGTCCATTCAAGATAGTATTTCTTAAACCAGGTTGACACTAAACTATAACCTTGGTTACATTGGATAAAACATTAGGTCACCCCTTCGAGTATCCTACAGACAATTTTAGGCAGGTCAGGCCATGCAGCCAGGAGACCCAAAAAGGGGTGAAATAAGACTCCCCGTCATTTTTCTCTCGAGGAAATTATCTCTTTGTTTGCAACTGTGCATTTTCGGTCCCCTCTCTTCCATTTTGTCCCTTCTTACTTGAACATAAAAATTCCATTTAGGACTAAGTCAAGATATTAAGCAAACAAATATAATAAGCTTCTACTCTGTATAGTAAATATCTGCCAAGTTGAAGTGAGAGATTATCCTAGCCCTCTTTTCCTTTGCTGATGACAGCTCATGTTTCCTGTGGGAGGCATTTCACCACATCTTCTATTCAGTTGCTAGTAGAGTGTGGTGATGTCCTCCTTTCAAATAAGACTCTTTTAAGAATAGCATCCCAAGATTTGTGGGAGTTTATACTTTCAGAAAGAAAATAATGAGTCGAAAGAGGTAAAGATATAATTTGATTTTTATACCAGAGTTAGGAGCTACTATGAGGACCAGTGAAACCCGCTTAGGTTTTTCAGGCAATGCTTCAAAACAGCACAATTTTATCAGAATGGGGAGTAGATATTAGTCTCTCACAAAATTCTTTCCTTATGTAACTTGAAAACAAATATTAAGAATATACTTCAGAGTTGTTCTGAAATCATCCTTTGTCTTTTCACCTTTTAATATCTTATTTACTTGTCTGTGCTTAGGCTCCCAGGCATGCATATGTGGACAGTGTGACTGTTAGGGCACACTGTTTAGGGCCCTGAATTTTCTGAATTAAGATTTGTCAAAGAGATACACAGTAAGTCACATGACTTAAGCATGGATTGTTTCTGGACTTTGTATTTTGTCAGCTTCTCTAAATTGCAGTTATTTATAGAATGCTGCTCAGAAGGTACTGTAATGTGCAATGGCTTTATAGGCCTACATGGAGTTTATCAATATAAATAATTTTTATTTTGGAGTGATGAATATGTAAAAATCATCTAGGGCTTACTGACTGATTTTTTTGTGGTTGAAGTTGATTTACTCAGTTACCGCAGTTTCATGTGATTATAGTAAAGTTACACAGTTCAGTTACTTAACCGTAAGTGGACATTTTTTTCATTACATGTGTTAGAAAATACAAAGACTTTTAGTTTGCAATTATACTAGAAAACAAACTTTGACTGATAGGCAAAGTGGGGATAGTTATACATTTTGGCCCAGCAGTGGAATTTTATCTATGCTTTAATTAAAATTTCACAGTGTGACACCTTCATCCTATATCACATCATATTTCTAGAAAGAATGTCACGACATGAAATTATTTTATTTTGTCTGTTTATTAAAAAGAACATTTCTACCTTTTCTTTTTATACATGTGTTTACTATTTCAAGATAAACAAAACAAAGCTATTTATGCATGTTTTGAAAATACACAGTTGATTCTATCAGGCTTAGTAGTTAGAGAAAATAAAACATTCTTCAAAACTTAACTTTTGGTATCTTCAATTTGCTGATTCAAGTCCAACTACCTAAGTCTATACACTATAAAGGTATAGGTATATATACAGTTTAAAAATCTAGAAACCTTGACATATTCATGGAATCTAAAATTTATGAAAGGACGGGCTAGGGCCATTTCTTTTATTATAGAATAGATACATTGGCTAGTGTATAGGCCTAGTCATAAAAATACCATTGCATCAAACAGAATGTGGTCAAGAGTAAAGATTTTGTTGTGGAAATATATTAAGACTTGGGATACTGCAGACAGAACAAACAGGAAGCAAGATTAGAAACAGAACAGAATATAAGAATCAGATTGTCAGGTCAAAGTCAGGCTCACCACAGAGCAAAGCCAGTTTGGTAAACTAAGGTCAGGAACCCTGGAAGTCAGAGTCAGGAGGGCAATGGGAAGTGCTATGATTCAAGCACACAGGCTGGGACAAGGTGGGGCCAGAGAGGCAGATCACCAACTGGGAGATGATGCCTGGGGTTCTCTAACATCTGGTGGCCCCTGCTGACTTTAATTCCTCCTGACCCTGGCTCTTAGGTTAACCTGTGCACACCCAGTATGCTTACTTCCTACAGAGTTCTAACATTTAATTTTAATGTAAAGTTGGGTGACATCAAAGGCAACCTCATGCCCTGTGTTTCAGTAGCCCCTTGTTTATGTGTTTTTACTTGTGTGAAGAAGCATTAAGGATCTTAGCATTTTATAATATATTCTAGAAAAATTATTTCCATAAACAAAATGTAAACATCCAAGTAACTGATATTTCTTCAAATGACCATGAAAATATATATATATATATATATATATATATATATATATATATATATACATACACATGCACATATATTTAAATTGAAGAACGTTAGGGCCTTTGAAAGGGATCACCATTATAAATGACTGCCAATTTTAATTAAAGCAATGTATATCCTTTGCTTGATGTATACTACAATGATGTTGCCTGTAATTTTTAAAAAAGGAAATAGATGAATTCTTCTTTTACTTATATAGTGACCTGTGGACTTAATTTTCCTGAAATCCAATTTCTATGACCATGAGTTACTTACTCTTCCCCTATGGGGAATGAATATGCATTAACATTTGATTCTATGTGCTTTAAATGTTTGCATTATAAAATTTCATTATATGGTTATATTTAGACACATACTTTCTATAAATGCCAATTAGAAAGTACAAAATATATATATTGAAGAACTTCCTTTGAGAAACTTTAAAAATATTTTTGTTGTATATTTTTTCAGCTTTTAATATAACTATTTTCACCACCTCTTCTTATAATCAAATGTTCCAGCACCCAAACTCAGTAAGTAATCCAAATTGCTTCTTAAGTTAATGAAGAAGTCTTTCTGGGTTTGCAGACTTAGTCATGTGATAAGCTAAAGGAATGAAGTAATAAAAGTGACAATGCTACTTTACAAGACTGAGAACCTATAAAACATGTAAATAATCTGTGCTGTGCCTACTAAATTTGTCTTGATTTCTCTAATAAAAAAGGCTTTTGTTTGAAATAAAAGTGAAGGGTAGCTTTGTTAAATATTAAATTCCAAGAGATTAAAAATATAATTTCCTTTCCTCCTCTTGGTATTTCTCTTATTCTATTGCATGGCATTCTTGGAAATCACTATCGTATTGTTTATTTTTTAAATTAAAATGCTGTTACAACTGCAGTGTTTTTGCGTTGTATGAATATTTTATTGCATGATGAAAAAGAATGATTGTGAAAGCCCTAAAATGCTCAATTTTTCATTTAAATATTTTACAAGGAAAATCCTACTGAGATACATCTTCTTTTCATGGGTGTCCTGGTGGGCCTCACAGAAAGGAGATATAATATATATAGTTCTACAATCCAGTGCATTTCAATTTTATAAAACAGAGGGACAGAGATGGCTTTCTGTTCTAAGTGGAGTGCTAACATCTTACCTGGGTGCCATGTCTCCAACCCAAGGTTACCCTCCATGAAGGTAAAAAATGACTGAGCTGTTCTAAAAAGCCCAAAGCCCTCTGTTCTAAAGCTAATCATTTATTTGGAAAGAATGATAATAGACCAAGTATTTTGTTTATGCACATGGGAAAGTTTGACTTATAATGTCTTTTATTTCCAGGTACTTCTTTATAAACAAGAAACAAATTTATATCTCAGATGAGGCAGCCATGTTTATGTTACTTTTATAGCTAGTAAGTTTGTAAATATTGTTTCCCTATAAATTCCAAACAAATTAAAAAGCTGGCATGGAAAATGGTGTAGTTTAAATCCAATTTAATTATTTCTCTCCTCTCCCCCAACTTACAAACATTTGTGGGATTTTCCATACAATCTGAGTTCAATAACAGTGTTTATAGCCATAATACTATACTATATATTTTATATGTATAAGACATAGATGTGAAAAGCAGTACTAATTTTTGATAGATTAAAAAGCCACCTGTTGAAAAAAACTGGTAACATTTTCTGATAGAAAAATTAATTTTATTTAAACATGGCAGTACATGATATTCGTACTCTAGGGGTGAAACAGCCAGAATTTTGCAGGAGTTTTAAAAAGTGAATAAAAGGGGGAAACGGTTAAAAAATAAAATCTTGAGCTGTTGTTTGTACAGAATACTAAATTAATAGTATTTAATGTCTTTTGACATTATCTATTTATATTAAAGAATTCTTATAATTACATATTAGTAAAATTAATGTATTTAAATTTTAATATTAGTAAAAATTATTTAATGTGTTCAAATTCTAATGTGGAAGAGAAGCGATAGGAAATATTGTTAGCATTTGCAGTCATAGCTTTTATGTTGGTGAAAATGTTTAACTTTTATTATTTGTTCTAGTGTAGAACTCCAGAGATTCAGTTGATTTGACATTCCTGTCAAAACATAAGTAAAAATATTTAGCAGCCTCACTTCTTTTTTAAATTTCATTAGGTTTTTGGAGAACAGGTGTTGTTTGGCTACAAGAATAAGTTCTTTAGTGGTGACTTCTGAGATTTTGGTGCATCCATCACCCGAGCAGTGTACACTGTACCCAATATGTACTTTTATCTCTCACCCCTCTCCCAACCTTTCCTCTGAGTCCCTAAAGTCCATTGTATCATTCTTATGCCTTTGCGCCCTCATAGCTTAGCTCCCACGTGAGTGAGAATATATGATGTTTAGTTTTCCAGTCCTGAGTTACTTAAGGCTTCACTTAGAATAATGCTCTCCAATTCCATCCAGGTTGCTGCAAATGCCATTATTTCGTTCCTTTTTATGACTGAGTAGTTAGCAGTGTCACTTCTCAACATAAGCCTCCGTAGTTCCAGAAGGTACTTGTTTCTAAAGATGGTGTCAAACTCACTCAAGAATTGATTATATAAAGAGGGTTTAAGTTGAATTCAAATATGTAATTTGTTTCCCAAATGTCCTCAATCCTAAGAATCACCTGGCAACATTGCTTAAAGCATACATTTACAGACACCTTTCCTGGATTGAATAGGCCTGGGAAGGGACTCCTAAGCCTGTATGTTAAACAAGCAATCTAGGTGATTCTAAAAATCAGACAAGTTAGAGGAATACTATTTAATACAATGTGATTTACTTATACACCTTAAAGTTCTTTAATATAGAATCTATCCTGTTTACTAAGAGTCTCTGTGTAATCACTGAGAATGGTAAAGTCAACACAGATTTATTAAACAATTTACAACTAAGATGGGAATTAGCCAGGCATTCATATTTTTATATAAAATTTAATCACTTTGACAGCTACCTTTGAACATCATGAGATAAATGAACTATCTCACCATTCCAATTTATTGCTCTTAACTTGAAGACAGGAAAAGCAATGGCTTCAGAAATTCATTAGTGTCTCAGCAGTTGTGTTTCCTTGTCATAAGGATAATATTCTTTTAGCATGTACTAGCAAAATATTCTTCCTTTGTAGTATCTTAGCAATCTTTGTCTTTGAGAGAATAATCTTTTATCAAGTCTCCTGAGCTAATCATAAGCAGCCATAAACCCAGAATCAAATATATAAGGATGAATTTTAGACTGAATAAGTGAATATAATTACACCTCCCTATCCCCCATCTAACGTTTCTGTTGTATCTAATTTGTTCTCTCTCATCTCATGAAGAAATGAAACTTGGCTGTTAATTTTCTTGGCTTCCATTTTCTTAACAACTTTCTGGAAACAAAAATAATCATAGATTTGGACAGGATTAATACAGACTATAGCAAGCACTAAATTCACTCTTGAAGAAAATAATATCATTAGGGAACTTAAAAAATTCTTTAAGCATATTTTAATCTGTTGATGCAAATCAGAAAAGGTGTGCTTGCTTTTTCTCTCTCTTTGTCTTATATATATGATGTGCTGGAAGTATATGAGTATACATGTGTGCAAGTTTATGTGCATACATGGAGAGATTCTAGAGCAAGTTAAATTGCTGTGTATGTGAAACAACAATATATTTATCTTAGAAAATTTTCTTACGAATAAGCCATTTAAATCTACCCACTTTAGGAATAAAGTACATAGGAATCCTGTAAATTACAGGCAAAAGAAATAATCATTAAAATATTTTGCACTTGCAAGTGAGAGGCAGTTGTTGGGTGTTTGAGTACAGCCTCTAAAGTCAGACTTTTGCTCAAATTCTGGTTCTACTTCTTACTTCTTGATGACGTCGGGCTAGTCACATAACATGGTTGGGTCTCTGCTTTTTCATCTATAAAAGAGGACAGTAAGGGGCCGGGCGCAGTGGCTCACGCCTGTAATCCCAGCACTTTGGGAGGCCGAGGCGGGCAGATAACAAGGTCAGGAGATCGAGACCATCCTGGCTAACACGGTGAAACCCTGTCTCTACTAAAAATACAAAAAATTAGCCGGGCGTCGTGGCGGGCGCCTGTAGTCTCAGCTGAGGCAGGAGAATGGCGTGAACCCGGGAGGCGGAGATTGCAGTGAGCCGAGATGGCGCCACTGCACTCTAGCCTGGGCGACAGAGCGAGACTCTGTCTCAAAAAAAAAAAAAAAAAAAAAGAGGATAATAATAATAGTAGTTCTTATCTGATAGTATCCTTGTAAGTATTAAATGCACTAATATATGTAAAGTTCTTAGGAAAGTGCCTGGCACATTTTCAGCACTTAAGAAATATTAGAAATTATGTTTATGCTCATATACATACATATTCAGGATATTAATTACATTTTTTTTCCCTGCAAGAAATGGACACTTTTCAGAGTGTCATGAAAAGTATCATCCAAATAAGTTGTATTTGGTGTAAATTTTCGTCTTTCTAAAGTTCAAGTCCTGAGAAAATGTACTCTTTAACTCCTTTATTCCTTCTCTATCACGTTTTCCTCTTGTGTATTTTTTTTTTTTTTTTTGAGACGGAGTCTCGCTCTGTCGCCCAGGCCGGACTGCGGACTGCAGTGGCGCAATCTCGGCTCACTGCAAGCTCCGCTTCCCGGGTTCACGCCATTCTCCTGCCTCAGCCTCCCGAGTAGCTGGGACTACAGGCGCCCGCCACCGCGCCCGGCTAATTTTTTGTATTTTTAGTAGAGACGGGGTTTCACCTTGTTAGCCAGGATGGTCTCGATCTCCTGACCTCATGATCCACCGGCCTCGGCCTCCCAAAGTGCTGGGATTACAGGCGTGAGCCACCGCGCCCGGTCTTGTGTATTTTATTGTACAAGAAACATTTAGTTAATGCTGTCGATAGGTTATGAGCATTATGCCTTTTGTTATAGACGAATACTGATGAATCAGCCTTCACTAAATACATAGTGATTATGACTCAAGGAATGCAAGTCTGTTCATGGTATTAGCCAAACCTATGTGGAAATTAGTTTTGTCATAATAGGGTTTACCTCTTTTTCATTTGCTGACAATCTGGACCTTATAAACTGCATGTTGAAAAGTCATTGTTTACTATAGGAAGATATTCTTACTATGTCTGTATCTAGCCAAAACCAATTAACCATGAAATGTGTACACAGATCCAGGAAAAGATGTGTTAGGCATAATTGGAAGTCACTTTAAATTACAGATATAGCTATATACAGCTTTTATTTTTCCAGAAAATTAACTGTGAAAAAATATGATACATAATGTTTGAAAAATATATTGTTTACTAAAAGCCAAAACAAACATCTAGTCAGACTTTACGTAGTAAAAAAGTCAAACCTTATGTATCATTTGATCTGTTTTACTAAATTATAATTTCAAGATAGAAATTACATTTTAGTAGCTCTTCATACAATAATAGAAATTATTTTATCTCTCTTCAGTGTAGTTTCTGGTCTAGTAAGTTTGAGTTTGCTTTAAAAACTTGGAGTGAGTTCATTTCTATCAGTATTCATTCAAATCTACTAACTATTTTAATCACATATTTCTTATTCTAATAAAGATTTTATATCATATAAAAGATAAAATTTTGTATGTCTGTAGGCCTCAGAAGGTTCTTTGGCTTGGTAAAATGTCACCCCTGCATAGTTGTTACAGGATTGTCCCCATTCTCCTAAAGGCCTATCTGATTCTAAAATCTATTGGGGTCTTGATGTCTTTCTCAAATAGCAGCTATAAGAAAACATTTTCCAGGGATTTTGAAAACAGCTAAGAAATCCTCTAGCCTATTAACACAGCAAGAAGCCATTGCATAGGATGACATTTCAGATCCAGAATGCTTGTTTTTCTGGTTTGTAAGCAAGAACACAGTATCACAGTGATCTGATTAGAATAACCAAGGACAACAATTATTCCATACACCTCCTCTTTTTATAGGTTTGTCAACTACCTAAGCTTACCCTTCTGGTAGCTATCGCTGGTGCAAGTCTCTTTCTGAGGCAGAGGGTCCTTTCTTGCTAATGGTCCTGAGTTAGACACCATTGCTTTTTAAACTATGATGTTCATACAAATAACCTACACTTAGGGTACAGAAAAAAGTTACTGATTCTGTAAGTCTGGAAGGCTGAGATTCTTCATTCCTAACAATATGGTGCCAATGTTGCTGGTTTATGTAGTAGGGGAAATACTTCCTTTTTTAGGAAGAACTAGAAAGGGACTTTGGTTCTCAGTGAAATCTAGGCTTGCTCTGGCTCCTGATTCATTGTTTGGCTAATTGAAGAGGAAATGGTGGGTGATGTGAAGAGTTGGTGATCATATACGCATGTAGGGTGTCTCCCGTTGCACTGTCTAGGACAGCATATTTTTTTGCTCTCAAAGATAATTCCCCTGGGGTTAAGAAGCGCAGGAAAGGTGGTGTGGGCAGGCGGAGGTCTCATAGAGTTCAGGTGGTAACCAGAGAGAGAGGGAAGGGTATGTAAGTAAAGACAGAATAAATACAATCCTACATGGTGTATCCGATTTAGAAATTAGAAAATGGTGGCTAGAGGACTGAGATTTCATGTGGCGATATGGCAGAATGCAGAGAACATGAGGGCTTTTCAGTTATATTTATATTTGAATTTAGTTTTGGATGTCTTAAGTCTCCTACTTACCCAGTGAGTAAACCTGGACAAGTCACCGCCCTCTCAGACACAACTAATTTATTAGTTAACCAGAGAGAATGATAACTGCCTTTACAAATAGATTCAGGGATGAAGCAAAAGCAAACACAAACTGCCACGAGTCGTAACAATGGACTTTAAAAGTAACCCAGATTATAGCACATTTGATACATGTTTGTTGAATGAGTTTTCTTAAATGAGTTTGCTTTGGCACTTCGACATAGTCTTCTCTGGCCTAGCTAAATCTACTGGTGGCAGTTGCTACAACCAACTATCACTCTTTTATTTTTGGGTGCTGCTATTAGATTTAAAATGTCTTTTCTCTGGATGAGAATTACAGTGACTCTTTCCCATGCCACTACCTCCTTTACTTCATCCTTTTTCAACATTCTTTTCAGCATGTGCAGAACCTCAGGGTCCCTCCATGCTGGGGACCTCCAGTAGAAGGAAGTGGCAGCCCCTGTCATCTTCCTCTTCCTGGCTGGGGAGGAGAGTGCGTGTATGTTTATGTGGCGAACTGAGTAACAGATTGAATAGCAGCTTCACTTTATTCAAGCTCTGCTCTTCACCTGTGAGTAGACACACTGGTTTTTATTTTTCTGTTGTTCCCTGGCAACGTGTCAGTGGGGTAGCAAAATACCATGGCAGGTTACCTATTTGTAATGCAAATGAAGTTTTTGAGTATGTGTTGCTTTTGGTCTTTTTTTTTTTTTATGTGAATTGTTAATCCATAACACGTTGCTGCTTCTGAAACAAACTTGGACTTTCTAGTGCCAGAGCGTCCAGGGCAGAATCGACAGATTCCTACTGTCTTTCCTTGAAGAGTTTTATGGAAGTGGAACCTGTCAATTGTCTTAGTTTGGGTAAACCTATATAACATTCCCAGGTTCTGGGATTCTTAAGAGGCAGGAAGGCTTTACATTTCTGGTGGCTCATGAAAACTGATAAGATAGGTTGCTACGTTTCTTTTTAATATAAAAGAAATGTTCTGGGCTATATTTTTGAGCTGTAAAGAATGAATATTAATATTGAAAATGACAAATATTTGATTCTGGCCTCTATTATAGATCCTTTTCTTTCTAATGTTTTATGAGCACTTACTGTATGCCAGATGCTCTGGTATGAGAGGTGACAGCGTGCTGGCAGTCCTCACAGCCCTCGCTCGCTCTCCGCGCCTCCTCTGCCTGGGCTCCCACTTTGGAGGCACTTGAGAGAACTTCAGCCCGCTGCTGCACTGTGGGAGCCCCTTTCTGGGCTGGCCAAGGTCGGAGCCGGGTCCCTCAGCTTGCGGGGAGGTGTGGAGGGAGAGGCGTGGACGGGAACCGGGGCTGCGCGGTGCTTGCGAGTTCCGGGTGGGCGTGGGCTCGGCGGACCCCGCACTCGGAGCGGCCGGCCGGCCCCACGGGCCCCGGGCAGTGAGAGGCTTAGCACCTGGGCCAGCAGCTGCTGTGCTCAATTTCTCGCCGGGCATTGGCTGCCTTCCCGCGGGGCAGGGCTCGGGACCTGCAGCCTGCCATGCCTGAGCCTCCCTACACCTCCATGGGCTCCTGTGCGGCGCGAGCCTCCCTGACGAGCGCCGCCCCCTGCTCCACGGCGCCCAGTCCCATCGACCACCCAAGGGCTGAGGAGTGCAGGCGCACACACAGCGCGGGTCTGGCAGGCAGCTCCACCTGCAGCCCCGGTGCAGGATCCACTGGGTGAAGCCAGCTGTGCTCCAGAGTCTGGTGGGGACTTGGAGAACCTTTATGTCTAGCTAAGGGATTGTAAATACATCAATCAGCACCGTGTGTCTAGCTCAGGGTTTGTGAATGCACCAATTGACACTCTCTATCTAGCTACTCTACTCTGGTGGGGACTTGGAGAACCTTTGTGTCCACACTCTGTATCTAGTTAATCTAGGGGGGACATGGAGAACTTTTGTGTCTAGCTCAGGGATTGTAAACGCACCAATCAGCACCCCGTTAAAACAGACCACTCGGCTCTACCAATCAGCAGGATGTGGGCAGGGCCAGATAAGAGAATAAAAGCAGGCTGCCCGAGCCAGCAGTGGCAAACTGCTCCGGTCCCTTCCCACGCTGTGGGAGCTTTGTTCTTTCTCTGTTTGCAATAAATCTTGCTGCTGCTCACTCTTTGGGTCCCCAGTGCCCTTATGAGCTGTAACACTCACCGCGAAGGTTTGCAGTTTCACTCCTGAAGCCAGCGAGACCACGAACCCTCCGGGAGGAACGAACAACTCCGGACACGCCGCCTTTAAGAACTGTAACACTCACCGCGAGCGTCCGCAGCTTCATTCTTGAAGTCAGTGAGACCAAGAACCCACAATTCCGGACACAGTAGGAGCCAGTGTTACAAAAAACAAAAGCAGAACCAATTTCCTGCCTTCAAGGAACATGAAGTCACTGGTAAGGTGCTACAGTAATGCCTAGGGTCAGGGAAGTTATACTGATTTGGGATGTGGAATGGTGGCCAGCAAGGCTTCTTGGTGAAAATGACAGAGGTAGTAGTAAAGGTCAGTAGATAAAGAAACAAGTTTTGGAAACAGACAGGGGATATGAAATTCTAGCTGTGCTACTTAAAAATTGTGAGGCTGAGGCCCTACAGCAAGATATTTGACTTCTCTCTACACCTTGGTTTCTTCATGTGTAAGACACAGGCAAAGATATCTACCTCATAGGCTGGTGGCAGAGTTCAAATGCAAACAAATGTAGACCTGATTACAGTATTAACACATGATAAACAATAAGAGTAGTCCTGCCAACTGTTATGATGTGTGTTGACATTTATGCTTTTATTTGAATGAACAAATGTGAAAATATTTTTACAACTTCCAAGTTTCATAGACCTTTCATGGCATCTGGTAATTTCTCCTAATAGTAATCATTCATCTAAGCAGTTTTTCTCTAAGAATCCTCCAAGTGTACAGATAATCAGCTTTATTACCTGCTGTATTTCCAAAATTGCTGCTCACAGTACAGAAACAATTGTTGGAAAAAACAATTAGAGGAGATGGTATATATGAGAAATCATGACATTTTGTGGTAACTTTGGCACGTAGTTTTAACGGTTATTTGTATACATGTGAAAGATGGGTTCTTAATGAGAGTTTGAAATAATCTGACCTGGGGATTCTTAATGAGCAGAAAGGCTCATTAAGGCTCATCTAAGGGATGATGAGGGTAATATTTGGACATTGCAAAACATGCCACCTGTTTGCATATATTAGCTTAAGCCATTTTTTAACTGCACATTAAAATTGGAATCCACACAATGAACTCTGGATAGTAATGAAAGTAGCTGCAGCAGCTTCCACCCAGTGTTTGCCTAATTGGGCCAATAAGCTCAAGGCTCCTAGCTGAGGATTGTTGAACTATGTAAAAAGATGTACTGGCTATAGTTATAAATGTGCATAAATTAATACATACTTGGGTGACAGAAATGTGTAATTACATCAATAGGTAGGTCATCATTACTTGAAGTAAGGGTGTTTCTTTTAATTACTTTCTGATTTTCACAAACCAGTGTACTCATTGAGCACAATGTTGGTCGTTAGATACTTTCTATAGTAATATTTTTGAGAAATGAGTGTGTTTGCATGTTTATGTTGTCCTGATTTTCTAGCTTTACAAAGCTTCATATTATGAATATAGGAAAAAGTAAAATGATAACACAGGTTATACTTTCAATATATTGATTTTTTTTTTGTATAGATAGGAAAGTAATGTGGGGAACTTTGACTTTTTTTGCTGGAGTATCTACTTGCAAGAGTTCTTTAGAAACCTCTACAACACAACCTTACCGTGAACAGGGTAAGGTTAGAAACACTGCCTGATTAATACACATTTAAAAGTAAATAAATGACTTAAGTACTGATAATTACCATAGTATCATGGAATGCCAAGCCCCCCTAAAAATTGTGTTCATTTAGAACACATTTTAAAATCTGTGATTAAAAAAAATTTGTGAAAACTCTTGTCTATACCATTGAGAAGTCTTTAAACTAGGTTTACATATTGTCTTAAGAAGAGGATTAGTTGCTATTGGAAGCACCCTCTCTATTATGTCTTTATTTTCTCATTAAATGTAAGTCAAATATGTGGTCTTCAGAAGCATATCACTAGAATTATATCAAAGCATGAACTTCTGACAATAAAAGTAATGTAATTAATTTAAAATTAAGATAAAATGATAATGTAAAAATTAATTATTCTAATTTTATAATCAAGTAGTTTTAAACGGTTATAAAAATGAGAATAGTTAAAGAAATAGAGCTTTGAGAAAAAGATATTTTATTGTAAGAGCAGTGCTTTGTTAATGTAATATTATTGATAGAGGAGAGTTGAAAATTAATACATGTCTGTTAGACAAAGGCTGGAATTATTGCCGCAAACCATAATAATTGATTACATGAGTTCATTTGTCTAATGGAGAGCACAGTTAGAAACCAGGGGATATAGTCTTTTTTGATTCAGATCTAAATCTTACATGGGAGATTCTGTTATTTCCTTAAAGTGAGTCTGATAACTTCATAGGACAATTTCGTTAATTTAAAAATTTTAACTGTTGAATATGTCTGAATTACACCACTCATTTGCTAGAGATCATTTAAAATAAGAATGCATTTATGATATTAAGAAATTCAGTAATATATGATGTTCTAAATTTGCTATTCTTCCTCTAGTCTTTAAAATTGACTTCTAAGTTTACTTTTGGACAGGATAATTATTCTGAAGCCATTGCTTTTAATTTTGCTGTTGACACTGATTCTTACTGTCTTAGTAAGTAAACTGAATTGACACCATGAAGTTAATCATTGAGAATTTCAATATGTTATCATGTTTTCTGGGGCCCTTAAATGAGCCTTTATCAGTAAAAACTGGTATTTCTGAATAATTTTAGAACATGTATCACTTTTTCTTTACGATGTTTGAATAATAAAAATCTCTTCCTTTTCTTTGTATTAGGGGGAGGGAAAACCCACAAGACATATCTGAATTTTTCTGGACAGTTGCTTGGGGAAAAAATTGTAATAAACAGTAGAAGTTCTGTGTGCAATGGTTGAAAGCTAATTGCTTTGTAGAAAAATAGATTGTAGTTGTGAGTATCCTCAACCATGAGGCGTTGCTTGTGAAGATTCCAGCCTCTGAAATGCAACTTTTCTCCCCCCTTTTTTTTGCTGGATGAACAGCCTAATGTTCCATGCATTGTACTAGTAGTAGCATTTTATGCAACATTGGAAGAGTCAATTAATTTGCATAATTTCATGAGTATTACCATGACTTTAAGGTAGGCTAGCTTGCTCAGGAGCCTTGTCTGCTCAATATTTTTTTTTTGCTATTTTGATGAATTAATCATTTTTAAAAACAATTAATTATACTTATGACAAACTAAACCCCATACCCAAGGGTCCTAAATTTTTATAGCAGAAATCTAATATTAATGTGAATAAGATCAGTGATTTAGTGAGTACCTTAACAGTCAACAATGCCTAGGGCTTGAACAAAATTAATATTTTGTTTCCCATCTGGAGACTTCAGTAAAATTAATGAGGAAGGGGTGTTTATTGTAATATGTAATAGCTACAAATTCACTATTTTCAAACTGAGCATTCTGTTTACATCAGAGCTCAGATTTTTTTTGTAGTTTTCAGCAGAGTGGGTTGGCAGAATCTGTTCTCTTCCTGAAGGAAAAATGAGCACTAATTACTTCTAATGCCCTGCCCCATTGGACTAAGTAAGAAATTAATATTAATTTAGATGATATATTTAGTGATCAACATTTTTTTGAAAAAAGTAAGGTTTTAAATAAGCATAATCTTAAATATTGTTAAAGGACTGAATGAAACATGGCAGTATTAAATATTAATTGCATAAATGACCAAATATGCCAACATAGGAGAAAATCTGGAATTTGTTGTTTCTACAAGGAATTCTATGCCAGTCTTGTAACAATATGGGGATATTTTCTGAAAAAACCTGCCTGCCTCATTTCTTTTTGAATTTGTATATTTTGAAATAATGCTTGGGGATATAGGGCAGTCCTGGATTAAGATGATATTTAGAATTTAGTGAAAAAAAATACAATAAATATAGCCCAACACATTTGGATGAGTTTCCAAATGCCCTAATATCTATTTTAAAACTTAGGTTAAGTTCCAGTCTAGGTAGAAAGAACAGTTTACATTGGTGAATATTTCCATGGAGTTACAAAAAATCAACATCTTCAGTTCTTAGAGTTATCTGTTTTTGTTCGTATCAACACTGAGTAGCATTTGTAAAGCTGCATTTTATTTGTGTTTTAATTTCTATGAAATGTCTCACAAGATGTTTTTCATCTTTGAAAAGAACTGCTGGTAAAAAGAAAGTTAGACAAGTATACTTAATATGCATGAATCCTCAATACAGCTTGGGTTGCGTATGTACATGTATGTATATATTGCTTATATAAACATCATAGATAAGGAATAAGTTTTTGACATCCAGGGAAATTATTGCATAAGACTGTAGTTGAGCCCAGTGGTTCAATTGTGTATATATTCTGTCACTAAATCATGGCAATATATACTTAGTTTTAGTAATCAATGCATATTTCAATTTAAATAGCCAATCACTTGGTAAACTTCTAGAATTTACTCAACACATCAAATTATTATTTCTCTTTTTTGTATAGTTAAAAAAGAAATCTTATGGATCTTATATTTTGCAAACAAAAATTCTAAACATTAATAAAACAAAGCATCTACATTCTGTGTAAATCTGCATTATTAATTCACTGTAAAGTAGATCCAGTTGGAGTACTTGTTTTTGCATTAAATTAAGCCTTTGATGTTCTTTAATGCTTTGATTTAGCCCCTAATTTGTCAGAGCACAAATGCAGCAGCAGCTGTTGAAAATATCACTTTTGCAGTACTTTTCCTGGCCAATAAAACCCCAAGAAGTCAGCTTCCTATCTGGTTGCACAAAATAGCATTGAAAAAGTAGTCATTGCTTTGAAGTATCACTCCAATTATAGGTTTTAACCCCATAGGTCACAGTTAGATTATTTATACAATGCCAGTGTAATTCTGTCTCAATTCTAGGCTTTCTGTGTGTCCAGCTTGTTCACCAGGTCCTCTGGAAAAAATTTCTGTTGGCTGCTATGATGGCACTGACCTATGTTTGATAGGGTTAGACTGCATTGGGCTGATTCCTGTCTATTTTATGCCTTACTTAACTTTCTGGAATATATTTAGCAGCAAAATCGAACTATACTAGGATTACCCTTTCCTGCTTTTAGAAATCAAGATACTAAGATGACTTTTCATCACATAGTGATATTGATTCCATCAGCTATATAATACATATGTATGTATGTTCATTCCATGAGCCAGTAAAAGATCTTATTTGACAAGCATTAATGATTTTGGAATCTTTCATCATAAGCTTTGTCATGTGCCTCTTTCTGCTTGGGTTAAGTGCCAGTGTGAATGTTTGACAGCAAAAATGGACAAATCTGCCATGCTGGTTAAAGTTTCTAAATTTATTACATTAGACATTTCTTGGCAAATGCATCTGCCAGTAGGAAATATAAATGCTACTTTTGCACTGAGGCAACTAGCTCTGTCATTTCTGCCTTTTTGATAATATTCTCTCCCACATTTGCATTAAAATGATTGTGATAGAAAAACATGTTTTTAATTAGTCATTGTACTAACAACCAATAATTAGAAGGAAATTCATATAATGCTGAGAAAAATAGAAGAAATCACCTGTTCATGGAAATAGAATATGATCTTTGTCCCTTTGGATTTTGATACATAAAAATACCTGCTCATAGAAACCTTTCTAGGTAAGAAATTATCACAATAGGTTGTTTTGGAATCTAAATATGTAAAGTCCTTTGATTTCACTGATAAGTAAAATAATATATTGGTGATTTCTTCTCTCTTGCCTTCTTCCTTCTTTTTAAAATCAATACATATATCAAAGTGAACAATTTTTGGATATTTGGCTACTTTGCAATGTTTCATAACTCAGGATTGTGGATTGGGTTCTTACTCATTTACTTACAAACATTTTCATACAGAATTTAAAGATACTGTGAAAATAAGTACTTTAGTTATTATTCAGGGTGTGTATTGTTACCTATGGAACTTCAGATAACATGCTTTTTAAGAACCCAAATGAATTTCTGCATGCTTGGAGAAAAAAGAAAAGAAACAAAAACAAGTAAACTCTTCGAACTTCCCCTACCCCGTTATTTTACTTAGAAACAACACATAACATTCACATTACTTTAAAACTGATGTAGTAAAATGGACTTGAATAATACATTTCAGTCCTGACCAGAAGATGTTTGCTTGCCCACATAAAGTAATTTGCTTCTTAGCACAGCTGGGTTCCCTTTTGCAACTGTTTTATTTTTTATGAAGTAAAGATAAAACATTATTTTTGTAAACCAATGTTTTAATCTAATTGATGACAAGTCGATGGCCTAGAATAGCAATGGCTGCCTCAAAACACTTCTCAATTTGCACATTTTAAGGCCTACTAAGCTAGAGAACTGAAGCATGAGGCAAATGAAAAAATATGAAGTTCATAATCTAGGGAGACCTGCATGTGTACAGCCATAAAAGCCACCACTGCCAGCTCAGGTGGAAAAATGTTAAAGTGAGAAATGTATTCAATAAATAGAAAACACAGCATGGAGCTGAAACGTGTGCATGAGAAACTGGTTAGGAGATTCGAGTAATGGAAAAAGAAGCAGATGGAGCATGAGTGTACATTAAACAGTAGTGTTCATAGCTTGTGACAAAGTATTCCACTTGGAGTCTAATTCTTAACTATCTTCAAATTCATTCAATTTAAAATATCATGGTCTTGTTATCATCTAATTTTGCAGAAATTTTATTGAAAATATTGTGATGGACTGCGTTTCATAGTTGAAAATGCTTGCTGATGGAGTAGTCTAGATCCTTAAAGTTCATAACCTGATGTGCCGTAACTTTACTATCATGTGCTACTTGCCTTGTTGTAGGTGATATGACTTCAGTGAATGGAGGCTGTGTCCGTCTCTGACATCTAAGGGCTCACAGACATATGAAAATATAATTGTGGGTGCTGGCAAGTAGAACAGGAAGCCATGTGATTTTTTATGGATGTGTGAGACAGTGTTGAAAAGACACTTCCAGCTATGCGTGAAACATATTAGGATTCCCAGGACAGACTTTTGGCTCTATAAAATAAAATAAAATAAAATAAAATAAAATAAAATAAAAATGAGACAGTTTTGATTGGTGTTCACAACTGCAAAATTCTTGCCACTTTCACAAAAAGTATCTCATGCTTTTTTGTTTCATCCATTTGCTTTCAATCATAGAGATGCACTATGTGAAAGTTAGTTGCCCTCTTTTGACCATTCTCTTGCCAAAGTTTAGTCTTTGGTTAATAGTCCATAATGGATTCTTATGAGTCTATTATGAAAACTGTGTTTTTGAATCACTTTGTATTTTTTATTTATGTTTTGTCTTTGTAATGAGTTGCAAAGTCTATTTTTCTTTCAGTTAAAGTAATGCTTTTAATTTGTCCTTCATGTGCTTTTCTATAGAGTGGTTGAAACACAAATTTGATAGAAAAGTATATATACATAAGTAGCTGTTGTAATTTTATAGATTAAAACTATATCATGTTTTTAAAATATTAAATATATGCAGTCTTTTTATGCTACAAAATCTTGGTCTTTTCCCTTTTCTTATTTTTTCCTCCTCTTTCCAGTTCTGCTTTCCCCTATTTCTGTTTCTTGTGCTCACTTCCCATTATTCTCTGATGACTTAGTTCAAAAACTAAGTGCCTTGCCATTTGCTTTCTTTCCCAAACAAAAATAATCTGACCATACTTGACAGAGGGATTGATAAAACCATTCGTTTTCTCATACTTTAGTTATTCAGTAGTTATTCTTTTTTTTTATACACTTATCCCCCAGGCCAGTTTTTTGTTGTGTTTGTTAATCATCTCATGGAAATGTCTGTTTTCTCTCGTCTCTCTCTTCCATCTAATTTGTTACTTCATTCCTATTTCACCTCCTTTACAACTTTATGCGACAAATCCTCTGGCATCTCCAGTTCCTTCCTCTGAATTATGTAATTTCATGTACATAAAAGTTCTTTCACATAGAGAGATGACTTTCCTTGTAGCTCACCACGACTTCTACCTAGTCTTTTGTTTCTCCATTTCCATTTATTTAATACACGTGTTTGTTGTTGTTGTTTTATCTAGTGCTCCACTTTACTCACATCGTATATGCTCTGTCACCTCCTGAAATTTTGCATTTATCATCATGAAACTGACAAAATCAAAAGCTGCTAATTATAATTTGCCAATGTCTTTACCTTCCCATGAATTCTCTGCTCTTTTGCTGCTGGCTGTTTTCTCTCTTTTAAAATGCTCTTATTCTTGGGCTCTCCTCACTCTTCTTTCTCCTATATCTCTGCCTACTTCCTAGTTCTCTCATTGACTAGAGCTCTCTAGCTCTTTCATTGCCTACCTGTGGTTCCTCCTCTCTCACTTCAGAGGTAAGGGGACTTTTCTGTTTAAATCATCCCTTAGGTAGTTGTTCCTTTCAAGGATTATCAAACATATCTGTGCTGACTCCTCTTAAGTTTCCTAAATTAGTTTACTTATTGAGCATCCACTATGTGGCAGTCATTGTGCCACAAAAGTCCTGATCTTTTCAAGATATGACAGTTTTTCTTTGGTGGGTTTCTTCTTCATATTTTCATGAGGAAATCCTGTTATTCTAAATTCCAGAGTTCTAACTTTATATCTTTTTTTTTTTTTTTTGAGATGGGGGTCTCACTCTGTCACCCAGGCTGGAGTGCAGTGGCGTGATCTTGGCTCACTGCAACCTCCTCCTCCAGGGTTCCAGCGATTTTCCTGCCTCAGTCTCCTGAGTAGCTGGGACTACAGGTATGCGCCACCACGCCCAGCTAATTTTTGTATTTTTAGTAGAGATGGGGTTTCACCATGCTGGCCAGGATGGTCTCGATCTCTTGACCTTGTGGTCTGCCCACCCCGGCCTCCCAAAGTGCTGGGATTACAGGGGTGAGCCACCGTGCCTGGCCCTTTATATCATTTTTAAAATGTTATCTCGTTTTTCTTAGTTTCCTCTTTCTATCAATAGCATTCTCATTCTTCTAGTTTCTTTGAGTAGAAATTATGTTATTGTCTTTGACTCTACCTGACCCTCTTTTCCCCTCATGCCTGCCCCACCCATTCACCAAGTTCTGCATACATTTCTCTTTGTTGTTTTGTATGCGTCCCTTTATTTACAATCTCTGGTAGATACTGTCAGTCCAGGCTCTTGATTTTTAATGCCAGGCTTATTGCAAAATCCTTCTCACTTATCTTGCTTTGATTTTCTAACTGTATAAGATAACAAGAACTAAAGGAACACTGTTTTCCACCTCATGCTACTTTACTGATTAAAGACTTGCAATATTTTCTCATTGCAGTTAGCATGTTCCCAGTGTAGAATATTCCAAAAAGTGCCCTGAGAAACATAATTTCTCTAGAACAAAATCTCCAAAACAAGTTTTGGATATGCTGTCTGAAACACTTACAAGCAAATTAAAGTTTCTAGTAACAATGTTCAACTCAGATTTTCTCAAGATGTTCTGCCTAAGGAGCTCTCCTCTTTGAGTAGAAACCATTTAATACCTAAAAATTAGTGTTCTGTAAAATAGAACTTGAAAAATGCTGGCTGATTCGACAATATGTAAACTCCATGCATGCAACAATAATAGTGAAAGATAATGCACATTTTCAAGTCACTGCATATCACTTTACCAAGTACTTTAAGTACTTTTCATGTTAATCTTTATGATAATTCTATGAGGTTAGTATTACTATTATCTTCATTTTCTTGAGGATTAGGGAGGTTGAGATCTCTGCCCTAGCCCATAGAGGGGTGAGTGGCATTAGAAACTCTGGTCTGTGGCATGGAACAAACCCAAATGCCTGTGAATGATAGACTGGATAGAGAAAATGTAGTACATATACACCATGGAATACTATACAGACATAAAAAGGAATGAGATCGTGTTTTTTTGCAGGAACATGGGTGAAGCTGGAAGCCAACATCCTCAGCAAACTAAAACAGGAACAGAAAACCAAACACTGCATGTTCTCACTCATAATTGGGAACTGAACAATGAGAACACATGGACACAGAGAGGGGAACAACACATACTGGGGCCTGTCAGTGGGGCAAGGGGAGGGAGAGCATCAGGACAAATAGCTAATGCATGCAGTGCTTAATACCTAGGTGACGGGTTGATTGGTGCAGCAAACCACCATGGCACATGTTTACCTATGTAACAAACTGCATGTTCTGCACATGTATCCAGGAACTTAAAATAAAACCAACCAAGCAACCAACCAAGCAAACAAACAAAAACAAAAGAACTCTGGTCTGTGGAACCCCAGAGCCACAGCTCTTAACTTCTACATTGTGTATCTTCCAATAAGGCAAAAACTTCTTCCCACTCGACTTTCACCCTCATTTTCTAACCTAGGCCTCCCATGGGGCTTCTAATCTAGTTGGGTTGGTCTACTATAATTTTCTTCCCTGCCTTCAAATATCTCTATCACCTTTCTCTCTAAGCAAATTTTCTTCCTTCTCCCTGTCCAAGAGAATTTCTCTATTAAGTTTTCCACAAGGATGACAGCAAGCCATAGCATTCTGAACCAAATATGTCTTTTCTAAATCTTCATATAGATTTTCCATTATGTCATGCACATGCTACTAGACTATTTAAAAAAACACACCCCAAACAAAAATAAAAACAAAGCACCCCCTTATTTCCTGTTTCCTCAATGAAGTGATCTTCTTGTGAACCAAGACTGTAGTTTTGTATTGGAGTGCATAAATAAATAATTGAATGACATATGGACACTGAGCAAATTTTGTAATGATATATGGAGGAACTAACTCTATAAACCTCTAATGGGAAGTGAAAAAATTTTATTACTTTTTGAAAAACAATGCTAAAATTCACTTTATTTAAAAATTATATAAATAAATATATATATGTGTGTATATATAGTAATTGTAAAAGGTCTAAAGAATAGTGTAGTGTTAAGAGTAAAATAAGGAATCTCTTCTGTTTCACCTACCACCTCGCCTACTTTAATCCTCTTTTTCAGAGTTTAATCACTGCAGTGTTAAGTTTGGTGAGTATCTTAGCAGTTCTTCATCCAGTCATGTACATCTATATCTAAACCTAGACTTCCTAAAACTTGGTGTCCATCTATATTATATTCAAAGAAATAATGAGCTGGCTTCAGATGACCTAAGATTATAGCTCTTTATCAATGAAAGGGCACGGTGGATATTATATATAGCCCTTAAAACTAACAAACAAAAAATTTCTAAAAGTCTATTGAGACATTTTTCCTTCCTTCTAGAGTTTCCCACTGAAACTCCTGACAAAAATCCCAAACCCTCATCTTGCTCTCTGACTTCTGTAATTTCTCCTCCTTCTTTGCTCCTTCCTTCTGCCTGGTCAGGTCATGTTTGTACACACTCTGGTCCCTGAGGTGCTCTTCTGACTCTGCCTTGCTGGATCCTGGGGGAGCGAGCTGCTTCCTGCTCTTATTGCTTTTCTCATCAGAATCAGATCATTGCCCTTTAAATTTGCCTTTATCAATATCTTCTACTTCTTTTTTCTCTGGCTTATTTATTTCCTCTTTCCTAAAATAAGTATTTTGGTTCTAAAGATCACTCCTGAATGCTGTTATGGCCCCATCAAATTCCACATATTTGAAAGGTATTACTGTTATTGAATTCATTCATATTGTATTTCTAATTTTAATTTTTATTTACTCTTCAACAAAATGAAAGATATTGTTTGGTTTGTATGACTTTTTACCTTTTGAATTTTTCCAGTATTTCTTTGTAGAAATAATATATTATTCCTTTTTTGAACATTTCATTGATATTACAAAAGAATTTTCTCTATTGAAAGAAATATCTAACTTAGATAATTGAAAAACAATTAAGAAAATCACATAAAATATGTGAACTTTTTAAATGATCACTCTTTTCTAGAACACATTTGCCATGTGGCTGAATTTTATTTAGTTTAATAAAGTTGTATTTTGAATGGGAATTAATGTGCAATTTAGTTATTTCACTAGAATATAGGTTAAATAAAACATTAGGAAAAAATAAATCTGAGTGGCAATGATCAAATCGAGAATTCTCAATACACGACCTATGGATTCCTGAAGTGGGTCTATACATTTTGAACATTTTGGTATTGGTATATATATTTTTTATTTTCTTTGGCAATGAAATACAAGGTTTTCATAAAATTCTCAAATGTCTCTTGAACCTCCAAAATGTAAAATTTCAGAGGGGTCTAAAAATAATGTTTCATTGTGGTATGTATATATTCCATATATCTCCCTTTCAACATGTAGAAAAATATTGCACCATCTTGAACAGTATTAAAATTTTTATCTCATTGTTAATGAGATAAAATAATGAGTTCCATAATTCTGGAACTAAAGGGAGAGGAGATGCATTTATCTTGTCCACTTTTCCACTTCTAAACCAGATTATTCCTAAACCAAACTTAAAGTTACCATGCTCGTTAACTCTTCTAAAACTTTAATATCTCATTATTATTTTCTTTCTTATATTTATTTTAAACCATTTATAGTCCATTTAAAATTCACTCATTTAGAACTCAGCTTTTACTTTTTTTTTTTTTTGAGACAGAGTCTCACTCTGTCAGCCAGGCTGGCGTGCAGTGGCACGATCTTGGCTCACTGCAACCTCAACCTCCTGGGCTCAAACGATTCTCCTGCCTCAGCCTCTTGAGTAGCTTGGATTACAAGCATGTGCCACCATGCTGGCTAATTTTTTTATTTTTAGTAGAGACAGGGTTTCACCATGTTGGCCAGGCTGGTCTGGAACTCCTGACCTCAGGTAATCCACACACCTCGGCCTCCCAAAGTGCTGAGATTACAGGAGTGAGCCACTGCACCTGGCCAGCTTTTTCTATTGACCTGAATTTGTTTTTTTGTTGGCAGAAGCCCAAATTTAATGACGACATCACAGAGTCAGCATCTGTTGATTGTCTTTTTCTTTTTTCTTTTTAATTTTTATGGGTACATAACATTTATAAGTATTAATTGGGTACATGTGACACAAGTATACGATGTATGATGATAAAATCAGGAAAATTGGGTTGTTTATCACTTCAGGTAATGTATTTCTCTTTTTGAGTTGAGATATTTCTGGTTTTTCACATGGTGAATAATTTTGGATTGTATACAGAACATTTTGAATATTACTCTATAAGACTCTGGGTTGACAATTAAATGTGATAATATAGGTTGAGTAAAAGTAAAAGAAAAGAGAAAAGATATACTATTCAAACATTTATCAAAAGATAGCTGAGTAATTTAATATCAGATAAAGTAATATCAGGGCAAAGAAATTACCAGCAATAAAGAGAGGCATTACATAATGATAGAAATGTCAGTTGAACAAGCTATAGCAGTATTAAATGTGAGTTCATTTAATAACATAACTTATTTTTAAATTTTTTAGAATCTTTGTAGATTCAGGTGGTATGTGCAGGTTTGTTACATGGATATATCGCAGTGGTGGGGTTTAGGCTTCCATTGTACCCATCACTCAATTAGTGAACATTGTACTCAATAGGTAATTTTTCAGCCCTTACCTCCTCTCATCCTCCCTGCTTTAGGAGTCACCAGTGTCTATTATTTCCCTTTATACATCCATATGTACCCACTATTTAGTCCCCACTTTTAAGTGAGAACATGCAGTATTAGATTTTCTGTTTCTGAGTTGTTTCACATAGGAAAATGACCTTCAGCTCCATCCATGTTGCTGCAAAAAACTAATTTAATTCTTTTTCATGGCTGCATAGTATTCCATGCTGTATACATACCACATACACTTTATCCAGTCATCCACTGATGGACACTTAGGTTAATTCCATGACCTTTGTATTGTGAATAGTGCTGCTATGAATATACGAGTGCAGATGTCTTTTTGATTTAACGATTTCTTTTTCTTTGGCTAGGTACCTGGTAGTGGGGTTGCTGGGTCAAATGGTAGTTTTATTTTTAGTTTTGTGAGAAGTCTCCATACTGTTTTCCATAAATGTTGTGCTAATTTACATTCTCATCAACAGTGTATAAGCGTTTTCTCTGCATCCTTACCAACATCTGTTGTTTTTTGACTTTTTAGTAGTAATTATTCTGACTAGTGTGAGATGGTATCTCATTGTAGTTTTAATTTGCATTTCTCTAATAATAAGTGATGGGTAGTTGTTTACATGTTTGCTGGCTGCTAGTATGTTTTCTTTTGAGAAATGACTGTTCATGTTCTTTTCCCACTTTTTAAAGTGGTTAGTTGCTTTTATTTGTTAAGTTGTTTGAGTTCCTTGTAGGTTCTGTATATTAGTCCTTTGTTGAATGCACAGTTCTGACAATAGAACTTCTAAATTCTGTTGAGGCAAAAACTCACAGACCTGAAAGAAGAAATCAATAAATCTATAATTATAGTTTGAAACTCCAACATGTTTTTCTGAGACAGAAAATCAGCAAGTATAGAAAAGTGAACCAGACCATTTTCCAGATGATCAACTAGATCTTATTGATATTTATAGGACAGTTCATTCAAACATAACAGAATATGTATTCTTTTTAAGTGCACATGGATACTCATTAAAATACACCATATCTTGGGTTTAAAATAAACCTTAACAACTTAAAAAAATGAGATCAAAATATGTCCTTTAATCATATGGAATTAGACTTGAAATCAAAAAAGAAGATAAAAGATAAAAGAAAATGTCCAAATACTTGGAAAGTCAACAATATGTATCTACATAATTCATAAATTAGAGAAGACATAAATTACCAATATTGAGAATTAAAAAGGAAAATATTACTACAGACCAAATAGATATTAAAAGGGAAATAAAGGGTTACTACAGGCAACCCTACACATATAAATTTGACAAATTAGATGAAAAGAACCAATTCCGCAAAAATTGCAAACCACCAAAATTTGCCCAAGATGAAACGTATAATAGACATAGTCCAATAAAAATGAAAGAAATTGTATTCTTAGTTAAAAACTTTCCAACAAAGAAATCTGTAGGCCCAGATGATTTCACTCACAAATTCTACCAAACATTTAAATAAGAAATAACACTAACTCTACACAGTCTTTTCCATAATGCTTAAGAAAAAGAAACACATCACAACTCATTTTATGAAACACCTGATAAGAATCAGGTGTGCCTCACCTGATTGCAAAATCAGACAAATACAGAAGACAAAAAAATTACAGACTAATATCCCTCATGAACATAGACATAAACATACTTAATGCAGCAATATATATATACACACATATATACACATATAAATAATATAGATATATATTATTTAGATATATAATTTATATAGATATATATAAGATATATTTTATATATAGATATAGATAATATATAGATATAGATATATATAGATATATATTACATATATAAGATATAATTTATATATATATATGATTTATATAGATATATATAAATTATATATCTAAATAGGGTTTATTCCAGGAATGCAAGGCCAGTTCAGTATTCAGAAATAAATCAGTGTAATTTAGCTGGGAGCAGTGGCTCATGCCTGTAATCCCAGGACTTTGGGAGGCCGAGGCTGGCGGACCACCTGAAGTCAGGATTTTGAGACCAGCCTGGCCAACATGGTGAAACTCTGTCTCTACTAAAAATACAAAAAAATTACCTGGGCGTGGTGGCGGGTGCCTGTATAATCTCAGCTACTTGGGAGGCTGAAGCATGAGAATCACTTGAACCCAGGAGGCGGAGGTTGCTGTTAGCCAAGATTGTGCCACTGCACTCCAGCCTGGGCAACAAGAACAAAACTGTGTCTTAAATGCTACCTGATTTCAAACTATACTACAAGGCTACAGTAACCATAACAGCATGGTACTGGTACCAAAACAGAAGATAGACCAAAGGAACAGAACAGAGGCCTCAGAAATAACATCACACATCTACAACCATCTGATCCTTGTCAAACCTGACAAAAACAAGAAATGGGGAAAGGATGCCCTATTTAATAAATGGTGCTGGGAAAACTGGCTAGCCATATGTAGAAAGCTGAAACTGGGTCCCTTCCTTATGCCTTATACAAAAATTAATTCAAGATGGATTAAAATCTTAAATTTTCGACCTAAAACCATAAAAACCCTAGAAGAAAACCTAGGCAATACCATTCAGGACATAGGCATAGGTAAGGACTTCATGACTAAAACACCAAAAGCAATGGCAACAAAAGCCAAAATTGACAGATGGGATCCAATTAAACTAAAGAGCTTCTGCACAGCAAAAGAAATTACCATCAGAGTGAACAGGCAACCTACAGAATGGGAGAAAATTTTTTCAATCTACCGTTCTGGCAAAGGACTAATATCCAGAATCTACAAAGAAGTTAAAGAAATTTACAAGAAAAAAATCAAACAACCCCATCAAAAAGTGGGCAAAGGATATGAACAGAAACTTCTCAAAAGAAGACATTTATGCAGCCAACAGACAGAAAAAATGCTCATCATCACTGGTCATCAGAGAAATGCGAATCAAAACCGCAATGAGATACCATCTCACACCAGTTAGAATGGTGATCATTAAAAAGGCAGGAAACAGCAGATGCTGGAGAGGATGTGGAGAAATAGGAACACTTTTACAGTGTTGATGAGAGTGTAAACTAGTTCAATGATTTTGGAAGACAATGTGGCGATTCCTCAAGGATCTAGAACTAGAAATAACATTTGACCCAGCAATCCCATTACTGCGTATATACCCAAAGGATTATAAATCATGCTACTATAAAGAAACATGCACACGTTATGTTTATTGAGGCAATAGTCACAATAGCAAAGACTTGGAACCAACCCAAATGTCCATCAATGATAGACTGGATTAAGAAAATGTGGCACATATACATCATAGAATACTATGCAGCCATAAAAACGATGAGTTCATGTCCTTTGCAGGGACATGGATGAAGCTGGAAACCATCATTCTGAGCCAACTATCACAAGGACAGAAAACCAAACATCGCATGATCTCACTCGTAAGTGGGAATTGCACAATGGGAACACTTGGACACAGGGCGGGGAACATCACACTCAGGGGCCTGTCATGGGCTGGGGGGTAGGGGAAGGGATAGCATTAGGAGAAATATGTAATATAAATGACGAGTTAATGGGTGCAACAAACCAACATGGCACATGTATACCTATGTAACAAATCTGCACGTTGTGCACATGTACCCTAGAACTTAAAGTATAATAATAATAATAATAATAATAATAATAATAATAATAGGCCCGGCATGGTGGCTCACACCTGTAATCCCAGCACTCTGGGAGGCCGAGGCTGGTGGATCACGAGGTCAGGAGATTGAGACCATCCTGGCTAACACGGTGAAACCCTGTCTCTACTAAAAATACAAAAAATTAGCTGGGCATGGTGGCACATGCCTGTAATCCCAGCTACTCAGGAGGCTGAGGCAGGAGAATCACTTGAACCTGGGAGGCGGAGGTTGCAGTGAGCCAATACTGCACCATTCCACTCCAGCCCGGGTGACAGAGCGAGACTCCATCTCAAAATAATAATAATAATATTAATAATAAATAAAATAAATAAATAAATGTAATCCATCAAATTAACAGTCTAAGAAGTAGAATTACCTGATTATCTCATCAGTGCAGAAAAAGCATTTAAGAAAATTCATTCATAATAAGTCTTCAGCAAATTAGGAATAGAAGGGACCTTCTTCAATGTGGTAAAGGCACATACAAAAAAATCTACATCTAACATCATACTTAATGGTGACAAATTAATTGCTTTTCTCTTCAGATTGGGAACAAGGTAAGGATATCCACTCTAACTTATCCTATTCAACATTTTACTAGACAGCCTAACTAATGCAATAAGGAAAGAGAAAGAGTGAAAAGGCATGCAAAATGGAAAGGAATAAATAAAACTGTCCCTATTTTCAGACATCTTGATATCCTAAATATTAATAGAAAATTCTAAGGAACCCATAAAACCCTCCTAAAAATTGAGAAATGTATTGATCTAGGTTCCTGGATACAGGTTCATCACACAAAACTCAATCATATTTTATAGACATATATTATTAAACACAAATTTAAAAGTAAAATTTACAATACTCTCTCTCTCTCCCACAAATGAAGTCTTATAAATGAATGTAACAAAGAATGCATTGGGTCTAAATGGTAAAAATTACAAGATGCTGATGAAAAAATTACCTAAGTAAATGGAGATACATACTATGTTCATGAATTGGAAAACACAACCTCACAACCTGGTAGTGCTATCACTTCTCCCCAGATCTATAGATACTTTATTTTATTTTATTATTTGAGACAGGGTCTCACTTTGTCTCCCAGGCTGGAGTGTAGTGGCACAATCATGGCTCACTGCAGCTTGAATCTCCCTGGGCTCAGGTGATCCTCTCATCTCAGCCTCCCAGGTAGCTGAGACTACAGGGGCATACCACTATACCTGGCTAATTTTTCTATTTTCTGTAAAGATAGGGTTTCGACATGTTGGGTAGGCTGGTCTCAAACTCCTGGACTCAAGAAATTCGCCTGCCTCAGCCTCTCAAAATGGTGGGATTACAGGTGTGAGCCACCATGCCCAGCCTGATCTATAGATTTAACGCAATTAAAATGTTAGGATTTTAAAAATAGATATAAACAAACTGAATTTAAAATTTATGTGGAAAACCATAGGTATCAGAGTAGCCAAAGTAATTTTGAAAAACAAAAATAAAAATTAAACAGATCACATTGTTCTTTTTTGAGACTTACTGTAAATCAGGGGTAATCAAAGCAGTATGATGTATAGATCAGTGATGTATACATCAATGGAACAGAACAGACTCTGGAAATAGGCCCAACATAACATAGCCAAAGAATATTTGAGAAAGGAACATAGGCAAATCAAGTATTTTCAACAAATAATGTTGAAACAATTTGACATCCATATGTAATAAGACCTTGACTTAAAACTCACCTATTTTATGTAAAATAACTCAAAATGAATCATAGATCTAAATGTTAAATATAAAACTGTAAAACTTTTTAAAGAAAGTATGTTTTCTTTTGAGAAATGAAATCTTCATGGGCCAGGTGCAGTAGCTCACGCCTGTAATCCCAGCCCTTTGGGAGGCTGAGGAGGACGGATTACTTTAGGCCAGGAGTTTGAGACCAGGCTGGCCAACATAGCAAAACCCTGTTTCTACTAAAAATACACACACACACACACACACACACACACACACACAAACACACACACACACACAAAAAATTAGCCAGGTGTGTTGGTGCATGCCTATAGTCTCAGCTACTCAGGAGAATCCGGGAGGCGGAGTTTGTGGTGAGCTGAGATTGCTCACTGCACTCCAGCCTGGGCAACAGAGCAAGACTGTCTCAAAAAAAAAGAAAAAAAGGAAAGAAAAAGAAATCTTCCTGTACTGTGATTAGGTAAAGAATGCTTAGCCATGACACTAAAAGCATGTTCTTTAAAAGAAAAAAAAGATAAATTTGACTATGAAAATTAACTTTTATTCTGCTAAAGGCACTACTTTAAGAGAATGAAAGGACAAGTTACAGTCTGGGAGATTTCTGCAAATCACACATAAGACAAATGACTTGTATCCAAAATATAAGAAGGTCACTTAAAACTTATCAGTAAGAAATCAAACAGCCCGATTAAAAAGTGGGCAAATTATCTGAACAAACTTTTCACCAAAGAGGACATATGGCAGGCTAATGAACATATGAAAAATGTTCAGTGTCATTAGGAAAATACAAAATAAAACTGCAATGTGATACCACTACATACATATAATTATTATTATTATTTTTTTAATTGAAAAGCCCAAACCTGACACCACCAGGGACTGGCAAGGATGTAGAGTTACTAAAACTCTTACATACTGTTGGTGAGAGTGCCAAATGATGCAGCCACTCTGGCAAATAGTTTGACAGTGTTCTATAATATTACACTCATATGACCCAGCAATTCCACTCCTCGGAGTTTACCCTAGAGAAATGGAAACGTATGCTCACATAAACACCTATGCACCACTCTTTATAGCAATCGTATTTATAGTCACCAAAGCAGAAAGCATTTCTTCAATGAGTGAATGAATAAACAAATCATAGTATATAACATTCCTAAAAGATAAAATTATAGTGACAAGAGAAAAAACTCAGTGTTTACCAGGGGTTGAGAGTGAGGAGAGAGTGTGGTTGAAAGAGGTGGTGCCTGTTCAGATCACACAAGAGCAATGTGGGGCTTTACAGAAAATACAAAATCAATAATTTCAGAAACACATGCTTTGTGAACTGCCTTAGAAATTTTCTGACTTACTGAAAAACGATGAAATTATATAGAGTGTGGAGAAAGTTGTAACTTTATTAATATAGGCAGTTAATACTGACACTCTATCATGTTGAAACATATCCTTTCTTCATATTAGTTTGTGATATTTCCATTTTCCCCTATTAGATCACTCCCTTCTCTTTCTTTTTCTCATTTATGCTGGCTTAAATTTTAGATCTTGCAGTAGAATCAAAAGTAATAAAAGATATAACTGAACCCTGATGACAGAAAAAAAAAGAAAGAAAGAAAGAAAGAGGTGGCGCAAGGGAGTTTGGGGGTTGATGAGATGTTCTGTGTCCTGATGGTGGTAGTAGTTATACAAATTTAAGCATGTAGCAAAATTCATACAAATGTACATAATATGGTCATTTTGCTGTATATTAATTTAAAAATTAAAAGTAAAAGAACATATAACAGAAATGGTTTTGCTTATTCTGTTCTTTTCGATAGTGTTTCTTTAATTCATATAACATGGAGTTGATACATATTTTAATAAAAATCAATGTAGTATCAATTCTATTCTTGAAAAACTTGGAAATTAGCTATCCCTTGATTTAGTATTTAGTTCTAATTCACTATAGATAGATGTTACACATGCTTTAGAACTATGTTAAGAACATAATATGGACAACAGTACAATCCAGAGATCCTACAGTGCAGGTAATATTTCCATTTACTTGGTGCATCTTAAATTACTTATTTTACCACTTTCCATATCGGTTTTGCCACTTTTAAATGCAGGTGGTTAAAATATATGATCTTTGTTGCTTTTCTACTCAAGAATAAACCCCCAAATCTATTCTAACAGCTAAAATCTGGTTTCAAGTGGAAATAATACTTATTACTGCTTTTCCAATATGAAATCTATAAAGGTTTTTCATATCTTAAAACTTAGAAAGCCTCTGAATTCTCTGAACATGCATTACTTTTATGAAGCATGAAGTGATGATGTCTCTAGAGTACATATGATGTGTCTTATGTTAGCTGCATTATTTGGTAACCAGGACAGTGCTCCACATGCAACAGCATTAATGAATTATGTTTGTTGATGATAGTGATAGGCAAAGACCTTAAAAGAAAATCAACAGCCAAGTATATACAGATTGCATACAGGTGGATCCCCAAAAGCAAATGTAATTTGTATGACCAGCAAATAGGTCAAACATTAAAGTATGCATATACTTTATGCATAAAGTATGCATACCTAAATACATACTTAAAAATATATATATATATATATATATATATATATATATATATATAGTCAGGGCTTCTACTCTTGAATTCACTGCAATCCCTATCCCATTGTTTTAAGCCAGATTCAGAGTCAATCATTTATGATTCCTGCCTGGCTTTTGTATAGACATTTAAATTTACAAACCCTTAGAAGTTCCACTACATTGTAGATGTATTCTGCACGTTCTTAGAAAAATGAGAAAATTTTCCACTTTTGAACTGATGGCAGATTCTTAAATTGAAAGTAAAACATTCTGGACCATAGAATAATTTACTTTTTTTTTCTATTGACAAGCTTATTTCTTGCTGCATCCCAATTAGGTGTTTCCGAAAAGGACAAGTATTTTGAAACATATTAATATGTATATTATAGGCCTGTATTAAACATATGTTAAGTACAATGGAGAGACGTATAATTCCATTTTCCTGAAAAAATTTTTTTAAATGAAGTTTTGGAATATATAACAGTTCCCTTTCAGTTTGACTGGCAGAAGGCTTTGAAAAAATTTGCATCCCACCTGAAGTAGGTGGCCTAAATATTTTTTATTTTTGTTTTAGTCACATTTCAAGTTCTTGGTCCTATCCTGATCTTTTCCTTTCTGACTTTATTCTCCAATTACTGCATTTTATGTCTCTCTCTTATTTCTGTAAATCATGTAATGATATACTATATTTATAAAAACAATTATATTTATAAAAGGCTGGAAGAACAGTTGCCAAATGCTAAGAACAATTAACTGTGTGTATTTCAGGAGATAGGATTACAGATGACGCAGGTTTTCATTTTTTTGAGTTCATTTTTTGATCTCTTGTATGTAGGACAAGTAGAATCTACATTAAGTCTTTGGACTGAGGACAAGAATAGATAGATAAATGAATAATTATGTTTATCTGTGTTTTTTCAGCTTCTGTGTATTAAATGCGCATGGATTATGCAGGATTACTTAGCAGATCTGTTTTCTTTACTTTTATGCCAAGATTATGAGATGAATATTGTGAAATGTGGGCTGACTACTGTGACTAACCATCCCTCCCCATCTATGCTTATCAACTGGCAAGTGCTTTGGATAGCTGTCATTGATCATTCCATTTTCCTAACTTTCTCAGGGTCACAACACCAGCAAGACTCATTTCCAGACCCCTCCTTGGTCCTGCCCAAGTGAAATTTGGCAGGGAAAGCATCTATTCTCTACTATGGTGCACTCCTAGTTCTCTATCATTGCCGCTCTTTCATTTAGTCTCTTGCTCTAAACTCAAGTTTTGTTGTTGCCAAATTTCCACCTGCCAAATTACTTTTCTCTTTTATGCACCTGTTCTCACCCAGGAGCATATTCTCTCAATTCATTTCAATTCTTCAACTTGAAAAAAGTTAGATTTATTTGCTGATTTAAAAATATTTTTTCAATAAATATTTTATAAACAGTTGGCTTATTGGGAAAAATAAATTAGATTATTTTTTCCTTTGAGACAGGGTCTCATTCTGTTGCTTGGGCTGGAGTGCAGTGGTGCTATCATAGATCTCTTTAACCCGAAACAGCTGGGTTCAAGAGATACTCACACCTCAGCCTCGTGGCAGCTCTTGTAGCTACAAATACAGGCATGCACCACCATGCCAGGCTAATTTTTAATTTTTTTCTTTTTTTTGTAGAGACAAGGTCTCACTATGTTGTCCAGACTGGGAGATTCTTTCCTATATCCTATAAAAAGTAAATTCCAGATAAATTCTAGGTAATAAATGAAAACATATTATGAGATGAAGAACATATACATGATTAATTGACTTCTGGATGAAGATGGAGTTTTTAAACCTAAAGTAATTGATGAAACTGTCAAGGAAAAAAATAATAGTTTTGACAACATGAAAATTGGAGGCCAGCATATATTAAAAAGAAAAAAACACAAATATATAAATGCTGCTCTGAATTGTACATTGAGGATGGAAGCCAACGATCATGGCTGGGAGAAAATGTTAAACGATTTAGTTCCTGACTGCAAGGATTTTCACAAGGACCTTAATATTTTGAGTCCCTTCAATAGGCAAACCAAATTATTGATGAGACACTTAAAAGATGAATTGCTTACTTTTTTTGTTCTATAAGACTTTGTTGTAGTCATACATTTTAATTAGGTGTCAGAAATATCTATAGAGTTTCTTTTGAAGTTATTTTCCTCCTCAGTTGTCTTCATAATAAGGCTGGTAGTAGTGGATTTCTCATGAGGCAGTTACATTTTATGAAGCTAAGTGATAACATAGACAAAGGAGGAATTTTATTATAATTAATGATTGTAGATTACATGGGTATATGGTAGAGAATCTATTTTAATACATCTCCTTATGCTTTTCAGAATTGCCATCATATTTACAGTTTGCAGCATATTTGGGAGAAGGGCAGTTTTGTTCCCATTTTAGATAAGAAAACTGAGGTCAATGAACTTTCATGACTAGCTCATAACGAAAACATTTCGAAAATGAAAACTAAACAAGAAACTGGTTCTAAATTATATACCTACTCCTAGATATCAGATGCTCCTAGATTTTGATGAGGGGCAGTCCACTGTGTTGTGTTTATTTTTCATCTTCAGGCCATGGCATTTGCTGTATATCTATGTTTATACTAGTCCAGTCACTGTAGAACTATTAGTTATGAAAGAATATATTTCCTCATATTCCTGCAATGGCAATATAAAATACTAAATAATAATGAATAACAGCAAATTCTTACATAACATTCGACATGTACCATTTAATTCTCACTACGCTCTGAGGAAAGACTGTATTATTCCCATCTTACAGATAAGAAAACTGAGGTACTGACAACTTGCTCATGGCTATACAGAGTCATTTTTTTATAGCTGTTCAGATCTTCTGCTCAATTCCCTATATTTATGTGAGGTTAAATGTTTAAGGTTAGAAAAAATAAAGATAATAATTCCACCATTTATCTTTCACTCTGATGGTGTGCTAAATGTCAGTTTATAACCCGGTGACTATAGCTGCCAGAAATAACTCCAGAACCTCTTATTTTAATCCACAAAATACTTTCAAAATTGTTCCACAGTTTATATATACAGTGACAAATGCTTTGCACCTTGGGAATGTGGGATAAAACAAAACTAGGTGTTGCTTCTTTTATTTGAACCAAAAGTATAGTGTTGTGAATTCTATTCTCAGATTGTTGAAACGGTTTTCTCTTAAAACCTCCATCTCTGTTTTATTTATAAAAATGTATGCATATAAAAATGTTAGCTTTGAAATATATTTGCGGTCACATTTACATCACGGAACTTAGATTATTTAGTGGCATATTTTAGATGTTCATGACAACGTGAACGCTTTTTGTCTACCAGCGATATGGAACAATTAATCGGAACCCTCACTAGAGGAGGACCCATTGCATTCAGTGTTGGTTTGTAAAACAGGCCTGGGTGAGAGGCCTCTCAGCAGGCCTCGTTATGTTACCTGTAATTTTTCACATGCGTATAGTTTATCACTAGTGACATTCTGGCTTTCAGATCAGTCATCTCTTAGGACTTAAAATTGATATATCAGTCTCAGCATAAAATGCTATCATTCCCATAGACCAACTGTTTACCGGAGTATAACTCCTCCTGTGTCTCATTTCATCACACTGTTCCACACAGTGATGTTTCAATGTGAAATGAAGTTTCTTCATGCTGTGCTTCTGAGTAGAAAAAAGACAGAAGTACATGTATGATAAATGGTGAAGATTCCATGATAACCCTTGCAAAACAATACAATGTGGAAGCATTATACTTGCTTTAATAATTTAATACATAAATGTGATTTTTAAACTTTTATAACAAACACTATTTATGCAGCGGTGAGAGGAAGGTCAATTATATTTACTGTGAATCACTTTATCTTCCAACTTATTTAGAAATTAGCAAAATACCACTGCTGTCAAATTGTCATGGTGAAGTATCTGTGGAGACTACACTATTACACTATTAGTAAAATATAAAATTACCATCATGGTTTTCAATGGTACATGTATTTATTTACAGTTTTGTAAGAGAGATAATTTATTTAAAATTATATCAAATCCAATTCTCTCCCCCTATGTGGAGCTCAGTACCAAATTCTGGCTTTCAATGGCAACAATAGAATTTAAGAAAAACATCTTGTTTAAGTCTCTTACTGTCTGAAAGATACTGTAGTGTTTGCATTCTTTCTTTGGCCTTAGAGTGCATTTTCTTTGTGCCTCTGAGTGTAGTCTGGCTGTGACATCAGTGTCCCACTGATTACTGGGGTTGATTCAACTGATTTGGCTGACTAGGCTGGGGTCTATATACTTCTTTCACAACCCTAAAAGCTGTGCGTTGGCGGAGGATGATGACATCCCTGGGGAGACCAGACCACTTAATTTTTCTCAAAATGGAAATGATGTTTTCCCTTTTAGCATGTCTTGATTCGACCTGTGACTAAAGGTCTGATACACTGCTTTAAAGTGAAAGGCAATATCATTTAGCCAAAACTGGGTTCGATTTATGTTTTCAATTTGATGTAGCATTGCAAATACTCAGTGTTTCCTGTAAGAAAACATTTTAGCTTGCACTTATAATTCTTGTTTTTCTGTTTTCAAATATGTTTAATGCGTACCTTTTAGACTATTGTCGTGGAAACTGCAATATGCTATAAAATAATATCCAAATACAAAGCTTCAGTTAATGAATGTAGTCAATTATTGAACAATGAAAAAATGAGTGATTCCAAAGAAATGCAAAAAATAATAATTTTATGGTAAAATATATTTTTATGAAAATTGTTTAACAGGTAATTATTTCTATCCTTTGGAAGAATTATGAAAATCAGCAATAATTAACTGGTTTGATTATGTTTCTCCAGTGTGTGCGCATGCACACACAAACACACACACACAATAAAATAAATAGTTCTAAAATTAGGTATTAAAATTACGTTGAATTCAGTGCTCTTAGCAAATAGGATAGTCTGACAATATTTTTTAAATATGGCACATTGAAAGGCAGCTATCCACCGGAAAACTAGTGTATGAAGGGCTTATATGCTTTGTGTTAATTTAAAAATGTATAGCCCAAATAAAGCAAAATTGACATTATAAAGCCTTTCTGTCCAATTTTTAAGATAAAGCTACTTAAATCCGAGCTTAGTTTGGAAATAGCATACTCATATATATTAAATATAATGCATTAAATATAAGCATACTCATATATTAAATATAATAAATATATATTAATATATAATATATTAATATAATAAATATATATTAATATATAATATATTAAATTAAATATATATGAGTATGCTATTTCCAAACTAAGTTTATTTTATATTATTAATAATATATTATATAATATATTTTATATATAATAATATATGTTTATACATTATATATAATAAATATATAATGTATAAACATATATTATTATATATAATAAATATATAATGTATAAATATATATTATATATAAAATATATTATATAATATATTATTAATAATATAAAATAATAAACTTAGTTTGGAAATAGCATACTCATATATATAGCATATATATGATATATATAATAGCATACTCATAATATATAATGTATATTACATATATTATTATATATAATAAATATATATATATTTAAGAGTATGCTATTCCCAAACTAAGCTTGGATTTAAGTAGTTTTAAAAATTGGACTGAAAGCCTTTATAATGTCAATTATATATATAATTATATATAATATATATGCATTTTTTTGTATAATATATATATTATATATACATTATGTATCACCTGGCTAACATCCATGAATTTAGGAAATTTTTAATAGCACCTGAATTTTTTAAAGCTTAATTCAAATCAACCTTTTTTAATTATTAAAAATAAACTTTATTTTTTAGAGCAGTGTTAGGTTCACAGCAAGACTGACTGGAAAATATGCGTAGTTCCCATAAACTCCCTGCCCCATACACTCGCAGTCTCTCCTACTATCAACATCCCACACCAGAGTGGTATATTTGTTACAATCAATGAACCTAGTAGCAATATTTTTAATTTTGGAATGAAGAAGCAGATATTATCATTCAGTTGCTCTTGTGAGAAACTGTTAAGGCATCAGAGGGTTTGAAAAACAATTCTGAGGAATTTTAATCTATGAATTTGTCAAATCCAACTAAGATTACTAACATAGTTATTTTTAGACGTTCAAACTATTGATTCCTAGTATTGGTCAACAAGTGATTTGTAATGCGCCTGGGGAAAATAAGTAAAGCTCAACTATTGTCCTCAAGTCACATGAAGAGAAATGCAGGAGATATGTATATGAGTGGTTTGACATTAGTTAGAACACTTGGTATCATAAGAGAGGTACAATTAAAATACTCTGGGAGGTAGCACTGGAAGGAGGTAAGAAGGTTTCACTCGAGGTCTCAGACTGGACAAAGCATTTGAGTTAGGTCTTGAACTATAGATTGAGGTGTCGATAGAGTTGCCAAATGAAATGTAAGATGTTCAGTTAAATTTGAATTTCAGAGAAGCTGTGAATAATTTTGGTATAGGTATGTCTCAAATATTGCATGGGACATATTTATACTAAAACATTATCCATTGCTTATCTGAAATTCGAACTTAACTGGAAATGCTGTATTATATTTTCTAAAAATGGCAATTTAAGGCATGGGGTACTTACTACTGAAGTAAACAATGTTTAAAGGTACAAAGAGGAAAAAAGAGTACATATGTACATCTCAGGGTACATATGGAAAGGAATACATGTTTGGTTAATTACATTGAATATAGGAAATGATTTGGATTGAATGAAATGAGGTGTGTTAATAATTGTACTGGAATAATAAGGCATAAACTGCAACTGCCCTGGGCAAACCAGAAGTAATAATGCTGAAACCTCAAAGGGTAGTGGGACCATAGTCTCAGAGTACCATAAGGGAAGAGGTATTTGGATTCCATTTAGGGTAACCAATGACTGTGCAACAGCTATCTGTGACAACTAGAGAACATAGTAATTTATGAAATATCATAGTGATCTAATCTTTGAGCCTTTTATGCAAATGAATGGGCTTTAGAACATGTTTTTCAGACTGTGAAAACCCAGAACATATGCTAGACAAACTTCTTAAATGCATCTCAGAATGCTGGTGAGCAATAACTGTATTATTACTGAGGTTAGGGACTTTATTCCTAAGACTATGGAGGCACAGATCTGGCCCATTTGAAACAGGATACGTTAGAGGTCACAGGAGGTTTTTTTTTTGTCATATGCTTGTTTATTAAAATTGATGGGGATATGAATGAACAATATCCTTCACTGCATCTAAAAAAATTGAGTTAGAGATGAAACATAGTGAGGCCTCTGCCTTCTGAGAAGGAGATTAATTTAAAGTTTCCTCTATGATATAAAATAAGCACATGTTAACATATGAATGAATGTATATTAAGATGTTAAAAATGATATCTGAATCAACATTTAAAAGGCTTAATAAATTATTTTCACTATGAAAAGTTTCAAACATATACAAAAATAGACTGAATAGTACAATGAACTCCCATATGTTCACAATCCAGTTTTAGCAATGCTCATGATTTGCCACATTTGCATTATCTAGTTTCTCTTTCCTTTTCTTTCCTCCTCTGAAATACTTAAAAGCAAATAATGTGATTGACACTTTTTAAAATCAGCTAATTAGATATACAACAACAAATTGACAGGGGTTTAGAAATGGCACTATAATATATACATGATCACTTGGATTTTGTTTGCATAGATACAGGTTGAGACTCAAAAAGCTGTATTTATATGTTGAAATAATCATATGTTACCGGAATTAAATCCACAATGTTCATGAGGAATGCTGAATTACTAGTCTTTTGCATTTGAATACTATTTAATTGTACCCTCAAAATCTTACCTTTTATAAAACTGCATTTACAAGAAGCTCTCAAAACTTTAGACAGGTCTATTTTGCCCTGTTTTAGAGGATAAAAAATTATAGTGATTTGGCTACACTTACACAATAACATAATATTATAGTCTGAAACAGAAAAATGGCTTTGATTCTACTAATTTATCATTTGCCCTTCTAAAATGGTCTTAGTATTTCAGAAATGTTCGTCCAGGTTATCAAATAAAAGTTAAATTCTGTGTTTCATCCAGAAGCAGAAGTAAACTTTAGCAAAATGTATTTCATGGGTCCGCAGAATACAGATAAAAGAGCAATATATATGAATATAGGTATTACTGTTGGAACCATGAGAAATGGACCTATTCATATTTCATCAGGCCATTCCAGCCTGCTACAAAATATGGGGCCACTTCTACAAAAATCACCTATAATTTGAAGTCTCCTGTGTTTACTTACTAATATAAGATTCTAGCCCTTGCAAAGTGTATCCCAATTATGTCCACAAGTCTCCATAGCACTAATCCAAATTTTTCATGATCAAATATGATGCACTAAATCAAAAGCACAAATCTCACACCAGTCAGAATGGTTATCGTTAAAAAGACAAAAAAATAATAAATACTAGTGAGGTTGTGGAGAAAAATAAACACTTATATCCCGTTGGTGGGAGTGTAAATTAGTTCAACCATTGAGGAAGACAGTATGGTGATTCCTCAAAGACCTAGACAGAAATACCATTCAACCCAGCAATTCCATTACTGGGTGTATACCCAAAGGAACATAAATTGTTCTATCATAAACACGCATGGACGTATATGTTCATTCACAACAGCAAAGACATGGAATCAACCCAAATGCCCATAAACAATAGACTGGATAAAGAAAATGCAGTACATATACACCGTGGAATACTATGTAGCCATATAAAAGAATGAGATTATGTTCTTTGCAGGGACATGGATGAAGCCTGAGGCCATTATCCTTAGCAAACTAAGGGAGGAACAGAAAACCAAACACTCCATGTTCTCACTTTTAAGTGGGAGCTGAATGATGAGAACACGTGGACACCTATAGGGGAACAACACACGCTGGGGCCTATCAGAAGGTGGAGGGTGGGAGAAGGGAGAGGATCAGGAAAAATAACTAATGGGTACTAGGCTTAATACCTGGGTGATGAAATAATCTGTACACCAAAGCCCCATGACACACATTTACGTATGTAACAAAACTGCACACGTAACCCTGAACTTAAAATAAAAGTTAAAAAAAAATCTGATGCACTATCAAAAGGCATCTGCCTGGCATCCCTGCTATTTCTGCTGGTCCTACTCTGGTGTCATTTTTCAAGATAGGCCATCTGTCTGTAGTGGGTGTGCCCACCTTTTCCACTAGAAATTTTTGTGTCTACCAGGAATTTCTATCCCTACTGGATCCCTCCTTCTTGCCAGATGACTCAAAACCTGCCACCATTGCTGTGGACTACCAGTGCTTCCAGAACCCCCTGCCCAGACCCACTCCCAAATTTCTTTTTTTTTTTAATTTTTAAATTTTAAGTTTTTACATTTATTTATTTTATTTTATATATAAAAATGTATATGTATGTCAAAACATCATGTCATGCATGATGTTTAACTGTAAGCATAGTTAATAGTCAAATAATTAGTTCAGTTAAGCAATTTAACATATCCATCATCTCACATAGTTACTTTGTGTGTGTGTTGTAAGAGCACTTAAAATCTACTGTCAGCAAATTTTCAGTATACAATACAATATTAACTATAATCCTTATGCTGTATGTTAGATCTCTAGACATATTACTTATAGATAATTACACATTTGTACCCTTTGACCTACATCTCCCCACTCCGTAAACCTCCTCCTTCTTGCCCCACACCTGGCAACCATCATTCTACTCTCTCTTTCTATGTATTCGACTTTTCTCAGATTCCACATATAATTGAGATCGTGCAGTATATTTTTAATATCTGGATTATTTCACTTATTATAATGTCATTCAAGTCATCCATGTTGCCGCAAATGGCAGTATCCTTTTCTTTTTAAGGTTGAATATATTCATATATATAAATCCATATGCCACAATTTCTTTATCCATTAATGGACACTTTTGTTGTTTCCATATCTTGGCTGTTGTGAACAATTGAATAATGCTGCAAGAAACATAGGAGTTCATCATTTCCTTTGGGTATATACCCAGTGGATGGATTGCTGGATTTTTTAGTAATTCTATTTTTAGTTTTTGGTAGAACCTTCGTACTGCTTTCCATAATAGCTGTAATGTCCAATTTTTAATTAACACTTTTGATGTAAGTCTGGAACTAGCCTATACACTTCCTCAACCATTACTTTATCTAATAAACATTTGAAATAAAATTTGCTTTTCACCCTAATTACAAATTTTTTATCTCCTACAAAATGTAGCTGACTCTGAAAGAACTAAAGTAAAAAAATTAAATGTCCCAAATTCACATGACCACTCTTAGCATTTTGGTGATATTCTTCATAAAGATTCTTTCTTTTTTTTTTTTTTAAAAAGTCTGTGTATGTTTACCACATATTTTACACTAATAATATGTTCTGTACTTTTCTCTCTGTTAATAAATTTCCTTGTACAATTTTTTTAAAGAGCTGGATAATATCCAACTATATGGATATCAAATTATTTATTCGATTCTTTTTTTACAAAGGGTTTCTTCTTATTTTAGTTTTCTATTATTAAAAATACTAAACTTCCAATAAACATTTCTGTATATACATCTTTGCCCAAATTTCTATTTTATCATTTAGTATACATTTTTAGAAGTGTTGCAAATTAAAGAATATGAAAATTAACATTTTTAAATACTTAGTGTCAAATTGTCCTTCAGGAAGGTTGTGGCAATTTTCACATACAGTGTTTTATAAGGATATTATAATTTCTTCATATTTGCTAATATGATAGTCAAAAAGAATGTCTCATATTTAGTTTAAATATGTTTTAAAGTAATGAATGACATTAAACATTTATTAAGATATTTTCAGATATTTGACTATTTTATAAGTAACATACGATCTTGTTCACTGTTCTACTAATCTTCTAACTGGTTTAAAGAATGTATAAGACCACCTTCTATATTAAGGATACTTTTACCTCATCATCTGTATTGCAAATAGGTTTTAAGTTTGAAATAGTTTACCATGCATAAAGTCTATAGAGTCAGATTGATCATTCTACTTTCTCATTCTTTGGTGTCCAACTCCACTTTCAAGATTATGCAAATATTCACTTGATTTCATCTGTTCACTTGTTTTCATGTTTTGAATAAAATAAATATTTTAACAATCAAGCATGTTTTAGTAAAACAACATAAGGTAATAATTTTCTGGGGTTGCACTCTGGCAGAGAGCAAACAGAGCAGTGTTATATATACCAACATTGTCTTACACAGATTTTTTAAAGAACTAGGTCTTGCAGTTTCTACTTAGAATCCTCACTTTCCTTTGGACCCAGGCAAAAGTGAATGGGGGCTGGGTCAAAACCACTTTAATTTAGTGGTGCTATCTAAGGATCACTTCTTCACTCCAACTCCAATTTTGTTTTTGGGCGTACGCTTCCTGTAGAATGACCCTTATCCCGGGCCCCCAGGATGTTTCTTCTGAGAGTTCCATGCAAAAGAATCCTACCATATCACTTCCATGACCATCTATTAAGGTGGGCACACCTAGACATGTCTGAATTAATTCTAGGTTGGCCTGACATTGGAGTTCTGCTACATTTGAAAGCATGCTAGCGAAACTAAAAATTTGGCAATAATCTTCATGTAGAACTGAACAGATTTTGAATTAGGGCAGGAAATATTTGTTGAGAGAAAAAAATGTGAGATTAAAATTTTGAGAAAAATATGTATACGCATTAGACATCAGGTATAATCTCTGTGTGTGTGTTTGTGCCAGGAGATTGCAAATACAAGTGCTGAAAGGGGTGAGGGAGAGAATGTAAATGAGTGAAGTGGGATGGGAGAATTAGAGAGTGGTGGAGGCTTGTTGTATTGTAAAACATAGCCCAGTCTAAAAGGATTTTAGCCAACTGTTTTCAAGCAGAAAGGTTAATGTAATATTGGGAGGCCTTTCATTATTTCACAAGAATGGGGCATTCAGATTCACCATAAAATTCTGATTTTTAAATGTTGGAAACAAACTCAAAGGATTTAAAAATATTCTGAGGGTCAAACAGGTTATAATTATAAGCTGGATCTGACCTGTAGGCTGTCAATTGTTGGATTTGCTCTAATCACACATTCTGTTGGGTAGGCAAAAATGATACAACATTATTTGCAAGATGACAACACACAAAAAAGCCATTACTTATGAATAGCAAGATCAAACACATAAAAATAGATTTACCATAATGAAAAAAATGAAATTCCAAAATTAATATGAAATTGCATTACCAAGAGATTTGACCCACCATTCCTTTGTGGCATCGAGGTTTGAAACTTTCTTCTGATTTATAAAATGAAAGGAATGATGAATTAGTGAAAGGAATGAGGAAGGCCAGTTTGAGTGCTGAGGAAGATCAGCACATTTATTGTGGTCATGGGATCCTGGGGTCTTCTCTGATGCCAGGATTCTGAAAGAGAATTTTCCTAATAAGTAAAAGACTTTTAAACAGACTCTCCTGCATGTGATCAGCTCCACAGGGTGTCTCTTGAAACAGGATGTGAACAACTGGAATTGAAATGGAGAGACCTTGGAAGGGTAATGAAAAAGAGACCTGAGTGCCTATAAATCTAATATTCAGAATACCAGAGGGGGCTACCTCAACCACTAAAGATGATTCTTTTCAAGCAATTTATTGTACTGACTCTTTTAAAAACATAAATAAACTAAGAGAAGACAAACAAGATAAACAGGGAACTTAGAAACTCTGTAGTGAATTTTTTTTTTAATGAGTGATCATCACACAGATGTGTGTAATAACCTCTCTTCAGGAGCAGCTTTCCACTTCCTTTCCATCTGTTTCTGTACTAGTAACCTGTTCACTCCAGGAACTTTGTCCCTTTGGAATTTGGCCTATTTAGGGGTTGAAAAATAGTATAGACATTTCCCATTTCCAGCTCCTCCCCTTTCTATAAGGCATTTCTTAAAAAAATTCTGCTTTCTATATCTCTACTTCCAGGGAAGAATCCTACTAGACTACTAATCTGAATTTATGTTGCTCTTCCTCCTGGCGTGCTTTCAAGATGATTAGTGGTGGTTGTACAAAAGGGTTCTAAACGTTGTATTTCAAAATTTACATTGTTGTATGCCCAAAGAATACATCATCCTCCTTAGCAATTGTTCAGGTTTTCATTATTTTCTCAGTGTTAAGCTATTTTTAAAAAATAAATGTAAAGGAGATAATTGAGAGTAGAGAAAGAAAAAAAGACACAAATCCTAAATTATTGCTTCAGCTACATTTTACTGAATACTTGTTAGGTGCTAGAAATTGTGATAAGCATTAAATATACATTGTTTCATTTAAATTCTTACAAGTAACCTAGAAATTAGATATTTTTTTCCATCTTACATATAAGTATGTAATTAAAAGTATACAACTTAAGAAATCTGACACAGGGTGTATGTAGAAAGCCCCTTGTATCCTCAAAACTTTTAAATTTCAAAACCCATATGCTTAATTATTTTAAAATTATCTTGAATTTTCACAGAATCTCAACAGCATGAAATCTATAATGGATTATTAATATTACATCCCTACTTTAAGGGTTTCTTCTTTATATGAAAGTGAAGACTCTATGGATATATGATGGAAAAGATATCGCCCTATAGATCTTAGAAAATTTTTTTGTTGAGATTATAGTCATCAGAACATAATTATATCAAGTAAATGCTATATGGGTTTTTAAAAGAAACTTCAAATATTTCCCTGCATAGTTATATTGATACAGGTATTGGTAAGGTACTTTTGTAAATATATATTTTATGCTTGAAACAAATAGTAAACTGAAGATCACTAAAGGCTAAGGCAGAGAAATAGAAAGATAATGGAGAGAAAATAAATAGAAATACTGATAGAAGATCATGAACCCAGAGTATCACAGATGCCAGAAAACATGCTCAACCCTTTTTCTGAGTACAAAAGAACTAACATTAGGGTATGGCTTAAAATGAGAGGCAGTATGGGATATAGGATGATAGGTGAGTGCTGTATGGGAGAGGACACTGTCCTGTGGAGAATATGGAGAATGCATTGGAAGGGGTAAGTCATAAGGAGAAATCAGTGAGTAACCAGTTAAGATGAATAATCAAAGGGAGAAAGAAGAGGGGACACTTTCTGGATGATTAATGTATTGACAGTGAGAATGGAAGGAAAAAGCCATCCTCAAAAAATGGTTATAAAGATTATAGGTAACACCAAAAACAACAGGATATACATTCTTTTCATCACCACTTACTCTAAAATTGGTCACATAATTGGTAGTAAAACACTCCTTAGCAAATGCAAAAGAACTGAAGTCATAACAAACAAATTATAGCAAGCAGCCTCTCAGACCACAGCACAAGTGAATTAGAACTCAAAATTAAGAAACTTACTCAAAATGACACAACTACATGGAAATTGAACAACTTGCTCCTGAATGACTTTTTGGTAAATAATGAAATTAAGGCAGATAGCAAGAAGTTCTTTGAAACTAATGAGAACAAAGAGACAACGTGCCAGAATCTCTGGGACGCAGCTAAAGTAGTGTTATGAGGAAAACGTATAGCACTAAATACCCACATCAAAAAGCTAGAAAGACCTCTCAAATCAACAACCTAACAACACGACTAAAGGACCTAGAGAAACAAGAGCAAACAAACTCCAAAGCTATTAGAAGACAAAAAATAACCAAGATTAGGGTGGAACTGATGGAGATGGAGACATAAAAAACCTTTCAAAAAAAATCAATGAATCCAGGAGCTAAATTTTTGAAAAAAATAATAAAATAGATAAGGCTACAAGCTAGACTAATAAAGAAGAAAAGAGAGAAGGATCAAATAGACACAATAAAAAATGATAAAGGGGATATCACCACTTACACCACAGAAATACAACCAACCATCAGAGAATACTATAAGGACCTCTACACAAATAAACTAGAAAACTTAGAAGAAATGAATAAATTCCTGGATGCACACACCCTCCCAAGACTGAACCAGAAAGAAATTGAATCCCTGAATAGATCAACAACAAGTTCCAAAATTGAGACAGAAATAAATACCCTACCAAACAAAAAAAGGCCCAGGACCAGACAGATTTACAGCTGAATTCTACCGGAGGTACAAAGAGGAGCTGGTACCATTTCTTCTGAAATGATTCCTAACAACTGAGAAGGAAGGACTCCTTGCTAACTCATTTTATGATGCCAGCATCATCCTGATACCAAAACCTAGCAGAGATACAAGAAAAAATAAAACTTCAGGCCAGGATCCCTGATGAACATTGATGCACGAATCCTCAGTAAAACACTGGCAAACTGAATCCAGCCACACATGAAAAAACTTATCCACCACAATCAAGCAGGCTTCATCCTCAGGATGCAAAGTTGGTTAAACATATGTGAATCAATAATTGTAATTTATCACATAAACAGAACTAAAGAAAAAAACCACATGATTATCTCAATAGATGCAGAAAAGGCCTCTGATAAAATTAAACATCCCTTTATGTTAAAACCTCTCAATAAACTATGTATTGAAGAAACATACCTTAAAATAGTAAGAGCCATATGTGACAAACCTACAGCCGGTAACATACTAAATGGGCAGAAGCTGGAAGCATTCCCCTTAAAAACCAGTACAAGACAAGGATCCCCTCTCTCATCACTCCTATTCAATATAGTATTGGAAGTTCTGGCCAGGACAATTAGGCAAGAGAAAGAAAAAAAGCATATTTAAATAAGAAGAGAGGAAGTCAAATTATCTTTGTTTGCAGATGACATGATCCTGTATCTAGAAGACCCCATTGTCTCAGCCCAAAAGCTTCTTAAGCTGATAAGCAACTTTAGCAAATTCTAAGGATACAAAATAAATGTGCAAAAATTGGTATCATTTCTATACACCAACAACAGGCAAGCAGAGAGCCAGATCATGAATGAACTCCTATTCACAATTGCTACAAACAGAATAAAATATCTACAAATACAGCTAACAAGGGAGGTGAAGGACCTCTTCAGGGAGAAGTACAAACTAATGCTCAAGGAAATCAGAGAGGACACAAGCAAATGGAAAAACATTCCATTCTCATAGATAGGAAGAATCAATATCATGAAAATGGCCATACTGCCCAAAGTAATTTATAGATTTAACATTATTCTTATTAAACTACCTTTGACATTCTTCACAGAATTATAAAAAAAAACTATTTTAAAATTCATATAGAACCAAAAAAGAACCAGGATAGCCAAGACAATCCTGAGCAAAAAGAGCAAAGCTGGAGGCATCATGCTACCTGACTTCAAACTATACTACAAGGCTGCAGTAACTGAAACAGCATGGTACTGGTACAAAAACAGATACACAGACCAATGGAACAGAATAGAGAACTCAGAAGTAAGACTGCACACCTACAACAATCTGATCTTTGACAAACCTAACAAAAACAAGCCATAGGGAAAGGATTCCCTTTTTAATAAATGGTGCTGGCAGAACTGGCTAGCCATATGCAGAAAATTTCCTTAAATCTTATACAAAAATTAACTCGATGAATAAAGGACTTAAATGTAAAGCCCAAAATTATAAAAACCTGGAAGAAAATCTAGGCAATACCATTCAGGACATAGGCACGGACAAAGAGTTTATGACAAAAACGCTAAAAGCGATCGCAACAAAAGCAAAAATTGACAAATGGGAGCCAACTTAACTAAAGAGCTTCTGAACAACAAAAGAAACTATCATCAGAGTGAACAGACAACTACAAAATAGGAAAAACATTTTGCAATCTATCTCTCTGACAAAGGTCTAATATACAGAGTCTACAAGGTACTTAAACAAATTTACAAGAAAAAAAATCCCATTAAAAAGTGGGCAAAAGACATAAACAGACACTTCTCAAAGAAGACATTCATATGGCCAACAAACATATGAAAAAATGCTCAACATCACTGACAATTAGAGAAAAGCCAATCGAAACCACAATGAAATACCATCTCATGCCAGTCAGAATGGCGATTATTAAAAAGTCAGGAAACAACAGATGCTGGCGAACTTGCAGAGAAAAAGGAACACTTTTACAATGTTAGTGGGAATAAGTAGATTAGTTCAACCATTGTGGCAGACGGTGTGGTGATTCCTCAAAGATCTAGAAGCAGATATACTATCTGACCCAGCAATCCCATTATTGGGTGTATACTCTAAGAAATATAAATGGTTCTATTATAAAGACACATGTAAATATATGTTTATTGCAGCACTGTTCACAATAGCAAAGACATGGAATCAACCCAAATGCTCATCAATGATAGTCTGAGTAGAGAAAATGTGGTACGTATACATCATGGAATACTATGCAGCCATAGAAAGGAATGAGATTATATCCTTTGCAGGAACATGGATGGAACTGGAAGCCACTATCCTCAGCAAACTAATGCAGGAACAAAAAACCAAACACTGCATGATCTCATTTATGAGTGGGATCTGAATGATGAGAACAGTTGGACACAGCGGTGGAGGGAGAGAAAAACACACATTGAGGCCTATCAGGGGGTGTCGGGGAGGGAGAGCATCAGGATGAATAGCTAATGTATGCTGGGCTTGATGACTAGGTGATGAGTTGATCTGTGCAGCAAACCACCATGGCACAGGTCTATCTATGTAACAAATCTGCACGTCCTGCACATGTACCCTGGAACTTAAAATACAAGTTGAAGGGGGGAAAAAAAAGAAAGATTCTGGGTGACAAAGGTTGAATGTGAAGAAAAAGGAGCAAAAGACATTTACAAGATTCCTGTGTTTAAAGCACGTGTAATACTTCAATGGTAAACTCACTGATGTGAAAATACATTAAGAGGAAGTGGGTTTACAAGGAAGTATTCGGTTTTTGTTGTGTTGTGTTTATAGTACTATGGTGCATCCAAGAGGAAATAATTCATAATTTAATTTAACATTAGAATAGAACCCTAAATTGGCCAAAGAAAGAAGAGACCTCTACCTCCACAGCTGAGGGTCAGACCTTGCTAAAGGGAGCGTAGCTGTGGCTTACTGAATAATCAAGTTCACTGTGGTGCACCAAACCAAGGATGAAGGTCTGAAACCACCAGTGGTGGTGCCAATGGAATTCAGCAGAAAGACTGCCAGTGGTGCGTGGTGCTGGAGTTGCTGGGAAGCTGTATGTGGGGATGTCACTGAAACTGGCTGAGAGTGGCATCCTTTGGGACTCCCCTACACAGCTTAGAGTTGCAAGAGCAAAAAGGAAGGAAAACACCAGAACCAGAAATAGAAGCCCCTTCCTACTGCAGCAGCCCTCCTGTGCTCTCTGTTGTTAAAGCTTAGTATCATCCCAGTTGGCAAAGGAGAAATGTTTATGAGATCTAGTGTCAGTATTACAAGAGGGGCAATGAAGGGTGGATTTAGAACTGAGAGGCGATAAATTGATAATTAGCACAACAGAAAATAAATTTATGTAAAAGTGGAACAGGAATTAAAAGAAATTGAAAACTGTATAAGCAAATACTCAGTTGTATGTAAGAAAACCCAATTCCCCTTGAGGAGGAGAAAGGGCTGGAGTCCTTTAAAATTAACTGCCTGTTTTTCTCTCTGTGGCTAGTAAGCCTTATCCCTTTCCCAGGCATTGTGAAGACTCTGTTTCTCTAGCTGTGCAGCTGCAAGGTCACTAGACAGATAATCTCAAGTCGTAAAACATGTTGTTCCTTGAAAAGTAAGAAATAATGTAATGCATGTCTTAACTGAATAACTGTCTTTGTTTCTCATTTCTGTAATACACTTCCCCCTGCACAGATCACCCCCAACCCCATGAAATGCCTAAAAGGTAGCTTGACCCCTTCTTCAGGACTCAGTCCTTTGGATGTTAATCCATCTGGGTCGGTGCACCTAAATAATTAAATAATTCCTCCCCAACCCCTTGGTCTCTCTGATTACTTAATTATCCTGCAGCAGAAGGTTAATGGTTGAGCCAATAATTTCATCTGATTATTTCCTGAGTTAACCAAACAAAATCAACAGTTGAATAAAGGTGACCATGATCTTTACAACATGTATTTGGAAGAATTTGTGAATTCTATTTGATGATTTTTTGAAATACAACTATTTAATAAAATTATCATTGAATATTGGATTGGCTTGTAATTTTTATCTTATAAATTGCTGCATTGTCAGGGTCAATAAAATTTCACTTTCATCTAACAGGAAAGTTCATTATACATGTGATTGTCTAGTATGTATACATATATTGGCTAGCCAAGTATATGCTATTTTTCAAATTGAAAAGAATATTTTTCCAATCTTGAGAGAAGTTTAGGTATGTCTTCACTCCTTTAGGCAAATTTATATTTTCAGTGCACCTGGAGATTATAAGTATTAAAAATTTAGGGTATTATTAATGTTGAGGCCATGAGATTGCACTGGGCACTTTTTCCATACACCAATAAGTCACTAGTTGTGGCTAAGTGGCAGTGCAATCTTAACATTGTGCTGGAAACTAGTGAACTAGACCTAGAAAAAAATATATAGCATTTTCTATATGTGAATGATTTGTATCTTACAAGTAATATAGAATTAATGTTACATAATTCAGAAAAAATGTAAAAATATTTGTGTAGCTCTTTTCTTGAGAGGAAGTGAATTAGTGGCCAATTGAAGATGTAGATAAGAGGGAAAGATAGGACAATGGAGAAGATAGATTAGGGAGCAAGCAGCCTTGTATTGTGTCAGCAGGAAGCTAATTAAGAAAAATAATGTCCAAAAAAATTCGTCGTAGCAGAGGCTTCAACGAAAGTACAAATCAGTGCCATAATGATATCAAATTTAGTTCATTTGGTCATACAATTAGGCATGCTTTCTCAAAAAAGTTAGTGATGTTAATAAAATGGCTAAAGAATTATGGTCCATGCAACACATAGAATTGTAAAAGAAAAGAGGATACAATTATAGTTTTGGTGATTGGTTAAAATTTGAAGTATATTGTAGAAAAGGCAAATGAAAATATTTTTATTAAAGAAAAAATCGTTTAGTGATGCTAACACTAACTCATACCTATCATTGTGAGCTCATGGCCTTAAAAATAAATAAAATTTTCAGACCTGTTCCCAAAGTAATTATCTACTCTCCCTCTAGAAATTGTTTGGAACAAAGTTAATTTCATCTAGAACCCAGATTTTGATCTATAATTCTTCTCCATTCAAAGTAACCAGAATTTTTGTTTGTTTGTTTTTGCTGTGTCTGTGTGTGTGTGTGTGTGTGTGTGTGTGTGTGTGTGTGTTTTAACAGGGCTTTTTGAAGAGAAGCTTAAAACTAAATTTTTACTAATTTTGACACTTATAAATTAAATAAACATACTACTAATAAAGTGATATTGAGTCAATACCAAAGAACACATCATTTTGGAAAAGGCATCAAAATATTAAAAACCTGAAAATTCTTTGAAAGAGAACTGGAAACATACTATTGGCCTAGAAAATGAACCTAGACTTATACAAAAAACAAAAACAAAAAAAAGGTCTGGCTTGGAAAATATTGGCGTAGGGCTGAATCATTGGAGAATATTGGCATAGGGCTGAATCATCTTGAAAGCCTCACTCCATCTCCATGTCCCAACCAATAAGCTGTATAAGCTGTAATGTTATCTTTTTCCTTTTGGGTGTTTTTTGATTATTGTGCAGCCTAAATATAAGTATAAAGGTACCAAAAAATAAGTTAGATCTACAATGCCAATATTTTAATGGTAGTTTAAACCCAAGTGTAACAATAAGTTTTAGGATAATTGTGATAATTTATTTTTTTCTATTTTAAAATAGCTTGAAGCCTTTAAAAGAAGTTGATGTGCTGAATTATTGATGTGATTTATATATTTTAGTGTTGATTATTAGTTTTTATTAGTTTAATTTACATATACAGAACAGTTTTGTGAATTAGGTTTATAATTTTGTTCTTTTTCATGCACAAAGCCTTTAGACCTTAAATGTAACATAGAATTATATCTGAATTTTATAGCAAGAAAAGCTGTTTAACTAGATATTGGTGATAAAATGATATTTGACCAAGCGGTGGTCAGTCTCTTTGACTGGGTTGAGTGACAGCTGGTTATAGAGTAATGCTTCTTCTACTATGAATATTGGATTTTGTTTTTGTTTCCAGGGATAATTTTTATTTGCCCCCAAAGTAACGAATTACGAGGACTATATTTTATTTTTTATTTGAAGATGTAGTTTTATATAAGATCCAAGAAAGATATTGATATTTTATCATGCAGTTTTCAATAAGAGATTTCTGTTCTACATGGATGAATTTTGAGAGTGACAGAGATTTAAGTTTTAATATTTGTGATATATTCTTGTAAATGCAAACTAAACATTTACACATTTATGTTCATCTACACATGTACATAAAAACAGGAACAACAGACGCTGAAAAATTTAAGAGAGGGGTGGTAGGGAGTGGGGAAGGGTTGAAGAATTACCTGTTGAGGATTATGCTCACTACCTGGGTGATGAATTCATTCCTACTCAAAACCTCAGTACCACACAATATGCCTCTTTGTAATAACCAGAACATGCACCCCCTGATTCTAAAATAAAAGTTGAACCCTCTCCCAAAATATTTCTGAAATATTTGTTTTGGCTAATAAAAATATTGTGAATTTTTTTTTCTGATTTTATTTTATTTTGTTAAACATAGATAACATCTTCTTTGGAATTTAAGTGTTAAAAAATAGTAATATGGACTTTAGAACAAATTACATCAAAATATTTATTATGTGACTACTATGTGTAAGATTGAGGCACCTTGGAAAAAACCATATATTAAAGATCTAGTTCCTAATTTTCAAAAGATCTAATATAAGAAATGAACAATTATAAAGACAAAAATGTATAAGGAGTATAAATGAGGAAGTGATAATTGCTGTCTGGGCTTCCAGGAAGAGGTGATATTAAACTGGATCTTCAGGATGCATATAAGTTTAATTAGCAAAGATGTGATAAAGATAATTCTGACTGGTGTACGTCATGGGTATGTCCCCTGAAATTATGGAAATAGTAGTAAAGCTTTTATCCTATCCCTTTCAGGAAGTATTGTGTAATATGATAAAATAAAGGTTGGAATGAGGTTGTGCATATTCAAGAATGCCAGGCCAAGACATTATTAAATTAATATAACTCTTCAATATGAAAATAGCATCGGCCAGGCACGGTGGCTCAAGCCTGTAATTCCAGCACTTTGGGAAGCCAAGCTGGGGGCGGATCATCTGAGGTCAGGAGTTCGAGACCAGCCTGGCCAACATGGTGAAACTCTGTCTCTCCTGAAAATACAAAAATTAGCCAGGCATGGTGGCGGGTGCCTGTAATCCCAGCTACTCAGGAGGCTGAGGAACAAGAATCGCTTGAACCCAGGAGGCAGAGGCTGCAGTGGGCCGAGATCGCGCCACTGTACTCCAGCCTGGGTGATAGAGCGAGACTCAGTCTCAAAAAAAAAAAAAAAAAAAAAAAAGAGAGAGAGAGAAAGAAAAGAAAAGAAAATAGCATCAGCAGTAAGAAATACATACATGTTGAATGCCTATTTTGTGAAGGCATTGTACTCAGTGCTGAGGAATGCAAAGAAGTAAAGATGACGTTTAAGTGTAACTGCTGTTTATAAAATAAGCAAATGTCTATTCCTGCCTCTTGAAATCTTGCTCACCCTTCAAGGTCCAGCTCGAATACTGTTTCTTCTATAAGCTGCCTTGTTCAGCAGTAATGTGCTCACAAGTATTCTTCCTTGTACTGCTCTTTGTGTATATGCCTTAAGTCTTTCATAGACTGTGAGTTCTTAGAGATGTTGCCTTTGCTGAGGTATTTTCTGATGGTTCAGAAGATAAATACTGGCAAACCCAATTTGATAAATGTATCTGAGAAGACTAGAAGAGTAGTTAATGTATTTGAAGTTACTTGTGGCATTTTCTACTCTTCTGTTTCAGATGGTGCTTCTAGTTTTCCAGTATGTGCATATTGGTTTTGTTGTAGCTGAGTCAGGCAGCTTGCATCTTAAGACAGATAAATTGAAAATTACTCAAGGATTTTGCTCTTTATCATCTTTATACTTGCAGTTATTTAAATTTGGGTGTTATTTATAAAAGTTGGTAGAATATAATTTTGTACAGATTTCTATCAATCTAAGGACATTAGAACAACCTTAGACTTTGTTTCACTTTTGATTGATCTCTCCTATGAGATTTGACTCATAAACCCCAACTCCAAAGCCATTTCTTAACTACATTTAGAAATATAGATCTTCTTTTCTCTCTCTTATGGAATACTGAATTGCTTACTGTGCTAGTGATAGAAAAAATTGTCTTATAATTGCTTTTCAATCTCTGATACTATTCTACTAAGTGCAAGTTTCAGTTGCTTACAATATTCTCTGTTTTGAAGTGAAAGATTAGTAAATATGGTTATTTCTTGCTATGTACCTGGATCATATGTAAGAAGCAAGCAGAGATCTTTTAAGCTATAAAACACGTGAAGAACACTTACCAGTCCTGGAGCCAATTGCTGGTCTATTGCAAGTGCAACCATATTGGGCAAAATAATGCTGAGATGATTGATCAGTGCTCTTAATAATATTTTTTGTTGATTTCCTGCTGATTTTCCTGTTGCTCTTTGAGCTTTTTTCCCCCTTTACATATTACTCTGTTCAGTCTGGTAAAAATTTGCAGCAAAAGTATCCAAGTGATGGGCTCACAGCAGGTGCTGGATCAAACGGGCCTTGTTCTTTGGCCCTTGGGAAGTCTGCATGGATCAGAGGAATCCATGGGCTGCCCTTCAGATGACCTGTAGTAAAACTGCAGAGGACATGCTCAGTTTCTTTCCATGGATAAACAAAATGTAGATGAGATATTTTTTGTTAGCTTGAATAGAGGAATTTATTTCATATACATACTGCCTGTCTGTACAGTTGATTGAAAATAGCATGAAGTAAATCTTGTCTAATAGATACTTATAGAAGAATATTATTTAAATCTCTAACCATGTAAAGGTCAATGCTTTACCTTTTGATTTTAGTAGTGACATACTGGTTTCAACTAAATATGGAATGGAAAAACATTACAAGAAATGAGAGAACTGTATGGTGATAAAAGATAATTCCCAATAATATGCAGTTCGACAAGGTCATTGTGAGCTTAAAAGCCCAACAAAAGTGTTAATTTTGTGTTTTGTTCATAGATTTTAACAATGCCATCTTAGTACCTGATTGAGACTATACTGATATGCATCTTGCCTGTTTATTTACTTTCTACTAATTTTTTGTTTAATCTGATCTTTATGAGGATTACAATTTGACAAACATCTGTTGAATATCTGTGTAAATGGTATTGTTTTATAGACTGGGAATAAAAAGATGAATTAATAGAGCCACTGCCTTCACAAATTTAATATTCAGTAAATTAGTAAAGGTTAATAAAAGCAGGAAATGAACTAAATTTTTTTCAACAGAAAAGATTAAAGTTAGATCAGTTTTGCTATTTGGGCACTCCAATATCCTGTTTATTCCTCATCAAGGTTGAAAAAACAGTATTTGATATTTTTCTAGTCTCATCAGTAGATATTGTTCTTTATATGGCCTCTGTAGGCAGTGTTAAGGAGATTTCATTTTTATATCATTATTTTGATTTTTTAAAAAGAAAAAAATGTCAGTTATTTTATTTAATAGCATAACTTATAAACATATGAATCAACATTTAGGTTAATGTAGTGAGTCTTCTAGAGTAACATAATAATATGATCTTCAAAATTATGAATATTTATTAGATTTATTTTCTATAAGTTAAAAGGAAGAATATAATACTCATGAATATTTCTTTATTCTAATAATTACAGAATTTAGTTCTATAGAGACTACATTTATTGTCTCCTCATAAATGTCCAGCTCTACTTTTCTCCAAAAAGAGTATATAATTAAAAATCCTCCTATTCCTGATGTAAAAGAAGGATTCATAGACATTTGAACTTTTTTTCTAAATAGTCTGAGATAGTTCTCATAATTCTTAAAGTATGCCTAGAAATTGTTGATGAAGTATTTATTAAGCATCACATAGGTTTTATGTTTATATATTTACAAGAGAAAATAGCTTACTCATTTTAGACATGTAGTCTGTTGTGACACAGGGGATAGTTAAGATTAAAAACAGTCACAAACAGAGTGAAGATCTAAACATGTGAACAGTACATGCAATTTGTCTGTAGTTTCATGTGTATATAATATTTAGAAATACTTGCACATTGATGAATGTGTTCTCATTTTACTTATGGTGAAGAGTGGATGAAACAAACACACCATTGGGTTTTCTGTTTGTAAGGCCAACACTTATGGGACAGATCACATGCTAATTTTGAAGTGACCTGTGCTACATGGAGGATGAAACTAGTTTAGAATATGGTTTTCAAAGTGCTAGTTGTTTCAGGTCAGTCATTCTCACAATGACACCACTATAGCTCTAGTCTTAACACTAAGTAAGTACTGCCAGCATCCTTCATAATTTTCAGTTCTTCTTTCTTGTCATGAAAATTTGGGTATTTAAGTCCAATATTTTTTAAGAATATAGAATTTCAAGTTTTTCTTTAAATTAAAATAATATATAACTATGGTACTGGTTATAAAACATTAAAATTATAACAAAAAATTTTGAAAACTTTCATGAAAAAGAAATGCACATTGAATTGCATTGTATTTACTAAAAAGCCAAGAAGCATTCATAGTATTGCAAGAAAAGAAACACTGATAGTATGAACTAAATATTAGTTAGGGTAATGAAAACAGTCATCTTGAAGACATTCATGCTAGCAAAGAAGGTATCAATAAGAATAGGTTGAGGTAGTGGAAAATGAAATTTATTTGTGATTCTGTTGTGTAGCTCTTACAGTGAAACTTAGGTAACTTAGCCTAACATGGGAGAAACTTAGCCTAACTTGGGAGAAAACAACCAGAATTATATACTCTTTTAAAATTCATGTCATTCCAAAATTCTAACATACTTACTATAATTTTAAGAAGGCTTAGTTGGAATCCTTAGAAGACATGTCAGTATAGATGGCTAAGAATTATTTGTGAGTTGATTATAAATGGATACATGTGTGATACTGTAGGGAGGGTTTAAGCAAATGTTTTAAGTTGTTTACAAATTTCTCCTATAATTTTAGTTGTACCACTAATTTGCTAAGAAAAGTTTTGCCTCAGTGATAATACAGAGACAAATGCAAGACCATCTTCAGTTGAAATGACCACAAAATCAGAAACATCGCCACTCAAGTTAGTGAAGGCTTCATGCCTACTAGCTGAGACTTTAGAACACTTACCATAAAATAACTAATTTTTGGTATAAACATCTACTTAGGTTTCTTTTTCTTATTTTCCCCTCAGGAGTAATTCCCCTTATTGTTTATAGGACACACTATCACTCCAACTGATGTGCACCAGGCTGAGCAAGACTCCCCTCTTTAGGGCCATTGACTGTCTGGCTCGTATCTTCCCAGTTGGATGGCAGGGAGCTTAGAGTGGCTGCATGCTTAAAAGCTCCTTCAGGATCTGCAGGAGAAGATAAAAACCATATGAAAATAAAGACATATTCACTTGACCTTAAGGCAATGGGGTGAGGAATAAAAATTCAAATTGTCAAATTGTATGCATACATAAAAATCTCCATTCTTTGAAAAAATTAGAGTAATTAAGAAATATAAATATTTTATCTCTACTATAGCTGAGAACTGCATATGATTGAATTTTCCTTCTAAGCACTTAACTCACTTTCTCAATTTTTTTTTCCTGGAGTTACATCATGTGTTAGGAATTAGAGGATTCTTTACAGATTAAAGAGAAAGTTTAAAGATATTTAATTACTCTGCTGGGAAGGATGAAGAAAAGACTTGTTAGAAAACAAATATTTTTTGCAAAATGATTCAGTTTTAACTCAATTCTCCATATTATAAACCATTAACTAGAAATTTCTGTATTGCTTTTACAGACTCAATGAGATTTCTAGAATGGATTTATAGGAAGATAGTTTATGGAAAAGCGTTTTTTCCTGTTACTTTTTTTCCCTAGTATTTGACCATTTTATAGGGATAAATGTCAAGGCATATGGACCAGCTAAGCTTAGATGTTTCATTTATTACCTATAACTTTAATCCTCAAAGTGTGGTCCCAGCATCAGCACAGTAGCACCAGCATTACTTCAGAACCTGTTAAAAATGCTCATTCTTTGCTTTTGCCCAAGATCTACTGAATAAGAAACTCTAGGGTGTTGCTTAGCAATCTATGAATCACCCTGCTGATTATTCTGAGGCATGTTAAAATTTGAGAAGCACTGCTCTACATGATGGGCTTGGACAATGGAATATTATTTTTCATGAAACACTTTAATAAATGTATCAACTTTGCTGGCACACTGTGAGGGATGTTCTATTTGGGTGAAGGAAATAGATTTACAGATCACCAGATTTCCTTTAATTTCCCTATGTCACAGAAAATAAATGTCCATTTTCAATTGATTTCCAGGCAGTAATTATTATGAGATTTACATAAATATTTTCTAAATGTCATGCAGATATCTAAAATTCTGATTAAAGCATGCATCTTGATATACATCTTTAAACTGATATTTCAAAAGAAAAATCACACAGTAGAATTTTTTACCCGTACATTATCTTTCAGATGGTTTGATGCACCCTTTGGGGTGTGGCTCATTTCAAGGTTTATATAGTAAAAACAAATTGCACATTTACACAACTGATGACTAACTGAATTTCCTCAAGAACAGTGCTTTTATGTTTGTAGATGTTCTATGTTCTGCTACTTTTGCAACAAGATATGAACAATGACATATTAATAGCAGTAGAACCATACTTTCACCATATGGGCTATACAACTTAGGACTGTGTCCTTAGGCTACATTTAAAAGCTCCAGCTTAAGAAGATGATAAATTAAGTCAACTTGAACTGGCCATAGACCATGTCATAGATTAAACATTTTCCTTCAGTTTGATTGACACCTTATTCAGGAAACATGCTAGAAAAAAGCCATTTGGTCACACTGCTTAACGATTAAAAGTGTGCATAGAATTCAAGAAATACTGCCACCGTGCCAACCAAAATTTGATTTATAAACACAAAGCAAAGGTTTTTAGCTTCATAGTTCTATAGTCAATGAAAGTCTTTGTTTATTACATCTAAGTACGTTTTATTTTAAACTATTTTTATGAGCTTTATATATTGACTTTCCTTAAAGAAGACCAGGGACTATAGAAAGATCACTCAAACAGACAGTATTTGTTGTAATACTCATAATATTTTGGGAGCAGGAAGTGGGAAGTCTAAGATGGGTAAACAGAAAAAGGGAAAGCAGTGGGAGGTGAAGTGGATCAGGATGATTTTGGCTGGTAATAGAAAAATCTTTAGTAAACCCTGTTTTGGATTCGGTAAAGTAGAAAACTTTGTCCTTTAGTTGAAGCATGAAGTAAGGTAACATGGATTGATTACACTGACAGACACTGGTCATTCTGAAAGCAACTAGCCAGTGACCAGTTGATTTATTATTAAATGGAATTTGATTTGTTTGAAGACAAAATCTAACCTAGCAATTAAAAAAGACATCATACGATGATCATTTTGCTTAAAACATAAAAATTAATCATAAGGTTGAAAAGGTTTTTGCCAGCAAGGAAAGCCACTGACGTTAGCACTGTGAGAAGAAAAAGTCTAATTTTCATCTCATGACAGCTAATCTTTCCTACTCTGCTCCATCCCCAGCTGTAGGGGAGCCTTTAAATTACTGGGAGGGAGAAATTCCTCAAACTGATGAGTTATATTCTTCCTATGAAACTTACAGTTAAAAGCAGGACTGGCACTGAACAGTGCAAGATAGCTTGCATTTTGGGCAATGTTATTAACGAATCGTTAATTTTCACTTGAGCTGAAGTTTCATTTCGAGGAACATATTTAGGTAGAGGACCTTTAATATCTGGAAGATAAGGTCTCTCTGTGTATGGAACAATCAACCAAGAACTGTTCTGTTCATAACATTGCTTGAGTTAAATAGTATACTTTTCTATGTGATATTATGATCAGCCTATGGTCAGCAGGGGAGATTGGTGATTCCACCAACAGCACTGTGTTGATGGAGTCCACCGAGAATTGAATAAGTTACTATAGGTTATTTTTATTATAAAAATTACTGGGTTTGATCTTACCTGGAACTAACTTCCTTCTAGGCATAAACTGATTTCCAGAAAGGGTGAATTCATTATTTACATCAAAGTGACGATTTGAAACTTACTATTTCTGTTTACATAATATCTAGCTTATTCACTTGGAATAGATAATATGCTTATTCAAAGTGAAGTATTACTTGCATACAAAGAGTTAATTAAGTTTAGCAGAAATCAACTTGACCTACATTGAATAAAAAGAAAATAAATAATTATAAGGCTACTGGGAGGCTTCACAGACCCCAAGTGTGGAAATAAAGGTTGACTTCATAAAGGATTTGGAAACCCCCAAAGCTTTTTATCTCAAATCTTTGTCTGGCTTCCTTTTTTCCTCATGTATTTTACTTTTAATTATTGGAAAATCAATATGCTGTGCTTCTTAGTTCATATGATTAATATTGTTTTTAACTGGGTTATAAACTTACATATTATAAACCTAAAGTCTAAAATTAATGTCTCTTAGTTCCAGTTACACATTCTTACAAGATAGAGAAAGTCCAGGTTAGATTAGGTGTTTATTTTTTGTTCATTTGATTCTGCCCAGTGAACAACCATGACATGACTACACAAAGATTGGGTAGGAGGAACATCAAATAGGAGAGCCTCTAGGCAGTTTCATCAAGAGGTATCCATTACAAGGCATAAAAATCAAATCGCAATCAGGAACTGGCAAAACACAGACAAAAACAACAAATGAACAACAATTCCTTCCCCGAATAAAATTCTGCTCTACGATGATTACTTTGAAATGAAAGAACAATAGGTATGTTATTTCCACTGATTACAAAGTACCAGATGGTGAAGGTGTCTGGCCATGTAAATATAAATTTTCTTATTTAGTTATATTAATTTAGTTGTTATTAATATCATATTGCATAGTACCAGAATTGTATCTAACAATATCAAATATAATAATTGATAAGAATGGAATCCCAATTCAGATGAAATATGCATGATTTCTCTACAAAACATTACTGTGACCTTGTTGCTAATTCAGTTTGTTTATGTAATAACACATGTAAAGTGCTTAAGTTATTAGAAATTAGATAAAATCGTTTGACGTTATGATGTATGGTATTTTGTATTTATTTTATTAGGAATTATTATAAATCTTTTTTCTTCTAAAATTTTAGATTTGAAAAACAATGAACACCTAGCTGTAAATTAAGGGAGATCGTAACTATACATTTAAAAAATAAATTAAATTTAAAAATATGTGTAAGACTTAGTAGTCATTCTAGAATCAAATTGCCCCTGAGAAAATTTAGAAACCAATAGAATTCCATGATGAATATCCTAACACTAAGTTATTTATCTTTGCTCTACTACACTTAGCCTAGGACTAGTATGCAGATGATACTTATTAAAATTTTTCAAACAAAAATGAAACTAGGAAATACAATGATAGTGATGTCAGCAAGATGGTAGAATAGGAAGTTCCAGACCTTATACCTTCACAAAAATTCTGGCTTAACAACACATGGTCCAAAAGCCTTAAAGCCCTTAGGAGAACTCTAGAAACCAAGTAAAAAGTCTCAGTACCCCCAGGTGAGCTCTAAGGTAAGAATAGCAACATGGAAATGGGAAGAGAATGCATTTTATTTTACCCATGGTAAGCCTTCCCTCAAGTAAGTACAGCTCAGCACAATTGGAAGTAGACACCCAACTAACAGTTTCTTCCTTGGGAAGGAAGTAGAAGTAGACATATGTCTAACATTCTAGCGTTTGGGGGACTACCTGAGAAACTAGTTTCTGTCTCGTCTAATTGGGAATGTTAATGGGGAGTGCTAACTAGTTTCTGTCTCGTCTGATTGGGAGACCAAACCTAGGATGTGTGGAGGTCACTGAGAAAAAGAGAGAGCTTGGTGGCTTGCTGCAGTACCAGAGAAGCTGCAGTACCACAAAGAGATGCCAAAGAGATGCCAACACAGCTTGGCACAATCAGAAGAGAATATCCAGCTGTGGCTTCTCCCTTGGGTTGGAAAGTGAAGAGTGAAATGTGTGTCCAACATTATGTCTTTTCAGGGATTGCCTGGTGGACTGGTTCTGTCCCACCTGACTTGGGGTACTGATGGGACTGAACTACTTTGGATGCCTCAGGGCCACTGACAAGAGTTCAGGGGCTTGTTGCACCAGAGCACTTGCAGTACTGCAGATATACACAAGAGGGAGCAAGAAATTACAAGTTCCTGATAAAACAAGAAACTTCTCCCATTGGGAAATTATATGCATGATTCCCAGAAAAAGCTTGAGAGACCCTCAGGCTCTCTAATCAAGATGATTGGTGAAGGGTTTTCCCTATAAGAATCCAGACCATGAAAATTGAGAGAGGTGGCTGTTTTTTCAAGTGCACAAATTCCAGAAAATAATACCACGTACAAAGAAATAGGTAAAAATGACCCAACCGAAAGAACAAAATAAATCTCAAAAACCCACCTGAAAGAAAAGATGATGTATCAATTACCTGACAAACAATTCAAAATAATTGTTTTAAAGAAGCTGAATGAAGTATCAGAGGATACAGACAGAAAGCTAAACAATCAAGAAAATGATACATGAACAAAATTAGAACATTAACAAAGAAATAGAAACTAAAACACAGAACCAAGTTCTGTTTGTCAGTGACATGATCTTATATGTAGAAAATCCTAAAAATTTCAGAAAACCCCAAAACTGTCAGAAGTAATAAACACATTTGCAAAGTTATAGGGTACAAAACCAAAATGCAAAAAATTAATTCTGTTTGTATATAGTAATAATAATCTGCAAAAATTAAAAAAATTCAATAGCATCAAAAAGAATAAAACACTTAGAGATAAACTTAACCAAAGAGGCAAAAGATTTGTACACTGAAAACTAGAAAACAATGCTGAAAGAAATTTAAAAAGTCACACATAAATGGGAAAAAATTTCATGTTCATAGAGTGAAAGACTTAATATTGTTGAAATATCCACACTCTCCAAAGTAATCTACATATTCAAAATAATCCCTATCAAAATTTAAATTTCCATTTTTGTAGAAATAGAAAAAATACTACAATTAATATGAAATACCAAAGAAATCTAAATAGCCACAACAATTTTGAGAAATAAAAACAAAGCTAGAAGCCTCACACTTTATAATACAAAACATATTAGAAAGACACAGTAATCAAAACAGTATGGCACGTGCATAAAAACAGACATATAGACCAATGGAACAAAATAAAGACCCCAGAAAAAAATTTTTTATATATGGTCAAATAACCTTTGACAAAGCTTCCAAGAATACACAGTGGGGAAAGGATAGTCTCTTCAACAAATGCTATTGGGAAAATTGAATATTCATATGCAAAAGAATGAACTGGACCTTTACCCTACACAATATACAAGAGTTAACTCAAAATGGATTAAAGATCTAAACATAAGACCTAAAAATACAAAATTCGTAAAAGGAAACACGGGAGAATCTTCATAACATTGAATTTAACAATAATTTCTTGGATGTGACACCAAAAGCATAGGCAAAAAAAGCACAAAAATAGATAGATGAGACCAGGTCAAACTTAAAACCTTCTGGGCAACAAAGGAAATAATCAACAACATGAACAGTCAGTGTAAGGAATGGGAGAAAATATTTGCAAACCATATGTCTGATATGGTATTAATATCTAGAATATATAAACAACTTCTATAACTGAGCAATAAAATAACAAATACCCTAGTTAAAAAATAGACAAAGGACTTGAATAGACATTAAGAATATAGGTAAATGGCCAACAAAAATATGTAAAGATTCTTAACATCCCTAATTATCAGGGATATGCAAATCAAACCCACAATGAGTTATCACTTCACACCCTTTAGGAGGACCGTTATAAAAAAAATAGACCAACAGAAAATAACAAGTATGACAATGATGGGGAGAAATTGAAACCCTTGTACATTGTTGGTAAGAATGTAAAATGGTGCATTCATTTTACATTCTTGGAAACAGTATGGTGGTTCTTCATAAAAATTAAAAATACAATTACCACACCATCTAGCAATCTCACTCTGAGTATATATCCAAAAGAATTGAAATTAGCATCTCAATGATATATTTGCATATATGTGTATACATATATAATGGAATATTATTCAGGCTTAAAAAATAAAAAAATTCTGTCACATGAATTACTCTTGAAGACATTATGGTAGGTGAAATAAGCCAATCACAAAAAGATAAATTCTGTATGTTCCACTCATATGAGGTACCTAACATAGTCAAACTCTTAGCTAACATAGTCAGACTCTTAGAAACTAAGTAGAATGGTGGTTTTTAGTGGCTGGGTCAGGGGAAAAAGGAGAGTTATTCAGTAGGCATTGAGTTTAAGTTTTGCAAGATGAAAATTTTCTAGGACTCCATTGACCAACAATGTGCATATAGTGAACACTACTATATTGTACATTTAAGAATGGTTAAGATGGCAAATTTTATGTTATTTTTAAACCACAATTTAAAAAAACACCACAAAATAGAAAAAATATTTATGACTTATTTTGTCAACAAAATTATTAACTTAGAAGTTGCCAAAGAGTTTACAATTTCCTTTTAAGTTATGAATGTATTAATAATTACATCTTTTAAAATATGACGTTCTGAACTAGTCTTTGTTTATACTTAATAGAATTTTGAGGAGGCAGATACAAAGATGCTTATGGGATAAATGCTAGTTTGTAAATCTGTATGTATCGGATGAAATTTGTTTTGTTGTTTCTTACTTTTTCACTTGAAGCTGGCACAACATATTCGCCTTAAGTTTGAGTATGTGTCTGGAATGCTCTGACTTAAAATATGGACACGTAGGAAATTTACTCTTAAGAGGCAATTTAGGGCCTTCTAATGCATAAGAGATCCTTCTACAGATCTGGATTTGTGATTTCTGAGGAGTGACTTCATGGTATGTTCTAAGGTGAATAACAGCAGTCTTTATTTATTTAAAGTTTGTCAGTGGTTTTCTTGAGCAATGAAGGCAGACTACTTTTTTTTTTTCCTAGAATTGTTTCACATGTGTGAGCCAGAGAGAAAAACCTCACTGTTTTATTCTATTTATTTTGTATGGTTAGAATTTCTTCCTAAATAGATGCCATTATGCTTTCTCTCTTTGATCACATGTAAAGAAAATAAATCAAATAAAAGATATCTCCAAATTCAGGAATATTCAAGGGGCAAGTCCCCTTTGACTTGAGCCATAAGTAAAACAATGCCATCTTTGTCTCTTATCTTGTCTGTGATTTATTCTTTTCAGAAAAGGCAGAGTGCTGGAGTGAGTTAGAAGAGACAGAGAAAGGAGAAATGAAATGTGTATAACTAAACTGGATTTGAGTTGACACTGTTCTGGGCTATGACATTGTTTCGTTTAATCAAGCAATGCAATCTGTCAGAAAACAAGTTTTAGTACTGATTCTGCCATGAAGTGGAATGAGTGGACGTTTTTTCTAGGCTGTGCTTCATAATCTCATATGGTTATGTTTGTTTCATTAAGATTGATGCTTATTAGAACTTTTTACTGTAGTTAACTTAATTCAAGGTATCATGTAATTATTTTGCATGTGTTGTGGCCTCAGAAGATGACTTTTTGTAAGTCTCCAAGGCTTAGACACCTCTACTTATATATTTTTATCACTTATTGGTAGCCCTATGAGGACTAGAACTAAATCTACCTTGTTTACAGTTCTCTCTCCAGAACATGCTCTGTGCCTGGTATATAGCTTATAGTCAATATTTTTTTAAATTAATGAATAAATAATAGATAAATCTGGACAACGTTTCCCCTTTCTACTTTGGAGTAGATTTGGAGATAGAAATATCTACCTAACAAATCCTACGGGAAGATGGTGCCCAAACAGCAACTGAAATTTCAATACTTTGTATCAAAATATTTTTGAGTGAGAGTGAATATCTTTACTGTCAGTAGTTTTTTTTTTCACTTTTAAAATTAAGATACAGAAAATGTCAGCTTCCACAATTGCTTAAGATCGGAGGGTGACAACAGAGGGTTAAATGAAGAGAACACTGATTGTGGAATGCTTTACAAAGAATGAATATTAGGAACTTATTACAGAATGAAAGTCATTAAGATCAGAGTACAAACTGAATGCGTGCTGCTGGCTGACAAAGGTAAAAGATCTGGTTCACCAATGCTAGTTTCATCTGTAACAGCTCTGGTTCTTTGCTGTCGTAAGAGCCACAAGGGGAGTGAATATAGATGATGTCAGCATCTTGGATTTGTATTTTAATCCTCCAAAATGTCAAACTGGCAGTTCTGGAAGACCGGATATGGAATCTTTTTTAGTTTAACTAAATCCAATTTAAATTATGTATTGCCTATCAATCTTTAAAACAGAAAGCTGATCTCATCTTATAGGTTCAGCATTACCTAAAAAGAAGATAGCACTCCTCAATCAATAAAGAAAATATTGGTCGTTCAACTAGAAGATGCCATGTATAAGATACAAAAAATTCATGGAAACAAAATTATTGCCTGAAAAATTTCAGAATCTAGTAATAAATAAAATAAGATTGTATACATAGAAATATAACATCACAGTTGAAAGATTAAGCACCAAACTAAGATAGTAGAGTGGCTGTAATTGACCTGAAATCCAAAGTCTAAGATCCAGACAGTCAGGAAAGGTCTTATAAAGGAGAAACTGGTGTATTTCATTAAACATGGATAATTTATGTGTTTAACTGGAGAAGGCTTTGTTTCAAAAGCTTGCTTATTTTTCCAGCCACACATCTACCAGTAAATAAGCCAAACCCCACCAAAATCATATTACATATATTGTCTTGGGAGAGCCTTTAAAATATATATACACATATTTATGAAAGTATTTTATATTCATGATGTAGAAAATAAAAAAAGTTACCAAAAATTGCAGGTTGTTTGCTTTCTTGGCTAAAATTCTCGATTTCTTTGTGGGAGGCAGGCAGAGCCATGTACAGTGCTGCATACTTCAGTTATCTGATCTCATATTGCATGCCACAAAATGGGATCTTCTACCTTGGGGTTGTTCACTAGAAATTTTATCATGATTATGCTAAAGAAGTCCCCATTTATGTGACACTGATTAGAAGCATATAGCTAACTTATTTTTACTGAGTTAATATATTTTAAGGTATATAATTTAAGGTAGGAAAAGAACTTTATATAAAATATGCTCCAAAAAAGGGGAGGGAGAGCATTAGGACAAATACCTAATGCATGCAGGGCTTAAAACTTAAAATATTTTAAGGTATATAATTTAAGGTAGGAAAAGAACTTTATATAAAATATGCTTCAAAAAAGGGGAGGGAGAGCATTAGGACAAATACCTAATGCATTGCAGGGATTAAAACTTAGATGATGGATTGATAGGTGCAGCAAACCACCATGGCACATGTATGCCTATGTAACAAACTTGCATGTTCTGCACATGTACCCAAGAACTTAAAGTAAAATTTAAAAAATGCCAGCCGGGCACAGTGGCTCATGCCTGTAATCCCAGCACTTTGGGAGGCCGAGGCAGCTGGATCGCTTGAGCTCAGGAGTTCAAGACCAGCCTGGCCAACATGGTAAAACCCTGTCTCTACTAAAAATACAAAAATTAGCCGGGTGTGGTGGTAGGCGCCTGCAATCCAAGCTACTCGGGAGGCTGAGGCAGGAGAATTGCTTAAACTTAGCAGGCAGAGGCTGCAGTGAGCTGAGATCATGCCACTGCACTCCAGCCTGGGCGACAGAGCGAGACTCCGTCTCAAAAAAAAAAAAAAAAAAAAAAAAAACGCGCAAAATAGAAAAAGCAAATGGTACAAGATATTACTGAACTCTAATTGTAATATTTTACTTTTTGGAGAGTGGCAACATGCTTTATTTAGCAATAAATTCATGTTAATGATTTGTTTATTAAGGAACTGTTATAGAAAGTCGGCTAGGGTAACATGAGTTAATAAATACATATCAAATTCCACTATTCTAAGGCCTAGCTCTGTCATGAGAAGGAATTAGGACCTTTATGTTGAGCTCTTGTAACCAAGCTATTTAGAGGTACAGTCCAGTCCAGTCCAAGGATAGAAAACAAACAGAATCCTGTATGTAGGGGTCACACAGGTATCAAAACTGCAGAGAGCAGAGCAATCAGCAACTCAAGAGGTCAGGGTCAGAAGGGGACAGGGAAACCATAGGTCAAAGTTACACAATGGAGGAGGAAATTGGGGCCTATGAGAAAGGTTTTACCACCTGATGGTATCTTCTGGTTTCTTTTTTTTAAGTCTAGTTGTGTCAAAGGTGACCCTGAATTTCCAGGCATCTTTCAGGGGCATGTTTTAAGTTTTGTTAATATTTAAAACATGAATTTCAAGGAACTAAGTAGAATGAATCCTTAGTGTTTAACTTATTACTATTTATGGTATGAAAAATAAGTGACATGGTATGAAAAATAAGTGACAAGGAAAGACAGGACTTTGCCAGCCCATATAAGTACTTCTATGAAGATTAGAGAAAAGTACACCTTCCATCATGAATGTTGAGTAGGCTGTATTAGGCTTCTCCAGAGCACCAGGAGCTACAGGATGTATATATGTATGTGGAGAGACAGAGAGAGAGAACAAAAAGAGAGAGAGAAACAGATTTACTTTAAGAAAATGACTCACACAATTATAGAGGACTTGTGGGTCTAAAGTCTAATGTAGCGGGTTTGTGGGTTGGAGACTGAGGGAAAAGTTGCAGTAACTTTTAGAGGTGAAGCCTGTGAGTAGCATTTCTTCTTTCTTGGGGAAGTTCAAACTTTGTTCCATTAAGCCTTCAATATTGAACAAGACCCACCCACATTATTGAGGATAATTTGCTTTTCTCAGAGTTTATCAATTTAAATGTTAATCTCATAAAAACAAAACAAAACAAAAACAAAAACAATAAAACAAGAACAAGTTCAGAGAAACACACAGAATAATGTATGACAAAATATCTGGGCACTATGGTTCAGCCAAGTTGACATGTAAAATTAACCATCACATTGAGCATGGGCTGGAGTTCAACTCGTCTTCAACTCTTTAGTCATTTACCAATGTGTAGAGCCAAACTGCACAACTACTCACACTGAGCTTGTTTTTGGTAGCCCGTGTCAGTCCACATGCTAGTACCTTTGGGGACCACAGTTCAAATCATTTTGTAATGAGTAAACTCATCAGTGGCCAGGAGGCTCTGCAACTGACCCTGACCAGCTGCCCCTTCCAAAGAGGAGAATCTGGACTTTGATAAGTGAGGCTTCTGTTTGCACTGGCAAACAGAATAGACTGTAGTTTTCCACAGTGTGCTTATAATTCTGGGTTTTCATTCTGGCTCTTTCACTAATTTACTGTGGATGTTGGGTAAATCACTGTACTTTTCTGGACCTGGGTTCTTCTACTTGTAAAACGACATGCTAATAACTTGAAAAGTTCCTTTCATCTCTGACATGATGCATCAAACATGTAGGCCTTGATATATAGATTTTTGTCCTTAACTGATATGGGCAATGACTAGGTAATTATTCTTTTATTGATATTTGATATTAGCAAAAAGCTTTATTTTCTAACTTTGTAAACCATCTAATGCTTTTTTGCATTAAAAGGAGAACTTATGTGACTATCAGCAACTGATGTGAAAAACTTGGGAGAACTATTTATCTTCAGATGAAGAAGCAATTATTATCAAATGTCAAAAACCATTGAATGAGGTCCGTCTTCTTCCTATGACAGAAAGTGTTTTGTGTTTTACATGCCTCCTTCCCAAGGCATGTAACTTAGGTTAGTATCAAGTAAGTTTTAAGGTTTAGCTCTTGAAATTCAAAAGCGCTATAGAATAATACTTTGAATTTTTAATATACTATCAATTTGAAGTTACTAGAGTACATAAATTGCAATCAGGAAGAAATGGGATCTTTCTTGCATACTGAGATTCTCCTTGGTTCATTGATAATTCTTGATGGATCTTATTACATGTCTTTCTCGAGTTGCTTAAAATACTTAACAGAAAATAATTATTCATCTCCTTACATTCAGGTTAGATATACAAAATACATGTACCCCTTTAAGCAACCTCACTTCACCAGAATGTTATAACATGCGATGTAAAATGTGAATAATTGTGTGGAAGATATTTGGAACTTTAATGCTTTCTCAAGCATTTCAAAGAATTTTATAAGTTTCTGATGGAATTACAAAAAGATTAGACCTGAAATGACTTCAGAAGGTAAAACTTTTAAGAAGGTATGTCTTTTTACAAAAGTATAGAAATGTTAACACTCATTATTGCACCTTTTAACACTGGACTTCAAGAGAGGTGGTGATTTTCATAGTCTTGCCACCGTTGAGAACATTTTTGGAAGGCCATTCATGGAACTGACTTTAGAGCTAGCTTATGAACCACACAAGGAAATTAGTTTTATTACTTTATTGTAACATCTTATGTATTTCCATTCTTAACATTGCTCGCAGTTGGGGATCTTCCCCATCTCAAACAGAGTGTGCATTTTCCCCACTTAATACTGTTGTTGCAAAAACATATCCCAGAGAATGAATGTTTGCTGTAGAAATATTCACAAATAAAATATGTAGATAAAATATGGCACAGTGTCGAATGTAAAATATAGTATATTACCTGTGAAGTAGACTATTATATAAAATAGCTTCTCTAATTTAGGTGGATAGAAAATGTAATTTTTCTGTTTGAAACCCACTGAAGAATTTGTTTGTTGACATGATTTTAACCTGTTGACTTTGGTGTCTGTTCTTGAGAAAATCTAATAATTTTCTCTAAAATACACACCCACCAAAAAGATGCAAAACTTACTGTTTTGAATTATTGAAAAAAATGTATTCATTGAAAACATCATAGAAGAGTATTGCTTTGATTATAAATATTGTTGTCAAAATGTAGAAATAAAATATTTCAATTATGTGATTGAGGAACTAGGAATATATGTTCAAAGATGTGAGATAATCCATAGAAATGAAGGTTTTATTATTCCAATTTTTATTTTTCTAGTCTTTTTTTTCAAAAATTTCTTAGTGATTTTACAAAGAACAAAAATCATCAGGAGAGAGAAATGCCAACTGTTTTAGTTTATACATATCTAGGCTGTGTATTTCCCTGTCTTTGGTTCATTGAGGCGATATCACAGCATGGCCTCTGGATAAAACAAACAAAAGATAACAGAATACACCAAACTACAGTAGGTCAATTAAAAAAACTTATTAACAAGCAATTAAAGCTCAGTAGTTTTTTTATTTGTGGGTGTTTGTATATAGTAGTCAGTAGAGAGTTTAGCATGTTGGGCCTATTCTTTCCCTGGGTGTCATTTATTGGAAATGCCTGAGGAACCCGGGAGAAGAATGAGAAACAACCAAATAAATTCATGTCAGTTTTACCTGTGTTATACATTAAATTCATGACTTTTCTCATTCAAATGAGTCCTAATTCTGTACTGTTTAAAAAAAAAAAAGATCTTGATACCAATGCACCGAACTATAAAGCAATAGCTCTGAAAATGATGTATCAAAGGCAGGACTCATTGTAGAAGTGAACAAAGGCAAAAGCCTTATTAGTAATGGGCTAATCCTATGGTGAGCCTGGGTGGGTAAACTGCTGTCTAGAAGTAGACTGTTCACTCATGTGAAGTAAATTAACACTTCCTTGGCACCAGGGTACTATTAGGTGCATTGAAACAACTTATTTACTATGGACATCCTGGTGCCCTTGCATATCCCACATCACTATAAGATCAGGCATAATAAAATCATATGGTGCCAAGGAGCCAGACCTTACAAATTTTAGCCCATAGCCCAGTGAAGTGGCAGGAATTTATGGTAGTTAAATCAGCTGGGGCACTGTTCTAGCTATAGCAGAAATTTTATTCTTAGTATCTGTAAAGCAGAGAAATTAAAGCAAGCTAATCGTCCCTGATGACAAATCACCTAAGCCTTTCTTTTATGTACTATGTGATTTTGCAGGCTCACTTCTTGCTCACTGGGGGGAAAAAGAAAAACAAACCAAAGATTTCTTTTATTCCTTGAAGTAAAGAACCAGAGAGAAAGTTGACACATAATAAAGGCAATCCTTACCCATTTTGTTTCTCATCATTGGCTATCGAAAAAAGAAAAATAATCATTCATAGCCAGATTAATAGCAAGGCAAAAAAGGAATAAGCAAGCTTCATAAAAATAGAGGATCATAGTCTTAATAAATCATGCTTCCACTGTCCACCTACAAATTAGGCAATACATGTTCTATCTAACAAAGCTGATGGTATTGAAAAACAAATTAATTAGAATAGAGATACATGCATTCTTATTATTTATTTATTTTTCTTGTCACACGTTGTCTCATTAGAGATATATGCATTTTTAATATAACAAGTGTAATGTAGAAATAGGTTAAATTAGTTATGAAAGAAATAAGTGCTTTAATAATCAAAATTGATAATTTTGATAGTTGGATAGCATTGATGTCTTTTGTGATTTTTATTTTTAAAACTAGGGTTTAACACATATTCAGCTATTAACCTCAAACTCAGAGTGAACGAAGGTCCATTTGTAGTTCTGTTTATAATTTAAGTTTTAGAATATATTATAAAGAAACACACAAACACAAAATTTTACCCAACAAATAGGCTGCCGAACAAAATAAGAATTCTCTGTTGAATCTGGGAAGATTATAGTAGTAATTTTTGTTTTCTAATCGGAAAGCCTTAGTTCATCTAATTTCATGATTTTATACGTGAATTTTTATAAACATGGAGGTTATATTTCCAACCAAAGTCGTATCAAATTTGTCTCATTTTTAAATGATTCTTTTTTGAACAAGGAAAACTTAATCTTTTATTCTGTTCATCCTTGAAAGATAGTTGAAGCCAAATTGCTACAAAATTATGTTGGCTGAAATACAAAATGAACACGTTGGGTTCTGTAAAGCTGGGACATGTTAGGAGTAATCATCTTGATTTTCTGCTAAGCACTAGTCATGCTAATTTCTGCCATTAACAAATTTGATTAAATTCAAAGAGGGTAAACATTTTTTTTCTAACTTGAAACATTCTAATGTTTAGAAACAAAATTTGTCAACCAGAAACAGGTTTTCCTAATATGAAATTAAAACTATATCTTTTTAAGAACCCAAAATAAAACAAAACATATTTCTCATATTTCTTTTTACTTCCAGGCAAATAGTGTGATGCTGATCATGTACTTTTCACTTCCTATTTTTTTTAATTGTTTAGATACAATGGCTAGTCTTCTTATTCCCAGGGATGATTTCATCTCTCCCATCCAAATCATTTTAGAATCTAACACCAGTGCCAAAACATCTGGTATGAAAGTTGAAAATGAATTAGTTTACATGATTGTTAAATCTGAATAAGTTCACCCAATATTTGGTTTTATTTTTGGAAATTAAATTGATGTTACTTTTGCAACTTTTCAGTCTGACATTTTTCCTGCTTTTTTTACCCTCAAAACCAAAAATAGGCATTACTCAATTCATGTTCATTTAAAAACAATATGTTGAAGATATGTGCCTGGAATATCCCAACATGGGCTGATATTTAGTAAAAAGTTTGCTGTAAAAGCCTCACTGAGGTGTTCTTGGAGGCTGGACGTGTAAGATAGAGTTTCTGTAACTAAATTATTTGAGCCTCTCTGAGTTTTGCTATCAACCTTATAGTAGATATAGAAAAGAAATCCACCAATTAAATGTTCTCAGGTGATGCCAGTACATAATTGAATTTAGCTTTTTACATCTACCAGTGATGTTATAATAAACATAGACCTCCCCTGTTGACACTTATCAAAATGTAGAAGACCAGAATTTGGAATTACAGCTGGGCAAAATATAACAAAACTTATATTTAAAAATGCATCTTGGAAAAGTAATATTGAGGTAACTTAGCAGTTAAAGTATTAAAATAGTAGCTTACTATTTTAGACTCAACACCAAAAACAGACACCACCATCTCATAAAATAAACATGCAGTGAAAGGCTAACACACACATTAGCTGCAAACTGAGTCTGTAGCCAATACAGTATGATGAGAAGGAATACTCAGTATGGTGTGATGTGCAATTGCTGCCATTAGCCATATGGTGCAGTGTGAAAAGGGCCTCTGTGACTGAGTAACAGTTGTATCTTATATGGTTTATTAAATAATTATGCAATGGCAAGTAACACTTCTATAATTATTGGCTGTTTTTAAATATTTGTGTTAATCTAGCTGCATTTACCAGGTTGAAGGATGCATGTTCCATCAGGTCTCCATGCTTCATATCTGCTTAGTGTATAGAATGGAAATTGGCTGCCATATTGAAGATTTAGAGCACATTTCTTATATCATACTGTGTATCATCAAGGTATGCCATAGGGCATTTAGAAATATAGGGGCACATTACTTTTAGAGATGCTTTCCACCTGCCACCTGTCAGTACAGACACTGCCTGTGGGATAGAGAATGTGCTACTTTTATATAATTTCCACAGAATGAGACAGAGACATATTAAGACATTCAAATGAAAAGCAAAAAAAAAAACACAACAAAATATTCAGAAATTTTGTTTCATAATTCTGTGTGGGATCCTATTTGGATACTTAAAAAATATCACAGACATTACCCTGACACATTTCTATTTATAGTAATTTTTTCCTCAAAGGAAACTTGTACTTCATCTATTTGTTTAACTCCAACCTATTTGGCTTTTTCAGTTAATTAACACTTTATTAATCAGTCAGACTAGTCTGGCCTACACTACATACTATATCTAAATTGCTTAGATATAGTGTGCTGGTTCTGCAATGTGGGATTATCAGAGGACAGGCAGCAATATCATGGTTAATGCAGTGAAATGGCTGTGATTGTGATATGCCCACCATGGGACTGCAGGGCAGCTGCATCTGCCACTGAGAGATAGGTTGTGGCTCAATGAAATACACTGGAGCAGCAGCACACTTGTGCTTGAATAAGCTCACTCTCTTGGCTGATGGAGTTACGCTATCTTTAAAAAACGGGTTGCATGCTTTCATGCATGATTATGTTGAAGACAAAATTTTGAAAAATTTAACTTAGAGTTTGTAAATGATCATTGGGTGAAACACTGAGAAGTAAAGCTAATCCAGGTACAGTATTGACATTGCAATAACAGCCATGGGTCTTATTGCCAAGTTACACCAACTTTTCTCTGCCTCTGTACTTAAAGGCTGAGTAGCATTATTATATTTTGAATACTTTTTATAAAAATGAATTTTATTATTATTTTTGATATGTAATTATTCAAATATGCTCCCTTATGCTAAAGCCTTTTTGATTGTATTCAATAAGAAAAAAGTAAAAGAAAATAAGGAGTAGTCATTGGGGCTGTTTTTCAGTCTCTTGTAAGACAGAGGATCACATTTCCTCACAACCTTGGTTTTCATTATGACTGTGAGATTGCTTTATCCAGTGCAAATGGAGGAAGACGTCTTTAATAACCAATATGTTGTTCACCATGGTGTCTTCCCACTAACACAGTGGCCAGGGACATTCCAGATGGAAAGACTCCTTCAGAGAACCTCTACAGAGCCTCCTGGCCCTGAAATGACATGGATGTGCCTCCCAAGTAATAAATAACAAAAACAACAAAATATTTCACAGATATTACTACTAGGATAAGGTTAACTATAGAAATAATATTTAAAGTCATTTTAAATAAATGATATTAAGTAAACCAGAGTATTTAGAGCCTCCTTCCCTGTTTGTGAGGCTGATATGCCATAATTAGTTACTAGTGACCCCCCACCTCTACCCCCCAACTCACTGGGAGCCTAGGTGTGGCTGGAGAGTTGTAATCTCTTTCCTAATTTCTGATTTGGAGCAGCATGGTTGGTACACCCAAGTAAGTCATACAAATATTACCATTTTCATATGGCAGAATAAAGTTTCACAACTACCAGTGCATGTGATACTTGGTGTGGTGAATATCATGCAGATGGCATATATAAAGAACAAAAAGTTTTGAAATATTGATAAAATGAAACATTTAAGGATAAATTAAAGTAATATTTTGGCCTTGCTATTTGAAAATAGGTTAAGTTTTCCAAATAATTACATCTCTCCCTTTAATTGACCTGTGTACACATTTGCTAATCCATGTGTTCATCCAGATAGCCAGATAATCAAGAGTTTTTCAATGTGTACTATATATTACAGGAACTGTTCAAAATGGTGAACATAGAAAAGACAATTTATTGTCTTATTATTCCTCAAATAATTAGCATTTCCAGGGGAAAGGAAGATAATTAATTACAATCAAATATAATAAGTGATATACAAGTAAATACTATGTTCCAGGCAGTGTCCTGGGTATTTAATTTTATTTAGTCTTTATAGACACTCAATGAGATAGTAATCACCTTCACTATATATAGATAAGGATACCGATTCTCAAAGAATTTAAATGATTTGTTTAAAGTCTTACTATTAGAAAGTACTAAGAAAGAATTTGAATCCAGTAGTACAGAGAAAAACAAATGATCACGTGCATAAAGACAATCTTTGTTAATATCATTGTTAAAGATTTTGTGCCAAGATGCTGTGTCTTTTGCTTACCATCAGGTCATAAGCACAATGTTGGTCTTCAATACATTATTAAGATTGCCCATATTTGAGATCACATTCAGATCCCCCCACATGCCAATAGTATTTTTCCCCAGTGGCTACATATATATACCTATCAACACACATAAAATATTTGGAAAGAAAAATCCTATTCTGATGCAATTGTTTTTCTCTTTAATGGAATGGGGTTGAGTTGAATGAAGGAGAGTAAAATTTGAGTTTGCAAAGGAATTTTAGTTCTATATGAAATATTTTGTTTTTTAAGAAAAATATATTCAGATATTATGTACTTAAAGTTTACTTTAAAAAGTCACTGTCGCTTTTCTAGACATCTTATTTCAGTGTGAAGCTTGATGCTGTACTTTTTCAGGTACTATGTATCAGAAAATCCTTGATACTAAGCATGTTTAGTAAGAGCTTTCTGTTTTGGGGTATTTTGAGGATTTATTTCAAGATTTACAGCTCCTTTTAGCAGTTATTGTAGCACTGGCTTGGTAGTGGTGTACTCTCTCAGCATTTGTTTGTCTGAAAAAACCTGTACCTTTCCTTCATTTATGAAGCTTAGTTTTGCTGGATACAAAATTCTTGGCTGGTAATTGTTTTGTTCAAGGAGACTGGAGATTGGGCCCCAATCCCTTCTAGCTTGTAGGGCTTCTGCTGAGAAATCTGCTGTTAATCTGATAGGTTTTCCTTTATAAGTTACCTCCTGCTTTTGCCTCACAGCTCTTAAGATTCTTTCCTTCATCTTGACTTTAGATAACCTGATGACTATGTGCCTAGGTGATGATCTTTTTGCAATGAATTTCCTGGGTGTTCTTTGAGCTTCTTGTATTTGGATGTCTAGATCTCTAGCAAGGCAGGGGAAGTTTTCCTCAATTATTCCCCCAAATATGTTTTCAAAACTTTTAGATTTCTTTTCTTCCTTAGGAATGCCAGTTATTCTTAGGTTTGGTGATTTAACATAATCCCAAAATTCTTGGAGGCTTTGTTCATTCTTTTTTTTTTTTTAGACGGAGTCCCGCTCTGTTGCCTAGGCTGGAGTGCAGTGGTGTGATCTCCACTCACTACAAGCTCCACCTCCCGGGTTCATGCCATTCTCCTGCCTCAGCCTCCCAAGTAGCTGCGACTACAGGCGCCCGCCACCAAGCCTGGCTAATTTTTTGTATTTTAGTAGAGACTGGGTTTTACCATGTTAGCCAGGATGGTCTTGATCTCCTGACCTCATGATCCACCCGCCTCGGCCTCCCAAAGTGCTGGGATTACAGGCATGAGCCACCACACCCAGCCGAAATAGTGTGATTTTTTTTTTGAGGGTGTTAAAGAACCTTGTTTTGTCATATTACCAGAATTTTTTTTTCTGGTTCCTTCTCATTTGCATAGGCTATATCAAAGGAAAGGTCTGGGGCTCAAAGGTTGATGTTTGGATTCTTTCATCCCATGGGGTGCTCCCTTGATGTAGTGCTCTCCCCCTTTTCCTAGGGATGTGGCTTCCTGAGAGCCAAACTCTAGTGATTGTTATTTCTCTTCTGGATCTAGCCACCCAGTGGAGCTACCATTTTCCAGGGTGGGATTGGTGGGTGTCTGCGCAGAGTCCTGTGATGTGAACTGTTTTCCAGTCTGTCAGCTATGGATAGCAGCACAGTATTTGGGTTGTCTCCTGGGTCCTGCAGAAGCAATCTGCTTCCTTCAAAGGGTCTGTATATTCTTTCTGCTTTCCTGGTATGTTCCTGCAGTAGTTCTGGCACTTAACTTGGTCATGCCTGATCTCAGGAATGAGGTCTCCTCAGCGCAAAGGCAGGACCCAGCTCCATTAAAGCTCTACCCCCTGAAATGACAGCCAGGAAGGTATCCATAAGCCACCACCACAACCACCCCTCAATTCCACAGAATACTATTCAGCCATAAAAAGTAACAGAATAATGGCATTTGCAGCAACCTGGGTGGAGTTGGAGACCATTATTCTAAGTGAAATAACTGAAGAATGGAAAACCAAACATTGCTATGTTTTCACTCATAAGTGGGAGTTAAGCTATGAGGATGCAAAGGCATAAGAATGATACAATGGACTTCGGAGACTTGGGTGAAAGGGTGAGAGTAGGGTGAAAGATAAAAGACTACAAATTGGGTACAGTGATTACTGCTTGGGTGATGGGTGCACCAAAATTTCACAAATCACCACTAAAAAACTTAACTCATGTAACCAAACACCACCTGCTCACCAAAAACTGATGGAAATACAAAATAATAAAAAGAAATGTCCATTAAACATGTGAAATAAAAGAGCTTTCTGGCTTGAGTTATCAATAAACATGTTGGCCCTTTATTTCTTCATTTGTAAAATAAAGGCAAGGGTTGCACGAGGTTATGTACGAGTTTTTCGTGGCTCTAACATCGTATGATTTCTTTTACCTTTTGAAACTAGTGGGGCTGCTAGTAGAAACCTGATTCTCATCTTGTTTTAGGGGTATGTATGTTGGAAACTAAAATACTGTGAGGTTAAGTTCAAGATCACGTTGCCAGGGACAAAAATCACAAGGAGAACTCTGTTTTGAGTCCCTCTTTCAAAAGGTTCTTTTGTAATGCTTTGGGCAATTTGTCATTTGTTGATCAAAATACTTTGAAGAAACTTGAGTCTGTTTCTCAGTGTATGATATATTGTTTCAAATGATTTGAATTTACTGGCATCTGGAATAAGATATAGCACTAAATATTTGTATTTGCTATTAGATTATATGCAGCGCTTGATTCCATACTTTTTTCTCAGTCTGGTATTTCCGTTTGTGTCTGTGTGTGTGTGTGTGTGTGTGTGTGTGAATGTGGTAAATGACATAAAAATACTAACAGGTGTCTGTGATTTCCTATTTCCAATTCTAAAGAATAGGAACATCTTAAAACAACATGGGAACACAGTTAATAATGCATTTCTCACTTTGGTGAATAAATAACAATGAAGGTAAAGGGCAAGAATAGAACCAGAGGGTTTATGAGAAATTCTGAAGGTAATAAATTAAAATTGTGTGCATAACATTTCTATTCTTACATCACTTAAGAGTAGTTCTAGAAATTAGCACCCAAGAATGGTATTTGGTGTGGCACACAGGGAGTGTCTTTATTGCACAAATATATGCCTAGGTAATATGAAATATAGAAATAAGAAAAATTTAATTGATAAACGAGGCAGAAGTTCATGACAAAGTTACTTAAAGCTTCTCATGGTGGCAAACATTTACATTCTAAGCCTTTCTCCTCCATTATAAACAACCTGATTTTCATCGATGAAAGCAGCTGGCAGAGACTGCTGAACCAGTTATTTTATTTTATCAGGCATTGCTAGCAGAGATACCACTTTCATTTTTGCCAGCATTTGTAGTGTAAATGAGAAGCAACATATCGTAAAATAACACTAAGAAGATCAAAGGAAGCAATCCCAACTACCAAGCTAAAATCATTCTGGGAAAATGTTTTTTTTTTTATGGTTAATAATGTAATCAAGCCAGAAACCTGCCTAGAAGTTGGAGTTATAGCAGAATTACTGTTAATATTACAGGGTTCCTAATTGGAGTAATATGGAAAGAAAGTTATGGAACATATGAAAACAAGGGACTAATAATATATGTATAAAGAGTGATATAGTTTTGATTAGAGTAGTATGTATATTTTCTCAGAAAGACAAACCAGTGTTGTGAATGAAGATTTAGCATTAAGACAGGAAGGGGAAAGCATAAAAGGAAGAAAACCAAAGCGATCATTTTTTAAAAAACATCTTTGATTTCATCCTTTAAAGACCAATTACTTTTCTGTCCCTTGTGGGAAGAAAAAAAATTCTTCTTAATAGCAAAGTCATTCTAAGACTTTTCTTATTCGTTTTATATTTAGCAGATTACAGCTTTAGTCATCAGTAGGAAAGAGCCTCATAAACTGACAGACTTAAAATCATGTCCTTTGATTGTAATTGACAGAAAAAGCATTTAAGGTAAAGAAAAAAATATTTTATTCATCTTTGATTACACTGTGATGTGATTTGGTGACATAATACAGCTGGGAACTGAGGCAAGAAAGGCAATAATTCCTACTTGAGGGTTTGACATGATGTAGCCCTTTAGTCGTCTTCCTACCAACGCCTCCAGCTACAATAGTCTCCTTGATGGCGGCTAGACAAATAGATATACAGAGTGTTAGAATTTAAAAGGCAAACAGCTCTAAAATAACATTTGTTAAGGCAATATATTTCAGCATTAAATGCTTGACAACTACACATTTGGCTGGACATAAATTAAATCTATTCAATTTAAACATTTTACTGTACAAAGTACTGTCATTTAAGCAACACTTTCTTAAAATAATGTAAAATGAATGGTTTATGTACAATAGCTCTTTAAAGAGATGCATGCATTTTTATTTTTTCATATCAGTTACTGTGAGTGTATACTTCAACCCATCCGATTGTATTGGAGTTTTATTTTTATACTTTGTTTGATAGTTCTCTTCATTCCCTACTCTGACTTAGTTACTTTTCAGGTAGAATGTTTCCATCTATGTTTTGGACATTTAATTAAAGAGGTTTATGAAAATATAACTATAAATAATGTCAGGCAGTTAGTAAAATAATACATACCAGCATCACATTTGTTTCTCTGCCAAAAATTTATTTCGCTAAATAAATTTATATTCTAGGACTTGAATAAGGACCTTGATATTCTATTCTGTATCTTCAGTGCCATAATGAAAACTACTTCTATGTTCATTTACAAGTAGCGTATGAATACTCAGATTTTAAAAGACCTTAGTATAAACTAATGAAGAATATGTATTTTGTGAAAAATTAAAAATATATTAAAAAATATGGAAAAGGAACCTATAATATAGAATTAATTTGCTAAATTTCCTTTTCAGAGATTTGAAGAGTTTATATCTAGAGTCACATAAGATCTGTAAGACTACTAGGGGAGAAAACACATAGCTTAGCAATATTTTTTAGTGATTAAGAAAAGATTTCCTGAATGTCACCACGACACAAATGTGTGCGTGTGTAGAGTTAAATGAATATCCACCTGAGAATGACTTATGAAGGAGTTACATTTTCCAAAGGAAGATTGTGAATTGTCAGTGCATGATGATATTTATATATGTAAATCAAGTATTCAAATCTGCAAGTTGATTGTGTCTAGAAATGTCAGACTAATTATAAACTCTTATGATGTATTTACCTGAATGGCCCCAAAGCTGCTTAAAACTAAAATGTTCAATTTAACGAAGGTTGTTTTAGTTATCACAAATGGACTCTATTAATCATAGCTTTAAGAGTAATGTAAATATCATCACCGTGAATACAGGTACAAGTCAGAAAGCTGTTCAACTTCCCACAAAAAAATATGTCCAGTGTTTTTCCAATTTAGCTCAGAGGTTTGGATTACCTTGTTGTCAGTGAGTTTAAGAGAGAATATATCTTATCAAAAGAATAATTTAAATTCTTATCTGAAGGGACCTACCTATATAAAAAAGTTCCAAGATGAATAATAATTATAGACATTGCTACACATACTATTCCTCCCATGGAGATCAACTTATATTTCATTCTGTACCAATATTTTTTTTTAGCCAGATAAATAACATTGAGCCCATTTTTTTAAGGCTTGGTTTACACAAATATCTTTTTTCTTTCTCTGCTTGGGTGTAGATATTTTTACTACTGGAACTGTATGGACATAGTAGACATATATGTCCAGCATTAGACTAGATAGATGGTTTTTATACTTCTGCATAAAGGGGGAACAGTAGTCTTTTAATTAATGCTCACTTGCACATATATAGTGTATACCTCATGTGTATTTTTGTTTCTAAATATTTGGAAAGCAACAGGAGAAATCGTGAATTACTTGTTGAAACCCCAACATTCCATTTTAGCTTTGACCAACTTTGTTTTTCATTGAGAATAAAATATTCTGCTAAACTATTTGAAATTTCATTTCTCTTTTTTAAATTCATCTGGGTGTACAGTTTTTTACCAACTTGGTTAATACCACATATCATTTGATCAAAGAACAATTCAATAACAAACCCTTGCAGAGCTTTTTGCAAATAGTATTTGGGGACTTGTACAAAGCACCTATTTCAAATTTTTACTTCCATTCAATGTCCACAAAGCAGTTACATATTATGGAAAAACAATTTTGGGAAAACCAAGGAGGCTTTGCTTGCAGAACTACTTTCATTGTTTAGAAGAAGCATCTTTCACAAAACGTTCATCTGCATTTCTCAATCCCGCTCATGTACAAGTAGAGTTTTTAATAGAAATGTTCAGTATTGCCATTCACACATAGTTAAGTAGCCTAGTCCAATTGTAGAAAAATATTAAACATTATTGAGTTACTTGCAAAATTTCTTCTCTTTCCTTAATATATCTTTAACTATTATGGATAAAATAATGTGGAAATGAAGAAGAAATTCATCATATCTGTAATGGCCAGTCATCGAACATTTACACAAATATTTAAAGAAGAAGAATGTAATCCTAATGCTTTCATAATCTTCACTTTGCTTGTTCACAGATGGACATGTTTTGTCTAGGATGTTCTCTGCAAGATAGAACTCACAGTCTTAAATAATAATACAAATTATTATATCTGGCAGATCCAGTTATATAAGGAAATTAACTTATTTAGATTACTTAACTTTTTTCAAAAGTTTTTTATGCTTATAGAGATTTAAAAGATATATTGCTTTGTAAGTATTGAAAATAAAAGTTCAATATTTGTTATTGAAATATTTATAATAAAAACTTAGACTCCTAATTATAAATTAAAATATTTTGTTATTCATATTCGTAAACTAAAATCAATTTAATAATATTTATCATAAGGTTTTTATTTTAAATAACTAAATTGGAAATAGGAGAGAAAATAACCTTAAAAGTAGTTATTTAAATTTTCTCTATTTGATTTCTTAAGCTAAATCCACATAGGCTCAAATGGTATAATTCCCAGAATAGCCAGACCCTAGTTAGTATAGAGACATTATCTGCTTCACTAAGTATTTTGTTGTATTTACTTTTATGCAATTACATATAGACTTTGCCAGGGAATTAATGCAATAACTAAACTATTTGAAAATTTAAATTCTCACAAAGAAGGCTAGACTATACATTTAAGCAAATTAAAATCTGTTATAATAATGTTCTCAATAGTTTGCCACCCTAAATAATGACTTTAAAAATATTTGATATTCTGGCCAGGCTCACACCTATAATCCTAGTACTTTTGGTAGGCCAAGTCAGGAAGATCACTTGAGCTCAGGAGTTTGAAAACAGCCTAGGCAACATAGCGAGACCTCATGTCTCTATAGAAATATCTCCAGGGCATTTCAGAGAGCTTCCTGGCAGCTCCTCCCATCACAGACCTGGAGGCCTAAGAGGGAAAAATTGGTGCCCTGTGTCCCAGCCACTACATCTGTGTGTGTGTGTGTGTGTGTGTGTGTGTGTGTGTGTGTGTGTATAGTTTTTATGATCAAATTTCAGAAAAAATAATTTAGAGAATAAAAATATGTTGAACTAATGCAAAAGTATAATCTGAAATACTTTGCAACATTTGCAACAGTTGTGTTATTGCTTATGATGTTAAATATAGTATATTTGAAAATCAGATGTGCATAAGAAACAACCTAATTATTTATCTTCTTCCTTTTTTTTTTTTTTTGAGACAGGGTCTCACTCTGTTACCCAGGCTGGAATGCAGTGGAGTGATCATTGCTCACTGTAACCTCTAACTCCTGGGCTCAAGCAATCTTCCCACTTCAGCCTTCTGAGTAGCTAGGACTACGGGCATGTGCCACCATGCCAGGCTAATTTTTTTTTTTCTGGTAGAGATGGGGTCTTGCTATGTTGTCCATGTTGGTCTTTAATTGCTGGCCTTAAGTAACCCTTAGCCTCCCAAAGTGCTGGGACTACAGGTGTGAGCCACCACACCTGGCTTATTCTTAATTCTTGGCCTGTTAGTATGAAGGTATGTTTCAATCCATCTGGAAAATGATATTGTTATTTTTCTCAGATGTATTCAATATCACAGTAATTGAATCACGTATTTTTTCCCTAAAAATATGTGATCCTGCACAAGCTCACCAATAAATCCAGTCTTCAGTGACATTTGGGCACAAAAGGCAAGTTGTTGCACTTCTAGATCCCTATATCATTTATATTAGCCTAATAATGATAAGTAATATTTGAATCAAAAAGTGATAGTCTAGTATATATTTATACTTTGAAATTATTAAATGTATTATGCCAGTACTATATTTTTATGATACATTAGAAATGTTTTTTGATAATTAAAAAGAAGTGCTATGGCTAAAAAAATGAAATTCTTACAATTAACATTTGAATGATAAGCAATTGGGGGTAATTATAGTTCATACTCTACATTCAATGCATTTTGATATATGGATAATTATTCCTGGTAATATTCTTTAGTTGAATTTTTGTAACAATAGTAATAATTTATTGCAAAATTAATTCTTTGACATAATTTAACATTTAGTGATTTGTAGTCAAAGTGAATTGATTTTACTAAAGAGACACTTGTGCTCTGGTTTTCTGTGTTCAAGTACTAATTGGTTATTATAGGTCACTTTAGAACTTAGTTTAAAAATAAATTAAATTGGTTGCAAGGTACATTTAGTAGAAATAGCTTGATATTTTCAGCTCATGGGGTTTTATTTAAATAAAAAATGGTAAAGTAATGCAATCATCTTTGGTTATAAAAGTGATGGATGAATTAAAAACATTTTTGAATCAGGTCAATGGTACTGATGATTAGTACATTGTTAATCAAGTTCCTCAGATTGCTATCAAATGCTTTAGCTCTTTTGCTCAGGCTGGTGAGAGGATCATGAATATTAAAGAGATTCAAATGGATATGCTCTCATGTAATATGGAGTATCACAAATGAAAAGACTAAATGAGGGCAGACTGTGACTCTATGTGCTGATATATCTCTTAAATAAAGTGAAATGCCTAATCAATTTCTTTGCTCACATATAGCAACCAAATAGAAAAATAACAACTTCTTTTTCTTCTGCACTTCTTCATCTCCTTCTCTTTCTTCCTCTCTTCTTCTCCTTCTCCTTCTCCTTTTCTTCTTCTTCTTCTTCTTCTTTCTTCTCATATGTTTTAATCACATTGACAAACTAATGGACATGGTACATTAAGAATATTTTTAAAGAAAAGATTTACATAATAGTTAATAAGGTATAATAGCTATAATTTAAAAGACATCAGTTAAAGACTGGGGCACAATGCATTTACACAGCTTAAATTGTAGTATGTTTTAGAGACAAAGAATGGAGACTGCTGACAAATGTCTTCTTGAAAGAGAGATATGATAATATAATATTTTATTTTTTACATAATAATCCCTTATACTTTTTAAATCTATGCTATTAGAAATATGATACCATATGTTGAATGGTATACATTGATTTTATCTATTATTAAAAGCAAAATTTTGCTTTTTAGACAGAAATAGAAGAAAAAGATTATTCATAGAAATCTCTAAATAGTTAATTAAGGGCTATGTCACTTTTAGAATTTTGATTTTCTTTTCACATGGATATCTGCTAGTAAGGAATTATAACATATTTACAATTAAAACATGACACATTTATTTATAATATAGAATAAAATAATACATTTATAAATAGCCAAATTAATACATAGGCATACCTCATTTTATTGTGCTGCATTTTTTATGAATCGAAGCTTTCTGACAACCCAGCATTAAGCAAGTGTATCAGTGCCATTATTCTAACAGTATGCACTAACTTTGTGTCTCTGTTTCACATTAGGAAATTCTTATATATTTCAAACTTTTAATTATTCTGTTATGGTGATCTGTAATCATTGATCTTTGATGTTACTAATGTAATTGTTTTGGGGCACCATGAATTGTGCCCACATAAGATGGCAAAATTAATTCATACTTCTGCATGTTCTGACTGCTCCACCAACTGGCTATTCGTTTGTCTTTCTCTCTTTCTTTGGGCCTCCCTATGCTCTGAGAAACAACAATATTGAAATTTAGCCAATTAATAACCCTAGTATAGCCTCTACATATTCAAGTTAAAAATAAATAGAGTCACACATCTCTCACTTTAAATCAAAAGCTAGAAATAACTAAGCTTAGTGAAGAAGGCATGTGGAAAACCAAGACAGCCAACGGAAAAGTTCCTGAAGGAAATTTAAAGAGCTTCTCCCGTGAACATACAAATGATAAGAAAATGAAACAGCTTTATTGCTGACATTGGAGAAAGTTTTAGTGGTCTGAATAGATCAACTAACCAGCCACAATACTTTTTTAGACCAAAGCCTAATTCAAAGCAAGTACCTAACTCTATCTAATTGTATGAAGGCTGAGAGAGGTGAGGAAGCTGCAGAAGAAAGGTAGAACCTAGCAGAACTTGGTTTATGAGGTTTAAGGAAAGAAACTCTTTCAAAAACATAAAAGTGTAAGGTGAAGCAGCAAGTTCTGATGTAGAAGTTGCAGCGAGTTATCCAGAAGATCTAGCTGAGATCATTGATGAAGGTGGCTAAACAACTAGATTTTAAGTGTACTGAATTAACAATACACATAATTATACATGATTATAAAAGTCCTCACTAAGAAAGTGATATTTAAGTCAAAACTTGAGTATGTAATAGAAGTTAGGCAGATGAAGAATGAGGATAAAGTATGTTGCAGGGCATGTATAAAGGATGTGATATGCTTTGTATTTATGAAAGACTGAAAGAGTTCAAGATGTAGTGAACAAGTCTTAGAAATTCTGATGGGAAATGAGTATGGGAAAGTTGGCAGGGGACAGTTTATGAAGATTATGAAAGAGATTTGGAATTTTATTCTGATGTTCTATTTTTCAAAGTTTAAGCTGACTTGTAGAAATAATTATAAAAATACAGAGTAATAACATTTAGCAAGGCTTTTCAGTTCTCCAAATAAGAAAAGCTTTTGGTTTAGACTAAGTTGATACCTGGGTAAATGGAGATAAATAAATGGAATTGAAATACGTATTAAAGGTGAAAGCAACTAACTTGGTACTTAATTGTGATGGATTGGGAAAGGGGCTAACAAAAAGGAAAAGTCAACCACTTAAGATTTCTAGCATTAAAGGAAATCTGAGTTAATGAAAGTGAAATTTATTGAGAAATCAAAGATATGAGAAGGAACAAATTTGGTTAGAAAATTAATGATTACTTTTAGATACATTGTCTTAACAATATCATGATACTGAATAGGAAGGACATATATGCATTGAAAAGAGTAGTCTGAAACTCAAGAGATGTCTGGATACTAATGTGAGATTTTTTTCAAATTTTGGCAAAGATGTAATTGCCTAGGTAGTGAATGTATAGGGAGAAGAGAATTCCTGGTGTTGAATTTTGAAGATCTCCAAAATATAGAGGTTGGATATAGAAGAATGAATCCCTAAATGAGGGGCAAAGAGTGAGAAAGGAAACCAGGTTAGTTTAGTGTTCCAGAAGCCAAGAAAGAATAGTATAATTCTAGAAGAGCTTCAAATTTGTTGAATGTTAGTAAAAAGTTATAGTGAGTTAAGTTGTATCCTTCAAAAAGATATGGTCAAGTTGCAGCCTCCCTATACCTACGAATTTTACCTTATTTGGAAATAGGATCTTTGTAGATGTAATCAAGTTCCAGTGAAGTCAGAAGAGATTTGGGTAGCCAGTAATCTTATAAGTGGCATCCTTATAAGAAGAGAAGAGTACAAGCAAAAACATAGAAGAAGCCAAGATATAGGCAGAGATTGTATGGATGTATCTACAAGCCAAAGAACACCAAGGATTGCCGGGAACCACCAGAAGCTAGGAGAGAGGCATAGGGAGGTTTCTTCCTCAATGCCTCCATAATGACCAAACCTTGCTGACACTTTGATTTCAGACTTTTACCCTCTTGAACTGTGAGAGAATTCATTTCTGTCATTATGAGCCACTCAGTTTGTGGTAATTAGTTACGGAAGTCCCAAGAAACTAATATAGAACTCACATAGGGTGAGGAAAGAAAATCATCTATGGGTTAGGCAACATAGAGATAATTTTCATTTTTAGCAAGAGCAGAACAGTTGCATGTAGTGTTAGGGGTGGAACCCACATTAGAGTGAGCGATAAATGAAATACAAAATGATGAGGAGAAGATACTGAATGTTTTACTTGGTTTTATTTGGAAAACTGGTTTTCAAGGTGAGAAGAAAGGTAGATCACTGGGAAGTGATCAACAGCAATTTTTTTTTACATTTCCAACTTTTATTTTAAGTTCCAGGGTACATGTGCAGGAATTGCAGGTTTGTTACATAGGTAAACGTGTGCCATGGTGATTTGCTACCCATGTCATCCCATCACCCATGTATTAAGCCCAGCTTGCATTAACTATTCTTCCTGATGCTTCCATCCTCCTACCCCCCACCCTCTGACAGGCCCCAGTGTGTGTTGTTCTCCCCTCCCCGTGTGTTCATATGTTTTCATTACTCAGCTCCTACTTATAAGTGAGAATATGTGGTATATGATTTTCTTTTCCTGTGTTAGTTTGCTGAGGATAACAGCTTCCATCTCCATCCATGTCCCTGCAAAGGACATGATCTCATTTTTTTTAATGGGTGCATAGTATTCCATGGTGTACATGTGCCACATTTTCTTTATCCAGTCTATCATTGATGGGCATTTAACAGAAAATTTTTGAAAAATGAAGTGCACTAATATATGTGTTGATAATAATAAGAAGGAAATAGGGATATAGTAGAGGAATAGAAGTTGAAGAGCTTAAGAGAGGGTGATTAACAAAAGGAGGACTCAGTTAAAATAGTAGAGAAGGAATCCAGGGTACAGACACTCTCATTTTGTTCAGAAAAGAGAAAAAAGGTGCAAATTCAGCTATATTTGTAAGGTGGAAAGATAAAGAACATCATATCTAATAGCTTTTATTTTCTTCATGAAGAATGTTTCATGATCTTCTATTGAGTGTAAGGGGATAAGTAAAAGTTAGATAGTCAGAAAAATGAAAAAAGTATGAAATTATAAGTGTAAAGAGGAAAAACAAACTAAGATTACTAAGCATTGAGTAGTATTGATGTCAGGGTAATGCTCATGAGTTGATAGCAAAACTGACCTGCTCCTCTGAGGTTAGTTCATAATCTGTCCAGTACATAGTCCCTGTTTTTGGCATGCATGGACATATAGCTATTCCAATGCAAACTCAAGACTTGAAGAAATTCTTGAGAGTTCAGAGTCTAAGATATGATTCCTTTTCATTTAATCAGATATATTTTTACAGGTAGTTAGACAGGCATGAGTGGGGCAGGAGAGGGCTCTTCCCCTGTCCACCAGGAATGTCAGGCGATCATCAGTGATGGTTCAACAATTATCACATTGACTCTCTAAAAATGATAATTTGGCAGCTGGCACCAGGGAGAGACAATCTCCTAATGGCCCACAGCTGTTAACATTAAAGTGTTAATTGAATGCAGGCGGCAGGGAGAAGCAAAAAGGGCTTCCAATAAAATCTCAGGTATTTGGTGAGTGAGCCTGGGCATGCACATTAAGAGACAAAATGGCAGAATATGACCACCTGGGGGTAGTCCACCGGAAAAGGGAAGAAAGTCTCAGATGAGCATGTGCACAACTTCCAAAACCCACTGTGTGTGCTCACTTCCCAAGCATGAGGAGACCACTGTGCAGGCAGGCAGCCCACCCTAAGGGAAGAATCGTGGGAAAGGGGTGCAAGATGCGGAAAGTGGAACAGCCTATAAAGACCTAGGATCTAGGTTAAATGTTGCACTTGACCTACGCGGTGCCTGCTTGGGTCTCTTCCAAGTGTACTTTCCATTTTCTCCTGCTCTAAAGCTTTTTAATAAACTTCCACTCCTGATCTGAAACTTGCCTTAGTCTCTTTTTCTGCCTTACATCCCTCAGTCAAATTATTTCTTCTGAGGAGGCAAGAATTGAGGTTGCTACAGATCTGTACAATTTGTTGCTGGTGACTTGGATACCTTCCATCAGTAACAATATGCACTGATTCCCTTTCACTGTTGATTATCTTGAAGCATACTGGTTCTCTAAAACACAAGTGAAAAATTTTGCAGGCACCAAGGTAAAATGAAGAATAGTCAGTATCTTGGGGTTCTTCTGTTGCTTTTCATTGATCTCTCGCTAATCTAGTTTATACTGATTAAAATAGAGTTAATACATTAATACCCAGTAATCAAAATTTAAGACAAAATAACCCCATAAATAATGGATATTAAATAAAAAGTTATAAACATGATCCAGGTACCAGTAGTTTGGCTTTTAGGTTATGCTTGCTTTTACTGGTTTCATAGGTAGTTCAACTGACATGTGAGAATGGATGGCAAAAATCCAAAAGCTCTGAAATTACTGAAAATATTTGGAAAGTTAATATCTTGAAAATTTTTCAGAAAATGCTATTGAAAATCACTGTAAAGCTTTGATTGAAAAATATACTGCTTTCACAATGTAGCCCAACAATACTTTATTTTGAAAGCTGTAATTCACTTTTGACATTATCATTTGAAACCTTGGATGCTTTCAACTGTAATGATTGGCTCTGAGCTACAATGAGAGACTTCCTGAGAACATTACTTCTTCATAACAGCAGTCAAAAGAGTACAAAGTAAAATGCATGGAATCACATAGTTTAAGTCCAAAGCACACAGTGACATAAATCAGAATGGCAATGTATCATTAAAAACATTGTAATCCTTGGGCTATAAATGAATAAAGGAGGAAAAATAATTTAAAATAACTGTGAGACTTCACTGTTTATAATGGTTTAAAGGGTCATGTGCCTTAGCTAAACACTGTGTAACAAAATGAGAGAAAAGAAAAGGACAGTGAAATTCAAATTCTCTGTCTTGAGCCTTTAGATAGCACTTAATAAGTTTTCTAGGCTGTTTTAACTGAATCTAGTGTGTAAGTTTGGAATTTAGGATGAGGCTTCATTTAGCTTTGGGGTTCATGAAAACAGAAATCTAGAGGATGTTAATGTCACCTGTACCTAACTCACAATGCAATCCTCAAACAGTATTAAAGATTACATGGGAATAAAGAGATTTAGATTTCATTTTTCCTATTCTCAACATGATTATTTCAGTATAGGATTTTTACTATGAAAGGCCTCCAGGATTTCCTATGTATTACTATGGGTGATAGGAAATAGGGACTGAATACTTAATAGGAGATAAAATCTCAGTTTCTCCCCATTTCTAGTGATAGCTCGTTGAATTTGGAATATGTATAATTAACATATGTTACTTTGCCGGAAGGACTTCTGTTGAAGAAGTTTTTAGAGCAATTCTGCAGAACAAAAGGCTCATTACTTTTGCCTAATTAAAATGAGGAAGCAAGCAGACAGTAGAAACTAAAATAGCAGGGTGATGTCATATGACAATCCCTTATTAACCAGTCCCTCACTCCCCTGGACAGTAACTCTCTACTACTGAGGTCAGCTTCTGTGAGTTCCCACTCAGCCAAGCTGTATCTAGAATTGAGTATGTGACTCTAGCATTTACCAGGGTGTGTGTCGGACCATGTCCCTCAGATTTTAGGGAAAAGGGAAAACAAGCAACTGATGAGGTGAAAGAGTTGAATATTCCATATGAAGGTTAAGGAAACTGAAACTGTGTAAGGGGAAATTTGTGAACTGATAGGAAAACTTAAAATGACATCTTCTTCCCTGAGGTACAGGAGGTTAAGGACTAGGAAGGAGGAGAATGAAATCAGCTGGAGTAGCAGGAGGAGACAAGGAAAAAGAATGTGCAATGAATAAAAAGTGTCAGGGGAGGAAAGCGGGGTAGAGAAATGGAAGAAAAAAATGGAGGAAAAGAAAACTGAGGGAATGCAATGGTAAACACTGACGAATGCTTAGACTGTCAATCTCTTTTTTAAATACTTCTTATATACATGAACCTTAATTACAAGATTTGCTACTACCACAAAGCAGTAAAGAAGAGTTTGCTAAAATTTAATTCTGAATGATTTAAAAAATTGTTTTTCTGATAACATAAATGATAAATATGCATAATAAATACCTCCACTTCATTATCCAGGAATATGTGTGTTTCTCTTGTTAAAAACAATGCACATTTGCTTCTAGATATACCTGTTTAGTAGAACTACAAAGGAACCTTCAGTTGATTAATGACATTAATCATCAACTGGGGAGAAAATCTGCTTGGATAATTTAAAGTCTTTCCTAATGAATCTTTGCATGTCTTTAATATTGGGAGGTTGCATGTCCTTCATTAAGAAATGTATGTAGACTGCAAAGGATTCAACAGAGGGAGCCCTGCATGAACATTTATTGCAAGAGATTAGTATCCAAATTTGATTGCAGCACATTACTTTCATGTTTGACTGCTTCCTGCTTGTCTTCTTTTAGTTTAGGCAATCTAATAATTTAACTGGTATTTATCATGTTTAAAAAATGTCATTTATTGTTTAATTTAAAGAAGTGACTTCCTTCTCTCTGACCCACTTATTCTTCTTAGATGAGGTTTCTTTTACCTGGTATAATCATCTTCAAAAATGTTTCATTATAGCCAGGCATGGTGGCTCACGCCTGTAATCCCAGCACTTTGGGAGGCCAAGGCAGGCGGATTACCTGAGGTAAGGAGTTCGAGACCAGCCTGGCCAACATGGAGAAACCATGTTAATACAAAACATGGAGGAACCAGCTAATACAAAAATTAGCTGGGCATGGTGGTGGGCGCCTGTAATCCCAGCTATTCAAGAAGCTGAGGCAGGAGAATAGCTTGAACCTGGGAGATAGAGGTTGCAGTGAGCTGAGATCGTGCCATTGCACTCCAGCTTGGGCGACAAGCGCAAACTGCGTCTAAAAAAAAAAAAAGTTTCATTATAGAAAAATCCATAAAGCATCAGTGAAATTTCATATTTGCCTATATTGTACTATAGACCTTAAATTATTTTTTAAAGTCAGTTATCTTAGGCCGGGCGCAGTGGCTCACACCTGTAATCCCAGGATTTTGGGAAGCCAAGGCGGTTGGATCACGAGGTTAGGAGATGAGACCATCCTGGCTAACAGGGTGAAACCCCGTCTCTACTAAAAATACAAAAAAAAATTAGCCGGGCATGGTGGTGGGCGCCTGTAGTCCCCGATACTCTGGAGGCTGAGGCAGGAGAATGGCATGAACCCGGGAGGTGGAGATTGCAGTGAGCAGAGATTACGCCACTGCATTCCAGCCTGGGCAACAGTGCGAGACTGTCTCAAAAAAAAAAAGAAAGAAAAGAAAAAAGTAAGTTATTTATGGGGATCTGTAAAATTGAGTGTATACTCTTCTTTCTTTACACCCTGGGGTAGGTAGCCCTGGGCACTGGAAACTGTAGTATAAAAATGGAATGTTTTCTGAGAGTGTTTATGTTACTCTGAGGAAAAATTTTTTTTTTTTTTTGAGACGGAGTTTCGCTCTGTCGCCCAGGCTGGAGTGCAGTGGCGCAATCTCGACTCACTGCAAGCTCCGCCTCCCGGATTCACGCCATTCTCCTGCCTCAGCCTCCCATGTAGCTGGGACTACAGGCGCGCGCCACCATGCCCGGCTAATTTTTGTATTTTTAGTAGAGACGGGGTTTCACCGTGTTAGCCAGGATGGTCTCGATCTCCTGACCTCGTGATCCGCCCGTCTCGGCCTCCCAAAGTGCTGGGATTACAGGCGTGAGCCACTGCGCCCGGCCAATATTTTAAAACAGAATAATTACATTTGAACAAAATCAAATGTGGGAACAGAGTATAAAGCTAGCTTGCATTTTTATAATACACAAGATAACAAAGAAATTTTGGGGTTAGGGCAGACATTGGTTCTTTTCTGTTTTAAGTGATTCTCATCCAAAAAAAAAAAAAAAAAAACCAAGACATGCATTGCTAAGGTTTGGATACGGTTTGTTTTACTCTCCAAGCTTCATGTTGAAATTTGATCTTCAATGTTGGAGGTGGGACCTGGTGGGAGATGTTTGGGTCATGAATGCAAATCCCTCATGACTAGCTTGGCACCCTTCTCATAGTAGTGAGTGAGTTGTTTCTCACTCTATTAACTCCCATGAGAGCTGCTTGTTAAAAAGAGTCTGGCACCTGCAAGCCCTCTTGTTTCCTTTCTCACCATGTGATCTGCACATTCTGGCTTCCCTTCACTTTCTGCCATGAATGGAAGCTTCTTGAAGCCCTCATCAAAAGCAGATGTTTATATCATGCTTCCAGTACAGCCTGCAGAATCGAGAGCCAAATAAATCATTTTTCTTTACAAATTACCCAGTCTCAGGTATTCCTTTATAGCAACACAGATGGACTAAGGTAAGCAATGCTACAGGGTCTAAGAACTATAATTTATAAGTCACTTCTAGGTAATTAAGTTATACTCTGATACCCTGAAAGAGTTGTCCTTATAGGGACCAATGTTTCCCAGTTGAAAAAGAGATTTGCAGTTGATTACTCAGATAAGGAGACTTGGAAAACAACAACAACAAAAAATGCCTTTGCTAATATAAATAGTACTGGCAGGCAGGTAATAGATGTCTTGAGATAAAAGCATTATTCACATTGGTTACTCTCAATTCAATTTTACAATATTTGTCTTGTTTATTCTTTTATTGCCAGCTAACTCAGGCAGAAAAAGCAGAAGGCAGGAAACCTGGTTAAGTGGCTTTGACATTTTTAATCCTTATAGTACACACAATTTTCTATTATCTTTTTATTTCACTGTACACATACAGTATAAATAACAAAGATTTCTATCAGAGTTCCTAAAAGGAAATGATAATGATATTTAAAGCAGACAATGAATTTAGATTTTGCAAAGTAAGTAAGCACTCTGTTGATTTTTTTCCTTTTTCTCCTTCCTCTTTCTTTTCTTCCTTCCTTCCTCCCTCCCTTCTTTCTTTCTCTCTCTTTCTTTTCTTCCTTTTTTCCTTTCTTCCTGCCTTCTTCCCTTCTTTCTATTTTTATACCCTCTACTATTATTCTTTAAGGACATTAATAAAGAGCATGGAAAAACAGCCTCTTAAAATTTATCAAATGCTTGCAAATATTAAAAACCAATTTTTTCACACACCATTCACCTTCCTAAATTCTTAGATAAAGATAAAAGTAGTTCTTTTGTTATTTAAATATATTTAAAGCAAGTCAGTCTTCTTAGAAAATTAATATTAATTTCCTTTTTCTAAATATTAGGACTTTCTTAATCCCATCAAAAGGAAATGCATTTTAAACCTTTTTAATTTTAACAGCGTTATTATTTTGCATTGTAAGAAACTCATGTAAGTAGTCTTCAGGCTGACAGGCTGGCACCATTAGAGACTGGTTAAATCAAATATTTCTGTGACCTATAATTTGAAGAGCAGAAGAATTCTAGTTCTGATTTACAAAGCTTTTCTGTATCTTGTCTTCCTGGTAATTTTCAACTCACAAAACCAATGTTGGTTCCTGTCAAGTCTTCTTTTTCTTATACAATCTCTCAGAATTAATATGTATCCTCTGAGGTGGAATCTGCTATTAAAGTGCTTTCTTCTCATTCCAAAGCATTATGTGGATTTTTCTGCTCTTAACCACTGGCATTTAGGGAGATGTTTAGTCATGTGACATAACAATCCTTCTGTATCTCCTCTTTTCCTCTGAAGCTGCAAAGGGACGTGAAATGATATCCAGCTTACATCTGCTGTCCATGCCTCACCACCTCTCAGTTTGCTCGACCACATGCCTTTGTTCCTCCTAATTCATGAGTACTGGAGTTTATAGCATTCTTTCTCACACATTTGTCATTCTAGCTCTTTCATATCGATATTTCCATTTTTCCTTCAAACTTCAAAGTCATTCACTTATGTCTTGGATAATGCCAGTCAGAGTAACATTAAATAAAACTAAATGAGTTTTTCTCTCTGTAAGATATGTTAAAAGTGTTATGCTTGGAAACCAGACCATTTTCTTTTATTGTGTTTATGGTCCCAATTTTGGATTTTTGCTGAAGTAGATAAATGGCTAGCTTATTAGAAGATATTGCATTGTCCTGTGCATTCTTTTCAGTTACTTTATTTTAATCAGATATGCTGGGGGAACAATGTGATCCAGAGGTCAAATAGCTATTGAGAGTCAAACATGCTGCTTTGGGCTCTGGTATCCGTCTTTATTCAGTGAAATTCTCAAGGTTTATATTTTCCTTCTTCCAAAGTAGCTTTTCTTCTTTTACTGAAATTACTCTAGCAGAAGTTACTGTGCCCTTTATCTACAAAGTGAATGGCTTCTTCCCTGGCCATTAATCTGACCAACATTAACATTTAATATTGTTGCTCACATTGAAACTCTCCCCAACTTTTGTTTTCCATATGTTCTTGTTCCTTCTCTATTATCTTTCGGTTCTCTCCTTTCTTCTAAAACTTAGTATAGGCATTTCTCAAGGTTTTGTTTAACCTTTGCTTTTTTCTCTACATTTTTTCCTTGACTATCTTACCTATTTCCTTGACTTTAACTTCAGTCTTTAGTGTTTTCCCAAATTGATATCCATTCCGCCCAATTAAAGTAAAGATAGGAGAGCCATCAGGTATCTCACATGATAGATTATCGCTGAGTTGATTTGATTTTGATTCACCTGTGTTCTTAGGAGACACTATAAAATATAATGTTATATCCATTGGAACTCTTGTTTTCTGGTAACAGAAATGACTCAAATTGGCTTATGAAAAGTGAAATTTAGTGATTATAAAAATTAAAAGTTCAGTAGGATGCTGACTTCAGATAAGATTAAATTCAGTCTTTGAATAATGTCTTCCAGCCTCCATCTCTTGACCTCAATTCATCTCCTGCACTGCTTCCCTCTGAATTGGCTTCAATCCCATGACAGCTTTCTATTTTTTTTTTTTTTTTTGCCATTTCCAGAATCCCATCATCTTTATTGAGAGACATTCCTTTGGAAAGAATACTTCCAATCATTCTATCAAAAATCTTATACTTGAAGAGAAGCCCTGCTGGAATGGTGAGTAAGGATTTTTGAAAATCTGATTCCTCCATATCATTGTAAAACTTGTCAAAATCAACGTTTCAGAACTCTGGAAATTAATGAAAGGCTTACAACAATCCAAGACTTTTTTTTTTTTTTTTTTTTTTTGTAGCTGAATCTCTAAGAACAGTGAGCTCCTTGGCATTTTAACTTGCTCAGTTCCCATCTCCCTCTCCTCATCTCTTTATTAGGCTTGGAATTGAACAGGCTTGCAAGCACAGTAGCTGTAAAAACAATCAGATTAGCAGCCATGAAAAGGGGTAAGACGACTTTGGAATATCTCCAAACTTCATCCCCAAAGAATTGTCACTACTTGACCTATCTAGCAGCATCCTGGAGGAGACCCTCTAAAATACAGTACTGTATTATATTTACCAGGACGTGTCTTTACTTGACCTTACCCAGAGCCACTTGAGGTTAGCAAGAGGTTGAAAAAAAACAAACCACCACAAAACAAAAACAAAACTTAAAAAAATGGAAATAGTTTTAAACATTGAAAAACAATTGACTTACCTTCAGTTTCACTGATTCTTATGGGAGTTCAAATCTGTTATTGGGCCTTGCTAGCAAATTTTTTATTTCAGTTATTATACTTTTCAGTTCCAGAATTTCTATTTGATTATTTTCTATAATTTTTATATTGTTATTTATACTTTTTTGGTGAGACTTTTTTTATACTTTTCAAATTCTTCAGACACCATATCCTTTAATTTTTGTTATAGTTATAATAGCAGAGTTAAAGTCTTTAATAAGTCCAACATCTGAGCAGTTTCCACTGACCGCTTTTTTATATCCATATATGAGCAATATTTCCTTTTTCTTTGCATGTGTCATATTTTTTGTGGAGAACTGGAGATTTTAAATAATATAATGTGCTAACTACCAAAAAGAGATTTCCTCCACTCAGGGTTTACTGTTGCTGCTATTTGTTACTATTGTTGCTGTTTGTTTAGTGACTTTCCTTGAATGCTTCACTCAGCTCCCTATTCACTGTCATATTGTGTCTGGAATTGGTGGGTTCTTGGTCTCACTGACTTCAAGAATGAAGCCACACACCCTCGCAGTGAGTGTTACAGTTCTTAAAGATGGTGTGCCTGGAGTTTGTTCCTTCTGATGTTCGGACGTGTTCAGAGTTTCTTCCTTCTGGTGGGTTCGTGGTCTCTCTGGCTTCAGGAGTGAAACTGCAGACCTTTGCGGTGAGTGTTACAGCTCGTAAAGGCAGTGCGGAACCACAGAGTGAGCAGCAGCAAGATTTATTGCAAAGATCAAAAGAACAAAGCTTCTGAGGTGTGGAAGGGGACCCCAGGCGTTGCTGCTGCTGGCTCAGGCAGCCTGTTTTCATTCCCTTATCTGACCCCACCCACATCCTGCTGATTGGCCCATTTTACAGAGAGGCGATTGGTCCGTTTTACAGAGAGCTGATTGGTCTGTTTTGACAGGGTGCTGATTGGTGCATTTACAATGCCTGAGCTAGACACAGAGTGCTGATTGGTGTATTTACAATCCTCTAGCTAGACCTAAAAGTTCTCCAAGTCCCCACTAGATTAACTAGACACAGAGTACTGATTGGTGTGTTTACAAACCTTGAGCTACACACAGGGTGCTGATTGGTGTATTTACAATCCCTGAGCTAGACATAGAGCACTGATTGGTGCGTTTACAAACCTCTCGCTAGACACAGGGTGCTGATTGGTGCGTTTACAAACCTTGAGCTAGACACAGGGTGCTGACTGGTGTATTTACAATCCTTTAGCTAGACTTAAAAGTTCTCGAAGTCCCCACCAGATAGCTAGGTACAGATGCTGATTGGTGCATCCACAAACCCGGAGCTAGACACAGAGTGCTGATTGGTGCATATATAATCCTCTGGCTAGACATAAAATTTCTCCAGTCCCCACCTGACTCAGGAGCCCAGCTGGCTTCCCCTAGTGGATCCTGAGCCAGGGCCACGGGCGGAGCTGCTCGCCAGTCCCGCAGCGCTGCACACCTGCACTCCTCAGCCCTTGGGTGGTCATTGGGACCGGGCGCTGTGGAGCAGGGGGTGGCGCCCTTCGGGGAGGCTCGTCCACCACCAGGGAGGTTGGGCATGGCAGGCTGCAGGTCCCGAGCCCTGCCCCATGGGAAGGCGGCTGAGGCGCGGGGAGAATTCGAGCCCGGCGCTGGGGGGCTGGCAGTGTTGGGGGACCCAGTGCCCCCTCTGCAGCTGCTGGCCCAGGTGCTAAGTCCCTCACTGCCCCAGGCGGTGGCACTGGCCAGCTGCTCCGAGTGCCAGCTGGCAGAGCACGCGCCCACCCAGAACTTGTGCTGGCCCTGTGAGCACAGAGCACAGCCTGGGTTCCCGCCCCCGCCTCTCCCTCCACACCTCCCTGGAAGCAGATGGAGCGGGCTCCAGCCTCGGCCAGCCCAGAGAGGGGCTCCCATAGTGCAGCGGTGGGCTGAAGGGCTCTTCAAGTGTGGCCAGAGCAGACATCCAAGCAGAGGAGGCGCTGAGAGCGAGCGAGGGCCGCCAGCATGTTGTCACCTTTCAATATGCATTCACAGAAGTCTCTGCTTGTTTAACTTAGTGGTCAGCTAATGATCAGACACAGGTTTTTAAATGCCATGAATCAGTAAGTATCCCAGCCTTTACTGAAGGCTTCTTATGTGTGTTGGGGCATGCCTTTAACATTTGGGTACTTTAAAACTCTGCATCAGCGTTTACTTCTGGATTGTGCAGAATCTCAAGCTAGAGGTGTGAGTATGGCCTTCTCAGATATTTCCTAGGCATGCTCAAGTCCTGTACATGTGTATGCCCTTCTGGAATTTCAGATATATACTGGAGCCGTTCAAATTCTATGGAAATAAAATAGCATTGTCCCAAATCATCAATGGGTCAAAAAAAAAACCCAATAAAAGTGAGAAAATACTTTGAGGTGAATAAAAATAAATCCAAAACTTATAGAATGTGGATAAAGCTGTGCTTACAGAGGTATTTCAGGCTCTTGTCACCTATATTACAAAACAATAAAGTTTTCAATCCAGTACTATAATATTTTCATCTTAAGAAAAGAGAAAAATAAGAGCAAATGAAGCTCATAACAAGCAGAAAGAGGGAAATAATAAAGATTAGAGTGAAAGTAAATAAAATGGAGAAAAGAAAAATAGTAAAGAGAATCAACAAAACCAAAATCTTATTCTCTGAAATAATAGGAAAGAAAATCACAAATTACCGAAACTGATTCAAGAATAAGTAGAACATCTGAATAGATTTATAACTATTAAAGAGGTAGAATTAGAAATTTAAAAATAATAAACTTCTCACAAAGAAAAGACTAGGTCAAGATTGCTTCAGTGGTGATTTCTACCAGATAGAAAAAAGAATCAACACCTATGCTTCTCAAACTCTTCCAAAGAACAGAAGAGGAGACAACATTTCCCAACTCTTCTGTGAGGCCGTTATTATTTAGATATCAAACCAGACAAAGACATCACAGGAGAAAAAAACTCTGAAAAAACTTATCTTAAAAACATTAATGTAGAAAGACTCAGAAATACTAGCAAACCTAATTCTGCATGCATATAAATATATAAATAATGAATAAGTTAGACTTATTCTATAAATGCAATGTTGGTTCAACATACAAAGATCAACCAATACAATGCACTAAATCAATGAAATAAAGGATGAAACCCACACGATCATTTCAATGGAAGTGGAAAAAAAGACAATTTGACAAAATCCAACACTACTTCATGATGAAGCCACTCAACAAATTGGAAATATTAGCTTGGTGCAAAAGTAATTGCGGTTTTAATGGCAAAACCACAATTACTTTTGCACCAACCTAATAGAAAGGAACTTCCTCATTGGCTTGGTGACTAAGTGGCACTCTTGTGAGACTTAGGTAAAAGGTTTTTTTTTTTTTCGCCCTCTGGGTGTATACAGACAATGGAAAGTTGAGTGAACTTGTTCTGAATTTCAGCTCCTATCCACTGCTCTTTGATTAGTGCCTTGTGCAGGGCACAATCAACCTAACCTTAACTGGTGGCGCTGGCCCCTAATCTAGACTTTTTCCTTTAGGTTCTGGGGCTCCTTACAGAAATGATCTACTCTTTGCCCAGTTTTGTTCCCAGGGGTCTCAGGGAGCATGTAACTTGGAAACAAGAGGGATACATGAATCTCAGGACAAGGTTTTTTTTTTTTTTTTTTTTTTTTTCCTGTAGGTGAACATCGAAAACCCAAGAGAAGATTTTCAAATAATTTTTTTCTTAAACAATGTAATCTGTGGGTTTTAAAATTCAAACCTGTGAGAATCTGGACATTTCATTATTTCCTTAATGGATATACTGTTTAAATATTAATTCACATGGGAGGATTGCTTGACCCCAAAACTTTAATGCTGTAGTGAGGTGACTGTGCCAGTATACTCCAGCCTGATGCAAGAGAGTGAGACTGTGTCTCTAAAAAGAAATAATAAATAAAAAATATTAATTCATGCATCTTTTTTTTCTTTGTCAAGCTTGCTAAAGGTTTTTCAACTTTGTCTTTTCAAAGAACCAGATTTTGGTTCCACTAATATTCTCTATTGTATTTTGTTCTCCATTTTATTGATATCTGTTATATTTATTGTTTCCTTTTTTTCTGCTTGCCTTGGGTTTGTTTTTCTCCTTTTTCCTTAACATGAAAGCTTAGGTTATTGATTCAAAACCTTTCTTCTTTCTAATATAATTATTTGATGCTATAAATTTCCCTCTAAGGCTTGCTTTATTGTTATTTCACAAATTTTTATGTGTTGAACTTTATCGTTCAGTTTAAGATATTTTCTATTTTCTCCAAAGTCTTCCTCTTTGATCCATATATTATTTAGTAGTGTGTTGTTTAATTTCCAACTGTTCAGAGCTTTTATCTTTACATTATAATTTTTTTCTTTACTTTATAATTTATTTTAGAAATTTGAAAGAAAATACATTGAAAAACAGAAAAGAACAAAGTAATGAAATTAGTAGTTATAGTAGTTATTCATTACCTAGAGATAAAAACTATTAATAATTTAGTATGTGTGCCTCCAGTTGTTTTTACTATATCAATAAATATATCATCTACATTTATATTTAACCTTTACCCCTACCTATATACAATCTATATCTACATCTATATATGTGTTTTTCATCAAATTAGAATCAGAGTATAGATGCTGTTTCTTTTTTTTTTTTAAACTTTTCAGTTCAGGGGTACATGTGCAGCAAGTGCAGGTTTGTTACATAGGTAGACGTGTGTCATGGGAGTTTTTCGTACAGGTTATTTCATCACCCCAGTATTAAGCCTGGTATCCATTAGTTATTTTTCCTGATCTTCTCCCTCCTTCTACCATCCAGCCTGTGATGGACCCCAGTGTGTGTTGTTCCTCTCTGTGTCCATGTGTTCTCATCATTTAGCTCCCACTTATAAGTGAGAACATGCAGTATTTGTTTTTTGTTGTTCTTGTTGTTTGTTTGTTTTGACGGAGTCTTGCTTTGTCGCCTGGGCTGGCGTGCAATGGCGCGATCTCGGCTCATTGCAAGCTCCGCGTTCCGGGTTCACGCCATTCTCCTGCCTCAGCCTCCTGAGTAGCTGGGACTACAGGAGTCCGCTACCACGCCCGGCTAATTTTTTGTATTTTCGGTAGAGACAGGGGTTTCACCGTGTTAGCCAGGATGGTCTCGATCTCCTGACCTCGTGATCTGCCCGCCTCGGCCTCCCAAAGTGCTGGGATTACAGGCAAAGTACTGGGATTACAGGTGTGAGCCACCTCGCTCGGTCCAGTATTTGGTTTTCTGTTCCTGTGTTAGTTTGCTAAGGATAATGATCTCCAGCTCCATCCATGTCCCTGCAAAGGACATGATCTCGTTCTTTTTATGGCTGCATGGTATTCTATGTTGTATGTATACCACATTTTCTTTATCTAGTCTATCATTGATGGGCATTTAGGTTGATTCCATGTCTTTGCTATTGTAAATAGCTCTGCAGTTAACATACATGTGCATGTGTCTTTGTAATAGAACGATTTATATTCCTTTGAGTATATACCCAGATGTTGAATGGAATGCCTGTCTTTAGGTCTTTGACGAATTGCCACACTGTCTTCCACAACAGTTGAACTAATTTACACTCCCACCAACAGTGTATAAGTGTTCCATTTTCCCCACCACCTTGCCAGCATCTGTTATTTTTTGACTTTTTAATAGTAGCCATTCTGCCTGGTGTGAGATGTTATCTTGTTAGGGTTTTGATTTTGATTTCTCAAATAATCAGTGATGTTGAGCTTTTTTTCAGTGATTGTTGGCTGTATATACAAGCTGTTTCTAACTTTTTTCATTTAGTCATATATTGCAGAAAAACTTATTTTCTATAAAATGATTTTGGGGGCAAGTACTATATATTTTCCTTATGTATGCTACATATAAGTGCCCAAATCATTAGTAAATTTTCACAAAGTGAACATACATGTAGATGTCACCTAGATTGAGAAAGAGAGCACCACGTAACGTTCCTCTCCCCTCATCAAGAAAAGGTAATCACTATTTTAAATGTTATCACAATCAGTTACACTTGCCTATTTAAAACTTTATGTAAATGGAGTAAATCAGTGTGTGTTATTTTGTGTCTGGTTTTTTTTGCTCAACATTATGTTTGGATATTTTGTCCATATTATGGATGTTGTTCATTTGATTTCATTGCTGTATAATACTCTATTGAGTGAATATAACAATATTTAATTCATTTTATTTTGGGGGCTAGCAATTTATTTATTTTCAACTTTTATTTTAGATACGGGGGTAGATGTGCAGGTTTGTTACATGGGAATATTTCATGATGCTGAGGCTTGGGGTATGGATCCCATCAAGCAGGTAGTGAGTACAATACCAGATAGGTAGTTTTTCAACTCATTCCCCACTTTTACCTTCTACCCTGTAGCAGTCTGCAGTGTCTGTTGTTCCCTTATTTGCATCCATGTGTGCTCAGTGTTTAGTTCCCACTTGTAAGTGAGAACATACCATATTTGGTTTTCTGTACCTTCATTAGTCCACTTAAAATTATGACCTCCACCTGCATCCATGTTTCTCCAAAGAATACGATTTCATTCTTTTTTTATGGTTGTGTAGTATTCCATGGTGCATTTGTACCACATTTTCTTTATCCAATCTACAATTGATGGGCACGAGTTGATTCCATGTTCTTTGCTATTATAAATAGTGTGGCAATGAACATATGAGTGCATGTGTCTTTTTGGAAGAATGATTTATTTTTCTTTGGGTATATACCCAGCATTGGGATTGTTAGGCTGAATGGTAGCCCTGTTTAAAGTTCCTTGGAGAAATCTCTGAACTGTTTTCCACAGTGACTGAACTAATTTACATTCTTACCAACAGAATATAAGTGTTCCCTTTTCTCTGGAGCCTTACCAGCATCTGCTGTTTTTTAACATTTTAATAATAGTCATTTTGTTTACTGTGAGATGGTATTCCATTGTGGTTTTGATGTGTATTTCTTTGGTGTTTAATGATGCTGAGCAGTTTTTCATATGTTTGTTAGCTGCTTGTATGTCATCTTTTGAAAACTGCCTGTTCAGCTCCTTTGCTCTTTTTTTAAGGGGGTTATTTTTTTTTCTTGTTGATTTATATAATTTCCCTGTAGATTCCAGATATTAGGCCTTTGTTGGATGCATAGTTTGCAATTCTCTTCTGTTCTATGGGTTGTCTGTTTACTCTGTTGATAGTTTCTTTTGCTGTTCAGAAACTCTTTAGCTTAATTAGGTCTCACTTCACTATCTTCGTTTTTGTTACAATTACTTTTGAGGACTTAGCCAAAAATTATTTGCCAATGCTGATGTTGAAAAGAGTATTTCCTTGGTTGTCTTCTAGGATTTTAACAGTTTGAGGTCTTATGTTTCAATCTTTGATCCATTTCAAGTTACTTTTTGTATATGGTGGAAGGTAGGGATTCAGCTTCAATCTTCTGCATACAGCTATTCAGCTGTGCAGCTTCATTTCTGAGTTTCAAATTCTGTTCCATTGGTCTATGTGCCTGTTTTTGTAGGAGTACCATGTTGTTTTGGTTATCATAGCTTTATAGTGTAGTTTGAAGTCAGGTAGTATGATGCCTCCAGCATTGTTCTTTTTGCTTAGGATTGCTTTGTCTATTCAGGCTCTTTTTTTTCCACATGAATTTTAAGATAATTATTTTCAAATTCTGTGAAAAATAACATTAGTAGTTTGATAGGAATAGCATTTAATCTTTAAATTGCTTTGGGTAGTATGGCCATTTTTACAATAATGATTCTTCCATTGTATGAGCATGGAATGTTTTTCTATTTATTTCTGTCATTTTTGATTTCTTTCAGGAGTGTTTTTTAGTCTTTGTAGAGATATTTCACCTCCTTGATAAGCTGTATTCCTTGGTGTCTCAGTTTCTTTTGTGGCTATTATAAATGTAATTGTGTTCTTATTTTCACTCTAAGCCCAGCCATCATTTGTGTATAGAAATACTACTGAATTTTGCTCATTGATTTTTATATTCTGAAACTTTACTAAAGTTTTTTATCAGTTCTCAGAGCATTTTGTCAGAGTCTTTAGGATTCTTAGTGGTGTGGAAGCCTTGTGGAAGGAAGCACGCCTAGGTCTACATCAGCTTGCAAACCTATGAGGCTCATTTCTCTCAGTTTTCTGAGTGTGGGCTCCTCCTCTGTAAGTGCCAGGCATAGATCCCTGCTTAGCACTCCTGAGCCATGGGCTGCAGCCCTGGGATACCAGGACCTCTTTGTGGTTCCCTCTTTGAGGATTCTGGGTGTGCTGCAAGATCTGAAGTGCTCCTGGGCTACGAGAAAGCACTCAGATGGAACAAAGCACCCAGGATGGGCAGCAGGGTTGTGCTGTGAACACAGTTCTGTGTGGCATTCAGGCAGGAGCCTGGGGAGTGCTGGTGGGCAGGTAGGACTGCAGAACAGACATGCCCTAGGCCCACGGAGAAGCCAGCATTGCTTTTTCCCTGGCAGTTAGCTGGGGCCAGAGGCTCTCAGGAAGATAGGTAAACTTGGGGAATGTGCACTTATGGCCAGTCTCCCTGGAGCTGTCCTCAACACAAAGATCCCCAGCTACCTGCCTGCTGTAGCTCTGTTTCTGCCAAATCTCTGGGGAGATCCCCCACATCAGCTCAAATATCTGTGGGCAGCGTGGGGTTCCCTGAAGCTAAGAACCCAGAGGCCCGCAGCAAGAGTAGGAAGTCCCTCAGTCCCTTCACTCACCCCTTCCCCAGAAGCCATTCAGAGTGAGAACCAGCCTTGGCATTCAGGGACCTCATATGTTGTTCATAACTTCTTCCTCTTCAGCTTCAGCATCTGCCACATTTGGCATTTTCTCTCCAATGATTTGTTCAAATTATGTTAGTTGAGTTGAAATCCTGGTCTTTCTCCCTGGGAGTGGAACTTCCAGGCTGCACCTAGTTGGTCACCTTCCCATTCCCTCATTATTAATTTCTAATCTAGTTTATTATGTTTGGAGAACATATTTGGTTTGATTTAAATTCTTTTAAACTCATTAAGATTTGTTTTATGACTCAGGGCATGATTTATCTTGGTAAATATTTCATGTACACTTGAAACAAATGTTTCTTCTGCTGTTGTTGGGTGGAGTGTTATATAAATATCATTTAGATTTGTTTGGTTGGTAGTGTTGTCTAGTTCTTCTATATTCTTGCTGATATTATTAGTTGCTGACAAAAGTGTCCTGAAGTCCCTATCATTGTGCATTTACCCATTTCTCTTTTTAGTTCTGGCACTTTTTCGCTTCATGTGTTTTAAAGCTGTGTTTTCATGTGCATCCACCTAAAGGATTTTTATGTCTCCTTGGTGAATTGACTCTTTTTGTCATTTTGTAATGTCCATCCTTATCCCTGGTAATCCTTTGTTGCAAGGTGTACTTTATCTGACATTAATCTATTCACTCTGGCTTCTTTGAATTTGAGCGTAAATGGTATAGTTTTTTATCTTCCTTGTAATTTTAATTTACCTCTAGTATTATAGTTGAAGTAAATTTCTTGTAGACAGCATTTTGGATCATTAAAAATATTCTATTGATCTTTTATACATTTATATATAGTCAGACCATTTAGATTTAATGTAATTTTATATATTTGAAATTTTGTCTGTAATTTTATCTTGTGCTTGATCACTCCACTTTTATTCTTCTGTTTCTTCTTTACTGCCACCTTTAGGGTTACTTAATCATTTAAAAAATACTCCATTTAAATTTGTCTATTGTATTTTTTACTGTCTATCTATCTATCTATCTGTCTATCATCATCATCATCATCACTGATTTTTTATGGGTGTTCTAGGGGTTACAATATAGAAATTTAACTTTTTACTAACTAGAATCAATATTTTACCATTTGAAGCGAAATGTAGAAAATACTACTGTAAAGTGCTTTACTCGCTCTCCCCCAAATTGGAGTTGTTTTATGTATTTCATCTATATATGAAAACCTCAAAAATAATATCATTTTTGATAGCTATTTACTTTCATATTTTAAAAACTTAATAGGAGAAGAATATTCTATTTATGCAGACAAATACCATTTGTTCTTACTTTATTTTTGATACTACAAGTTTTCTTCTGGCATCATTTCCCTTATGCCTGAAAAACTATCTATATTGAGCAGTTCTTTTAGAATAAGCCTGATGACTAAATCTTAGTTTTTTTCTACTTTTCCATTTATTCCTGAAAGATGTTTTTGCTGAATATAAAATTTTGGCTTGAGGTTTTTTTCCTTTCACCACTTTAAAAACATTGTTCCACATTCTTCTAATCGCTACCATTTATGATGTGAATTCTGAAGCTACTCAAATCCTTATTTCCTTATCATTAATATGTCATTTTAAAAGCTGTTTTCAAGACTATTTTTCTTCTGTCTTCAGTTTCCAGCAGTTTAATAAAATATGTATAGGTTAGTGTTTGCTTTTTGGGTTTACTCTGTTGGGATGTACCAAGATTCTCAAATATGTAGCTTTATGTGTTTTGCAAATTTAGGAATTTGTTAGTAATTATTTCCTCAAATATTTTTATCTGGATTTTACTCTATCTTGTATCCTTCTGGAACTTCAGTAAAACACATATTTTACTTTTTCGTAAGATCTTACAGTCTCAGACCCAGTCTCTTTTTTGAGTTTTTTCTTATTGTTGTTCAGCTTGAACACTTTCTACTGATATGTTTTCAAAGTTCACTGACTTTCCTCTGTTAAATTTTTCATTGACTTTGTACTAATCTGTTTTCAAAGTCCACTGACTTTCCTGTTATATTTTTCTGCTACTGAGCCCATTACGTGGATGTTTTATTTAAGTAACTGTAGTTTTCAATTCTAAAATTTCCCTTGGTATGTTTTCTATACCTTCTATTCATTTGCTGATTTTCTCTGTCTTTCTGTTTGTTTAGAGTGATTGCCTTTGGAGTACAGTCATAATAGCTGATTCGTATATTATTCTAATTTCTGTCTTTTTTCCTGTGTTGGTGTCTGTTGATTGAGTTTTATCAATCCAGTTCGAATTCTACTCATTCTTTGTATGCCAAGTCATTTTTATTGGACCATGAATATTTTGAATATTGTGTTACTGGATTTTAGGTCTTATTTCAATCTTATATAAAATGTTGCCTTTTTTTTTTTTTGCAGGTGATTGACCTGGTTCCATTTAAGGCATAAATTCTATCGAGGCTCTGTGAATTGTGGTTCACTGTAAATTCTGTTTTTAAAGACTTTGTAGTGTTTTGCAGGTTTTTTCATGTGTGTCACCCATAGCCAATGTCAGAGCTAGGCTATAGCCTTATATGTTAGTTCAATTATCAAAGTACTTAGTGCCCTGAATGGCATCAGATCCACACATGTACAGCTCAGGGGTAAGCCTGGATTATAAATAACCCTTTTTTGGGATTTATTTCCTCTTGGACGCTCCTTTTCCAACTTTTAGCACAATCTCCTGGTATCTTTTCGTTCCTATGGCTCCCATTTTTGGTTTTCTGACCAGGAAGCTGATGTTTTATTTACCCTGTTCTTTGGTGCACTTACTATAACTGTGCCATGTCTTAAAATGACAGAGAAGGAACAATAACAAAAAAGGAAATTTGCTCCATTTAAATAATGCTGATAATAGAAAAAGGTCTATTTTTAATAAAATTTTAGGCTACTACAGGTTTGCACCACTGTCAACGTCACCACTTCTTACATTTGAGAGAATGAGGGAAAAGAGGAAAAAAATAAACAAAAATACAGAGAACTTTTCCCACCATCTCTGAGCATTAAAGGATCTTTCCTCATTCCTTACACCAAAATTAGAGAGTTTGATTTAGAACTCTCTGTCTGTGCCAGTAGTGTCCACTTCATGTTTCAGATTATGTTGAGCTCAGCCTGATAGATACTAGAAAGGAAAAAATAAGGTAAATTTATTGCCATTTTAAAGGTATCTCTTATTTTGGTCTTCTTCACCAATGTACTTACTACTATTTACATTTCAGAGTCCTAAAATAGATGTTCAATGCATTCTGTCCAGATTTTATACCACTTGTTGTGAGAGACGGTAAAGTATGTTTACTCTTTCATGACTGAAATAGAAAGTCTCTATCCTATTCAATTAAACATTGAGATAAGAATGAAAACACTTCCAAGAAAAGATGCATTGTGGCCATTTTAAAAATTAAGTCAACCCTATTTAATCAACCAATTTTAGATTATTCTGAATGTCTCGGTTTTTAAAATTGTTATTATTATTATTTTTAAACAATAATTATACATATTTATGGGGTACAATGTGATATTTCAATATATGTATACAATATATAATGTTCAAATCAGGATAATTAGCATATCTATGACCTCAGACATTTATTATTTCCTTGTGTTGGGGACATTCAAAATCTTCTCTTCTAGCAATTTGAAAATATACAAAAATTATTGTTAATTATAGTCACTGTACAGTGCTACAAAACACTAAACTTATTCTTCCTATCTACCTGTGATTTTGTTTTGGTTTACCAAGTTCTTCATATTCCCTTTCCCCCACTACTCTTTCCAGCCTCTGGTAACCACTATTGTACTGTCTGCTTCTTTGAGATCAACTTTCAGCTTCCACATGTTTGTGAGAATATATGGTATTTATCTTTCTGTGCCTGTGTTATTCCACTTCACATAATATCCTCCAGGATCATCCATGTTGCTGTGTATGGCAGGATTTCATTCTTTTATGGCTGAACACTATTCGATTTTGTGTGTGTGTGTGTGTGTGTGTGTATATGTATATATATAATCACAGCAGGTATCATTTCCACATACTGATTTCCTTTCAGTTGGATATATGCCCAGAAATTAGACTGTTGGATCATATGGTAGATCTGTGTTTTTTTTTTTTTTTTTTTTTTTTTGAGGGGGAGTCTTGCTCTGTCCCCAGGCTGGAGTGTAGTGGTGCTATCTTGGCTCATTGTAACTTCTGCCTTCCGGGTTCAAGCAATTCTCCTGCCTCAGCCTCCTGAGTAGCTGGGATTACAGGTGCATGCCACCATGCCTGGCTAATTTTTGTATTTTTAGTAGAGATAGGGTTTCACCTTGTTGGTCAGGCTGGTCTCGAACTCCTGACCTCATGATCCGCCCTCCTCGGCCTCCCAAAGTGCTGGGATTACAGGCGTGAGCCACTGCGCCCCACCCATGTCTCAGTTTTTATGTATTGGAGGGAGAAAAGTCAAATCATTCAGACATTCTTTAAGGAGGAAACTTAAATGTCGGGATGGGAAACGCAGATTATCCTTAGTCATTTCTCACTTAGCTGTCATTTCTTCTCTTCCATTGGTAGAAAGCTCCAGATGGCCTTGTTTCAGAGTACGGGAATGGACGAAGATAGAATATTACCAGAACCAAAGTACAAGTCCTGCTACAAATAGGGTGCTTCTCTGATCCTGACATGAAAAATATATGTTCAAAGCTACAGTCATGGGATTATAACCTATGTCTCAAAAATCATTCAGCCTCATTGTTCAAGCCCAAGAATTCACCCAAGGATGAAGAGTGTTAGATATTAATGTAGACTCAAAGCTTGTTACCTATTACTACATGACAAGGATTTTATGTTTTTTTTCTTACTTCAGTGCTCATAGTGGCTTCCTACATCATGTTGACTAGGTATCAAGCCATTTCCTAGCTCCCTGTAGCAAGTTTATTTCTCTCATCTTTTGCAGTTTTCTACACAGGACCTGACCAGTTTTGCTTTGTGTCTTTTGCTATGTCATACACTGAATGAGTAATCCTATTATTCAAAGAGATTATTTTACTAAGTTAGTATTTTAAGCATAGCTTATAGTAGAGTGAGCATAATTGAGCAACACCAAACTTTTAAAATGTATTTCTTACCCATTTACATGAATAGTTTCATTTAATTTATTGGCAAGTCTACAAGTGTCTTTGAGGGTTGACTTTCTGACTTCACAGCACACAGATGCCAGGAGATGTGACTTTTGCTTCTTTTTCTAAAGTTATAACTGAACAATTACTACATGTCTTTTAATTTCTTTCTATTCCCTGGTGAGAGTGCATTGGGAAGAAGAAACCATCACTGCCATATTGTTATACACATTCATTTTTACTACACTTTCTGCATTTTTAGTGAAAGAGATAATCTTCATTTTCTCTGATGCTTCTTTCCCAACTTCAGCTGCAGATCCCATCTCCTCTTAACTCATCAGGAAACTTAATCATTTCCTTCCTCTCTCCTGTTTATTTAATCCCTCTCTCCCGCTCTATCTCTCCATTGGCTCTACATTCTCAGATATAGCTCCTGCTTAAAAATATCTTCCTTAGACAAAGTTACCGATCTGCCTTCTGTTGTTGACCTGTCTCTCTCCTTGAAAGGGTTGACAACATTTGCACTTTTCATGTTGTAATTGTCTATACATTTTTAAATTTATTGCCACCTGGTTTCCTCTTCAACCAGGCAATTAAAATAGCTCTTGCCAAAATCACTGATAATAAATAGTCACTCTTCTTTTCCAGTTTTTATATTGATGTCTCTAAAGAATTTTTTCTCAGTTGGTCACTGGTCACTCCTTACTATTATAAACTAATTTATCTGAGCTTATGTGATATCATAGTCTCATATTCTCTTGGCTTTCTTCTCATCTTTCTGACTACTCCTACTGTACATTTGGGATTAGATTTTTTTCCACTTTAAGTAATAATGTTTCTAACTGTATGATTTCAGGGACCATACTGCAATGACTCTTCATATATATATATGAATATGTATATGTATATATATGTATATATATATATATATATGTATATATATATTTATGAGAAAGAGACAGACAGAGAGAAGAGAGAGGGAGGAGCGATTAGTCTCCTATTAGACATTTCTCCTTGACTGTTCCATAGGTAATTTGGATGTGTTCCAAACTGAGCTCATGCTCATCTAATATGCTTTTCCTCCTTTATTCACTGTCTCAGTTAACCCATACCCTTACGCTCACACATTGTTAAAACCTGGGGTCTCTTTTATCTCTGTGGTTAATGTGCAATAAAATCTTAACAATTCTGTTTTACTTACCTTTTGACTCTTTTCTCTTTTCTTATTCCCAGTATTATTTTCTTCGTTTATGTCTCACAATTTTTCTTCTTTAAATTACAGCATTAGCCTCCTTACTGGTCTTCCTGTCTCCTGTTTTGATCGCTTCAGTTTATTTGCCACATTGTAGCTTTAGTGATGTTTCTAAATTGTTAATTGGATCATGTTACTCCCTTGTTTAAAACATTTCACTAACCTCCTGAAATCTTCAGAATAAAATTATGATTTCTTAGAGGTGCAGGCATTTTCTGATTTCATCAGAAGCGTCCTTTGACTTGCCTTCAGCCTTACCAGCACACTTATCTCCCAAATATGGACTAGGTTCTTAGGTTTTGCAATTCTATAATATCACTCTGCACCATCAGAATACTCACCACATTATATTGTCATTGTTATTTTTTGTTGCCATTTGAATAGTCTATTTAATCTTTATATCCCTGTGTCAGTGCTTGGAACACTGAGATGAATGTTGAAACGATGAGTGAAGAATGACTGAAAAGTTTTCAAATTTGTATTTAAAATTTAGATTCTCCCCAGCACTTCGGTAGGCTGAGGAGGGTGAATCACCTGAGGTCAGGAGTTTGAGACTAGCCTGGCCAACATGGTGAAACCCTGTCTTTACTAAAAATAATAATAATAATAGTAATTAGCCAGGCATGGTTGCAGACGCCTTAGGAGGCTGAGGCAGGAGAATTGCTGAAACCCAGGAATCAGAGGTTGCAGTGAGCCAAGATCGTGCCACTGCACTCCAAACCGGGTGACAACTTTGAGACTTGGTCTTAAAAAAATAAAATAAAATAAAAAGTTAGGTTCTCAAGCAAGGAAATAGCAAGAAAGCCATTAAAGAACATTAGATTAACAGATAAAGTAAGGAAATCTGGAAGTGTGTGGAGATGGTGAGATGACTGTTAGCCATGAGGCTTTTGTAACAGATGTGAAGTCATTAAAAAAAAAAATACCTGAAATGGTTACTAGGGTGATGTGCAAAATAACAATGATACTTTTTAAACTTAAATAGTTAAATTCCTAGGATGTATTATGTCATAGATCCCAGAAAGATTAAAGAATTACCTTGAAGTATTCTTAAAGCAGTATGTATTCCAAATGCATTATCTATATAATTTACAAATTCATACTACACACACACACACACACACACTTTTAGATTTAAAGGAAACCAATAATAATTTGAGCTGCGTAAATCTTACATAATTGTAATTTGTTTAGAACAAACTTCATTCTTTCATATTTAAAATTTTTCCCTATTTGGTCTCTTAGCTACAAAAGCCTAAAGGGCTTAAAGTTGCCTCTTTGTTTTAACTGTAATGTGAGCCCTTATATGTGCTTGCCAAATGTTGCCATGATTGTGATTTTAAAATAAAACACTTTGCTTATGTGTTCATATAAATAGAAAGTTTGGAATAATTAGATTTTTATGAGGTCAAATTCAGAAAACTGATATTTATTTTCTTTAAAAATCCTAGAAGTGTATTGTGTTATTTTGCTGCAGGTGTTAGCACTTACTAAATTTCAACAATACACTGTTTTTGAGACCTATAAAATACTGTTAATATTCAAAATTATGTGTAAAACTGTGCTAAATCAAAACAAGTATCATTTTTCAAAGTTTTCTTTTAAACCAGTATCTGTATCAACAGAAAACAATAGCTGTTGCCTATCACCATCTGGTGCCCATTGGTTAACTTATAAGTATTTTTTGGTCTTTATTTTAGTCGTAGATCCTCTTGTATGTGGTTTAACAAAATATATTTAACTGAAGCAGAAAAGCTTCTTATGTATTGATTTATACATTTTGATTTTCCAATTGTTGAAGTGCTTTCTTTTTTTCTTAATCCATATAAAACATTTTAAGATTATTTTAAACATCACATATTCTATTTGCAGAGGATCATTTAGTTCAGTAAGTGATAAAAAACATAAACAGCCTCATATAATACAAAAAGAGCTCCCAAATAGGCAATGAACACAACATTCTTGTTAAATGATTTTGACTAACCAGTCTTTATAGCAACATTGAATTTTGTGGTTTTCATTTTATTTCATAAGTAAGCTCTATATTTCTTTCAAAAACAAATACAAATGTTGGACTTTATTTTACTTATTTCATCATGATGACTTATGTATTAGACCATTTTCACACTGCTATAAAAATGCCGGAGACTGGGTAATTTATTAAAAAAAAAAAAAAGGTTTAATTGACTCACAGTTCCACATGGCTGGGGAGGCCTCAAGAAACTTACAATCATGGTGGACGGGAAAGCAGACATGTCTTACATGGCAGCAGGTGACAGAAGCCTGGAGGAGGAGCTTCCAAAAATTTATAAAACCATTAGATCTCATGAGAACTCTTTCACTATCATGAAAACAGCATGGGGAAAACTGCCCCCATGATCCAATCGCCTCCCTCCCTCAACTACAATTTGAGATGAGATTAGGGTGGGTACACAGAGCCAAACCATATAAAGTTATTTTAGTTATTTTCTTCTTCTAAAAGAAGTAAAGCTTTTCTGTTTTTTTTTAAAAATTATTATTATTTTGTTTAGTATAGTATCATTATACTCTAAAATTAGGTAGGAATTATACCACCAAAACTTTTTGTAAACACCCTTTTATTGTAAATAAACAAGATACAGAAAGCTACACAAATGTATGGCTTCATTAACTGTTTTAAAGCAACACATCTTGTTAACTACCACACAGGTCAAGAAAGAGAACTTTGCCACTCACCTCAGAATCTCGTCAGTTATGTCTCAAACATAATCCCCACCTTCTCTCAAAAGCAACCACTATGTTGACTTTTATAGTCTTCACTTCCTTTTTTATTAGTCAAGTGTGCATTCTGGATACTATAGTTTAATCTTGACTAATTAAAAATTATGTCGTTTTATGTCTCTTTCAATCTACAATTTCTCCCTTTGTCCTTTTTTCTTATGAAAATTTATTTGTTGAAGAACCTGGGCAAATGCTGACTGTAATTAAACAAATTCCTTTGGTCTCTATATTCACTGAAACTCAGTAGCTGTATCCAGAGGCGTAATCAGATTTAGAGTAGATTACTTTGTGTTTTCTTTCATTAGGAGGCATTGAATGCTGTTTTTCTCTCTTTTTCTGATGTTAGCTGCTATTGATGCTCAGTGCCTAGGTCTATTAATTCATTGGTAGTTGCAAACAATTATATTCTAGTTCTGTCCTTTATTTTTCAAATCTTAAGGGGATAAAGTGCATACTTCCCCTTATCTCTTTTGTTATTCAGTAGGACAGTTCATTCAGGAAAGTCAGGATAAATGCTTGATTAATTCCCTTTAGTTATCAGCTTTCAAAATAATAAGTTGACTCCTTTTTACTCTCAGAAGATGATTTATTAGTATTTAAGAGAAAATCACTGTGAACTTATAGATTAAAACATTTTGGCCAGGTGCAGTGGCTCATGCCTGTAATCCCAGCACTTTGGGAGGCTGAGGAGGGCGGATCACGAGGTCAGGAGATCGACCATCCTGGCTAACACGGTGAAACCCTGTCTCTACTAAAAATACAAAAACAAAATTAGCTGGGTGTGGTGGTGGGCGCCTGTAGTCCCAGCTACTCGGGAGACTGAGGCAGGAGAGTGGCATGAACCCGGGAGGTGGAGCTTGCAGTGAGCTGAGATAGCGCCACTGCATTCCAGCCTGGGCTACAGAGCAAGACTCTGTCTCAAAAAAAAACAACAACAACAACAACAAAACTTTTATTTTAACTAAAATTATTATTCTTTTTTGAAGCTCACATAGTTGTATCATTGGCCAGTGGGGCCTTCTTCAAGTTGGCACCTTAATTCTTTTGCAATGAACCTAATAATCTCTTACTGTTTCTTCTTTATCTAATATGACCATGTTTCAGGTTAATCTGTATGTTTTCTTTCCCACAACAGAAACCAGCTATTTCTCCAAGAAGCCCTGGTTTCTCTTAGTAAGAAATGGTATTTTAAGATCATTATCTGGGCACTAGGAAAACTTGGTTAGTTATTATTTCTAGATTCCTTTAGTTAAGAGAGCTAGAATATTATATACATATACACACAAGCAGACTCACACACACACAGATATTATACTTCTGCATTTGAATGCATATTGTTATTTCGTATTCAAATTCAGGACTATAGATTTCTTTTGCATAATCTCCTCTATATTATATTTTAATCCTCACTTCCTGATATTGTTTGGCTGTGTCCCCACCCAAATCTCATCTTGAATTGTAGCTCCCATTATTCCCATGTGTTGTGGGAGGGATGTGGTGGGAAGTAATTGAATCATGGGAGTGGGACTTTCTTGTGATAGTGAATAAGTCTCATCAGATCTGATGGTTTTATAAAGGAGAGTTCCCCTACACAAGCTCCCTTGTCTGCCTGCATGTAAGACGTGACTCTACTTCTCCTTTGCCTTCTGCCATGATTGTGAGGCTTCCCCAGCCCTGTGGAATTGTGAGTTCATTAAACCTTTTTTTTAATGAATTACCCAGACTCAGGTATGTCTTTATTAGCAGCATGAGAACATACTAATGCGTAAATTGGTACCTGTAGAGTGGGGTGCTGCTGTAAAGATACCCAAAAATGTAGAAGTGACTTTGGAACTTTGTAATAACAGGCATAGGTTGGAACAGTTTGGAGGGCTCAGAAGACAGGAAGATGTGGGAAAGTTTGGAAATTTCTGGAAACCTTTTGAATGGCTTTGACCAAAATGCTGATAGTGATATGGACAGTAAAGTCCACGCTGAAGTGGTCTCAGATGGAGGTGAGGAACTTGCTGGGAACTGCAGCAAAGGTGACCCTTGCTATGTTTTAGCAAAGATCTTGGCATTTTGCCCTTGCTGTAGAGATATGTGAAACTTTGAACTTGAGGGAGATGACTTAAGGCATCTGGTAGAAGAAAATTCTAAGCCTCAAAGCATTCAAGAGGTGACTTGGGTGGTGTTAAAAACATTCAGTTTTACGTATTCACGAAGTTACAGTTTGGAATTGGAACTCATGTTTAAAAGGGAAGCAGAGTATAAAAGTTTGGAAAATTTGTAGCCTGACGATGTGATAGAGAAGAAAAACTCATTTTCTGAGGAGAAATTCAAGCTGGCTGCAGAAATTTGCATAAGTAACGAGAAGTCAAATGTTAAGTCAAGACAATGGGGAAAATGTCTCCAGTGCATGTCTGAAGTCTTCACAGCAGTCCCTCCCATCACAAGCTGGAGGCCTAGGAGGAAAAAAATGGTTTCATGTGCCAGACCCAGGACCTCGCTGCTTTGTGCAGTCTGAGGACTTGGTACCGTGTGTCCCAGCCATGGCTAAAAGGGGCCAATGTAGAACCCAGGCCATTGCTTCAGAGAGTTCAGGTCCCAAACCTTAGCATTTTACATGTGGTGTTGGGCTTGTGGGTGCACAGAAATCAAGAATTGAGGTTTTGGAATCTCTGCTTAGATTTCAGAGGATGCATGGAAACACCTGAATGTCCAGGCAGAGGTGTGCTGCCGGGGCAGAGCCCTCATGGAGAAGCTCTGCTAGGTAGTGTGGAAGGGAAATGTGGGGTGCAAATTGGAGCTATTAGAAAAGGGCCACTGTCTTTTAAACTGCAGAATAGTAGATCCATGGACAGCTTGCACTGTGACCTGGAAAATCCAAAGAAACTCAATGCCAGCCCATGAAAACAGCCAGGAGAGGGGCCTGTACTCTGCAAAGCCACAGTGGCAGAGCTGCCAAAGACCATAGGAACCCACGTCTTGCATCAGTGTGACCTAGATGTGAGACATGGAGTCAAAGGGGATCATTTGTAGCTTTAAGATTTGACTGTCCAGCTGGATTTTGGACTGCAAAATCCAACACCACATGTAAAATGCCAAGGCTTGGGACCTGAACTCTCTGAAGCAATGGCCTGGGTTCTACATTGGCCCCTTTTAGCCATGGCTGGGACACACGGTACCAAGTCCTCAGACTGCACAAAGTAGCCCCTTTGTTTTGGCCAATTTCTCCCATTTGGAATGGGTGTATTTATCCATTGCCTATACCCCTGTTGTATCTGGGAAGTAACTAACTTGCTTTTAATTTTACAAGCTCATAGGTGGGAGGGATTTGCTTTCTCTCAGTTGAGACTTTGGACTGGGGACTTTTGAGTTAATGCTGAAATGAGTTAAGATTTGGGGGACTGTTGGGAAGGATATGAGATTTGGGAGGGGCCAGGGTGGAATGATATGGTTTGGCTCTGTGTCCACCCAAATCTCATCTTGAACTGTAGCTCCCACAATTCCCATGTGTTGTGGGGGGCACCAAGTGAAAGGTAATTGAATCATGGGGTGGATCTTTCTTGTGCTGTTCTCATGATAGTGAATAAATCTCACAAGATCTGATGGTTTTATAAAGGGGAGTTCCCTTAGACAAGTTGTCTTGCCTGCTGCCATGTAAAACGTGACTTTGCTCCTCATTTGCCTTCTGCCATGATTGTGAGGCTGCCCCAGCCACGTGGAACTGTGAGTCAATTAAACCTCTTTCTTTTATGAGTTACCCAGTCTCAAGTACATCTTTATTACCAGTGTGAAAATAAACTAATACACCTCCATACTGAGACTTCTCTTCCTCAAGGACACAAAATTGAGATTGAATTAGATCCCTTTATACACGTATTGTTCTGGGAAGAATGCATAATGATCTCTCTTTAGGCATGTTATCATCTATGAATGTTCTAGCAAGGAAATGCATTGAATTTGTCCTGTGTTTCTTTGCCATATTCCTATAATTTTATTGTTTCAGAGTTATTTTATATTGTAGTTCAAGGCAAGATTTACCATTATCAGAGATAACACCTGCTTCCTAGTCCCCTTACTCTTTTTCACTCTTTAGTTTCTTCCATATATTGTCCTCAATAGTTTTTTTTCCCCCAATTACTATTGTAAGCATTTTTTTTTAAGAATGTCATCACCTTAGGGTTGTTTCCTAAATAAATATTGGATTGGCATCTGCTCTATCCCTTACTGAGTACTGGATTCTGTTATTGTAGTCAGCAAGTGTTAAACAATTAGAAGAATGAAATGATTGTGAGTATGTAAAACTCTTTGTTTTGGCACAAATCATTGTTTTTATTTAATTTGGGAAAACATCTTTACAAGTTGATAAATACTAGAACTGTCAATGAGAAAAATGCTACTGAAATACCTATTTTTCTCTTTGATGGCAGACTTTCCTAAATATTTGCATTTTAACATATTTTATCTCATACTTTAGCTGACATTACTTAGTTGTATATGGATCTGTTCTTAATAAAATAAAGAGAAAAACATAAAGAGAGTAAAAGGATCATTAAATTTGTTATTACAATTGTGTAGAAGTTTCCCTGTCATAAAATTTCTAAGCATAGCAGTTGTCACTGATTGTCTTCTATAGAAGCAAATAATTTATTTCAATTTTCTAATATAAGTATTATTTTTCATCATGAAAATCCAATTAAAACAACTTTTTTTTTTTTTTTGAGACAGAGTCTCTCTTTTGCCCAGGCTGGAGTGCAGTGGCGTGATCTCAGCTCACTGCAAGCTCTGCCTCCCGGGTTCACACCATTCTCCTGCCTCAGCCTCCTGAGTAGCTGAGACTACAGGCGCCCACCACCATGCCCAGCTAATTTTGTTTTTGTATTTTTAGTAGAGACGGGGTTTCACCGTGTTAGCCAGGATGGTCTCGATCTCCTGACCTCGTGATCCACCGGCCTTGGCCTCCCAAAGTTAAAAGAACTTTTATAATTAAATCTAAAATGACTGATTATTGCCAGACATGGTGGCTCACACATGTAATCCCAGCACTTTGGAAAGAGGATGCCTTGAGCCCAGAAGTTTGAGACCAGCCTGGGCAACATAGAGAGATCTCATCTTTACAAAATTTAAAAAAATTAGCTGGCTGTAGTGGTGCATGCCTATAGTCCCAGCTACTTGGGAAGCTGAAGTGAAAGGGAGGATGGCCTGAGCCCAGGAGGTCAAGGCTGTAGTGAGCCATAATTGTGCCTCTGCACTCTAGAACTCCACACTTGGTAACAGAGCAAGGTCCTGTCTCAAAAAAAAAAAATACTTATTGCTATTATATAATCTATATCTTAACATTTTTATATTAAACTTTTAATTCTGGATTTAAAATTGTGTGTGACATTGTCAGAGGATTTCACTTTTAAATGCAAATATATATTGAAGTTATTTTTGGAGTCTTGACAAAGTCTATAAATTAAGGACATAAATTTTAATACTAAAATTTTAAACATATTTATTGTATCAAGTAGTGACTGGAATTATAATACACTTGAAATTACAGTAGAATTTTTTTCAAAAAATATAAAAATGCTTAATAAAGCATATAGAAAAGTGTATCAAGTATGAGTCTTTTGAGATGCTTCCTGAGCCTGTCCCTCCTGAAGATTCATCTGCCACGTTCCAGCAATGCACCTTATTATGATGACTTGGCATTCACTGAGCACCAGCATGAGAGTCAGCTTTCTACACACCATGGTGCTAAGGATGCCACCAGGACCCTATGGCTGGCTCTTTGAAATCTTACTAAAAGTTTAAAGTGATTCCAATATGTTTCTTCTCATTTAAAGACTTTCTGTGGTTAAAAAAAAAATGCCATAAAATTTATACTGCCATAGTTAGAATGACACTGCTATTTTAATAAAGAAATTATCACATAATATTAAAACATGATGCATTATTTACTTCTTTTTCTCTAAGAAAAGGAAATTCCGTTAAATGATAAATATTATTTTTAAAAGGAAAGGAATTATTATAAAAGGAAATATTACAAAAGGAAATTCTGTTAAATGATAAATGAGTGATAAAGTGAACCTATAAATATCACAAATCACTTCAAATTGAGAGACATGCCAACAACTGCTTTGTAGTAAAGTAGACATTTATCAAAGATTCATAAAAATGCAGTGTAAGTGATGTTCAATTATTGTGGAAAGCCCAATTCCTGTCTTTTTAAAATTTTTATAATAAATTCTAAGTATCACAAATAAAGTATAAGGGATGTATTCAGTTGGTGGCAAAAACTGCAATTACTTTTGCACTGACCTAATAGTAGGGTCATGCATTATTAAGAGTAATGTCAGCAATTAGCCCAACCTCTTCTCAGTGGACATGATTTGCCCAAATTCACACAGGAAGTTAGAGACAGGACTAGCATCCGGGACATCTGACTTTCCAGTATCTGTCTGCTTCCTAGATACGTTTTAGAGTCAAAACTCTGTGGATGAGAAAGGCTGTTATCAAATCAATCCAAACGTAAGACAATAGAGACTAGTGAGTCCTTAGTAAATGTTAGGATACTTGCCCTCTTTGAAAGTATTAATATTCAAATATGTAAAGCATTATGACATCCAGCTAAAATATACCCACAAGATAGTTGGTTATATTTTGGATATTCTAAAGATATTTTACAGACATTTATGTATAGTCAATATCTAAAATAGGTTCAAGTAGTCACTGGGTACTACTAGATTGGGGAAGGAGGAAGGAGGACAGGGTTGAAATAGTAGTGGGTACTATGCTCAGTACTTGAGTGACAGGATCAATTGTACCTTAACTTAGCATCACACAATATACTCAGTTAACAAACCTGCACATATACCCCCTGAATACAAAATAAAAGTTGAAATTATTTAAAAAAGTAGAATGGTTTTATATAGATGTGTTTATAAATAGGAATAAAATTTGAATTACAGTTAGACATTTTATGCTATGGAATAAATTATAAATAAAAGATTTTCTGAAGAATTCTGAATGATTGAGAGTGTACCTATCATTGTTATTATTATTTTTTTTAAATTGATAGCTTTGGAGGCATTTTAGGGAGTCTGTTTAATCCATCCCATCAATCAACAGTCTCTAGGGTGGATCACTGCTGTAGGGCTGTGCTGTGCTTCATGCCTTTTAATGCTGTGGAAGAGTGAAGCTTTGATGGTTGAGAACCTGCCTACGGATAGTAAATGATGGCTCTGAATGTGTTTTGCTGCCCACTTTTATAAATTCAATTTTCTATTCAAATAAAAATATTCTAAAACTACAGAGTACAATAGCAAAAATCAGCCCTTAATATGTTTAATCCTCATGTCAAAACTTTAGAATCTGTTTAGATGTTTCTGCTATGAGTCATGCCCTTATAAAAATCTTTGTGATGATGCAAAATTAAAGGAGTTTTTTTTAAAACAATGTTTTTATTACAGCATAAGCAAAAATGAGGAGAAAGGCAGGATACATGTTTACCGATTTCACTGACAAGGGGTTACTGAGTATTTATGTATGTACAAGACAATGGTGATGCAAAGCCATATGTTAAAGGCTATAATCTCTGCCACTAAGGTGTTTACTCTTGGTTGGGGAGATGGCATAAGCCCACAGAAAAAAACATCAATACAAGCTAGTGAACTAGAAATGTCTGATATGTGCCATGGTATTATGGGTATTCATATAATTGAAATAATTCTCCAATCTTGAAAAATCTAGGAAGGTTTTTGATAAAAGAAAAAATTTGGGGTTCCAAGATGGCTGAATAGGTTCAGCTCCAGTCTGCAGCTTCCAGCATAAGTGACGAAGAAGACGGGTGATTTCTGCATTTCCAACTGAGGTACCATGTTCATCTCACAGGGGCTTGTCAGACAGTGGGTGAAGCCCATGGAGCAGGGCAGGGCATCACCGCACCTGGGAAGCACAGGCAGTTGGGGAATTCCCTTTCCTAGCAAAGGGAAGCCATGACAGACAGTACTTGGAAAATTGGGACACTCCCACCCTAATACTACATGTTTCCAAAGGCCTTAGCAAACGGCACACCAGGACATTATATCCCACGCATCCTCAGAGGGTCCCACACCCATGGAGCCTCACTCACTGCTAGCACAGCAGTCAGATCTAACTTCGAGGTGGCAACGAGGTTAGGGGAGGGGCGTCTGCCGTTGCTGAAGCTTGAGTAGGTAAACAAAGCGGCCTGGAAGCTCTACCTGGGTGGAGCCCACCACAGCTCAAGGAGGCCTGCCTGCCTTTGTAGACTTCACGTCTGGGGGCAGGGCATAGCTGAACAAAAGGCAGCAGAAACTTCTATAGACTTAAATGTCCCTGTCTGACAGCTTTGAAGTGAGTAGTGGTTCTCCCAGCATGGAGTTTGAGATCTTAGGACAGACAGACTGCCTCCTCAAGTGGGACCCTGACCCCCGAGTAGCCTAACTGGTAGACACCTCCCAGTAGGGGGCGACTGACACCTAACATGGTGGGGTGGCCCTCTGAGACGAAGCTTCCAGAGGAAGGATCAGGCAGCAGCATCTGCCGTTCTGCAGTCTCCACTGGTGATACCCAGGCAAACAGGGTCTGGAGTGGAAACCCAGCAAACTCCAACAGATCTGCAGCTGAAGGTCCTGACTGTTAGAAGGAAAACTAAGAAACAGAAAGGACATCCACACCAAAACCCCATAGGTACGTCACCATCAGCAAAGAAAGATGGGGAGAAACCAGAGCAGAAAAGCTGAAAATTCTAAAAAACAGAGCGCTTCTTCTCCTCCAAAAGAACGCAGCTCCTCACCAGCAACGGAACAAAGCTGGACGGAGAATGACTTTGATGAGTTGAGAGAAGAGGGCTTCAGACGATCGGTAATAACAAACTTCTCCGAGCTAAAGGAGGATGTTTGAACCCATCGCAAAGAAGCTAAAAACCTTGAAAAAAGATTAGACCAATGGCTAACTAGTATAACCAATGTAGAGAAGTCCTTAAATGACCTGATGAAGCTGAAAACCATGGCACGAGAACTACAGGACACATGTACAAGCTTAAGTAGACAATTTGATCAAGTGGAAGAATGGGTATCAGTGATGGAAGATCAAATGAATGAAATGAAGCTAGAAGAGAAGTTTAGAGAAAAAAAGAATAAAAAGAAATGAACACAGCCTCCAAGAAACATGGGACTATGTGAAAAGACCAAATCTACGTCTGATTGGTGTACCTGAAAGTGACGGGGAGAATGGAACCAACTTGGAAAACACTCTTCAGGATATTATCTAGGAGAACTTCCCCAACCTAGCAAGGCAGGCCAACATTCAAATTCAGGAAATACAGAGAACGCCACAAAGATATTCCTTGAGAAGAGCAACTCCAAGACACATAATTGTCAGATCCACCGAAGTGGAAATGAAGGAAAAAGTGTTAAGGGCAGCCAGAGAGAAAGGTTGGGTTACTCACAAAGGGAAGCCCATCAGACTAACAGCTGATCTCTCGGAAGAAACTCTACAAGCCAGAAGAGAGTGGGGGCCAATATTCAACATTCTTAAAGAAAAGAATTTTCAACCCAGAATTTCATATCCAGCCAAACTAAGCTTCGTAAGTGAAGGAGAAATAAAATCTTTTACAGACAAACAAATGCTAAGAGATTTTGTCACCACCAGGCCTGCACTAAAAGAACTCCTGAAGGAAGCACTAAACATGGAAAGGAACAATCGGTACCAGCCACTGCAAAAAACATGCCAAATTGTAAAGACCATTGATGCTAGGAAGAAACTGCATCAACTAATGAGCAAAATAACCAGCTCACATCATAATAACAGGATCAAATTCACAAATAACAATCTTAACCTTAAATGTAAATGGGCTAAATGCTCCAATTAAAAGACACAGACTGGCAAATTGGATAAAGAGTAAAGACCCATCAGTGTGCTGTATTCAGGAGACCCATCTCATGCACAGAGACACACATAGGCTCAAAATAAAGGGGTGGAGGAAGATCTACCAAGCAAACGGAAAACAAAAAAATAGCAGGGATTGCAATCCTAGTCTCTGATAAAACAGACTTTAAACCAACAAAGATCAAAAGGGGCAAAGAAGACGATTATGTAATGGTGAAGGGATCAATTCAACGAGAAGAGCTAACTATCCTAAATATATATGCACCCAATACAGGAGCACCCAGATTCATAAAGCAAGTCCTTAGAGACCTACAAAGAGACTTAGACTCCCACACAATAATAATGGGAGACTTTAACACCCCACTGTCAACATTAGACAGATCAATGAGACAGAAAGTTAACAAGGATATCTAGGAATTGAACTCAGCTCTGCACCAAGCAGACCTAATAGACATCTACAGAACTCTCCACCCCAAATCAACAGAATATACATTCTTCTCAGCACCACATGACACTTATTCCAGAATTGACCACATAGTTGGAAGTAAAGCACTCTTCAGCAAATGTAAAGGAACAGAAATTATAACAAACTGTCTCTCAGACCACAGTGCAATCAAACTAGAACTCAGGATTAAGAAACTCACTCAAAATTGCTCAACTACATGGAAACTGAACAACCTGTTCCTGAATGATTACTGGATACATAACGAAATGAAGGTAGAAATAAAGGTATTCTTTGAAACCAATAAGAACAAAGACACAACGTACCAGAATCTCTGGGACACATTTAAAGTAGTGTGTAGAGGGAAATTTATAGCACTAAATGCCCACAAGAGAAAGTAGGAAAGATCTAAAATTGACACCCTAACTACACAATTAAAAGAACTAGAGAAGCAAGAGCAAACACATTCAAAAGCTAACAGAAGGCAAGAAATAACTAAGATCAGAGCAGAACTGAAGGAGATAGAGACACAAAAAAACCCTTCAAAAAATCAATGAATCCAGGAGCTGGGTTTTTGAAAAGATCAGCAAAATTGATAGACCACTAGCAAGACTAATAAAGAAGAAAAGAGAGAAGAATCAAATACACACAATAAAAAATGAAAAAGGGGATATCACCACCAATCCCACAGAAATGCAAACTACCATCAGAGAATATTATAAACACCTTTATGCAAATAAACTAGAAAATCTAGAAGAAATGGATACATTCCTGGACACATACACCCTCCCAAAACTAAACCAGGGAGAAGTTGAATCCCTGAATAGACCAATAACAGGTTCTGAAATTCACGCAATACTTAATAGCCTACCAACCAAAAAAAATCCAGGACCAGACAGATTCACAGCCGAATTCTACCAGAGGTACAAAGAAGAGCTGGTACCGTTCCTTCTGAAACTGTTCCAAACCATAGAAAAAGAGGGAATCCTCCCTAATTCATTTTATGAGGCCAACACCATCCTGACACCAAAGCCTGGCAGAGACAGAACAAAAAAAGAGGATTTTAGACCAATAACCCTGATGACCATCGATGCAAAAATCCTCAATAAAATACTGGCAAACCTAATCCAGCAGCACATCAAAAAGCTTATCCACCATGATCAAGTGGGCTTCATCCCTGGGATGCAAGGCTGGTTCAACATATGCAAATCAATAAACGTAATCCAGCATATAAGCAGAACAAAAACAAAAACCACATGATTATCTCAATAGATGCAGAAAAGGCCTTTGACAAAATTCAACAGCCCTTCATGCTAAAAACTCTCAATAAACTAGGTATTGAAGGGACGTATCTCAAAATAATAAGAGCTATTTTTGACAAACCCACAGCTCACATCATACTGAATGGGCAAAAACTGAAAGCATTCCCCTTGAAAACTGGCACAAGCTAGAGATTCCCTCTCTCACCACTCCTATTCAACATAGTGTTGGAAGTTCTGGCCAGGGCAGCCAGGCAACAGAAAGAAAGAAAGGGTATTCAATTAGGGAAAGAGGAAGTCAAATTGTCCCTGTTTGCAGATGACATGATTGTATATTTAGAAAACTCCATCGTCTCAGCCCAAAATCTCCTTAAGCTGATAAGCAACTTCAGCAGAGTCTCAGGATGTAAAATCAATGTGCAAAAATCACAAGCATTCCTACACACCAATAACAGACAAACAGAGAGCCAAATCATGAATGAACTCCCATTCACAATTGCTACAAAGAGAATAAAATACCTAGGAATCCAACTTACAAGGGATGTGAAGGACCTCTTCAAGGAGAATTACAAACCACTGCTCAACTAAATAAAAGAGGACACAAACAAATGGAAGAACCCTCATGGGTAGGAAGAATCAATATTGTGAAAATGGCTATACTGCCCAAGGTAATTTATAGATTCAATGCCATCCCCATTAAGCTACCAATGACTTTCTTCACAGAATTGGAAAAAACTACTTTAAAGTTCATATGGAGCCAAAAAAGAGCCCTCATTGCCAAGACAATCCTAAGCCAAAAGAACAAAGCTGGAGGCATCATGCTACCTGACTTCAAACTGTGCTACAAGGCTACAGTAACCAAAACAGCATGGTACTGGTACCAAAACAGAGAGCTAGACCAATGGAACAGAATAGAGCCCTCAGAAATAATACCACACATCTACAACCATCTGATCTTTGACAAACCTGAGAAAAACAAGCAATGGGGAAAGGATTCCCTATTTAATAAATGGTGCTGGGAAAACTGGCTAGCCATATGTAGAAAGCTGAAACTGGATCCCTTCCTTACACCTTATAAAAAATTAATTCAAGATGGATTAAAGACTTAAATGTAAGACCTAAAACCATAAAAAACCTAGAAGAAACCTAGGCAATACCATTCAGGACATAGGCATGGGCAAGGACTTCACGACTCAAACAGCAAAAGCAATGGCAACAAAAGTGAAAATTGACCAATGGGATCTAATTAAACTAAAGAGCTTCTGCACAGCAAAGGAAACTACCATCAGAGTGAACAGGCAACCTACCGAGTGGGAGAAAATTTTTACAATCCCCATCTGACAAAGGGCTAATATCCAGAATCTATAAAGAACTTAAACAAATTTACAAGAAAAAATCAAACAACCCCACCAAAAAGTAGGCAAAGGATATAAACAGACACTTCTCAAGACATTTATACAGCCAATGATCACATGAAAAAATGCTCATCATCACTGGCCATCAGAGAAATGCAAATCAAAACCACAATGAGATACCATCTCACACCAGTTAGAATGGCGATCATTAAAAAGTCAGGAAACAACAGATGCTGGAGAGGATGTGGAGAAATAGGAATGCTTTTACACCGTCGGTGGGACTGTAAACTAGTTCACCCATTGTGGAAGACAGTGTGGCGATTCCTCAAGGATCTAGAACTAATCTAGAACTAGAAATAGCATTTGATCCAGCCATCCCATTACTGGACATATACCCAAAGGATTATAAATCATGCTGCTATAAAGACACATGCACACGTATGTTTATTGCGGCACTATTCACAATAGCCAAGACTTGGAACCAACCCAAATGTCCACCAATGATAGACTGGATAAAGAAAATTTGGCACATATACACCATGGAATACTATGCAGCCATAAAAAAGCATGAGTTCATGTCCTTTGTAGGGACATGGATGAAGCTGGAAACCATCATTCTGAGCGAACAATTGCAAGGACAGAAAACCAAACACTGCATGTTCTCACTCATAGGTGGGAATTGAAGAATGAGAACACTTGAACACAGGGTGGGGAACATCACACACTGGGGCCTGTCATGGGGTGGGGGAATGGGGGAGGGATAGCATTAGTAGATATGCCCAATGTAAATGGTGAGATAATGGGTGGAGCACACCAACATGGCACATGTATACATATGTAACAAACCTGCACATGGTGCACATGTACCATAGAATTAAAAGTATAATAATAATAATAACAATAAAAAGAAAATTAATCACAGAGCCTGTGCCTTTCCTGATACTGGAGTGGTAACCCAGAAATTCCCTTCAGAATTTCAGTTTGTAGGTTTTGGTTATTGAATTCTCATTTGCCCCAATCTTAAATGAGCCATATTAATTCCAGTCTTAAGAGCTTAGGACAACTTGGACAAGTAAAAGTTTCCTCATTGAAGTTTCCACATTTTCATGTAGATAATATCCAGTTATTTGGAGGAGGGAGTACAGTATTAGATAGAATAAAATCATGTGAAATTCTTTTTAAAAACAAAAAGAAAAGGGAAATATTTAAGGTGATGGATACCCCAAGTACATGGATTCAATCTTTACAAATTATATGAATGTAATAAATTATCACATGAAATAAGTTGTTTCACCTCAAAACAATATATATCTATTATGCATCAATAAAAAAGTGAAACCCTTGGGAAAAAAAGTATAAATGTCCTTTTACTTTATCACAAAAATAAACTCATAAGAATACTGTTCCACACTGGTTTCTTTTGGGAATAGTTTGCCGAAAAATAATTTATTCCTAAATTCACCCATCATTTTAAGAAGTGCCCAAATGTACTTAACAAAATAATATACATGCTGTATTGCTTTAAAACAACTTTTTGTCCAAAATAAGAACAATTGCCATTATTTTGTCTATGCCCAAATAACTATTCAAATAATAGCATTCATATGTACTTTCATTTATATGGAATTAAATAAAGATTTAAAAGCTGAAAAACAAAAAAAAAATTTGGGATGGAAGGGGAAAAGGTGTATACAAAGGCATAGTCACAGGAAGCCATTCAAGATGTCAAGGATGTGTTATAACATCTCTTTATGAAGTACTATGAACCATTGTGGACATTGTGTTAGAAACACCAGAATGTCTTCTGTATCTACAATGAGTCTGAAAATTTTTCAAACATTACTTTTTGTGAAATAAACTTCTAAATGAGGATTGGGACCATCCTGAGTGAGGCTGAAGAAAGGTGAAAAGATTTGCCCTTGGTATCTACTTAAGCACAGGAGGTTAGAGATACAAAGCAATGTGTTAAAGGCAATAACCTCTGTTTTTAAGATGGTTACTCTTGGTTGAGAAGAAAGGACTTAACCTCAGAGGCTATCTCTGAGTCCAAGGTCCGTGTTCTTCCAATGAAAATGTACTTGTCTTTCTGTGTGTAACTTCAGGCCAGATATATAGAACACTTTGGTTTGATTGCCTCCTCTTACCCTGTTGGTGAAGGAGGGATTCCTATGCTAGGATTGTAGAGATGGCTGAACACACTACACACAACACTGGGTCCAGGTGAGATTCATTAGTTATATTTTATTAACTATTAATTCCATATAATCACAGCTTGGGGAAGGAGGACATCGCATACCATGCATGGCCACATGGGGATTGCACTTGGGAAGAGAGTGAACAACTGGGGGTTGTGGGAGGCTGGTTTTGTAGTAGTAAGAGGGTGGGGTGTCCCTTGGTTCCTGTGGGAGGGTGTGACTAGCTACTTTGAATAATTCTACGGGCTGTCAGGGAATTGGTACTTGCTATTGAGGGATAAACAGGAACTGCATTTGGTCCATTTGATAAAGTGGGTTGTTCCCCTAAGGGACTGTATATGCAGAAGGAGAGTGGAGAGAACTAGAATTCAGGCTACTTGAGACCCTTGTGGATTCAGACAACAAGGCAGCACATAATGTTAATTTTGGGCCTTGCACCACACCCTTACATCACTGTAGGCTAGATTTATCTTTTATTCATGTTCCTCAAGAAAAGGTTTATTTTTTGCATGAAGGTAGGAAATCCTGACTATGACTATGCATGTTCATCTTCTTTTATGTTTCCAGTACTTATTCTGTTCTTATTGCTTTCCTTATTTATTTTTAGGTTCATTTTTTCTTATTGGCTACTCCCAAAGAAGGTCAGCTCCACAAGAAAAGGGGAACTCTTTGCCATCTTATTTGTTGCTGTGTTCCCAGTGTCTATGATGGTTTCTGGCACATAATATTAATAGATGCTCAATGAATTCTGTCAAATACAGCAAATAAGCATAGTTATAAATTATAGACCTGAAGGTATTTTTAAGTGGCTGTTGAGTCTTTTCTCAACAGATTAATACACCAAACATGTATCAAAAAATTTTCCTGTGACACCTTCTGTTCTTGAAATACAGTTTCTACCATTAAATAACTTAAAGTCTTAAGGAGGAGACAAATTAATAAAAATACAATTATAATACTTGATGACAATAGCTATGAGAAAAATGAGCACAGAAGTTTAGGGACCTTATAGGTGAGGCTGTACTTGGATCATAGAAAGAAAGTTTTTATTTATTTTCTAATCTATATAATGGAACCCCTCATCTTCTCTTAGCTACTTGGCCCGGTTTTCTGTACTTAAAAACAGAAACTACTAACAAAGATATATCTTAAATTTTTATTGCAAAAGTTAAGACAAAGGATCACATTGCAAAATGTTTTAACTTTTATACGATTTTATTCACATAATACAAGTAGAAAATTAAAGTAAGTAATAAGAGGTGTGTCTAGCATATGTGTTTGCTACCTATTTTATTTATAGCTGTTGAACTTTTTCAGATACATTTTCAGTCAGTCAGAATGGGTCCTATGGGGTAGATGACTTGCTAAGTGCCTTCCTCTGATCTCAGAGAGTTGAGAATATTTTTTCCATCTGTCTCTGTGCACTTTCCAGAGGTCTGTGTTTACAAACAGAGTGCAGAGTCTGAGATACTGTTTAGTATAATTCCAATTCCTTTATGGCCTTATTTATGCCTTTCAGCAATATAGACCAGGACAGAATCATCACTGAAAGGTGAGTTTATGTTCTTGTGTATATCCCTAGTTCCCCCTGTTTGAAAACTTAAGCAGAAAATTTATAGGAGTTAACTCAAAGTGCTCTATAGGGAGTCTTAACATTCTTCATAGTGCAATAGAAACATATTGAGGCTGTGTTCCTTCTGTTTGAAGGCAATCTTGGGATTTTATCATTTTGTAAATTAAAGGAAGGAATTGATACTGTAAATTTATCCTGGAATTCAATAAAGGTAAGAATGATTGCTGCAAAGGAGGCATCCATATAAGAAATAATTTTATATTGATCTGAAATGTAAGCTGTAAATTTTTTCCCATGAGCTAAAAATATATTACCTAGGTTGGTACTAGCTTTATTAACATTTATTTGACAATATAATCCTAATTGGATATGGATCCATTTATTTTGCATGTTTTGAGCATGGCATTTAAGAACAGAGTATACACTTAAAATCCTTTGAATTAAGTGATTTAAAGAATTGGGAGATTTAGGTTTTACTTTAGCATATTTGAAATCCACTCCATCTTTGATCCAGTTTTTGTTGCCGTTGCCCCTAGGTAAGAAGGAAGTTGTGTAAGAAAACCAAAGAGAGGCCAGCTAGGTAGGGGTAGACTTTGAAGACACAAAATTGATCCTATGCTTTTCAAAGAGAAATATATTCCTGAATTTTTTATTTAATATATATATTTTTTCACATCTCATAGTTAAAAGTTGGAGATCAGATCTTCCTTCTCTCATTCTATGTGTGTTTCTCTCATACTCCCTGACCCCCACCAATCCCCCCTCAGTTGCTTACTTACTTACTTTATTTCTCTTATTTGTTCACCATGTCTGCTATGATTGATAACTGGAAAAGGCTAATTTTGAGATTATCAAGGTATAGCTCTTAAAACTTTAGTTATTTGCTTCTGTCTTTTACACATGAAATAACTATCAGCACCACCTTTATTTCTTTATAGATGGCTGTTTTCATTAAAACTTCTTACATACAAATTATTGCAATTATTAATTGTTTTGTAAAGTTTTCTTTTGAAACCAAATATAAATGGTAGCTCTTTTCTTCAGAGTTATGTTTGGGGGCTGTTTGACTTTGGTCTGCACGTTATTCTTTCATGCCCTCTAATGGTAGTTTGAGGAAACTCCTATTGAAAACACTTGAAATAAATTAAACATAAAAAATAAACACGAGATCACTCAAAGATTTTAATATAAATAACTTTCACATGCCAGATATTCTTGCCGTGGGAAAAAGACCACATGTTCATTTTCTAAACTTTGGAGAGTAGATTTTTTTTTTGTCGGTTTGCCACAGTTTTTAAGGAATTTATTTGGATGCTTCTTTTTAAAATTCCATTTCTAATTGTTTTTTAAATTCTTTTGTGATTCTCTTAGGTTGATAGATATTTTCCAAAGTTTTATTTGCTTTGGAATTAGGAAATATATTTTTATGTATATTCACACATAGGTAGAAATACTATTTTTACAAATCAGTTTTGTGTTTATTACTAGGTATGGATGGGGATGAGAAATGAGAAGATTCAAACTTCTTTTTCAGCATTATAACATTTCTTGTAATGGTATTACAGAATAAATCTAGACCATGGTGCTAAAGTACCATCACTGTTCAGTTTCAGCCCTGTGTGTTTAGAGAACAGCTAGTGAAGATGGCCTGGGTCTCAAATATCCTATCCCTGCACAGAACATTCATTTTCAGGGTTAAAAGACCACAAGGAAAAATTTCATCACATCTTTAAAAATGTGCTTATATCAGCTGGTTCCAGCTACATATTATAAGCAGATGGCGTTTTGTTGATTTCTCTTTTTGCTCCTCATTTTTGCTGTTCTCCTCATGTTGCATCCTTCCTAGCTCAAGACTGTTGCCATACAGTGACGGTTGTTCTGCTTCAGTACCATCACAGAAATGTGGCTTTTGTTTTTGATGATGGCGGGAAACAGAATGGAGGCATCTGCATACAGGTTGGAAGAGAACTTTTTCCCTCTGCATGTCATGCTTTATGAGCCTTTGTTGGTTGTCTCAAAAGAATTACACTATTTCTTCAAAACACAGTTAGAAATTTTTCTTGTCTGTAGTGTTAACCTGAAATAATACTTATAAACATTAATACAAGCAGATATCATTAAAAATATACCCCAACAATGTATTTATAAAATTTTTTGTCTCCTTACCAAAATGTAAAAGTTCTGTGAATATCATAATATTACATTAAATTTTGAAGTATTCTCCAGAATTACTGTTTATCGAACACCTACAATGTACCAGGCTCTATAGAATTCATATTTTCTTTACCTCAACTGCAAAAAGAAGTAACTGTTCTCATTGGGCTCATGAGAACATTTAGGCTCAAAAAGGTGGAGTGACTTGTGCAGGGTCATAGTGCTATTAGGAGTTAGAGCTGAGTTGATCCGACTCCACTGTGACTTTAGTGAGACTGTTTTGGGAGAGGCCAGAATAGATTCTCGAGTTTGATTCTCCATTTTCTCTCTATTGTCCTTCATGACTTTTAAATGATCTTTTCCTTTAGCTTTAAATTTGTATTTATGTTTGAGATAACAGACAATAGTGCTTATGAATTAGATCTTTGTAGTTAGACGTCGGTTTGAATTTGGGCTCTGCCAGTCCCTAACTGTGAAACATCCAGTGAATAAAGTAACCCCTTCTCATGTGTAGAAAGAGGTAATAATAGTGATGGTTTCATGGGAATGTTACGAGATTAAATAAGATAGACTGTCTAGGTAATGACAAATCCTTTATAAATGAGGGCTATTGTTTCTCTTGATATTTTTGAATTCCATTGTCTTATTTTAAGGATTAATGCTTATGCTTTAATACTAGGGAGTGAAAAATGTATATTGTATTAGAAAGTGATTATCTAGCTATCTCTTTATAACTGCAGGTATTACTACAAAGCAATATTTTATTCTATCACTGAATAAATAAAAGCTCAAACATAAATTTTGATCTGTGTTAAAAATATTAAACCTAAGGTTCTTATTTTGATCCATGTTTTTTTAGCTAGTCATTATTATTTTCAAAAAGTGGATTCCAATAAGCTACTGCTTAACTAACCTCTCTCTCTTTCTGTCTCACACACACACACACACACACACACACACACACACACACACTAGACCCAGGAATTCAGTTGATATATAGCATTACATATCTACTGCAACTGAATCCCTGGTCTAAAATGAAGTTTTTTCATCCACAAACTCTAAGGTATTGTACTGTTTTAAAACGTGGAGAGATCTGTTTTCTGAAAATAATTTAGCAGAGAAACCCTGACTGAGGAAGTTTGAGGGGTGCTAAACACTACAGTGAACACTTTAAATGAATCATCTTGTAAGCAAGAATCTCACAACCATACAGTGGGTAGGTATGATTTTTTATCGTCTATTTTCTAGATGTGAACCTAAGATTTAATGGCAGCTAAATAACTTGCTCAACATCACACAGCCAGTAAGAGGCGCAGCCAAATATCCTCTTCCAAAGTCAATCTCAAATTTCTTTCCAGCATCCTCCTTATTGCTTCATCGAGTCATTTTCATGTTAAAAGTAATCACTCACAAAATCTAGCATGAAATATAGCAGGTACAGAAAACAGCTTTAACCAGGTATGTTGGAATGAACGAAGGGAGAACTCTGAAAATGAAGCTTTCTAATCTTTGGCACACAGCTAACCTCCCTACCACACTCATGCTTCCTGAAGAATCATTCATTTAAAGGAATGGTCTTATTAAATTAACAATAATTGAGTGACAGAGAGAATTAACAAAGACCATGGTGAATTATTTTCTTCTTTTGCATTTATGTGGCTCCGGAGGGCACCCAGAATGATACTGCTATTCTTTTAAGTAGGCACACATATTGCTTATGGTAAGTTACCATATTATCTCCCCCTAATTTAAATAAATTACATTTTTTTCATTTTATGTCTGAAAAGAGAAGTAATAGATAGCTCACTGCTATCCACTCTAAGTATGCAGCTTTCTTGATGATTCCTCCTGGAGGAACTCACTGACTTCAATAGGTAATATAAGAATAAAAGAATTCAGCTGTTCATATTCCTTGAGGGTGGAGAGGTATATGTCTTCTTTATCCTCCAGCCATGCAGACCCCCAAGCATTTTTCATAATGCATATGGTTTCTCTATTTGAGTCATTCTCTTATCTTAATCTACCTTGTAGTACTTTCCCAATGGGGCTTCCATTTGCTGCCTCAGCAAGTTAGCTGTAAAACTTAAAATCTTGTATTCTAAGATATTTTTACCTTTAAGATTTATTTTGTGTTCTAATACAAAAACCATTAAATAGTACCAGAAATTGACAAAATGGCATGTTTTATCATTTTTATCACTTAGGAGAAAGACCCAAGTGGCCTCATACTATGAAACATAAAAGTTTTGTTTGTGTTCAAAAGCCATTTCAAATGAATGAGTTCACTGAAATTTTAACCTGGGTTTTAGAATCACTATTACTAGCTTTAAGGGCCTGAAATCATCATGGGAAAAATAAACCAATAAATGTGGGATTAGAAGGTGTAGTTTCCAGTCCTGGGTTTTCTATTTGACGGCTTTGGAAAGTAATTTGTCCCTGAAAGTCTTAGTTTCTTCATTTATAAAATGACAGTAATAATGCCTACATTCTTATCTCACAGGGTTCTTGTGATAGTCAAATAAACTTAAAACGCATGTGTGTTGAACACATTATAAATCATAGTTCTATGAAAGTATAGAGTATTGCTGTTTTTTTCTGACAGCCATATATATCTGCTTTTAAAAATGCCAATAGTTTTATTATTTCTGGTTAACAAGATAAGTTAGCAAACATATATTGAACCCCAGTTAAATGAGTTGCATGGTGCTAAGTACCTAGAAGGGTTTCCCAGCTTCCATGTTCTGAGTAACAGAGCCTTTGGACAGGTCCTGGGGTAGCCAGAAATGTGGCCAGGAACAACATCAGGCATTTACTCAAGTGTGCTGTGCAAATTCTAGTATTTTCTGTGCACGCAATGATGTGAGAATTTGGGAGGCCCTGCCAAAATGATTAAAAACCAAAAGCACATATATTCCCTGTTCCTTTGAAGGTTATAATCTAGTAGAGCAGCAGATTGGATACTTAAAATGACATAAAAATTATTACTGAGCATGATATTGGGTTTATAAAGCTAAAGTACTACTTAGATACCACTTTACTGGGAGAGATTAAAATTGGTGGAATAAATTGAACATAGAGATTTGGCTTTAAGCAGGCAATGGGCATGAATTTCATAGAAAAGGAAATAGTCCATGACTAGAATTGGAGCTAAGTAAGAAAATGTATAGAAGGCCAAAAGGAGATGACACTGATTGAATTGCTGCTTTGAATGGACCAACTTAGGCTGCCATAAGAGATAAGGCTAAAAAGTTGCACTATGATTATTTGAGAAATAGCTGTGAATGTTATACTGAGGAGTGTGAATCTATCAGCTTATCAGCTGTATTAAGTTTTCTATTATGGCTGTAACAAATTACCATGCGTTTGGTGGCTGGCTTAAAACAATTCAAATTTATAATCTTAGGGTTCTAAAGGTCTGAAGTTTTAAATAGGTTGACCCAGCTGTACTCCTTCTGGAGACACTAGGAGAGATTCCATTTCCTTGCCTTTTAAAGATTCTAGATACCATCTGCATTTATTGGCTTCTGGCCCCTTCCTTGCATCACTCTGACCCCTCCCCCTGCCATCAGATCTTCTCTTCCTCTGCTTTTGTTGTCACATTGTCTTCTCGCTGGCTGTGACCTCCTTTATTTTATAAGGGCCCTGTGATTATATTGGGACCACTCAGATAAACTAGAATAATCTCCCAATCCCAAAATCCACAACTTAATCCCAATGCAAAGTCTTTTTTTTTTTTTTTTACCACTTAAATTAACATATTTACAGGTTTCAGGGATTAGGATGTCTAAACGTTTTAGGGGAAGCAAGGGACATTATTCAGCCTACATCATCATAGTTAATATATCTTTGTTACAGGTTCTTGAAAGGAAGGTGAGATGATTTCCTTATATATGACATTTTATTTCTTTATAGTGTGTTTGTGTGTGTGTATGTGTGTGTGTGTGTGTGTGTGTGTGTGTGTGTAACCATTCATATTCATATGCTTGAGCCCAGGCAATATTGTCTTCAAAAAAAGTGTTTTATATTTGACTAGATATATTGTAAACTATGTGAATACATGATTTTATCATTTTTTAGTCTCTATTTTATCCCTATTGCCTACCAAAATGTCAGGTACATAATAGATTCATAGTAATTCAGTGAAGTAATATTGGGCAAGTAATTAGCCTCTCTATGGCAAGAAAAATGGTACCTAATCACTAGCTAGAATAAGCCAATTTTCTCATATGAATGATTCAACTGAATTATTTCAGGAAATAAAAACCTATATAGACAGCAAATATGGTGAATAGATGGTCATGACAGTTGCAGCTCACCATCATGCCCTCTGTTTTATGCCTTATTAGTAACAATCTGATTTTATCATTAATTTACTTGCTAGCTTCACCCACCTAAACATAAGCTCCTTGAATTAGCACTGTTCCTTCTGCTTGTTCCTCCTTTTTCTTCTCTTTTTTTCCATCTTCAGTGCCTGGTGTAATTATTGGTTCATAGTAGATTCTTTATAAGCTTTCCTATTGATAATATACAACCATTTGTAAAATATAGTGGAGAAAATTTGACTTATATTAGAAAAAATATAGAAATGAACTTAACTGAGTAGTACATATATCTAACAAAACCTTAATATACCATAAAAGATGTTTCAAAAAATGAGATTGCAGTTTGGACTAAATTAACGTACAAATTTAAGGTATTTCCAAGTAAATTTTCAAAAGGACTATTTTTATAAATTGACAAGATGATTCAAAACTTTATCTGAGAAGATGCAATATGAGAAGAACCAATTCTTCTGAAACTTAAGGTGAATATTTGAACTAGATATTACTAACAAGTATAATGATATTGAAACAGTGTGTTTCTGGTACTGAAGGTACAGATGGGACATAATGGAGATTCCTAAAATGGTTTTGTGTGTGCTCATGTTATAAATATCATTTCAAATTAGTAAAGAAAGTCTGGATTATTCAGAGAATAGCCTGACAACTGGATAATCATACAGGACAAAAAAAAATTAGTTCCCTATCTCTCACTGTATCAAGTAAATGCAGATTATCATATCTTGGAAATTAAAATATACAAACTGGCAAATAATTAGGTAACATTGTAGTAAGGAAAGCTTTTATAAGCAGATCATGTTTACAGAAAAACACATTATGAAAGAATAATTTATTTTATCATAAAATGGGAAATGACACAAAGGATTATCAGGAGTATGTTTAGTTCACACATCTTAGTTTTTCCAGATCATCGAAGAGAATTCTATAATTGTCATACAAATTTCCCTCCTCCACTTCTGCCAACTGGCACTTCTGCCGTTTGCCAAATGAACCAATCTCTTAGCCACTCCTGGTGTTAGGCATATTCCCTCTCACACAATTCTTGATATTTATCTTAAACACTTTTCACTTGCATGAAAATGTGACAGCATGGAATGACTTGCCCACAAGGCGTACATTATTTTGAAGATGGCCTATAGATAAATTCTTTCTTTTAGGTAGAATTAACCAAATAGAGTAAAATAAGCAACTCCTAGAAGGCTTACAAAACTCATGGGCTCCCCAGAGTTTGGTGTTTCTTTTTGAACTGTGTGAGTGTGATATACCAAATGAAATTCAAAGGCCAAAGACTCATCTCAATGGAATTTGTGGTTTTAGACTCATGAAACTTACTTAAATGAAACTTGCATTTTCTACAGCTGTGCCTAAAACTTCCCTTGGCAAGAATCTTTACATCACTGCTGACAGCTTAGTGAACAAATTGCTTAGTTTATAGATATGGCCACTTCTGTCAGCAGAGGAAAGAATTAAGATAAAACTATTAGACTACAGTTATATGATAATAAATCAAAATAGTCAATTTTAAAACATAGGTGGAACATGAGTAAGTATACTGATGCTTGGTTTAATGAATATTTAGTGGGAGGAAAAACAAGAAAATACATTATTTATAAAATGATTCCTTAATCATGGCACTACTGGAATAGTACAATCTAATTCTGTCATGTTTCATGTTTGTAGGAAAATTTGACAAAGGGCCTATACATGGAGACAGGTAATATGTAAGTAATAATTAAACAGAATAAGAAATAAATCTCTGATTTAATAACTCATAGTACTATTTTAATAGAATAATAGAGATATGTTTTAGTTATTAATAAATATGAGTATCCTTTGACATGGGTTATTCCAATTGTTGGTGCCAAAAGTTAATTATTTAAAAAAGCTTTAGTCTTAGGCATTAAAAATTATTTTTATTTTCAATTTTTATGTGTACATAGTAGGTGTATATATTTGTGGGGTACATGAAATGTTTGATATAGGCACACAATGTGAAATAAGCACATCTCATGGAGAATGGGGTATCCATCCCCTCAAGCATGTATCCTTTGAGTTAGGAATTTTTTGATTGGCACATGATGTAACAGAGTTGGGTCTTTCAACAAGTCATCTAACCTCTATAAGCCTGAGTTTTCACTTTTATTGAGTAAGCGTATGGACTAGATTCTCTCTATCATTCTTCTCACCTTTGAACTTGCATAATTTCAATGGTCTTTGAGGAGTTAGAGGACATTATATAGTGTATCTTTGCTGTTACCAACCAAAACAAACAAAAAAGTAAAATAGAAGTCTAGAAGTACTATAAGGATATCTATGGTATGTGGTTCATACACATATTTCTGGAATTCCTACTGCCATAATGAACTTTTAAGACATACATTTCCCTCCACATTGTAACATTTATACAATTTTGTTTACCTGTGATGGCATGCCATAATTAAATCTTTAGCACTATTGTTTCTTACAATTACATGAAATAATGATTCAGTTTATTCTCTGTGGAGTCTTAGGATTGATGAAATTCAGAATATGTCAGGTAGCATGCTGTGTGTGCTAAGGATACCTGGACTCTCTTCTTATAAATCTCCGATTCTAAACATCCACTGAAGGTTCTTGAATAATGTCATTTTGTTACATGCTGTTTTGTATAGTGATGAGAAAAAAAATGGATTCCTGGCTGGAGCCACTGTCTGTGTGGTGTTTGCATGTTCTTTCCATGTCCACATGGGTTTTTTCTGGCTACTTTGGTTTCCTTCTGTATCCCAAAGATGTGCATGTGCACATTAGATGAATTGGCATATTAAATTGTCCCCATCTGGGCAAGCGCATGTGTGTGATTGTGTGCCCTGTGATGGGATGTCATCCTGTCCAGAGTTAGTTCTTTCCTGGTACTCTGAGCTGCTGGGGTAGGCACTGGACACCCAAGACCCTGAACTGGAATGATTGGGTAAATAGTTATCTTACTCATTTCAAATTAATATTTCTTAAATGTATGTGTAGCCCATATTTATTTCAATGTTTAATATTAGAAGTGTTTTGGTCTTGATGAGCAATGGGGAAAGGACTCCCTATTGAATAAGTGGTGCTGGGATAACTAGCTAGCCATATGCAGAAGCTTGAAACCAGACCCCTTCCTTACATCACGTAGAAAAATCAACTCAAGATGAATTAAAAACTTAAATATAAAACCCAAAACTATAAAAATCCTGGAAGACAAACTTGACAACACTATTCTGGCCAGAGGAATGAGTGAAGATTTCATGATGAAGACATGGAAAGCAATTGCAACAAAAGTAAAAATTGACAAATGAGATCTAATTAAATATAAAAGCTTCTGCACTGCAGCAGAAACTACCAACAGAGTAAACAGACAACCTAAAGAACAGGAGAGTATTTTTGCAAACTATGCATCTGACAAAGGTGTAATATCCAGCATCTATAAGGAACTTAAATAAATTTACAAGAAAGAAACAAAAAAACCCATTAAAAAGTGGGAAAAGGACATGAACAAACACTTTTATAAATAAGACATACATGTGGCCCACAAGAATATGGGAAAAAACCTCTATATCACTGATTATTAGGGAAAGGCAAATCAAAACCACAATGAGATAGCATCTCACACCAGTCAGGAAGACTGTTATTAAAAAGTCAAAAAATAACAGATGCTGGTGATGCTCCAGAGAAAAAGGAATGCTTATACACTGTTGGTGGGAGTGTAAATTAGTTCAACCATTGTGGGAAGCAGTGTGGTGATTCCTCAAAGAGCTAATAATAGAACAACCATTCAACCCTGCTGTCCCCATTACTGGATATATACCTAGAGAAATAGAAGTAATTATATCGTAAACATACATGCACATGAATGTTCATTGCAGTACTATTCCCAATAGCAAAGACATGGAATCAGTCTAAATGCCCATCAATGACAGATTAGATAAAGAAAATGTGGTACATATAAACTGTGGAATATTATGTAGCCATAAAAAAATGAGATTATGTCTTTTGTAGGAACACAGATGGAGCTGAATGCCATTATCCTTAGCAAACTAATGCAGGAACAGAAAACCAAATACAGCATATTCTCAGAAGTGGGAAAAAATGATGAGAACTCATAGATACAAAGAGAGGAACAGCATACACTGGGGCCTACTTGAGAATGGAGGGTGGGAGGAGGGAGAGGATTAGAAAAAAATAACAATTAGGCACTAGGCTTAGTAAGTGGGTGATGAAGTAATCTGTATAACAAACCCCTTGTGATATGAGTTTACCTATATAACAAACTTCCACATTTATCCCCGAGCCTAAAATAAAATGTTAAAAAAGTAAAAAAAAAAAAAAAATCCACGTGAAACCCGCCTCCCCACCGCACACCACCCCCACCCACTGCGCCAAAAAAAAAGAAGTGGAAGTTTGTTGATATTTTTGTGACCAAAATATGCCATAGAAACTTTAATTCTTGTTGACGTCAATTAGGCTATGGTGAAATCGTTTTTCTTATACTTCATTTTGCTTAATGTTACAATTTCTGAGAACCTATCGAGGATGTTTAGTGAGGATTTATTGTAATGACAGAAAAGCAACATTATTATACACATGAGGTCACATCACTGCAAAATATCCTTATCTAGCCCCAGACTTTCTTCCACCATCAGGTCCTCTCCACTTCTACACATAAAGTATTCATTTCACATCATGAATAACCTCTTTGCTAAATGATGTACCTTTTAAAACAATAGAAGGATTTTAATACGTTGTTTCTGGGACAGTCTTCTCTGTCAATGTGGTACGCATGTGGCCTGGGTGAGTGAAAAATTGTGAATGCTTTCTTTATAGAAATGTTTGCCAATAACTGAATATCTATTTTCCTGCTTCTACCCCAAATTTAGTGTCCATTTTGTGTACCAATTTAATCCTCATCTGACTTTTAAAATTTTTGTCATAATTGTTTCTATTTATCATCTTTATACTTATCACTCTTAAACATTTTTCTAATTAAAAATATTATTTGAGTTCATTGTAGATTCTGGATATTAGCCCTTTGTCAGATGAGTAGGTTGCGAAAATTTTCTCCCATTTTGTAGGTTGCCTGTTCACTCTGATGGTAGTTTCTTTTGCTGTGCAGAAGCTCTTTAGTTTAATTAGATCCCATTTGTCAGTTTTGGCTTTGGTTGCCATTGCTTTTGGTGTTTTAAACATGAAGTCCTTGCCCATGCCTATGTCCTGAATGGTAAAGCCTAGGTTTTCTTCTAGGGTTTTTATGGTTTTAGGTCTAATGTTTAAGTCTTTAATCCATCTTGAATTGATTTTTGTATAAGGTGTAAGGAAGGGATCCAGTTTCAGCTTTGTACATATGGCTAGCCAGTTTTCCCAGCACCATTTATTCAATAGGGAATCCTTTCCCCATTGCTTGTTTTTCTCAGGTTTGTCAAAGATCAGATAGTTGTAGATATGCGGCGTTATTTCTGAGGGCTCTGTTCTGTTCCATTGATCTATATCTCTGTTTTGGTACCAGTACCATGCTGTTTTGGTTACTGTAGCCTTGTAGTATAGTTTGAAGTCAGGTAGTGTGATGCCTCCAGCTTTGTTCTTTTGGCTTAGGATTGACTTGGCGATGCAATGAACTCAAACAAATTTACAAGAAAAAAACAAACAACCCCATCAACAAGTGGGCGAAGGACATGAACAGACACTTCTCAAAAGAAGACATTTATGCAGCCAAAAAACACATCAAAAAATGCTCACCATCACTGGCCATCAGAGAAATGCAAATCAAAACCACAATGAGATACCATCTCACACCAGTTAGAATGGCAATCATTAAAAAGTCAGGAAACAACAGGTGCTGAAGAGGATGTGGAGAAATAGGAACACTTTTACACTGTTGGTGGGACTGTAAACTAGTTCAACCATTGTGGAAGTCAGTGTGGCGATTCCTCAGGGATCTAGAACTAGAAATACCATTTGACCCAGCCATCCCATTACTGGGTATATACCCAAAGGACTATAAATCATGCTGCTATAAAGACACATGCACACGTATGTTTATTGCGGCATTATTCACAATAGCAAAGACTTGGAACCAACCCAAATGTCCAACAATGATAGACTGGATTAAGAAAATGTGGCACATATACACCATGGAATACTCTGCAGCCATAAAAAAGGATGAGTTCATGTCCTTTGTAGGGACATGGATGAAATTGTAAATCATCATTCTCAGTAAACTATTGCAAGAACAAAAAACCAAACACTGCATATTCTCACTCATAGGTGGGAATTGAACAATGAGAACACATGGACACAGGAAGGGGAACCTCACACTCTGGGGCTTGTTGTGGGTGGGGGAGGGGGGAGGGATAGCATTGGGAGATATACCTGATGCTAGATGACGAGTTAGTGGGTGCAGTGCACCAGCATGGCACATGTATACATATGTAACTAACCTGCACATTGTGCACATGTACCCTAAAACTTAAGGTATAATAATAAAAATTTAAAAAATAAATAAATAAATAAACAATATTATTTTGGCTATAAGACCTTTCAAGTTAGACTTGTATTCAAAAATGACATGTTTTCCATTTTGAGGCTAAAGGTAAACCTACATACTTTTTTAAAACCATTGCCACAGCATGAGTTCTATGTCAGTTATAAGCTAGAGCCCCTTTGCCTGGTATAATTAAGATGGCTTGCTCTTGCGATTACAAAGGCTAAAAGAAGTAGAATAAATGGACATCAGGAAGGGAAAAAGAGAAAGAAAGAGTATAGCCAAATAATAGGTATATTTCTATGTCTACATTTTTGCTAAATTCTGTGCTTTGCATCAGAAGCATTTTTGCCATTTAGTTAGTGTTCCTAATTATAAAGCTAATGGGTGAAACATTCATTTATTTATTCAACAGATACATCTTGAGTGCCTACTGTATACTAGGATTTGCCATCAGTACTGAATAGAACAGGCAGAATTTCCATAAGGTTTTATTAAAGGGAAAACTAGCTTAATTAACTATTCCCACATTGCTAGACATTTAGGTTGTTTTCCATTTTCCTCTTTGAAATATAGATCTTTCCCTTGTTTTGTATTATTTTCTTAGGATAGACTACCAGAAATGGAATAGTTTTCCAAAGATGTGAGCATTTTCTGGGGGGTGGGGTGGGGTGGGGAAACTATCAATTTATATTTAAAAATGTTAGTGTTTCCACATCAAAATAGTAATTTGCTCACAAACAAACAAAAACATTCTACCATAGTTTGGATAGTAGGATGTTTAAGATAGAAGTATAGACACTTTTAATAACAATGATGGGTTTTTGGGCAAATAAATTGCTTAATTTATTTATATTAAAAATTATGATTTAGGTCTTTGAATTAAAAAGATAGCTTTAGATCTTAAAAAATTAAAGGACATTGGTTTTACTTTTGAATATTTAGAACTAATAAGATGAAGTTGATCAAATATAAATGTAGCATAATTTTTAGAAGTGCTACTTAATCAAAGTCAGTGACATGGAAAATGGAGAAATGCTTATGGCCAAAGAAATCTAAACTTTGAACAAGCCCTGGAAGACCTTCTCTAAGAACTAATTCTAAATTTTTCAAAGGATGTAACAGATGATCTAAGAAGTCCCTTGCTTTCTGGAGCACTATGATAACAGGATAATTCATGTTTCCATTGTGGTACACAGGGATTTAAAAACATTACTTACACCCATCACCTGCTCATTGGTGAAAGATTAGATCCTTATAAACATGCACATATATGTCTGCATCAGACATTCTTCATAAATGCTTCTGATGTGAGTATCCCTGTCTGATATAACCATCACCAAACCCTTTTGGACATTCTTTCTAGCCATTCCCATGGGGTAGGTGCACACACATATCAGTTACCTCTTTCAGCCAAAAGCTAAAAATGAATTTAAAAGCCAGTTAATGCAGCAGCTTTAATTTTTTAAACTACAGAATAAAATCAATAAGTCAGTTAGGACATTAGAAAAGGGCTGCAAACAGTACATCAGTTTTAACACAAAAGCAAAAACAAAACAAAAGCCAATGAAAAGGTACTAAATATCAAAGAGATATTGATCACAGTTTCGTGGTACTTCCTCTTTAACATGGTAAATTATTCAGTTTCATTCTTGATTAAAGAGAGGAAAGAGATTAAGTATTAAATAATTCCTAATATACATTTTTTTACTTCCATAACATTGGTTCTAAAATGAACTAAGATACATTTGTGGGTGGAATTTCAGTGTTATCAGCATTATGAGAGAAAGAAAATAAAAGCAAATTTCAGCAGGAAAAAGTGCCTGCACAAATATACCATGTAAAACAGTACCAGAGATATATAGACTAACCTATCTCTGATATAAATAAAATTATAAATTAGTATATTTCTGATAGCCTAGTACAGCATGTTTAATTTTACCATCAGCAATTTACTATCAAAATTTGCATAACCACTTAGGGACCTATAAAAAAAAAACTAAGCCCAAGGTTATTAGAAGAAAAGAAATAAGAAAGATCAGAGTAAAAATAAATGAAAGAGACAAAAAATAGATAAAATCAACAAAAATAAGAGTTTGCTTTCAGAGACAAAATCAATAAATCTTTAGCTAGACTAAGAAGAAATAAAAGATGAAAACTAGAAATGAAAAGGGAGACCTTTCAATTGATATCACATAAATATAAAGGGTTATAAGAGATAACTATGAACAATTATACACCCACAAATTGTATAACCTACAAGAAATGGATAAATTTCTAGAAAAATGTAGTATACCAAAACTGATTCAGGAAGAATTACAAAATCTGAACAAACCAATAACAAGTAAGGAGACTGAATCTCTAATAAAAAGTCTCTCATCAGAGAAAAGTCCAGCACCTGCTTGTTTCACTATTGAATTATATTGAATATTTGAAGAACTAATACTAACCTCTACTCAGCCTTTTCTAAAAATGAAGTAAAAAACTTCTAAACTCATTTTTTGAGCCAGCTTTTCCTTTATACAAAAGTCAGATAAGGACACTATAAGAAAAGGAAACAGGCCAATATCTCTAATGAAAATAGACGTAAAAATCCTCAGCCAAATACTAGCTAACTGAATTCAACACATTAAAAGATCATTCACCATGATCAGCTGGGATATATTCCAGAGATGCAAGGAAAATCAACACATGCAAATCAATCAATGTGATAACCATAATAGCAGAATTCAGGACAAAAACAATATGATCATCTCAGTAGATACAAAAAAGCACTTCACAAAATTCAGCATCCAACGTTCCAATAAAATGTTTTCAACAAATTAGAATGAATGCACGTGAACATACTGAAGGCCATAAATGACAAGCACACAACTAACATTATATTCAATGATGAAAAATGGAAAGCTTTTCTTCTAAGATAGGAACAAGACAAAGTCCACTCTCATCAGTTTTATTTAACATAGTACTGGAAGTCCTCAAAGAGCAGTTAGCCAAGACGAAGAAATCAACCATATTCACATTGCAAAGAAAGATGTTAAGTTGTCTTTACAGATGACAAAATTATATATATATAAAAAACCCTAACAACTCCACCAAAATCTGTTAGAACTAATAAATAAATCCAGTAAATTTGTAATATGCAAAGCCAACATACAAAAACTACTAGCATTTCTATATACTAACAACATACTGCTTGAAAAAAAATCAAGAAATCAACCTCATTTACCATAGGTACAAAGAAATAAAATACAGATGCTCCCTCAGATGGTTTGACTTATAAATTTTCAACCTTAGAATGCTACAAATGTGATACATATGCACTAGAAACTGTACTTTGAGTACCCATACAAGCATTCTATTTTTCACGTTTCATATAATATTCAATAAATTACATGAGATATTTGACACTTTATTATAAAATAGGCTTTGTGTTAAATGATATTTTGTTCAACTATAGGCTAATATATGTCTTCTGAGCACATTTAAGTTAGACAAGGCTAAGCTATTCTCTTCGATAGGTTAGGAGTATTAAATGCATTTTAATTTATAATATCTTTAATTTATGATTGGCTTATTGGGATGTAACCCCATCTTAAGTTAAGGAGAATCTGTAATTAGGAATAAATTTAACCAAGGATGTGAAAGACCTATACACTGAAAACTATTAATCTTTGACAAAAGAAATTGAAGACACAAATAAATGGAAACATATCCTGTGTTCATGAATTGGAACAATTAAAATTGTTAAAATGGCAATACTACCCAAAGTGATAGTGATTCATTGCAATTTCTATGAAAATTCCAATGACATTTTTCACATAAATAGAAAAAAATCCTAAAATTAGTAGGAATCCACAGATGCCCTGTGTCAGTCCATTTTTACACTGCTGATAAAGACTGGGTAATTTATACAGGAAAAAGGGTTTAATGAACTGACAGTTCCAAGTGACTGAGGAGGCCTCTCAATCATGGTGGAAGGCAAGGAGGAGCAAGTCACATTTTACATGGATGGCAGGAGGCAAAAAGAGCTTGTGCAGGGAAACTCCCATTTTTAAAATCATCAGATCTCATGAGACTTATTCACTATCATGAGAACAGCATGGAAAAGACCCGCCCCCCCATGATTCAATTACCTCCCACCAGGTCCCTTGCACAACACGTGGGAATTCAAGATGAGATTTGGGTGGAGACACAGCCAAACCACATCATACCCCTACCAGTCAAAGCAATTTTGAGCAAAACAAAACAAAACAAAAAATCCCTTCAAATAAACAACAAAAAACCCAAAAAGAAAGATATGGTCATCAAACTACCTAACTCAAAATGTACTACAAAGCTATAGTAACCAAAACAGCACCATAGTGGCATAAACACAGACACATAGACCACTAGAGAAGAATTGAGAGCCCAGAAATAAATTTATGGGTTACAGTAAAATTGATTTTTGATAAAGATAACAAGGACACACAGTGGAGAAGGGAAAGTTTCTTCAATAAACGGTGCTGGGAGAACTCAATATTCACATGCAGAGAAATAAAATTAGACTATCATCTCATATCATATACAGAAATCAACTAAAAATGAACTGCAAACTTAAAAATTCTGAAGCTGTAAAACTACTAAAAGAAAAGGGAAAAACCTCCATTAAGTCTCATTGCTCGAAGTATTAAAAATCTTTGCTTTAGGCAATAATTTTTTGGAGATGACCTCAAAAGCACAGGTAGAAAAATCAAAATAGACAAATGAGATTACACTAAACCAGAAGTTTCTGTAAGCCAAAGGAAACAACCAACAGAGTAAAGAGGCAGCCCACAGATTTGGAGAAAACATTTGCAAATTCTACATGTGATGAAAGCCTAGTATCTAAAATATGTAAAAGCTCAAACAACTCAACAACAAGAAAGCAAATAACCCTATTGAAAATGGGCAAAGGCAGACATGCAATTACCAACAGGCAAATGAAAAACAATGCTCAACATCACTAATCATCAGTGTAATGCAGATCAAAACCACGAACCATCACCTCACATCTGTTAGAACAGCTATCATTAAGCAGATTAGAAGTAAGTGTTGATGATGTGGAGAAAGGGGATCTCTTGTACATTGTTGGTGGGAATGGAAATTAGTAGAGCCATTATGAAAAACAATATGGAGGTTCTTCAAAAAACTAAAAACAGAATTACCATATGATTCATAAACCCAAGTTCTGGGTATATATCCAAAGAAATTAAAATCAGTATGTTGAAGAGATATCTGCACTCTTATATCCATTACAGCATTATTCACAATATACAAGAGATAGAAACAACTTAAGTGTCCTTATGCAGATGAATGAATAAAGAAAATGTGGTATATATACACAATGGAATACTATTCAGCCCTAAAAAAGACAGAAACTCTGTAATTTGAGATCATATAGATGGAGTTGGAGGATCTTATATTATGTGAAATAAACCAGGCACAGAAAGACAAATACTGCATGATCTTACTTAGAGGTGGAATCTTAAAGTGTGGAACTCATAGGAGCAAAGAGTAGAATGGTGGTTACCAGGAACTAGGAGTTGGGAGTGGGTTGGGGAAATGTTGATTGAAGGATACAAAATTTCCATTAGGAGAATAAGTTCAAGGGATCTATTGTATAACATGGTGACGATATTTAACAGTGTATAGTATACTTGTAAATCACTACAAGAGTAGATATTGTGTTATCACCAATAAGGATAGGTATGTGAGGTAATGCATATATTAATCAGCTTGATTTAGCCATTCTTTATTGTATACATATTTCAGAATATTATGTTGTACTCCATAGGTGCATATAATTTTTGTTTGTCAATTAAATAATTAATATTTAAAAAGTTCATAAACAAATCTTTATGGTAGAAACTTCTGAATAGTCCTAATTTAACTTTATGGCAAAAAGTTGTTCTGCTCTAAACCATTTAAAGATTTTGCATACAACTCCATAACTAATTGGGAAAATAGACTGTAAAAATATCCCACTTAACTAATAGGTAGACCTCAGCATACTCAACCATCTGGAACAAGACCCGGCGTTTGTACCCTGTTCTCATCTCACAGCTCATTCCCTACATATGGTCACTATGCATGAGAGGCCCACATGGGTGTTACTCTAGCTTTATGAAAGTCTTGATATAATTATTGTGTGATAAAAAGACTATTGTATTGGTAGAATTGTAAAGATCAAAGTCAGATTCCTGTATGTAGAAATCTGTTTTACTTGAAAGTATAAAAATAGAAGTATCCTTTTTGGTTTTAACTGGTGGTGTATTAGCTAACTATAAATGAGACATGTTCCTCAAATGAGAAACCATTGTTTCAGAAGGATGAGAAAGCAGAAATTTGATCATTTAACTTTGAATGCAGTGAAGAAAAACTAAAAAGCAAACTATTTTTGTGCAGTGGAAGTAAAGAAAGCCCCTTCTATTCTCACATTTACTACTGCAATTGCCTCCTAATTCTGATTTCTGACTTCAGTCTTGCTTTTCTCATCTGGCATTCAAAACTTGACCTGTGTTTTAAAAACCAATTCTGATCCTACTTAAACCTTCAGTATCTCCCAACGACTACTTATCATTGCATACAGTATTTTCATCTTTAATCGCTGTCATATGCTTGATCTTTCTTCATGTAGTCATTTAAGTTTTCATACACCAGCCATACTGAATTACTTGAAGTTCCTTAATTGTACCCTACTCTCTTAATCTCAGAATGGGGCACATGCCTGTTTCTTCTTGTACCAGCTAAACATCTCTGTGCTGCAATTTGTAAAAACCTCAAAACAAACTGTATTAGACAAGAAATATATTATTTCATGTATCAGGACATTCAGGACAATTCCTACAACAAAGAATCCACTTAACAAGATCATCAAGGTCTTGGGTTCTTTCTACTTTTCTTCCATTATCTTTGTTAACTACCTTTTTATTCAAGCTGAAGCAAGATGGCTGTAGCAGTTCCAGGCATCACAGCAATACACAGAACAGAGATAGGAAGAATGAGAAGAGTCAGAGTTTGGTTACATGCTCATTGTAGAACCATTGAAATTATCCTTGGACCTGTGACTCGAGGTGAGGGGACATATTTTGCTCCCCAGCAGACATTTATCAGTGTCTGAAGATATTTTTGGTTGTCACAAGTTGAGGTGTGCAGGGTGGGTTGTTGGGGGAATGTGTTGGGTGCTACTGTCATCTAGTGGGTGGTAACACCCTGCTGCTATACATTTTATAGTATATGGGACAGCTTCTCTTCTCCCGCTGCCTGCTTAAACACAGAATTATCCAGCACCAAATGTCAGAAGTGCCATAATTGAGAAACCCCATCTTAGACCAATCAGAGTCACTCCTGAATCTGGGGATAAAATTTACTTCTTCTGAGGTACATGGTGTATACAGGAGGAGTGGGTGTCTGAGAAAATCTGGAATTTGTTAAGAGGGAAAAAGAAAGGGAAAGAACATTGGGTTTGTAAGCAACAGAGTCTGCTATACCCTGCCTGGTTTGCTCTTTTCCCATTCTTCACCTGTTGCCCAATTCATATATATTCTATAGGCAATACTTTTTCAGGACACCTTTTCTGTATATAGTTTCCTCCTCTCAATCATTTTCCCTTGGCTACAATGCTGGGATGTATACTTTCTATATATTTCAAAAGCATTTGTTATCTCCTGTTATAATATTAATCTCTTGTAATTTAAAATATTCTTTACTTTTTTAATTGTTTTGCTAGTGTGTAATTTCTTTAGATGATAGGGACTATGTTCTATTCATGTGAAAAGACCTATCAAGTAGCATAGTACATACTGTCTAGTGTGTGAGTGATAAGTGATAGTTCACTGAAGAGGGCACTTAATCTCATTTTAGCTAAAAGTGTAGTGGGTAGGTTATAAATTGTGCCAAGGACAAGGAGCATTGTGTCTACAACATAGTGGATGCTCACTTATAATTTAGGATGTTAGATTAGGACTCCTACTATTTTATTTTTTAATTTGATGCCATAGCAATTGATGTCAAGTATGAAAGAAAGAATGAGATGCACCACTATAAATTGGGTTTACTAAGGAAATGGCTGAGAATAGATTCTATGACTCTGGATTGCCTTGGCTCATTTTCAAGACATAAAAGAGTGGAGAGAGTGCAAAGAATGGGGCAGAATTTATCAAATAAAATTATTTGGGGACACCTATTTCTTTGCTTTGAGGAACCTCTATAGGTGTTTTAGTGGAGACAGGGGTGAGATTGTTCCCTTCCTTTCAAGGAGAAGTGCGGTTCCATGAGCCCACTTGAGGACCCTGAAAGGTGTCCCCTGCAGTTAGAAGATACAGTGGACTGATGCATGCCCTGAGACTAAAAGACTTTAAAGCAGGGGTACCCAACACTTGGGCCATGAGCTGGTACTGGTCTGTGGCCTGTTAGGAACCAGGACACACAACAGGAGGTGAGTGGAAGGCCAGAGAGCATTACTGCTTGAGCTCCACCTCCTGTAAGATCAGCAGTGGCATTAGATTCTCAGAGGAGGGCAAACCCTATTGTGAACTGTGCATGCAAGGGATCTAGGTTGTACCCCCCTTGTGAGAATGTAATGCCTGATGATTTGTGGTGGAAGTGGAACAGTTTCATCTCAGAACCATACCACCCAGCTCCACTCCATCTGTGGGAAAAATGTCTCTTACAAAACCAGTTCCTGGTGCCAAAAAGGTTGGGGAGTGCTGGTTTAAGGCAACCTGAAAAAGCAGGATAGAGATGACTGAGTTGTATTCTACTTGTATATATCAGAGTATGTCAAGGAAAATAAAGTATGATTCCCAAAGACCAGATATGAGATATTTGAGAGAAAGAGCTGACATAGGGTCTATAGTGTCCTATTTAACAGGTGATTACAGGAGGAGAGGGACCTTAGCAGTAAGAAGTCAAATAGGAATGTTGGATTTGTAGGAACCTTGGAGAGTTACAAGCATAGGCAAAAGACATCCAGGCAACTCAAGGGAATTTCAGAACAGATTTTCAGTAAATCTGTAAGGCGCTCTGTTTTTATAACTCATGATGACTGTAAGATTATCTGTTACCTAAGTATGAGTGCAAAACCACATTCATTTTTTTCTCCCAAAAGCAGGAGATTAAACTCTTGAATAAATTTAACAGTGATGATACAGGACAAACATAAAGTTGTGCTTTGATTGCTTAATGCATAGGCACATACTACTTGACAGTTATAACGACGATGATGATAAAATAACAGTGTGCCTAACAAACCACTGGTCCATCACTCTGTACATTTTCCAGAGTTTGTGTTCTGGACTCAGACTGCTTGAGTTCCAGTCTTTCCTTCATTGTACAAAGATATTGTGAATGTAAGTGACATTATGCATGTAAAACAAATTTCCTGGTTCTCAAAAATTTAGCTTTTATTTTACTAATATACTGACTATGTTAAAGTTACACATTGTGGCACAGGTTTTTCAAAAGTAAGACTATGCTTTTTTGAAGTAACTGGATACCAAATAGATGTTCACAAGTAACAGCTAGACAGGACATCTGGGGTCCCTCCTTACCAAACCACAGAAGGGTTCGGTGAGCTGTGGAGGTGTCAAGACCAAAGTAACCTTAGAAGATGGGCTATAGCCCATAATCAGACCCAGTTGTCCATTACATTACAAAGGTAAGAATTCGGTGTATTTTGTTATTCTGTTCTGGTAATTGACATTCTTGGGCCATCCTATAGGCTATATTTAGTCCATATCTGGTAACAGCCTCTAGTTAATTGCAATTTTGGTAGTCCTTTCCAGAAGCAGTCAGCACCTGGAAGTGAACACAGATCTTTCAAACTGACTCACATCACTATATTTACCTTTCTGTGACCTAAAACTCTGAGGAGTTACAGAAGTTGTGGAAATTAACCCTGCTTTGACACCTGGAATCTAACCCAAGAACATCCAGGTGTGCTTACCTCTCCATGACCAAACACTTGCTCTTTACTTGCCACCAGTACTCTCAATGGCTTCTAACCATGTGGACATTTCTGTAGTATACGGGTCATTATAGCCACTGCCATCATGAAAACATCTTGAGATGTCAGTATTCTGTCTTCTAAGGGAATGAACTATTTTTGGATGTATATTCTTAGTAAGAAAGGGTAAAACGGAAGAAACATTTATGAGAACCAATACAAAATGGATAAACAATAAGAATTTCTATGGAAAATTGGAGTTTTACCAAATTTCTTTTTATTTTAGCTTTACCAATTGAGAAGAGAAAAATAATATTTTGACACACAGTAGGTACTTCAGTTACAATCTGACAGAATCAATTGCTAGTCTTTGTTGAAGTAATGAAAACAACGTTTTGATTTGAAACTCTTCTGGTAAGAATGTAAATAGCTGTGTTTCATGTTCCTTCACAGGAGCTTTATTTTTGAAAACAATATCAAAGTGTATCTTTCCTTTAAAAATTAGAGAGTTTATAATGGATTTGTGTTCATATAATTTTTATTGTATTTCAGAAAGCAGAACATATTCTCATTAAAACAGCAGGGGGAAAATAAAGAAATCTCGATTTAATTAAGATGAAGTTAAAGTTGATAAATTGGAGATGCATATGAACTCTTCAATGCAAACTTCTACGTTCAGGGGTCCGTAAGATGATGATAACATCTTCTTAGGCAGGAAGTTTTAATAAAGACATGAACCAATTTAGCACATTCCTGAGAGGAAATATTAAAATTGAGAGAAAGAAATAAGATTTATTTTTAGTGCACTACTTTAAACTACTTTCTGTACATGTAATGCACTTAATATTTTTTGAAAAGATGCATTTTAGTATCTTGAGGTCAAATACCATCAGTAGAGTATTTTTTTAAAAAACTGGCTTTTGTAAGCAATGTAGTATCTTCACTCTGCTTAATTTTTTCCATCTTTACCATTATAATTTTGCTTTCAGAACTATCACGTTCACTAGAACTCCTAATATGGCCTTCTTTTTTTTAAATTTATTAGTATTATACTTTAAGTTTTAGGGTACATGCGCACAATGTGCAGGTTAGTTACATATATATACATGTGCCATGCTGGTGCGCTGCACCCACTAACTCGTCACCTAGCATTAGGTATAACTCCCAATGCTATCTCTCCCCCCTCCCCCCACCCCACAACAGTCCCCAGAGTGTGATATTCCCCTTCCTGTGTCCATGTGTTCTCATTGTTCAATTCCCACCTATGAGTGAGAATATGCGGTGTTTGGTTTTTTGTTCTTGCGATAGCTTACTGAGAATGATGATTTCCAATTTCATCCATGTCCCTACAAAGGACATGAACTCATCATTTTTTATGGCTGCATAGTATTCCATGGTGTATATGTGCCACATTTTCTTAATCCAGTCTATCATTGTTGGACATTTGGGTTGGTTCCAAGTCTTTGCTCTTGTGAATAGTGCCAGCCACAATAAACTTACGTGTGCATGGGTCTTTATAGCAGCATGATTTATAGTCCTTTGGGTATATACCCAGTAATGGGATGGCTGGGTCAGATGGTATTTCTAGTTCTAGATCCCTGAGGAATCGCCACACTGACTTCCACAATGGTTGAACTAGTTTACAGTCCCACCAACAGTGTAAAAGTGTTCCTATTTCTCCACATCCTCTCCAGCACCTGTTGTTTCCTGACTTTTTAATGATTGCCATTCTAACTGGTGTGAGATGGTATCTCATTGTGGTTTTGATTTGCATTTCTCTGATGGCCAGTGATGGTGAGCATTTTTTCATGTGTTTTTTGGCTGCATAAATGTCTTTTTTTTGAGAAGTGTCTGTTCATGTCCTTCACCCACTTTTTGATGGGGTTGTTTGTTTTTTTCTTGTAAATTTGTTTGAGTTCATTGTAGATTCTGGATATTAGCCCTTTGTCAGATGAGTAGGTTGCGAAAATTTTCTCCCATTTTGTAGGTTGCCTGTTCACTCTGATGGTAGTTTGTTTTGCTGTGCAGAAGCTCTTTAGTTTAATTAGATCCCATTTGTCAATTTTGGCTTTTGTTGCCATTGCTTTTGGTGTTTTAGACATGAAGTCCTTGCCCATGCCTATGTCCTGAATGGTAATGCCTAGGTTTTCTTCTAGGGTTTTTATGGTTTTAGGTCTAACATTTAAGTCTTTAATCCATCTTGAATTAATTTTTGTATAAGGTATAAGGAAGGGATCCAGTTTCAGCTTTCTACATATGGCTAGCCAGTTTTCCCAGCACGATTTATTAAATAGAGAATCCTTTCCCCATTGCTTGTTTTTCTGAGGTTTGTCAAAGATCAGATAGTTGTAGATATGCGGCGTTATTTCTGAGGGCTCTGTTCTGTTCCATTGATCTATATGTCTGTTTTGGTACCAGTACCATGCTGTTTTGGTTACTATAGCCTTGTAGTATAGTTTGAAGTCAGGTAGTGTGATGCCTCCAGTTTTGTTCTTTTGGCTTAGGATTGACTTGGCGATGCGGGCTCTTTTTTGGTTCCATATGAACTTCAAAGTAGTTTTTTCCAATTCTGTGAAGAAAGTCATTGGTAGCTTAATGGGGATGGCATTGAATCTGTAAATTACCTTTTCACGATATTGATTCTTCCTACCCATGAGCATGGAATGTTCTTCCATTTGTTTGTATCCTCTTTTATTTCCTTGAGCAGTGGTTTGTCGTTCTCCTTGAAGAGGTCCTTCACATCCCTTGTAAGTTGGATTCCTAGGTATTTTATTCTCTTTGAAGCAATTGTGAATGGGAGTTCACTCATGATCCACCATGATCAAGTGGGCTTCATCCCTGGGATGCAAGGCTGGTTCAATATACACAAATCAATAAAGGTAATCCAGCATATAAACAGAACCAAAGACAAAAACCACATGATTATCTCAATAGATGCAGAAAAGGCCTTTGACAAAATTCAACAACCCTTCATGCCAAAAACTCTCAATAAATTAGGTATTGACGGGACATATCTCAAAATAATAAGAGCTATCTATGACAAACCCACAGCCAGTATCATACTGAATGGGCAAAAACTGGAAGCATTCCCTTTGAAAACTGGCACAAGACAGGGATGCCCTCTCTCACCACTCCTATTCAACATAGAGTTGGAAGTTCTGGCCAGGGCAATTAGGCAGGAGAAGGAAATAAAGGGTATTCAATTAGGAAAAGAGGAAGTCAAATTGTCCCTGTTTGCAGACGACATGATTGTGTATCTGGAAAACCCCATTGTCTCAGCCCAAAATCTCCTTAAGCTGATAAGCAACTTCAGCAAAGTCTCAGGATACAAAATCAATGTACAAAAATCACAAGCATTCTTATACACCAACAACAGACAAACAGAGAGCCAAATCATGAGTGAAATCATGAGTAATATGGCCTTCTAACTGCTCATCCTGCTTCCATTCTTGTTCCACATGCAAGTCCTTCACTAGCTGAAACAGAACTATGTCACTAATTTACTTAAAGCCTTTCATTAATTTCCCACTGCACTAAAATTAAAAAATGTTAACCCAATCTACAATGGCCTTCGTGATTTAGCCAGCTATCCAGTTTCTCTCACTCTTGCTTACTAGGGTCCTTGAGTTCCGCAAATTTTAACAGCTAAACTCTATACCGTCGCCCTAAGCCTCATGTTCTTAAGCTCTGCTAGTGTTGCTCCTCTCCCAACTCAACAATACTGGCCTCTGATTATTCATTGCCTAAACACACCCATTCATTTCTACCATACAGTCCCTGAATTTGCTCTTTCCTCTACCTGGAACCTTCTTCCCTCAGATCTTTGCTTGGCTGGTTCACTTTTGGCAATCAAAACATAATAACCACACCTGCTAGCTTCACCTTTGGTTCTCATTTCTTTCTTTTGTTATGATTCCACATTCCTGTTTGTAATTTTTAGCTCTGCTAGTTTTCTGTTTTCAGCAAAGTATTATAATATAAAAACCAAGAAACAAACAAAAAAACCTCACAATTAAATTATCACCTCCTTAGGAGGGGTTTTTCTGTCCAAGAAATGTAAAAGTCATCTTCCTCCTACCCCTAACCTCAATTGCTTTCTGTTACATTTTCTAGTATTGTTTCTTTATTTTTATATTTTATTTTTAATTAACAAAGCATAATTGTATATAATTATTAAGTGAGATGCTTTGATATATGTTTACAATGTGAAGTGATTACATCAGGCTAATCAACAAATTCATCACCTCATATACTTTTTTTGTGGTAAAAACATTGAAAATATACTCTGAGAAATTTTGAAATATACAAAACATTACTATTTATTATAGCCACCATTCTGTGCAACAAATTACAGAAGTTTATTCCTCTATACAGAAACTTTGCATCCTTAGATTGATGCACTTGTCTCTATCCCAAAATTACAAGCCTCTCCCCACTACCTCCTCGCTCTAATTCTTTCTTTCCCCTGCTTGAATGTGAGCTCCATGGATGAAAACTTTTTTGTTACCTCAGTACTTAGAATGGAGTTTGCCATATAGTAGGCACTTAATTATTGTATTTGAATCTTCAATAAATAAAGCTGTTTTGAATAGGAATTCATACAAACTGATTGTTTACTATGGAGAATTGTTTCCCCAACTTTTCACTTGTCTAACTCCTACTGAATTTTAATGCCATTTATTCAGAGATGCCTAGCATGGCCTTCACAGTGTTTCATTGTCTTATTTACTTTGCTTCATAGCTCTTATCAAATTTATATATATGTAATTATATATATTATATATATAAAAATATATAATATATATTATATATATTAAGTATTATATATTATATTATATATTTTATATTATATTATATATTATATTATATATCATATATATTATATTATATAATATATTATGTATCATATATATTATATTATATTATATATTACATTATATATCATATTATATGTAATAGATTATATATATTATATATAAATATATAATATATAAATATGTATTATATATAAATATAGAATTACATATATATAAATTTGATAAGAGCTATGAAGCAAAGTAAATAAGACAATATAATATATATTATATATTTATATATTATATATTTATATAAATAATATATATAATTACATATATATAAATTTGATAAGAGCTATGAAGCAAAGTAAATAAGACAATGAAACACTGTGAAGGCCATGCTAAGCATCTCTGAATAAATGGCATTAAAATTCAGTAGGAGTTAGACAAGTGAAAAGTTGGGGAAAGAATTCTCCATAATACATATATGTAATTTTAGAGATGGAGTCTTGCTCTGTTTCCCAGACTGGAGTGCAGTGGTGCCATCATAGCCGCCATAGCCTTGAACCCCTGGGCTAAGCAATCCTCCCACGTCAGCCTCTCAAGTAGGTGGGACTAAAAGTGCATGCCATTGTGCCTGGCTAAATTTTTTTAAGTTTAGTTTTTATTTTTTGTAGAGACAGGTTCCCCAGGCTGGTCTTGAACTATTGGTCTCAACCAGTCCTCCCAGTTTGACTTCCAAAAATTCTGGGATTACTGGCATGAGCCACTGCACCTGGCCTCCAAATTTTATTTATGTTTGTAGACAGAGTGCTTCAAGAAGGCAGAATATGTTTATTTGTGTGTGTGTGTGTTTGTGAGTGTGTATTATATATATGTTTATATATTATATATATAATATATATAACATAATATATATGTTTTATATATAATATATATGTTATATATATACACACACGCAACACATACACACATATACATCCACACACACACGTGTGTGGATGTATTCATAGCGCGTGTGCTGTGAATTCTTATTGAACGGATTGTGAGAAAAGTCAATATATTGAGATATTCATGAAGAAACCTAAGAATCTCTTTGTTTTCCTTTTCATGGAATTGCCCTGAGTAAACCAGGTTAATAGGATTGCATTATCCAAATTATATGTGATTTCACTTTATAGTGATTAATGCTTGTTAATAAATAATGGTGTCTAAAAGCAATATTGCCTAATTTAAAAATACATTAAATCGTAGTATTTCTCATGCTGTAAAATAAGAAAGGAAGATCAACTATGTATTGATATTTTCATAGAACAGAAATAAAAATACTCTAAATAGTCATCCTAAAGACTTTATTCCTTATTTACTTTCCAGTATGTTTTATCTCATTTTGTGTTAAGCCAAGTACATCATGATACAGTTTTTTTAACAATTAAGGACTTATATATCAAGATGCCCTTGTGAAACTGTTAAGGCATAAATAAGACAAAATTATAATTTTACTTAACGCTATAATTAAAGATCTCAAATGAGCCTTTACCAAGGACTTTTAATAAATTACTTTCATCTTTCATGATAAATTTGAGAATGAAACACTGGAAAAGTTATTGCTTTTCCATTCAACCCATGGGTGAGAGGTTTACTGAATACATAGAAGTTGTCTGTGGGTGATGTAGAAACTGCAAAACTCTTGCAAGCTGAATGTCTTGGGGGACTTCTGGATATACGACTTTGCTAACTGAATTAGAGCATTTTACTCTTTCTCTCTCTGAGCTCAAGTTTCCTCACCTAAAATTGGGCATAATAATATGCCTCATGGGTTGCTGGTAAGACTGAACAAGTTAGCGCATGTGAAACAAAGTTTCTAAACTGTAAAGCACATATAAGTGCTAGTTATAATTATTTTGAAAATGTTTTCAGTCTCATTTCAAATATCTCCATGTAGTTGAAAGAGTTTGTGCCATAAGTAAAATCGCTCATAGGCACTGAAAATTTCCAAGTAGTTATCATTGGTCTTGAGCACAGAATTGCTATTAGAGAAGATAAAATTTAAATCTCAAAGGCAAAGGCACAGTACCACCCACCTGTGGATCCCTGAGACTGAAGGCTGAGGACTACATCATTACCCTTCCGCAATGTGGGCTGTACACACACAAGCCAAGCCCATTTGTCTGTTTGCCTTAGTCTTCCTTCTGACTCCATAATCCTGGCTATTTATGGCTCTGGAAATAACATGAACCAGCTTGCAATGGTATATGATTATTTAGATGGTTAAAGTTATTGGTCAGTTAAGATACCAAAAAAATCAACAACTGTCAGAAAAAAACGGCACAATTCAGAATTGGGATTGTGGCATGTACCAAGCAGAGAGACTGTTACCCATCCAGGGAAATGCAGACTTCTTGTTAGGTTGGGTTATTCCTGACATCCTCTGTGGCAAATCTTTTATAATGTCAGGATCCATTTATGTAGTCTCAAGGGACTTGAGATGGGTGTAGATCAGGGAAATTTCCCAAAGGGGTAAATCCATTCCAACTTTTTGGGACATGAACTATGGTCTTTGTGATTTGGCCATATTACCAATGTTATAGCCCTGACAAAAGGCATTCATTGAGGTCACTTTGTACATTATGTAGTAGGATGATCTTGTGATGTTAAGGAATGCAAAAATGCCCCGAAACACACAACAATCAGAATTGTCACAAAAGTAAAAAGGTGTTTTATTTTCTCCACCTTGGAGGCCACAATAAGCACCAGATATTGGTAACAGAGACGACTGCATGATTTTTTTGGAATGATTTTCTTACTCCCTCAATCCCTACCTTCCTAATGAAAATGGTCCATTACATGGCTGCCCTTCTTTGAAGCATACAATGCTTATAGTTTCCAAGAAATGAGAAAACGTGAGTCAGCCTATTACATATTATAGACATAAATTCAGAGCTGATTATTGTCAATGGAATTTGGCCCTTATCAAAATTCTTGGAATAGGCTCTTAATATATAATGAAACTATATTCTTACAGAATTTATTTTATGATGTATATCATCTGAGCAGTAAAGAGATTAATTCTAAAATTTTCTGACTCTCAGTGCTTTGCAATCATGTTTATTTAGTTAAACTTACAGGCAAAAATTTTAGAGTTTTAGGATGGATGAATTTTTCTTTCTATTCCCATCTATTTATAATCACCCTGCATATTTCTGAGGTTTTTATTTCATTGCACATGTTCGGTGAAAACTCATGCATATTTCACTTAATAAGATTAATTATCATCTTTCCACTAATTATAATTGTCTCCTCAGGTAATTGTATAAGTTAACTTTGGCAATTTACACATACAGAATAATATTTTGTAGAATAATAGCACAATGTACTGCAAAACAGAGTAAAGAGCATAGCATAAGGGCATGAACACAGAAGAAAAGAATTCAGAGTTCTAATTTATTAAGCTTTTCTTACGTGTGTTGCTATATATCTAATTGCAAATTGTGCAGTTGAATATATTACATCCTCTGTATATAGTAATAATCCCTTAATGCAAACCTTATGACAGTAGGCATTTCTACTAAAGATTACTTTTAAAACATATATCTATTTCTCTCTTCTCTTAATAGATATTAGTATTCTAAGATCTTGTTAAATAGCTTATGCTTTAAAAGATAAATGCCCTCAAAATTGGTAATTTATATGCAAAACAAATGAAAAAGCCTTTCTTCAAAGCATCTATCCTTGAATGTACAAATTAAGGCTTTCTTCATTTATGAAGCTTATTTTTTAGCTGTTATTTATACCTAATGGTTAGTTTATATGTTACTACATTAAGAAGTCAGTGTTTTGAAGATGCCATATGACACCAAAATGGCCATCTTTTGAAATTATGGGATGCTTCATTGCAGAGTCAGACTCTAATCTGCAACCAATTTGTGTCAGCTTTCTGCATAGAAAAGATCTCAAATCCTCTCTTAAACCAGGAATCAGCTGAAGGTTTGTCTTGGTTTCATGAGCCCAGTGCAATTAGGCGGCACGTGAATGTGGGCCACATGCGTTTATTGCTCTTCCTAGCATGTGTTACTTTGATGTGTTAGGTCGGAAGGCTCACTCTTTTCTGGGCAGCCTTCCTCCTGGGTCTTTATACTGCTTAGCAGTTGAGTCCAGACTTTGAAACACAGCCTAATTTAGAGGCAGATGCTGCAGCTGCTGCTGTCATTTCAGATGATTTTTTTTTTTTTTTGCTTTGATGTCAGCTTAGAATCTTGGGTGTTGTATCAGTAAAGCAGTGTCTGCGATTCACAAAACAGAAAGCACACCACTTAAGCTTTTGTTTTAGCCTTTAAATAAAAATTCAACAACTTCTAAACTATCAAAAAATTGTAGTTGAGCAGAAATATATGGAATTATGTACATTACTAATTGGCAGGAAGGAATGAATAAAGACTATGTAGCTCTATGGGTATTAATTTAATATCAGAATTGCTAATATCTGATAAACATAATAAAATACATCAAATGTAAATAACCCTCTCTTTTCATGTTGTTCTCTTTCTCTCTGGTTAATGTGGCACAGAGTTTTTCTCTTCTAAATGTTTGTCTAATTTTTTTAAAGCATTTTTATATTCATAATTGTTATTTTGTTTTGAACTTATGCTTTACCTTAGCAGGGAGCTTACTAAATCCTTTGGGGACAGGACCAATAATGGACCTGTTTATCTTCATTTTCATTAATTGAAAACCCTAGGTATGAGAAGTCTATTAGATTTCTAAATTGGAAATAACTTCGGCATCTCCAAATTGTCTGTTACTTGATATGAAGAATAGTTTTAAAGAATAAAAGAATTGGAGATTTGAGAGTTAGTTGCTAGTGAACCTATAGGACTATATTGATAGATTTCTCCTTTCCTCAGCCAATGCAACACCAAAAAGGTATAGCAGATTCCTTTCTGTGCTTTCCCTGTTGACAAGAAACATTTATCATCAAGGGATATCAAAACAGCAACTGCCTAGGTGTAGCAGTTTTGTTTCTTTCCTTTTTTTTTTTTTTTTAAAGGTTTGACATTGAGTACACATGGACACAAAGAAGGAAACAGTAGACACGGGGGCCTACTTGAGGGTAGAGGATGGGAAGGATGGAAAACTCCCTATCCAGTAATATGCTCACTACCTGGGTAATTAAATAATTTGTACACCAAACCCCAGCAACATGCAGTATACCCATGTAACAAGCCTGCACATGTATACACTGAACTTAAAACAAGAGTTGGAAGGAATAAAAATAGGTTTGAAAGAAGTAAACTGCCACTGTCTGTAAGCAAGAAAAGAAAATATACAGTTTTTGTAGTTCGATGTAATTTTACCTAATACAGAGAAAAACTAATGATGACTTTATTGTGGTATATTGATAATAAGGCAAGTCTGAATTCTAGTTACCCAAACATATTTTTGTGAAGATCATCTGTTTTTTTCCCTTCTGTAGAAATGGTCATTACAGTATATGCTGGTAAGAGTTCTTTCAAAATATGGCCATTATAAGTTTTCTTTGTGGGCAAGAACATTAACTGTTGATGATAGCAAACAAGGTTTTAAAAAATTGGTGAATATTTATTCTAGCTTCATTTTAATATGAAACATTGGAAATAACCTAAATGTTCTAAAAAGGAATGATTAAGTTAAATATTATGTAGCCACTCAATGGAATACTATGTAGTCAATTAAAACGTTTATGTAGAGTTTTTACTAATGTTGCACAATTACATAGGAAAATATAACAAAGTTAGGGAAAATGAGAAAAGAAATACATATTATGATCATAGTACCTGTCTGGTTAGTTGGAATACAGGGTTATTTTCACTTCTACTTTTCTAAATATTCAAAAACATTTTATATTGAGCAATCGTTTATAGCTTTTTATAAAGTAATTTAAAATTATTTTAAAAAATCTATAAATGTCCTAATATATGCAATGTACTGCACTTATATAAATGGAATTTGTTCAATAGCTGTGTTTTGTAATTTAAAAAAATTAAATGAAATTCCATTTAATTTCTTAGAGTTAGCATGGACATATGAATGTATAATATAGATAGGGTTTTTCTTTTACTTTTCCTTTTTTGGCTTTTTTTCAATTACAGAATTTTAATTTTCTCATTTTACTTTGATTATGCAAAGTAAGTCAGTACTATATAAAAGTGTTATAATATGACCTCATTTTATTTCCTTATATTTTAAAAATTGTGTTGGATTTTCTAATTGTGACTAAATTTGGTGATAATAATAGCTATGAGCTCTTGAATTTCCTAAAAATGAAAAATTATTTTTAATAGCAGATAATAGGAAATTATAGTTAAATAATGATATTGAATCTGGATTTCAGGTTAAATTTCAATATACTTAGACTGTCAATATAATAACCAGTATGCACATGTGACTAGTTAAATTTAAATTAATTAAAATTACATAAAATTTAAAATTAAGTTCTTCAGTCACATCAGCCTCATTTCAAGTGCTAATAGCCATATGAGGTTGGTGACTATGGTATTGGACAACACAGATACAAAATATTTTCACTGTCACAAAATGTTCCATTGGAAAGCACTGATACCGACAATATTCTGAATAATTAGTACTCTGCTCCTAATTTTATCCTTTATAGCATGTTCATAGAAGGAAACTTTCAGATGATTATCTCAACTTTAGTTTTACATTTTGCTGTTACATAGACATTTTTAAGAGAGAGGGAGGCTCTCTCAGCATGTTTTATCTGCCATGTGTGTTTATGTGACAAAAGAAAGTCATTATGATTGAACAATAGCCTGTACTAAAATAAAATCCATCTTTCATGCCTTTGTTCTTATAATATTTGCTTTTTTCAAAACCCAGGTTTTTTTCTTTCTTTCTTTTTAATTTTTTTTTAACATAAGCAATAGGGCACAGAGCCCTGTGCAAACAGAAAGTGTGGGAAAAACCTGGAGGCTACCAACCAGTTAAAGTGAAAGGTGAAAGGAAGGGGTTCTGTAATCAGGAGAGGATAAAAGAGAAGATAACTCCAACTATAATAATATTGCTTTAAGTAAAAGTAAAAATAAAAATAAATAAAACAGTGGCTGAAATATTCCAACCATCTTTTAAGGTATTATGTGTAATCTTTTGTAGCACACTAGAAATCTTTTCCTAAAGAGTAACTGTGCAGAGTATTGCACAGATAGTAAAAGTTAAGATCAAAGGAGAGATCAGAGTCATATTTTTAAAAAGAATACTTTTCCTTAAATCATAAATATAATAATTTTCAATACAATAATTGTAGGAAATACAGAAAAGCATAAACATGGAAGTAAAAAGCCTTTTTTATATTTTTGCATAGTTATTCTATTGCATAATTAATATATATTTTATAGAAAATTTTTACTCTAAAATTTTTTCCCACATTATAAGCATTTAACAAAATAATTTAAAATTTTTCATACAATATAATTCTAATTATTTCACTTAAACATGGAATTTACTTAACTGGTTTATCACCTCAGAATATTTAGGTTATTTTGAATTTTCTTGTTTAAATAATTCTACCATAAACTCTTTCTTGCATGAATTCTTGTATACATATATCATTATGTCCTTAGCATAGATTTCCAAAATTTAAATTGTTACATTATGGATTGCAAATTTGAACGACTTTTGCTTTTTATTAATAAATTTCCTTATAAATTTGTGATGATAATGTACATTTCCACTAGCAGTGAATAGTAAAATTTAAGATCAAAGGAGAGATCAAAGTCATATTTTTAAAAAGAATACACCTGTTTTTCCTAATACATCACTGCTGGAATGGCAAATAAAGGAGTAGTATTACTAAAGTTGGAAATTATCAAGAATAATTTTGTATTCACTTATGGTTGATAAATTTCAAAGATAGTACTGTTAAAACTTGTTTTGAAGCATGACAAAACATCATATATTAAATTTCAGTTCTTCAAATAATAAGATATTAACTAGCATATAGAAATGGAAATAATTTTATTTTCTTAAATTAATTTCTTTATTAACACAGTTTAAAGAAATAAACAACAGCATTGTAATATAACATTAGCTTAGATATCATATTAATAATATTAGAAACAAAATAACATGTATATTTAAAATCATATTTATTCCAATAGATTCTACATTTAGCTTTTATTATATTAATCCTGAGTCTTAAAAAGTGAAATATAATAACTTGAAACTATGGAAAACTTTTTAAACATTTTAAAGAAAATAAAGGAAACAAAAAATATTGATAAGTAGATCTGATGTATCCATGATTATCCAAATTGTCTTTTTCAGTGGATTCACCCAGTTAAGGTAAAAAGCATATTATAGAAAACATAATTGAATAAAATTCCTTTATTCCATTAAAATTCTTCTAAAGTAGCTTATGATGGGTCCCAAAGAGAAGAAAAAAAATAAGTAAAATAAAGTGGTAGTGAACTACAAAACTTTTTCACCTTGTTTGGCAATTGTCTATAAATTTTATAGAGCATTTATTAAGTAGCTAGAATGTGGCAAGCCTTAGGTTAGGCTCAAGGTCATTTGGCAAATAAGCATAACAGCTGAGGTTTATTGGTAAATAAGCATAAGAGCTGAGGTTTGAACTAGTCCAAGCCCATATTAAACTACTTCTTACAGACTGTGAGTATGCATAGTGTTGTCATTACTGAAATTCATACTCGACAGTGGGGCTTCAAAGAAGTAAGACTTTAACTTCCAACAGTTTGAAAATTGTTTCTATATTGTAGTGATACAACAATATATACACAAGTTCTATGCTTGTTTAATGTTTGTACAACAGTCCTGAGGCAGTTGGGTGGTCTGTGAGGGGTCTCTCTGGCTCACAAAGTCATCCAAGGAACCAGGTTTCTTCCATGTTGATGTTTCACCATCTTCTAGGGTATTTCTCTGGTTTGTATGGTCAGTGCTGACTCTTGAGTGGCACATCTCCTTTTTAGTCTAGGAGAGGAGCCATACCCAAGCGTTTTAATGGTGGGCCCATAGATTGCATATATCACTTCTACTTACATCCATTTAATAAATACTTAGGCACCTCTAGTTGCAAAGGAATCTTGGGAATATAGTGTTGGCCTAGTTGGCCACGTGAGAACCCAACCACTAGAAACAGGAGTCCAAATACTTCTGCCCACTGCATCCTGGGCTACTGTTCAGGTCCACCATGCACTGGTTCCTAATTTGTCAGAACCTGGTGAGACAGGACACGCTCACACACAGGTTATGCAAGGTGAGTTTATTATTTACAGAGAGGCAGCAAGGAACAGAAGGTCTCAGATCCGTTGTGAGCCAGCCCCTCAAGGCCCAAGAAAGCTACCCAAGATGGATGAAATTTTGATGCGTGCCTCACTTGCACCACCTCAGAAGTAATGAGACTCACTGGCCAAAGCTTTAAAGGACATCCTGCTTCCAAGGAATAAAAGAGAAAAGCCTGGGCTTTCATAGGCAGTTTCTTCCTCACTCAAGATGTAACATTCCCTAGGAAGAACAGGAACACTGCCTGGGCTGTTTCAGGTGGTTTCTCCCTATCTCAGGACATTGCATTCCCAGGACATTCCACAACTATTCTTGAAAACTACAAGCAAGAGGTGGAAGGGTAAGGAAAGAGCTGGGTCAGTCCAAAGCCACTGGAGTGCTGTACTATGTTATGTTCCCTGCTAAGGCTTAGTGGGGTGGCCATTATTTAATTATGAAAAGACTGAAGAAAAGAATGGATAGTGGAGGGGGGCATTTCATAATTAACTAAACCTACCTACTGATTCCTCATTTCCCCAATGATGTTAATATTTAGTTTAACCAAATTTGGTTTGATAAGTTTCATATTTTGTCCTGTATCATGTTATGTTGGAACTTGCTGGTTGTGTAATCATACATTTTTCCCCCTAAAAGCTGGAGATGACCATAAAGGTAGTCTACTCTGATTCTTACATTTCATTGATGAGGGAATTAAGCTTATAGAAGAGTGCTGCTTAGCCCAGATTACTTCTGCTAGTTAATGATAGAGCGGAGCCATCAACTTAGACCCTGCTTTAAATATAAAATTAATTCCTTTTGGTTTTATTTTCTAAAAAAGTAGTATAAAATATGAAACCATAAAAAAGATACATTCATACCTTAAATATTTTTTTCATTTAATCCTAAAACATTGTGGAAATACAGATGTTTCTGTTTATAGAATGGATATGCTGATTGGAGGTCTCCAACATCCTTCTTGAATAAATCCCAACCCGTTTGAATTATCTATAATTTCTTGTTTCAGTTTTTTTTTGAATAGCAGCTACAATTTAAAAAAACACATTTTAAGTAATCTGAGTTCAGGGTTCTTCTGGACTAGAAAGACTATTTTTTTCTAACCTTACATGGTATCTGGATTATGTCTAAATCCACAACATTTTTTAAAGCCTTTGGCCTTTATCTAGTTGTATCAAGGTATTGAACTCTCATGAAAACAAAAATTTTATTTCTGCACTCATAGTCCACTGGGTTGTTAAATAGTTAATTAATGGTATATAAATTCAGTAACAAGGCCATTTGAAATAAATACTATCAGCTCAAACATAACTGACTTCTATTAAACACATAACCAATGAAGCAGACATAGGAGGGTGGGCTAGAGTTGACGACAAGCTCAGTGCTCTGTGAGCTGTATGCGTCAATAAGTACATTATGCAAGGGGAATGGAGAGCTTTTAAGAGAGTATCTATGGCACTAAATATGAAATTAAAACTAATCCTTATCTGACCACTCGTATTTAAAAGATTACCATTCCTCCCCCTTTGTTTTTATATCATTATTATCATATTCATCACTATTAAAATTTGAGATCCAAATGTAGAGAATGTCGTGTGAGAAATTGTGGAATTCCAGAATGTTAATATATGATCCCTAACCTCAGGGGACTTGAAATACTGTATAGTGGGGAATCAAGAACATCAAAGTAAGAGTTCTGAAAGTCTGAAAGGAAATCAAAGAGAATTGGGGGTTTAAGCAAAGATTTTCCATACTTTTTCATATTTTTCCACACCGTCTAAGAAAAGCTAATATGCTAATTTTATTGAAAATATCAACTTTTACATACTGCTGTTAATTCCTTACATCAACAAAGTGACCAAATCTATAAAGGTACTAAACAAGTAATAAAATTGTATAAAATTCAAACAAAATTTTATTTATTTACCTGATATTCGCAGCATTAGAAGCAGTTTAAATGTTCAGCAATGTGTCTTTAAGACTTTGAGAATCTCCCCTTCAGGTATCTTGCATAGAAGCAAGTAGACTTGATTAGTAAATATCATCGTAAAGCAGAATTTGTGGAGTCCAAAGATGCAATATATCTTGAAAACCTTAGTCACTTATAATTAAGTTAAATTATTATGTTAATAGTTAAGATAAATGAACATGCACATAGCATGGACTATTATGCAGTCATTAAAATACTTTTATGAAAGATTTTGAAAATAATATTGAATACTTATGGGTTTTTTTGTTGTAAAACTATGAAATAAAATGGATAATAAAGTATAATTACAACTATGTAAAAAGAGTCATATAAAACGCTGAGAGGACCTATATTGTAAAGATTATTAATGATTTACATTTTTCACTTATACTTGTTGCCAGTAAAAATAAAGATTGTTTTAAACAAGTGTTACATGGATTTCAGTTTCTCACATTCTACTGTTTAACAGATGGTGTGTTTTAAAATCTCCCCCCAAATATATGAAATCACATAATATTTAATTATTCTCAAATCTTGGTGAGGATGAATTTCAGGCTTCAATAGCTATAGACTATGGGTGATTCACCTATCAAAAAAGACAAAAACAAGGTATTGGCATTTTCAGTTCCTCATGCCCCATTTACTGACTTGTGCTAAATTTATATACTGTAGAAGTTAATGTAGCTGATAAAACTTTCTCTAAGAAAGAGTAGCATTAGCAAATTTTTAAAAATGAAAGACTTTTTATATACAGATAATATAACTCAAAGTTTTCTTTATGGAATATATTTTTTCAAATATATGATAATAAATGAAGGCTTGACTACATGACAGCTATAGACTTAGTACATTCCAGTTTATCAAAATCCATTTAAAGGTTAAATAACATTTGGATATTCTAGTTTGTCAAGGAATTCTGTAGTAAAGGTAATGATTTCATAAAAATTGATAAGAGAGGCCGGGCGCGGTGGCTCACGCCTGTAATCCCAGCACTTTGGGAGGCCGAGGCGGGTGGATCATGAGGTCAAGAGATCGAGACCATCCTGGCTAACAAGGTGAAACCCCGTCTCTACTAAAAATACAAAAAAATTAGCCGGGCGCGGTGGCGGGCGCCTGTAGTCCCAGCTACTCGGGAGGCTGAGGCAGGAGAATGGCGTGAACCCGGGAAGCGGAGCTTGCAGTGAGCCGAGATTGCGCCACTGCAGTCCGCAGTCCGGCCTGGGCGACAGAGCGAGACTCCGTCTCAAAAAAAAAAAAAAAAAAAAAATTGATAAGAGAAAACGTTAACTAGTAATGGATTGCCGAAGTGTTGAGTAGATAAGCAAAAAATGAAAAATTACTATCACCAATTTGCTTATTGTGTACTGTGTCGTTTCTGTGCCTCACCTACATTCTTCTTGCCTGACTTTTGTTAGAAAAGGTCACATTTTGAGTAATTGGCTGAAAGTATAATTAAAGCTAATTATCAAGTAATGCAAGCAAGACTGCATAATTATAGAAATGATTTTTACAGTGATAAATTATAGCAGAAAGTTAGAGTGTTACAGCTCCTAAAATATATTTTTTCTTTAAACCTTGTTTAAATTGCTTACATGAGATAAAATCAAGAACAGGTATGAAATTATGCATATATTTGAAAATATGTTTTTAAAATTATTTTTCTCTTCAATTAACCCAGTGTATCTACATCTACCAAATTTAAATGAACCACAAATTTCATTTTACAAATGAAATCACAGAAAAGATAGCTCTTTATAAGTGAATAAACTACATAGAATAGTAAAGTCACATTTATTTTCAAATCTTATGTCTAAAGTATTTATGGTTTCCAAATTTTAAGACATTTAGTGCAATGCTAATTTAATTGTACTACAAAATGCAAAGAATTATAAATATATGGAGAAAATTGGTTGACAGATATTGATTATAATATGCTATTATTTTCATTTATTTAGATTCTTCACAACCTTATATGCACATATGTATCTAAAATAATTCTATTACCAATCAAAATGCTTTCCTTGGAAGAAATGTATATATTCGTTTTCTAGGGTTCTGACAGACCTTGAACATGGACTTTTTCTATTGCAAATTTCTACCAACCACACCATCTCCCAAATAAAGTAAATAGAATAAAGGGAAAGTTCTCATTCCTCATATGTCAATTTCATTTTGTTACAGTAGATTTAATAATGACAAGTAGTAAGGATACAGAATTTGTGACTGTCCAATGGTACAGATTGAATTGGGCTTGTGAATTCTAAGACCCCATAGCTCAGTCATTTTCAGTTTTCCTCAGTTCTCTTCTTTTTACCGCTAACCAACCTCCACAGTTCATTGATGCTCATTTTTCAAAGTATTTTAAATCTCATTGCACTCCTAATGATACTGCTTTTTTGAGACCAGTATAATTCTCATTTTACTACTGCAATAATCTTCTAATATTTCTGCCATTTGACAATCTGTTTTCCTACAATCCATCCTTTTTTTCTATGAAAATATCTTCCTGTTATAGACATCTTCTACAGACTTCCATGACTTCTATTTACAATTTTGAGTAGAATACCCTGATATCAACCTTTTTCATATTGCAGTAAAGGACATAGTGATTCAGAATGTGCTTTAATATAGTATCTAATACTGAATGAGTCTTCTTTTTGTGTCATTAGAATGCCGATATCTTTGTTTAAATAAATTTCCTCTTGCTGATTATTGTGTGCCTTCTCTATTACGATGTTTCTATTGGTCACTCAGGATTGAAACTACTGAACCTTTTTAATGTGTCTAGTGAGGCTTAGCTAGCAAACAGTGAGGCCTAGATTCACACTCAGCCATCTTGATACTAATACATGAACGTATACAGTGTTTCTCAAACTTTATGGTGCATATAAGTCACCCGGGATCTTTCAAAAATGTAGATTCTGATACAGTGAATCTAGAATGGGGCCTGAGATTCTACATTTCTAACAAGCTGGCAGGTGGTATTTATGCTGCTTTACAGTATACCATAGTACCAGTTGCAATAATTATCTATGTATATGCAACCCAGGGAAATACAATTTTGGCAAATAAGCAGTTAACTAAAAAAAATTTAAAAAATTAAAAAAACTTAACAGTTAATTACAAATAATACTAACCAAAGGGTTGGATAGTATCTGTCCTTTTTCCTCAAAAAGAGTACAGTTTAAAAAAGAGAGAAAACTAAGAATAAAAAGCTACTGAAATACGGGGCAGAAAATTACATAAGTCAATAGAAAAGGCATAAAGGAGGATGTGGTATGAAGTGCCAATTATGTGTAATAGAGGAGAAAACAAAAAACGTTTCAGGAAATGTGTTAGTTGAGGCTGCTATAGACAGACTGGCCAGCTTAAACCATAAACATTTATTTCTTAGTTCTAAAAGCTGAGAAGTACAAGATCAAGGCATCAGGAGATACAGTGTCTGATGAGGGCCCTTCCTAGTTTTTAGGTTTGTATCCTCATATGGTCCAGAGAGAGAAAGACAATCCTTGTATTTCTTCCTACAAAGATACTAATCCCATTCATGGGGACCCAACTTCATGACCTCATCTAAACCTAATTAACTCCTAAAGGACACATCTCCTAATACCATCACACTGGGAGTTAGAATTTCAACACAGAAATTTTGGGTGACAAAAAATTCTGCATATGACATTGTACTGTTAACCTCTCAAATTCATGACTTTGTAGAACACAAAATATATTTATTCCATCCCAACAGTCTTAACTCATTCCAACATCAACTATAAAGTCCAAAATCTCATCTAAAGATCATTTAAATCAGAAGTAGGTAAAATGTGATGTACAATTTATCCTAAGGCAAAACTTCTTTGTAGCTGTGAGACTGTGAAACCAAACAAGTTATATGCTTCCAAAATATATTGATGGGATAGGTTTAGGATAGACATTCCCATTCCAAAAGGGAGAAATAAGATGGAAGAAAGGGGGTAAAAGGTCCCAAGGAGGCCCAAAACATAGTAATGTGTACCCTAGGTGATCTTAAGGCTCAAGAATAATCCTCTTCCACTCAGATGCTCTGCTTTCAAGGCCCACTAGGGTGGCAACATTACCCCAGTGACTAGGCAGGTTGAGCCTGCCTCTTCAACTTGGTAAGGCACTGCCCATGCTAATACTGGAAGATGTGCAGTTTGAGAGCTTTTTGGGAGATAAGTAGTATTTCAAGAGGAAAGATATAGGTGTGAGAATTCTAAAGAACATTCTGGAATGAAGAAGTTGCTAGATCATAGGCATAAAGGTAGGTCACTGTGAGACATTTGTAGGAAACATTAAGAAGTCTTGTTTGGTTGTGCTGTTAGGTGAGTAACATATAGAAGAATAAAGAAGGTAACTTAGAAGAGGTCTAAAAAACAAAGAAGAGCATTTTAAATGTCAACCAGATATGAACATGGCGTATATTCCAGAATGCTTCTTAGACCAGTCTAGACTAGTGATCCCTCTTAAAGCAGCAGAGCCACTTTCGGCTTCTCAGTTAAACTCAGCAAACATTTACTGAATGAATACTGAATGCAATGAAATGATACAAGGTGTAGTAAGCAGAGAGTGGCCCCTAAATAATTATTACACAAGTGAAGACATTTTTGACCACAAGTTTGTAATAATGCACCAGGGATGGCAGGGATGGCATAATAATTACAATTAAGGTCATGATTGATGGTATTAAAATGACTTCTATCCAGTGCCTTTATATATGGCATATAGGTGACACTATAATTATGGATGGCAGGAAGTAAACTGCTTAAGAACATCCTTAAGATTCCAGTCACATACAAGTTTTTTATTTCAACTTCTATTTTAGATTCAGTAGGTACATGTTCAGGTTTGTTACTTGAGTATATTTTGTGATGCTGATATTTGGGGTACAAATGATCCTGTCACCCAGGTACTGAGCATAGTACCCAAGAGTTAGTTTTTCAACCCTTTCCTCCTTCTTTCCCTCTCCCTTCCAGTAGGTACCAGTGTCTATTATTGTCATCTTTATGTCCCTGCAAGTTTTTATAATACTCCTTCTTTATAGATAGACATTCTGATTTCACAACTTAAGAAACAGCATTTATGGCCTACTGTGATCTCCCGTGGGTTAGTCTAATCTTGATTCTTTGTGCACAGTGGAAACAACAGAGTCCTTGATTGTGTCCCTTGTCTCCACCAAGTCACCAAATAAAGACATAATCTAAGTTAAAAACTCTACTTTCATTCCCTTTGAAAACTGGCACAAGACAAGGGTGCCCTCTCTCACCACTGCTGTTCAACATAGTATTGGAAGTGCTAGCCAGGGCAATCAGGCAAGAGGAGGAAAAAAAGGTATTCAAATAGGAAGAGAGGCAGTCAAATTGTCTCCGTTTGCAGAAGACATGATTGTGTATTTAGAAAACCCCATTGTCTCAGCCCCAAAACTAAGCTGATGAGCAAATTCAGCAAAGTCTCAGGATACAAAATCAATGTGCAAAAATCACAAGCATTCTTATACACCAATAATAGGCAGCAAGCCAAATCATGAGTGAACTCTCATTCACAATTGCTACAAACAGAATAAAATAGCTAGGAATACAACTTACAAGGGATGTGAAGGACGTCTTCAAGGAGAACTACAAATCACTGCTCAAGGAAATAAGAAAGGACACAAACAAATGGAAAAAAAATTCCATGCTCATGAATAGGAAGAATCAATATTGTGAAAATGGCCATAGTGCCCAAAGTAATTTATAAATTCAATGCTATTTGCATCAAGCTATCAGTGACCTTCTTCACAGAATTAGAAAAAAACTACTTTAAATTTTGTATGGAACCATAAAAGAGCCCATATAGCCAAGGCAATCCTAATCTAAAGGAACAAAGCAGGAGGCATCACACTACCTGACCTTGAACTATACTACAACGCTACAGTAACCAAAACAGCATGGTACTGGTACCAAACAGATATATAGACCAATGGTACAGAAGAGAGGCCTCAGAAATAACACCACACATCTACAACCATCTGATCTTTGACAAACCTGACAAAAACAAGCAATGGGGAGAGGAATCTGTATTTAATAAATGGTGCTGGGAAAACTGGCTAGCCACATGCAGAAAACTGAAGCTGGACCCTGTCTTTACACCATATACAAAAATTAACTCAAGATGGATTAAAGACTTAAATGTAAGACCTAAAACCATAAAAACCCTATAAGAAAACCTAGGCAATACCATTCAGGACTTAGGTATGAGCAAAGACTTCATGACTAAAACACCAAAAGCAATGACAACACAAGCCAAAATTGACAAATTGGATCTAATTAAACTAAAGAGTTTCTGCACAGCAAAAGAAACCATCATCAGAGTGAACAGGCAACCTATGGAATGGGAGAAAATTTTGCAGTCTATCCATCTGACAAAGGGCTAATATCCAGAATCTACAAAGAACTTAAACAAATTTACAAGAAAAAAACAACCCCATCAAAAACTGGGCAAAGGATATGAACAGAGACTTCTCAAAAGAAGACATTTACCCAGTCAACAAACATATGAAAAAAAGCTCATCATCACTGGTCATTAGAGAAATGCAAATCAAAACCACAATGGGATACCATCTCACACCAGTTAGAATGGTGATCATTAAAAAGCCAGGAAACAACAGATACTGGAGAGGATGTGGAGAAATAGGAAAACCCTTACACTGTTGGTGGGAGTGTAAATTAGTTCAACCTCTATGGAAGACAGTGTGGCGATTCCTCAAGGATCTAGAACCAGAAATACCATCTGACCCAGCAATCCCATTACTGGGTATATACCCAAAGGATTATAAATCATTCTACTATAAAGACAAATGCACACGTATGTTTATTGCTACACTATTTCCAATAGCAAAGACTTGGAACCAACCCAAATGTCCATCAATGATAGACTGAATAAAGAAAATGTGGCACATATACACCATGGAATACTATGCAGCCATATAAAAGAAAGAATTCATGTCCTTTGCAGGGACATGGATGAAACTGGAAACCATCATTCTCAGCAAACTAACACAGGAGCAGAAAACCAAACACCACAAGTTCACACTCATAAGTGGGAATTGAACAATAAGAACACATGGACACAAGGAGGGGAACATCACACACCTGGGACTGTCAGGGGGAGAGGGTCAAGGGGAGGGATAGCATAAGGACAAATACCTAATGCATGCAGGTCTTAAAACCTAGATGACAGGTTGATGGGTGCAGCCATCAGGGCACATGTATACCTATGTAACAAACCTGAACATTCTGCACATGTATCCCAGAACGTAAAGTGAAATTAAAAATAAATAAATAAATAAAATAAAATAAAAACTGTACACTCTAAGCAAATTTTGATTCAAGCCATCCGAAATAAATATGGAATTTAATTAAAATCGTCTTTTTTGTCATTTTTAAGCAATCCCTCTGGCCTTATATTTAAGTTAAATCGTTGCTCCTTAAATTCTTTCATATAAATTCTGGAGTTGCCACTGCCAACAAGCAATCTTTTCACCTTGCCCTTGCAAATTCCTGGAATTACAGGCATCAGCCACTGTGCTCAGGCCTACTGATTGTTTCTTTTGCTGTGCAGAAGATCTTTGGTTTAATTAAGTCCCATTTGTCTATTTTTATATTTGGTGCACTTATTTTTGAGGTCTTAGTCATAAATTTTTGACTGTCCAGAGGAGTTTTTCCTAGATTTTCTTTCAAGATTGTTATAGTTTCAGGTCTTGCATTGGAGTATTTAATCCATCTTGAGTTAATTTTTGTATATGGTGAGATATAAAGGTCCAACTTCATTCTTTTGCATATGACTAACCAATTTTCCAGAAACATTTATTGAATAGGGTGTTCTTTCTCCATCGTTTGTTTTTGTCAACTTTGCCAAAGATCAGTTGGTTGTAGTTACATGTCTTTATTTCTGGGTTCTGCATTCTGTTATATTTCTATTCATCTATTTGTGGGTTTTTCTGTACCATTACCATGCTACTTTGGTTACTATAATCTTGCAGTATAATTTGAAGTTGGGTAATGTGATGCCTCTGGCTTTGTTCTTTTTGCTTAGTATTGCTTTGGCTATTTGGGCTCTTTTTTTGGTTCTGTGTGAATTTTAGAATTGTTTTTTCTAATTCCATAAAAATGGCGTTAATAATTTGAAAAGTTTTATGTTGAATCTGTAGATTTGTTTGGGCACTATAGTCATTTTAACAGTATCGATTCTTCCTATCCTTAAGTATGGGTTGTTTTTTTCATTTATTGGTATCATCTTCAATTTATTTCATCAGTGTTTTATAGTTCTCCCTCTAGAAGTCTTTCATCTCCTTGGTTAAAGGTATTCCTAGGTATTTTATTTTTTTGTGGCTATTGTAAATTGAATAGAGTTTTGGATTTGGTCCTCAGTTTGATCTTTTTGGTATATAAAAATAGAACTAATTTTTGTAGATTTTGTACCTTGAAACTTTACTGAAGTTGTTTATCAGGTCTAGGAGTCTTTTGGTATCTTTAAAGTTTTCTAGGTATAAGATCTTGTCATTACTGAACAGAGATAATTTAGATTCCTCTTTTTCAATTTGGATGCCTTTTATTTCTTTGTCTTAGCTGATTGCTCTGGCAAGGACTTCCAGCAGTATGTTGAATAGGAGTGATGACAGCAGACATCTTTGTCTAGTTCAAATTCCTAGGGAAAATGCTTTCAACTTTTCCCATTCAGTATGATGTTGGCTGTGAATTTGTTCTATATGGCTGTTATTATTCTGAGGTAGTTCCTTTGATGCCTTGTTTGTTGAGGGTTTTTATCATAAGAGATGTTGATTTTTATTGAATGATCTTTCTGCATCTATTGAGATAATAATATAATTTTTATTCTTAATTCTGTTTATGTGGTGAATCACATTTATTGATATGTTGAGTCATTTTGACAGTGATAAATTACCTTTGATGTGTTGTTGGATTTGGTTTGCTAATATTTTATTGAGGATTTTTGTGTGTTTGTTTTTCAGGGATAATGGCCTGTAGTTATTTTATGTTTTGTGTCTTTGCCAGATTTTTGTATCAGGATGATACTGGTTTCATAGAAAGAGTTTCAGAGGAATGCCTCAATTTTTTGGAATCACTTCGGTAAAATTGGTACCAGCTCTTCTTTGTAAGTCTTGTAGAATTTGACTATTTTTTTTTTGGTTGGTTGGTAGATTTTTTATACTGACTCAATTTTATAATTCATTTTTTGTCTTTTCAAAATTTCAGTTTCCTCTTAATTTACTCTCGGGAGATAGTATGTTTCCAGGAATTTTCCCATTTCTCCAGGATTTTTTAGTTTGTGTGCATAGAGATGTTTATAGTAGTCTCTGTTGATCTTTTGTATTTCCATGATATCAGTTGAAATGTCATCTTTATCATTTCTGATTGTACATATTTGAATCTTTTCTTTTTTGGTTAATCTAGCTAGCAGCCCATCAATTTTGTTTGTTCTTGACAAAACAGCTTTTTGTTGCTCTGATCTTTTATATATTTTTTGTCTTAATTTCAATTACTTCTGCTCTGATCTTTGTTATTTCATTTTTTGTCTGCTATCTTTGAGTTTGGTTTGTTCTTATTTTACTAGTTCCTTTAGGTGTGACATTAGATTATTGATCTGAGATGTTCCAATATTTTTCATATAGACATTTAGCACTATAAATTTTCCTCTTCACACTGCTTTTGGTGGTATTCCAGAGATGTTGATATGTTATGACTCTATTTTCATTTGTTTTTAAAAAATGTCTTGATTTTTTTCTTAGTTTCATTGTTTATCCCCAAATCATTCAGGAGCAAGTTGTTTAGTTTCCATGCACTTGTGTGGTTTTCAGAGTTCCTCTTGGTATAGATTTGTAATTTTGTGATCTCAGAAGATACTTGATATGATTTCATTTTTTATTGAATTTAGTGAGACTTGCCATATGGCCAAGGATACAGTCAATGTTAGAAAATATCCCATGCACAGATGAGAAAAATGTATACTCTGCAGTTGCTGGGTGGAATGTTCTGTATAGATTTATTTGGTTCATTTGATCAAGTGTCCAATATAAGTCCAGGTTTTTTTGGTTAAGTTTTCTGCTTCAGTGATCTATCTAGTGCTGTTAGTAGGGTGTTTAGGGGTATGTGAGACTCCCACTCATATTATATATCTGTTCACAGTTTTTCTTGGCCTGGTAGTATTTGCTTTCTAAATCTGGGTGCTCCAGTGTTTGGTGTGTGTGTGTGTGTGTGTATAATAGTTAAATTTTTTTTTGTTGTTTTCTTTGAGACAAGGTCTGACTCTGTTGCCCAAGCTGGAATGCAGTGGTGTGATTTTGGCTCACTACAATCTCTGCCTCTGGGCTCAAGGGATCCTCCCACCTCAACCTCCTTTGTAGCTGGGACTACAAACATGCACCACCACACATGACTAATTTTTTATTTTTTTGTAGAGAGAAGGTTTTGAGCTCCTGGTCTCAAGTGATCCTCCATCCTAGGCCTCCCAAAGTGCTGGGATTACAGGCATGAGCCACCACATCTGGCCCAAAATAGTTAAATCTTGTTGAATTGAACCCTTTATCATTACATAACTCATTTTTTGTATTTTTTTTTTACTATTGTTGGTTTAAAGTCTGCTTTATCTGATATAAGAATAGCAACCTCTCTTCTTTTTTGTTGTCCTTCTGTATGATCTATTTTTCTCTACCCCCTACTTTGAGCCTGTTGGTGTCTTTACATGTTAGGTGGGTCTCTTGTAGGCAACAGATGGTTAGATCTTGTTTTATTCAATTTTCCAATCAATTTCTTTTAACTGGAGTATTTAGGTCACTTGCAAACAACATTTATATTGAGATGTGAGGTTTTGTTTCTGCCATAGTGCTGTTAGCTAGTTGTTTCATAATCTTAATTGTGTGATTGCTTTATAAAATCCGTGAAATTGAGACTCATATATGCTTTTTTGGTAACAAGTATCATCCTTTGATCTCCATGTTTAGAACTCCTTTGAGCACTTCTTGCTGGACTGGCCTAGTGGTGATGAATTCCACTGGCATTTGTTTGTCTGGGAATGTCTTTATTTCTCTTTTGTTTATTAGGCTTATTTGGCAGCCTTATGACTATATGCCTTGGTGATGTTTGTCTTGAATGGTATCTTGCAGGTTTTTTCTGAATTTCTTATATCTGAATGTCTACCTCTTTAGCAACATAAGAAAAGTTTTCCGAAATGATTCCCTCAAATATGTTATCCAAACTGCTTATATTTTCCTCTTCTCTCTCAGGAATGCCAGTAAGTCATAGATTTGGTCACTTTACATAATCTCATATTTCTTAAAGGCTTTGTTCAGTTTTTAGAAATTCTTTTTTAAAATGGTGCTGGGAAAACTGGCTAGCCCTATGTAGGAAACTGGATCCCTTCCTCACACTGTATACAAAAATTAACTCAAGATGGATTAAAGACTTAAATGTAAGACCTAAAACCATAAAAACCCTAGAAGAAAACCTAGGCAGTACCATTCAGGACATAGGCATGGGAAGACTTCGTGACTAAAACACCAAAAGCAATGGCAATAAAAGTCAAAATTAACAAATAGGATCTAATTAAACTAAAGAGCTTCTGCACAGCAAAAGAAACTACCATCAGAGTGAAGACAAAACCTACAGAATTGGAGAAAATTTTTGCAACCTACCCATCTGACAAAGGGCTAATATCCAGAATCTACAAAGAACTTAAACAAATTTACAAGAAAAAAAGAAACAACACCGTCAAAAAGTGGGCAAAGGATATGAACAGACACTTTTCAAAAGAAGATATTTATGCAGCCAACAAACATATGAAAAAATACTCATCATCACTGGTCATCAAGAGAAATGCAAATCAAAACCACAATGAGATACCATCTCACACCAGTTAGAATGGCAATCATTAAAAAGTCAGGAAACAACAGATGCTGGAGGGATGTGGAAAAATAGGAATGTTTTTACACTGTTTGTGGGAGTGTAAATTAGTTCAACCATTGTGGAAGACAGTGTGGTGATACCTCAAGGATCTAGAACTGGAAATACTATTTGACCCAGCAATCCCATTACTGAGTATATACTCAAAGGATTGTAAATCATGCTATTATAAAGACAAATGCACACGTATGTCTATTGTGGCACTATTCACAATAGCAAAAACTTGGAACCAACCCAAATGTCCATCAGTGATAGACTGAATAAAGAAAATGTGGCACATGTACACCATGGAATACTATGCAGCCATAAAAAAGGATGAGTTCATGTCCTTTGCAGGGACATGGATAAGGCTGGAAACCATCATTCTAAGCAAACTATCCACAAGGACAGAAAACCAAACACTGCATGTTGTCACTCATAGGTGGGAGCTGAACAATAAGAACACATGGACACAAGGAGGGGAACATCACACACCAGGGCCTGTCTGGGCATGGGGAGCTGGGGGAGGGATAGCATTAGGAGAAATACCTAATGTAAATGACAAGTTGATGGGTGCAGCAAACCAACATGGCACATGTATACCTATGTAACAAACCTGCACACTGTGCACATGTACTCTAGAACTTAAAGTATAATAATAATAAAAAAAGAAATTATTTTTTAAAATTTTTGTCTGACTGGGTTAATTTGAAAGACCAGTCTGCAGGCTTTGAAATTCTTTCTTCTGCTTGGTCTAGTTTATTATTATAGCTTTCAATTGCATTTTCAAATTATTTTAGTGATTCTCTTAATTCCAGAAGTTGTATTAAAAATTATATCTATCTCATCTTTCATATACTGAATCATTTTTTCTGATTTATTTGTGTTAATTTTCAGCTGTCTCTTGGATTTCATTGTGCTTACTTGCAATCCATATTTTGAATTATTTCTCTGTCATTTCAAAATTTTCATTTTGGTGAGAATTCCCTGCTAGAAAACTGGCTGGAGCCTTTGTTGCATGATCATCTGAAGCTTGATGGTCTCCAGGTGACAGGAAATAAATTTGGTTAAAAGATTTAATGAGAACTTCAGGGGGTGGATACCTATGCTGTCAGGAATATTTGTAATAGAGATTTGCGGGAGAAAAAACAAAACCCGGTCTGTTCTAGAATCTAAGTATTTCCTTTAATTCTTAGCACAAGCGACTCCATTTTTGTTTCGTTTGGTTATTTGGGGCCTAGTGCATGAGCTTAGTACAAAACAATGGCCTCCCAGAATTTTGTTAAATAAATTATAAATTCCCCCTTTTTGGTCAGGTTCTCACTCAGGTGAGAGTGTGACCAAAACTTAGTGCCTTATTGCCACTGTCAGTTACCATCATTTTGGACTTCCTGTCTCAGCGTGTCATTTATAGCTTATGGTGTCCTCATGGTTGCACATTTCTTTCAGCTCCTGTTATTCCAGTTGAAGAGAGACCATATGACATTCTAGAGATGGCTACATGCAAGCACTTAAAGCCTTTAAGAAAGTACAGTGCACCAGGGAGACTATTATTATGACTATTGGGAGGATAATACCAAGAGTTTGGAGTATGCTTCTTACCCAGGGTTCCCATAAACCAAACCTCCTAAAATCAAATAGATCAAAGAATGAGCTAGATAAAGAGTTTACTCACTTGACTAAGCAATTTCTTCATTAATCCCCTACCATTAAATTTTTATAATCTTCATGTGATGTATTTATCCATAAGCCACAAGTGCCAGCAGCTGCACAGATACTTCTTTGTTTAGCCAATTCTATTATTTAGCATTACTTTCACAAGAGAATTTAAAGTCTGTTGTGTAACTGTAGCCTTTACAGTAGAATTTGCTATGGAACCTATCATGAAGGATACATTTCTAATCCTTGCTTCCTTTAATTTAAACCATGCAAAAAGGACCTAACAAATGATGTCCTTTTAGAAGAGGGAAGGCCTTCTGGCAGTGTTCTCTTTAACCCATGATGTGGGTTAAGAGGAGTGAACCAATGTTTTGTTTTCTACCGACTATGAGCCATGTACTATGAAACATGTACCATTACAGTTTCTTACTTACATTGGGCCTTTATCCTTTATCTTTCAAAGTATAAGATTATCCATGTATAAGGCTGGCGGCAAACTCCTTCACAAATAAAAGCATACCCCATAAGTGTACATAACAGGCACCTTTTCCACTTCTATAGTTCATGGAGGTATAAGCAAGAAAAAACATTCAAAGATAAGAGTTTCATGACAGTAGAATTCTTAATCTGTGAACTTGGGAAAAGCTGTTCACATCAAGGATGCTATCTTCTTTTTGGGAGAAATTTCTCTGGTTAGCTTTACCTCAAGGGTTCCACTGGATGCACAGTTCCAAAAGTGTGGAGGGACCTTTCTCAGTTGTGACATCAAGAACTGAAAGCCCAAAGTCCTGAAGTTTTGCTATAGTGTGGATGGCAAGGACAGTCTTTCTCCAATATTCTCAGAAGATCCAAACCATAAAAAGGTTTTTACCTGGTGAAAATACACTGTAGCATAATAACCTACTGTTATAACATCAGCCCTCTGGCATGGGAAAGCTTTTATATAACCAGAAAATATACATTGAAAATAACAATTGAATGAAATTCCTTTATAAAATTCTTATATGGCCCACCATATAAGTGACTAAATGTACTTGAAGCTTTAATTGTTTTCCCAGGAATAGGGGATCAAGCATTGGTTATAAACTATTTCAGTAATTTGTACATCACTACACCAATGTATTGAATTTGGATCATTATATATTTTCCATGAGTCATGGAATGCAGAACTTTTAATAATAAAAGCTTTAAGGACTCAGGAAGGACAAGGTGGTTATCCTGTTTCTTCATGAGTCCATGCTTAAACATTAAACTTATATCCTCTTGGATACCAGTTGTTTTTCCAAATTAAGTGCATAGCACTGAAAAGAAATTTGGTTATTATTGTGGTTTACAATAACATAACATAACAATCATAATTATAATTGATAGAATATAGTTAGGCATTAGAATTTTAGGAATCCCATACAATTTAGGAATATATATTAGTAGTATTCACAAATATATAACCAAAAGAAGATGAAACATCCTTTTGGCAATCCCATGTATCTAAACATGTCAGATAATCCTGTTGACCTCTTTTCTGGGTGTTTTCAAGAGCACTGTGATTCATCCAGAAAGCCAGGCATTAGGAAAGCCAATTTTGATTTTGGAATTCCAGAATACCATAAATTATTTATTTTCCCAAAATGATAACTCAGAAATTTTAAAGAAGCAAAAACACTTTATAACCTTAAAAAACACACAGAAACATTCTATTGTTCTTACACACCTTGCATGTAAAACTGTTTCTAGTAGTCTTTTTTTTATTATTATACTTTAAGTTGTAGGGTCCATGTGTACAACGTGCAGGTTTGTTACATAAGTATACATGGGCCATGTTGGTTTACTGCACCCATCAACTCATCATTTACATTAGGTATTTCTCCTAATGCTATCCCTCCCCCTGCCCTCCACCCCCAAATAGGCCCCAGGGTGTGATGTTCCCCACCCTGTGTCCAAGTGTTCTCATTGTTCAATTCCCACCTATGAGTGAGAGCATGCAGTGTTTGGTTTTCTGTCCTTGTGACAGTTTGCTCAGAATGATGGTTTCCAGCTGTATCCATGTCCCTCCGTAGGACATGCACTCATCTTTATTTATGGCTGCATTAGTATTTCATGGTGTATATGTGCCACATTTTCTTAATCCAGTCTATCGTTGATGGACATTTGGGTTGGTTCCAACTCTTTGCTATTGTGAATAGTGATGCAATAAACATACATGTGCATGTGTCTTTATAGCAGCATGATTTATAATCTTTTGGATATGTACCCAGTAATAGGATTGCTGGGTCAAATGGTATTTCTAGTTCTAGATCCTTGAGGAATCACCACACTGTCTTCCACAATGGTTGAACTAATTTACACTCCCATCAACAGTGTAAAACTGTTCCTATTTCTCCACATCCTCTCCAACATCTGTTGTTTCCTGACTTTTTAATGATTGCCATTCTAACTGGTGTGACATGGTATCTCACTGTGGTTTCGATTTGCATTTCTCTGATGACCAGTGATGATAAGCATTTTTTCATGTGTCTGTTGGTTGCATAAATGTCTTCTTTTGAGAAGTGTCTGTTCATATCCTTTGCCCTCTTTTTGATGGGGTTGTTTTTTTCCTGTAAATTTGTTTAAGTTCTTTGTAGATTCTGGATATTAGCCCTTTGTCAGATGAGTAGATTGTAAAAATTTTCTCCCATTCTGTAGGTTGCCTGTTCACTCTGATGATGGTTTCTTTTGCTGTGCAGAAGCTCTTTAGTTTAATTAGATCCCATTTGTCAATTTTGACTTTTGTTGCCATTGCTTTTGGTGTTTTAGTCATGAAGTACTTGCCCATGCCTATGTCCTGAATGGTATTGCCTAGGGTTTCTTCTAGGGTTTTTATGGTTTAGGTCTTACATTTAAGTCTTTAATCCATCTTGAATTAATTTTTGTATAAGGTGTAAGGAAAGGATCCAGTGTCAGCTTTCCATATATGGGTAGCCAGTTTTCCCAGCACCATTTATTAAATAGGGAATCCTTTCCCCATTGCTTGTTTTTCTCAGGTTTGTCAAAGATCAGACAGTTATAGATGTGTGATATTAATTCTGAGGGCTCTGTTCTGTTCCGTTGGTCTATCTCTCTGTTTTGGTAGCAGTACCATGCTGTTTTCGTACCAGTACCATGCTGTTTTGGTTACCGTAGCCTTGTAGTATAGTTTGAAGTCAGGTAGCATGATGCCTCCAGCTTTGTTCTTTTGGCTTAGGATTCTCTTGACAATGCAGGCTCTTTTTTGGTTCTACATGAACTTTAAAGTAGTTTTTTCTAGTTCTGTGAAGAAAGTCATTGGTAGCTTAATGGGGATGGCATTGAATCTATAAATTACCTTGGGCAGTATGGCCATTTTCACAATATTGATTCTTCGTAACCATGAGCATGGAATGTTCTTCCATTTGTTTGTGCCCTCTTTTATTTTGTTGAGCAGTGGTTTGTAATTCTCCTTGAAGAGGTCCTTCACATCCCTTGTAAGTTGGATTCCTAGGTATTTTATTCTCTTTGTAGCAGCTGTGAATGGGAGTTCACTCATGATTTGGCTCTCTGTTTGTCTGTTTTTGGTGTATAAGAATGTTTGTAATTTTTGCATGTTGATTTTGTATCCTGTGACAAAATTGCTGAAGTTGCTTGTCAGCTTAAGGAGATTTGGGGATGAGACGATGGGGTTTTCTAAATATACAATCACATAATCTGCAAAAAGGGACAATTTGACTTCCTTTTTACCTAACTGAATACCCTTTATTTCTTTCTCTTGCCTGATTGCCCTGGCCAGAACTTCCAACACTATGTTGAATAGGAGTGGTGAGAGAGGGCAACCCTGTCTTGTGCCAGTTTTCAAAGGGAATGCATCCAGTTTTTGCCCATTCAGTATGATATTGGCTGTGGGTTTGTCATAAATAGCTCTTATTATTTTGAGATACGTTCCATCAATACCTAGTTTATTGAGAGTTTTTAGCATGAAGGGCTGTTGAATTTTGTCAAAGGCCTTTTCTGCATCTATTGAGACAATCATGGGGTTTTTGTCTTTGGTTCCGTTTATGTGATGAATTATGTTTATCGATTTGCGTATGTTGAACCAGCCTTGCATCCCAGGGATGAAGCCAACTTGATCATGGTGGATAAGCTTTTTGATATGCTGCTGGATTCAGTTTGCCAGTATTTTACTGAGGATTTTCCCATCAATGTTCATGAGGGATATTGGTCTAAAATTCTCTTTTTTTGTTGTGTCTCTGCCAGGCTTTGGTATCAGGATTATGCTGGCCTCATAAAATTATTTAGGGGGTATTCTCTCTTTTTCTGTTGATTGGAATAGTTTTAGAAGGAATGGTACCAGCTCCTCTTTGTACCTCTGGTAGAATTCGGCTGTGAATCCATCTGGTCCTGGAGTTTTTTTTGGTTTTAGGCTATTAATTATTGCCTCAATTTCAGAGCCTGTTATTGGTCTATTTAGAGATTCAACTTTTTCCTGGTTTAGTCTTGGGAAGCTGTATGTATCCAGGAATTTATCCATTTCTTCTAGATTTTCTAGTTTATTTGTGTAGAGGTGTTTATAGTATTCTCTGATGGTAGTTTGTATTTCTGTGGGATCGTTGGTGATAATCCCCTTTATCATTTTCTGTTGCGTCTATTTGTTTCTTCTCTCTTTTCTTCTTTAGTAGTCTTGCTAGCAGTCTATCAATTTTGTTGATCTTTTCAAAAAACCAGCCCCTGGATTCATTGATTTTTTTGAAGGGTTTTTTGTGTCTCTATCTCCTTCAGTTCTGTTCTGATCTTAGTTATTTCTTGCCTTCTGCTAGCTTTTGAATGTGTTTGCTCTTGCTTCTCTAGTGCTTTTAATTGTGATCTTAGGGTGTTGATTTTAGATCTTTCCTACTTTCTCTTGTGGGCATTTAGTGCTATAAATTTTCCTCTACACACTGCTTTAAATGTGTCCCAGAGATTCTGGTACATTGTGTCTTTGTTCTCATTAGTTTCAAAGAACATCTTTATTTCTGCCTTCATTTAGTTATTTACGCAGTAGTCATTCAGGAGCAGGTTGTTCAATTTCCATGTAGTCATGTGTTTTTGAGTGAGTTTCTTAATCCTGAGTTCTAATTTGATTGCACTGTGGTCTAAGAGACAGTTTGTTATAATTTCTATTCTTTTATATTTGCTGAGGAGTGCTTTACTTCTAACCATGTGTTCAATTTTGGAATAAGTGCATTGTGGTCTTAATTGTATGTTATGATTGCAAATTTTATAATAAGACCTGGTAAGTTGTGTTCTGATAAGATTTGACTATCTCCAGCATAGCCGCGGATGTGGCAAAGCACACATGTCCCCAGGCTTTACCTAGCTGGAGAGCAGGCAAGTTAAACAATTTTCAAAAGCCAAAGAAGCAGTTTATGACCTTAAAGCATTTAGCAAACCTAATATTTGAACATAATTTAGACCACGTTTACATTGTGAAGAAATTTGTATTTTACTAATAATCTTGAAAACCGTCCTTATTTCCCAAATATTGCTAAAGTCACATGAACTAAAACGCATAACACTTTCTACTTTTCTGACAAAATACCTGATTTAAGCTCTTATTATTATTAAACCAATTAATTTAAAACTTCAAAGAGGTGATTAACCAGTCTGCACAGACAGAAAGAGGCCAGAGACTGCCCGGTAAGAAATTCTTACCCTTTTGCTGGCATGCCAGGCTTCTGGGTTATCTCTCCCTGAGTGGCCCTGGTGACCCTGCTTGATGGTATGCAGACAAACACATTGCCATGAATTTAGAATATTCATAGATAGTTTACAGATTTTGGAGAAACTAGGCAGAGAGAGAAATATGACTTAAATTATACTTGTAAGAATATACTCAACACACTTAAAGTATCAGGAAGCCTAAAATCCAAACAGTTAGTTTAAGGATAAAAAGCTGGTGTGCTCCATTAATTCCTGCAGCCCAACAAAGGTAGCTTAGTAACTCCAGATAAATTGAATGGGTGCTGACTTGCTAGAAATGCATAGGAAACAAAATAACTATTCACAGAACCAAATAAAAGCCTTCCACTAGAATCTAAAAAGCGTCATGGTTTTATATATATGGATACACAGGCAAAGCCAGAGGAGAATGAACAGCAAATGAATGAAAATTAGAAGCAAAAACAAAAAAACAGGAAACCACCCCTACATTTTCCTACTCAACTTACCCTGGAGACTACAGTGTTATCTACGGCCCTCAAAACCCCACATATTGAATATTTTACTCCTGATTACACAATTCAATATCCTTAAGTTCACCAATATCATTATACATTCTGTGCAATCAAGAAATCCACTTTAGGCAGGTGACCAATATGTACTCTAGCACTATCCATGCAAAACAGTAAATTAAACATACTGTGAAGAAATGCAAGCATGAATGTGAAATTTGACTCCACACTAAATCCAGCTTCATGCTTACTATATTAAAAAAGAATTGCCCAATTGCTGATGCATTTATTTATAATACTTATTATTTTGATTAAGACTAAGAGCTTTATCTGTGAAAATATTAATTAGCCAAATGTCTCCAATTCTCTATCAGGATTTAAAGAATATTTTATTATTTAAACTTTTTCCACATCTTTCTCCCCTACTTAATGATTCCTTACCACATTGTTTTATAAATAACCTTTTCAAATTTGTAATTTGAACTAACTTTTAGATGACTTCTGAATTAGACAAAATTATTTTTTCCACTAATAATATAATTCTTTCTGGCACATGTTGTATACAGAATTGTGTGTTAACTAAAATTTTTTATTGTTAGCAACCTAAAACTTTAGTGAAACCCTAAAAAGCAAGAAATCCTGAACTATCAGATATGGGCATTTATACATAAAAACAATTTCACAATTTTAGAAACAGTTTTCCCCTATCACAGCGCTTTTTAAATTGGAAATGACCGAGATATTAAATGAGTATCAAAATAACTTTAAGATTTTAACTTACACAAAAAGTTTACTAGAACATTTATCCTATTCGCTGTACTTAATTTTTACTTCTAACTAGTGAGACATAAGACATCAATTAACATATGTAAAACAAACATTGGTTTGGTCCGGAAAAGTGGGACAATCCAAGGTGGGGAGGGGGTTCGGGGCTTTCAGATCAGAGGTGGGAGACAAATGGTTGCATTCTTCTGAGTCTCTGATTAGCCTTTCGAAAGGAAGCAATCAGATATGCATTTATCTCAGTGAGACTTTGAATAGAATGGGAGGCAGGCTCACCTCATGCAGCTTCCAGCTTGAATTAACACTGTCATTTCAAAATATCTAGCAAAGACAGACATAAAATTCAGACAAAATGTATGCTTACAATTCGGAAGGCCTTTCTATTTTTATTCCTCCAATAATTTTAAAGCTAGTTTGTTTAGCAAAGTTATACTTAAGTTACGTGAACTTGAAAATTGCTTAGACTTATTTACTTAATTTATGAGTGCTCTTTTACTTATAAGCCAATTTGGTAGACACAACATAAACAATAAGTGTACATACAAATAAACACATCTAGACATGTATACACACACATAAACAAAGATCCAATAGCTTGGAACCTTAGCCATGAGATAACAATATAAGCTTGTGAGTTTTACTTTGCCCCAGTAGATAATCCAAGGAAGGCTGTGAACCAAAATTTTGGGTAAAGCAGTCTCCATGGCAGTTTGTTTTTTTAAGGCTAAACCTTCCCAGACTCCAAGGAACACTGGGGCAAAACAGTACCAAAGGAGGGCATCACACGTTAACCGGGCCCTCTGCTTAGAACAGCAGTACAAAAGCCTGGATATATGCAAGGCCATCCCACTTTCCCATTAAACAGTTAACTTCAGATTCTAAACAACTTTGGGGCCAAGCAGCCTTGCAACTTCGAGAGAAAATTCTAAAGAGGGCTTATTATTAGACCTCAGAACCTCTGTCAAGAGTGTCCTCTTTGGAGAGTTTGAGATCCGGAGGATCCTCTGGAGTGTCCTCCTGTGGGGTCCAATCTTAGAGTTCCAGACATCACCTCTGGCCTTAGGTGGGTACTGGTGCCACTTTGCATGCATTCCCTCCAGAGCCTACTATGAGCTTTCCTTTGGTACCTGGTTATAATCTTTGATTTTTTAGCATCCTTATGATTTGATAAAGTCATACTTTTGTTACCAGGGGTCCTTGCCCACAGAGCTCCCAAGTTGGTGGGAGGCCACTTCCAAAATGGCGGCGGGCTACTTCCAAGATGGTGGCAAACCTCATGTTCTCTGACCTGGGGTTCTTGGCCTCACGGATTTCAAGGAATGGAATCTTGGGCCATGCGGTGAGTGTTATAGCTCTATTAGAAGCTGTGGGTCACAGAAGAGAACTGTGGAACCCAGTGACTAGTGTTCAGCTCGATTAGGACGAACCCAGGCACTTAGCTGTGCAGAAACAATGGCGAGCCTTTAGCCTGATCGGGGAGCTGCAATGGGCACCTCGCTTGATCAGGAGCACAGCAGACACCCTGCCAGATCTGGAGGGATGGAAGTCAGCGGCAGGTCTGTGAGTGCGGCAAACAGCAGTGTTGGACGGCAAGCGAAAGCTCAGCTCCAGCCGTAACAAACACGGATCAGAAGAGAATGCAGTTGCAAGATTTAATAGAGTGAAAACAGAGCTCCCATACAAAGGGAGGGGACCCAAAGAGGGTAGCCATTGCTGCCTCGAATGCCTGGGTTTATATCCTGATCATTGTCCCTCCAGCTGTGCTCTCAGGCAATAGATGATTGGCTATTTCTTTACCTCCTGTTTTTGCATAATTAGCATTTTAGTGAGCTCCCTTCACTACCTGATTGGTCGGGTGTGAGCTAAGTTGCAAGCCCCGTGTTTAAAGGTGGATGCGGTCACCTTTCCAGCTAGGCTTAGGGATTCTTAGTCGGCCTAGGAAATCCAGCTAGTCCTGTCTCTCACTTTGCCATGCTTCCCATTCCATGAACTTTAATGATAGGAACTGGAGGCTGGGTAGGTTTCCTTTGCCCTTAGCCACTTGAATAAGGGAAGGGAAGAATTTAGCATAAGAAAAGAAGGTTTAAGTCACCTGAAACGTGCGAGTTTGCTTTAAGCATGTAGGGATCAGGGACCATTCTTGGAAAAGATTTTTAAAAAGTCCCCACTTTGGGGCAGGGAAAGTATTCCCAATCACTCCTAGGCCTTCAGGCAATACCAGGGAGTGACCCCTGGAAATTGCCCTCAATTTCCAAGGAGCTACTAGGAAACAGCCACTCAAAGACTGAAAAAGAAACAGAGGAAAACAAAATGAAAAAGCCCCAGGTTCCTTAAGTGTACTGGGCAGTGGTGGTCAGGCTTCTCCACATGGAAATCCCTTAGTTTCACTGGCCATGGACAGAAACCTGCAGTTGCTTCCATGTTTAGGCGCTGCCCAAGAGTCCCAGGTTGGAAAGGAAAAGAGGCAGAAGGTGATTCCCTTGTATGGAGCAGAAAGGAAAAGGAGAAGAATAAATCCCAAACTTTGGGCTCACCTCTTCCTCCAGGCTGGCTTGCCAAAATATGTTAATGGTGGGGGGGTGTCCAGGTTCTTGGCATCTTGAATAAAGAATTGGACAAAATGCACAAACAAAGCAAAGAAGGAATGAGGGTATTTATTGAAAATGAAAGTACACTCCACAGTGTGAGAGTGAGCTTGAGCCTAGGGGCTCAAAGGCCCTGTTACGGAGTTTCTGTGAGTTTAAATACCCTCTATTTGGGGTATGCCCTATGTAAATGAAGAGGATGAAGTAAAGTTACAAAGTCATTTACTGGGTGTTGCCCTGTGGAGAGGATATTTCCTGTTATAGCTGAAGTGTGAATCAGCCTTATGTTCCCTGCCTCCAGACCCTATTTTCCTGCCTCAGGCTCACCGTCAACAGAGGTGCAGCTACTACAAGAAGTACTGGTAAGGTTGTCTCCAAAGTCACTCATACCAGCCCCCAGTAGGGTAATCCTCTACTATGTCTGTAACAGTGAATGGGTGAGTGGGAGATGAACCCCTCTCCAAGTTCATTCCCGGCAATCAGTGTTGTCCCCTTTATCAACTGGCACCATGCCCATGTTTCTTTCATCTCAAGGGGGCTTTGGCAGTCTGGGCTTCACCCTCCCCTAGGGGCAGCCATGCTTAAGGGCTAAATCTCTAAGGGTCCCATAGCTCCTCAGGTACCTACTGATCCCCTGTGCTTGCCAAAGTCAGAGTAGATTCTAGAGTATATTTTCAGAAGATCTAGTGGAGGCACATGGGCTGAGATTCTCCAGGCAGGGCAGTGGCCTCTCATGGGTGCACAAGTGTATGGCACCCATCATCTCCTTTTGCACCTGAGGAGATTGCAGGCACACATATGTGAGCTTGCTACCCGGTGCTTTGTCCCTGGGAAGTTCCCAACTTGCCATTGACAGAATTGCCCAGGATCATGATGGTGCAGGGGCTTCTTAACAATTTGATAGTCAGCAGACTGTCACAAGAATGAGAGAGTACAGAAATACACCTTCACCTAAGATATTACTGCTCTGTGTAGGGAGGGGCAGACAGGTCCCACTATTTGTGAAAGCCCATGTGGTGGTAGGCTTACCCTCAACACGGTGCAGCCATCACAAAATGTGCTGGTGGTGTTCTAGCCCCTTTCTAAGGGACTAGGATTTCCTCAGGGGTTGATTTCTGCCAGTCTTGCTTCTTTCCTTTTCTGCATCCCTGCATCTTTCCAAGTGCTCTCTAACAGTTCCTGCTCTCTTCCTTCAGCTTTCCATTTGAATCATGACCATTCACCTGTAACTTTGACCTTCCTTCTGAGGAAAACTGGTATCTAGTGTCCCTACTCATCCATCTTGAAAAACATCCCACATATTCTCTATTTATCGTTTCTTTGCTGTCCTGATGAAGTGAGCATTGATGAATTCTCTCTGAATATTTTTGATGTCTATATTTACCACTAAGCAACAGAATGGGTCATTTCCCTCAAGTCAATTGGAATTTGAAAAATTTAAAAAGTATATGTGATATATAGGAATTGTCAGAGATTATCTTAATTTTCTTAGAAAAGAATTATTTAAGAACATTATATTATAGGTGAACACATATTTTGAGATTAATTTTAATGTTTTCCAGGGGAAATTGTACACTTAAGAGTTAAATATTATCCCAGTGATTGGTTGTTATTAGTAAAGATGCTGAATTTGAAATTTATGGCCTAGCAATTACAGAGCAGATGAACAGGATCATTAAAATATAGAGTCCTGATTATTCATCCTCTACTCATATACTAATTTTAATGAAATATTTTCACCAAAATATCTTGTTAATGCATGTAGACATGCATATATGTGTTTTCATAAAAAATCATTTTCTGGCCAAGGCAGATAGAAATCACTGACCATGTGGCAATTACATAATGGTAAGTTATATGGTGGCAAATTATATGATATTAACTAACTTCTTATACAACATAAGTGGTATATAGTTTTACAAATTAAAAAGATATACCCTTTTTGTACACTGCAAGTGAAAAACAATCAGAAGATATTCCTTCCAAAAGAATATTGGTGCATATAATTAACTTCTGATAAATAATGTCTGTGCACAATTTCATGTATTGATGTCAGTCGGAAAAAGTTGTTTAAATGGCCCCAAATGTTGAAGGAGTGTGAATAAATGTAACATACTTTATTCTAGCCAAACATTCTGTTTGATCAATCACTTTTAGTGAAAAAAGATTTTCCAGGGAGGTCACTGTAACTTCCAAAAAGCAGAAATGGAAAAGACTGTTAAAATTTTATTGAAATAAAATACATGAAAAAGTTTCAATCTGCTTTATTGTAAAAAGTGTTACTATTACAACCATTTTAAGAAAAGAGAAGTGTTTAAAACATATACCATTTTTATAGGCATACATTTTCATTTTTAGTTGTACTCACTTGACAGGTACAACTTGATGAGAAATTCAAGATCTTAGCCCAATGTTCCTTAATGTGCCTCAAAATTTCTCTGAAATGATCATAAATCATGAACTATTTGTCATTATTAATAATAAAGAGCATGAAAGGATATGCATTCAAGGTCTGATTAAAGAATATTTGAATGATTTTTTTAAAATTTAGAATATTGAGGATTATGCATGTTGTCAGTGAGGGAAATAGAATAACCAGAGATAAAAATAATTTTTGATCCTAGGGAAAGAGATATCAATGCAGAATTTAGCCAGAAAACATATTTTAAAGGTGACATAAATCTAAAGAGATTCATGAATCATTCACAGAACAGAAGTATAGTCTGAATAATTTAGAAGGCATTTATGTTCATTGTAATTATTTTTCCATATTAAATTAAATTCTGTGGTATATATTTTGCCTTAGGTTGAATTGTTTAAAAACATCAGGTAAAACAGATGAATACTGAATTCAGTTTTCAAGTAATATCACTAACAAATATGTAATAAGAAAGAGTAATAAGCCCTATGATGGAAAAAAAAAATGTGTAGAGACCAGTGAAAGAGAGTGGCAAAGGGATGTGGTTTGGATTAAGAAATATCTCTCTGGGGAAGAGTATCTTTAAGCTGAGATTTGATGGATATCTCATGGAAGGACTAGCAAGATTGAAAGTAAAGCTGAAAAACAGCTTGGTGGGTTTGATAAACAGAAAGACGTCATGTGGCAAGAAGATGAAGAATCAGAAATTTAAAATTAGTTTGGAGAATTAGGCAGGCCAAGGTAATGCAGATCTCTGTAGTCCATGGAAAAAAAATTAAATTTATTTTAAATACAATGAAAAGCTTATAAAGTGTTTCAGGTGTAGTGCTATGATACAAAAATAAAAATAAAAATTTCATGGCACTAACTGTTGTGTGAAAAATTAACAGGAAGAGGAAAAGAGATAAGTGAGAGATATTGGTATAAGAATATATTAGGCTAGGCTAAGGAAAGATTATAGTAGCTTGGACTAGGGTGGTGACACTATTTATACAGAGAACAAGTCAATGAATTTAAGGTATATGTTGAGATATGATGATGGATATGATGGAAGTAAAGGAGATGATGTGTGAAAAAGCTTGCTTGGTGTAGGCATCCTATACCAGAAAGCAGGCATTTTCATGGTGCCTCTAATTAACAAGTGAAGTTGCCCTTCATCAAATTTCTATCTAATATTGAAAGTAAGATACTGATATCTCTAACTAATACTGTTATCTTTTCTATTTGTTCTTACAATTCTGTCTTTTTGTGCATCATTTATTTTGGAATTCTGTTGTTAGGTGCATATAGATTTATACTTCCTAGTAGATTGATCTATCATTTAAAAATATCTGTATCTCTAGAAGCAATTTTTTCTCTATGGTCTATTTTGTCTAATATTAATGTAGTTCTCTAAGCTTTTTTTTTGTTATATTTTCCACCCTTTTACATTCAATTTACTTGTGCTTTTGAATCTAAAGTGTGCCTTTCATAGATATCAAAAACATATGAGATTTTTAAAAATCCACCCTCTGATCTCTGCCTTTTGATTGAAGAGATTACTCCATTTATATTTATTACAATTATAAATAAGGAAGGATTTACATTAAATGTTTTGCTGCTTGTTTTCAGTATGTCTTATTATCTTTTTTTGTTTCCTCCATTACTGTCTCCTTTTGTGTTTAAAATACAGTTTCTATATGTCATTTTAATTTCCTTGTTTTTAAAGTTTTTAGTGTTTTTTTAGTGATTGCCTGAGATTATAACTAATAATTAGTATCCTAAAACAATCTAATTGAAATTTATACCAACTTAATTTCAATAGCATACAAACATTTTGCTATAACAGAGATATATTATCTTTCTTTGTGCTACAATTATTATACAAATTACACTTTAGATGTCATAAGCCCATCAGCAAAATTTTATCATTATAGTTTCATACAATTGTCTTTTAAGTAAGATCATGGAAAAGTTACAAACAGAAAGACATTTATTCTCTCTTTTATATTTGCCTATATAGTTACTTTTATTGATGCTTTTAAATTTATTTGTGTGGACTCAAGTTACTGTCTAGTGTCCTCTCATTTTAGCTTGAAGGATGCACTCAAATGATATTCACAGGGCAGAATTCCTAATCGCAAGTTCTTTGTTTTTGTTCTTATGGAAATGCCATAATTTCTTCATTTTTGAAGGATAATGTTACTGGATATAGAATTATTAGTTTGTAAATTTTATTTTTCCAGAACTTTGAATATTTTATCCCACTGCTTTATAGACTCCATGGTTTCTGATAAAACATAGCCATTAATCTTGAGGATTAGTTGTATATAATAAGTCATTTTTCTTTTGTTATTTTCAAAATTTTCTCTCTTTTTTTGACTTTTCTCAATTAGACTATAACATGTCTGGATGTGGTGATTTTTTGGGGGATTGTTTTACTTGGAACTCATTGAGTTTCTAGGGTGTGTTGATTAATATTTCTCATCAAATTTGGAATTTTTGACCATCACTTCTTCAAATATCATTTCTTCTTCTTTCTTTTCTATTAATGAGATTCCCATTATGTGCATGTTAATATGCTGGATGATATCCATCAGGTCTGTGAGGTCCTGTTTATTTTCTTCATTGCTTTTTTCTCTGCCTTTCAAAACGGATAATCTCTTAAACTGTCAATTTTGTTGATCTTTTTCTTCTGCCAGTGAGAGTCTGATTTTGAGCCCATCTAATAATTTATTCTTTTTTGTTATTTTATCTTTGGGCTGCAGAATTACTTCTATGTGGTTCTTTTCAGAAAAATTATATCTCTTTATGGATACTCTCAGTGAAACATGATTGTCATCGTTCTCTTGAGTTCTTTAGATATGATTGCCTTAAGTAATTTGAACACATTTTAAAAAGGTGATTTAAAATCTTTATCTACTAAGTCAAAAATCTAGGTCCCCTCAGGGAAATGATCTGTTGGCTGATTTTTGCTCTTTTATGGGGCACACTTTCTTGTTTTATTTTATATATCTCATATTTTTTTTGAAAACTTGATATTCTAGCTAATAAATCTATATTAGTTTGCTTTGTCTGTCAAAACAAAGTATCATAGACTGGGTGACATAAACAACAGAAATTTATTTTCTCACAGTTCTGGAGACTGGAAGTCCAAGATCAAGGTGCCAGCAGGCATTAGTGCCTTGTAAGGGTTCTCCTCTTGGTTGGTGGTTGGCTACCTTTTCTCTGTGAGGTCACATGGCCTTTCCTTGCTTTGTGCATATGGGCAACAGAAAAAGAGTTTTATATATAGAGAGTGTCTCTTCTCACAAAGATACTAATCTTGTCAGATTAGGGTCCCCCACACTTATGACTTCATTTTACTTCAATTACCTTGATTATTATTTTAGAAGCCCATCTCCAAATCTAGTCACACTGGATGCTAGGGCTTCAACATATGAATTTTGGGGAAGATACAGACTTTCAGTCCATAATAATATTGTAACAACCTTGTTATCGGACCTCCCTCTACTGTCCAAATTTGGTTGCTGCTGCAATATTGTGAGCAGTTTGACATGGTTTCAGTAATGACCTGGGGATAGTACTCCCCTCCTCTTTACCTTGGCTAAGCTGAAATCTGGGTTAAATCTAATAGTCATAACATTCTGAGAAAAGAAATTTTCCATGGAGCTGGATGTTTGGACATTATACCTACTGTGTTCTGAGGATGAATGCTGTTTTTTTGTTTATTTGTTTTTGTTTTTTGAGTTCCAAGAGAGTGCAGTTCCATCTTGGCTGCAAGATGGCTGGCTTTTCACGGTATTGCACTACTGAGATGTGGAGAGCTGGGGAGTGGAAATAGCCCAATCTAAATGTCACAGATGCCTGTTGTCTAAAGAGATTCAGTATTTTCTCTTGCATAGATGATTTTCAGTTTATTTATATTCTGATCACTCCCATTGACCCCATGGGTGAAGGAGGGTTCCTTTGCGCTAAACAATACAAAATGGCCAAATACATTACATTTGACGCTGGGCAGATGAGACTGGGAGCAGCTTATTAGTTACATATACTCAGCCTGGGGAGGGAGAACACCATATGCCACATGGGAGTGGTGCTTGGAAATAGAGTGAACCAGAAAGGACTGTGAAGGACAAGCTTTGTAATAACAGAAGGATGGTGTGCTCCTTATTTCTGACAGGAAAATGTGATTGGCTCATTTGAATAATTTTGCAGGCTGGAAAGGAGGTGAAACTGGTTAGGTAGAGGGCCAGGTAGAATGCAGCTGATGCAGTGGATAGAGAATCACCTCAGTGAGGAACCTGTCCTGCTGGGAGGGAGGCATATCTGCCAAGATCAAGCAAACCCATTGCTGAGCCTTTGGGCCCTATAAGGCTCAAAGAAAATAAGGCAGCACATGGCCTTAAAATGTCTGTTCTAATATATTGGCCTTATAACATAGTTTTTTGGCTTTGGTTAATTTCTGGAGTTCTAGAAATGATTACTTTTATTGTTTTGTCAGTATTTTGTTGTTTTTGTGAGAGACTGAGTGTTTCACTGAGATTTTCATTCCACCATTCTGTAAGTCAATCTCTAGTCTTCCTTTATTTGAATATTAGAATTGGGCTATTTGCTGGTGAAAATTTCACCATTAAATGAAATAGGTGATTGAGACACTGGGAAATACTTTATCAAAGTGACATTTTTCAAAGGATTACTATTCTGCTTGAAATTTTTCAAATATATCAGTTGTTTTTGTAGATTTTAAAAAGGAGCACAACATACAGAAGGAGCAGAAAAGAACTAAAGGTGTTATTCTAAAATGTTAGCAGTGACTGACTTTCCCCTCTGTGTGATTTGTTACAGCAACATTTCTTCTGTCTTTATGTTATTTTATATTTTATAAATTTCTATAGTGAGCATATATCACTTGAATAGTTAGAGGAATGCAAAAGAAGACTCTTTTTGAACTGGTTGGCATTTGACAATGATAATTTGGAATCATGACATGTCATTATTAGATATTAATAATGCAGTCAGGAGTAATTTATTAGATAGGCAATATAGTGTGAGAGAAAAAACATGATATTTGAAGTTAGACATATCTGTTTTAAGTCTTAATTCATTATTTTATCTCACTACTATATTCAAGTATTAGCTTCCATGTCTTTAAAAAAGAAAAAAATAAAACCTTATAAGGTTGTCATAAGAATTAAGATAACACATTAAAAAGTTGGTAATTAGTAAGCTCCTAATAAATGTTAGTTCACCTTTCCTTCCACAGCAGATATCAAGGAGTGCTGAAGAAGTAATACATAAGAGTGGTAATATGAAGAGTAGGTGAATGAAGAGAAAGAAAAGTTTTGTGAATTACACTCACAACAACCTAATGGAGTGTTGGGCAGTGGGCACTTGTTTAGAGAGAAAGGCAGGAATGATACCAAGATGTTGTAAAAACTGAACATCACCAATTTAACTTTTGGGATTTTACCAGGATCTGGTTTATTATCTCTGCAATATAGACCAATGGATTTTTATTTCAGTTTATTTTTCTCAGCCGTGGTTGATTCACGCTTACCGTACACTTATTCTAAAGGTACTCTATGGTTTCTATATTTACCCTGCAGTTACTTTTTTCTCTCTGATTGTTGTGTATGCTTAGCTCTTTGACATTCTTATACTATCAAGATACCACAAAACGTATTTTTATAATTTCAATAATTTTCTGTCCTTAAATATTTGTGTTTTCTACATGTTTATGTAATTTAAAAAAAAATCATTTCAGGAATTGTGCAGTGGATATCAGATACCACATACTTGAAGTTACTTCTCTCTTTTCATTTTGGCTTCCTTATCTGAGACCCTCACTTTTAAAAATAAGTTGGTATTTATAATAAAAATTATATCTGCATATAAAATTATGCTATGTATATGTCTGTGTAAAGATGAATATGACTATATGTTTTATATAAACTTACAGATGTATATATATATAAAGTCATAGCAAATTACAACATAATAAAATTATAGTGTAAGCTATATGTAATCCAATAGTCAATTGTCATTTGGCCTTTTTAAAAATGTTTAACTTTTTGTTTAACCAATAAAATTGAGTTAGTATAAAGAGAATAGCAAAGACTTGAAAATTTATTTCTATAATTTAAGAAACTATTAAATTTTATAACTAGTTTTAGTTATTAAGTATAGTTTTAAAAATTTAGTATGTATCATTAAAATAAATATTTCACATTGTCAACCCTTAATACCTAATGGAAACTGATATCTGGTTAATTCTATATGAAATTCCTACGATCATTGACTATTGTGAAATAATTTTTTCTAAAGCTATTATGTACTGAAAATGTGGTCAAAGGATGAGAAATCCAGCTGCGTCTATTATTGCAGGAGATTTGGAATAAGAGCTCTACAATATGTTTCTCAAAAACTATAAATAATCTGTACTCTAAAGAATTTTTTTTCCAGCAGGAATAAAAAGCCCTGAAGAAACCTGTGAACACTTTGTCATTTCTGCAAAACTATGAAAACAGTAAAGCAGCTAATTTACTCATCCGTGATTTCCCCAGGTGGCTGAGTTCCCATTAACTCACCAGAGAATGAGATGCAGACCCAGTGCCTTTACATGTCATTTTGACAAGACATAATGTCCGATCTTGTTTGTGTACGCCTTTTCCTTCTACCCCTAGTCTGCTTCACTACTGGTGGTCTGCCCGTGTGCAACACAGATGTTTCTCTCTCGGCTGCATGCTTTATTTTTCAAGTCGCTTCGGAGAGCATATGTTTCCATGTGAGCCTGTTCCTTCCTTCTCCCAACATCTTCTTGTGCTACATAAACAATCTTCATCTGCCCCCTCAGATGTGGGGTGCACGAGCCTTTCACAGATGTCGATTTCTTTTTCAGCCTTTTTGCCTCTGGTGAACATGGTCTTCAGATAATGTCTCTCTTCCTTCTCTGTTCCAAATGACTCGGAATGCAGATTTTTTCCCTCCTTTCAACTCAGTTTCCTTCTGTGACCCCAGCATGTTTTCTTGTCCTTTCTTCTAAGTCTCTCTTTGTACAAGCTCTCCAGATGGGATAAAGGATGAGTTCTTTCTGCCCCTCATTTTATTCTCCTTACAACTATTTCGTTCGCAAGAATAGGAAGAGACAAACTTCACAGGCTAAATATTTCTAATGCATGACCACCTACATTTTTCTGATTTGTTTCTTTGACGTTTAGTGTTCTTTCACATTTAATTAATTAATTAATTAATTAATTTATTTATTTATTTATTTTTTGCAGCTGCCATGTTTAATTTTTTCATTTTTGCTAATTCATTACAAAGAAGTAAAAAATACATGTACATGTACATATTTATGACATACACATATATAAAACACAAAGTAACAGCTACTTTAATGTGTTTTTTTACTTTTATAAAACAGAAATTTCTGCTTCTCTTTTATTCATTCAACACGTATTTGTTGAGTATGTCTTAAGTGCCATGAATTTTTCTGAGTAGCAGCATTTAAGCAATAAATAAAATAGAGGATATCTCCCTTTTCAAGGAATTTATATTCTAGCATGAGAGACAGACAGATAATAAACAAGTACACAAATAAGGTAATTATGAGAGGATGCCAGTCGAGCTGAAATCTGGATAACAAGCAGGAGTCTTAATAAAAAAAATCAGGTAATAAGAACTTCAGGCAGAAAGAACAAGTGCAAAATCCCTATAGAAGGATGGATGTGTGCATTATTAGGAAACAGAAGTGAGTCCCCTGTGGCTGAAGTGTCATCATAAGCATGATGGGGAAGGCTAGATGCAGGGTTGGAGTGGTAGTCAGGGGCCAGATCATTTAGGACTTTTGAAGACTGGGTAAGGATTTTCCATTTTATTCTAAATGCTCTAGGAAGCCATGAAAGCTTTTAAGCAAGGAAGTGACATGATCTGATTTATGTTTTTAAAACATTAATTTGGCCCTGTGATAATTTATTATAGCAGGCTGAAAGGTAGAAGGGAGGCCACACATATGATGCTTTATAATTATGAACCTTAATATAACTGTGATCAAGCACAAAATGATTTATTTTCAGGGAAGACTTTGCTAACTCTTGTGGTTTTGCCATCTCTTCTCTTAACAAATCTGCAGTGTTTTTAGTAGAATGATAATGGCCTCTCCATATTTCAATCAAATTCCTTACCTTGGCATAAAAAGATTTCCAGGAATTTACCCTTCAACCTCTTTCCTTAACTTGGGGTTGTCTAGTCCCATCACCAACATACTGTATTGTAAGCCTTTGCCTCAGATCTATTGAACCACATCCTGATTCCTTACCAGGCCTTGTGCCTCCTGTGTCTGCCTCTGTTCACCCTGCTCTCTTGTTTGGGAAACATCATCTCCCTCTCCCTCTCCACCCTCCAGAAAGCTTCCTCTACAAACCTTTCTGCCCACCTTGTATGTACTCTCTCCATATCCTGCAGAGGCTTCTGTCAACGTGGCCAAAACGTAAATCTTTATGAACGACTAGAGAAGACTAGAAAATGCTGGAAAGCTACCAAAGACAAACATTGCTGAGGACTTTAAGGGTAAGATAAGGACTTGTTGACTTTAGCCCCAAGGTTGTAGAAGGACTTCAGAAGAATTTCAGTGGGAGAGTAACAAGATCTGAATTGCCTTTTAGAAAGTTCATTTTGGTGATACACTGGCAAGAGGAGCAAGTAGAATGACAAAATGAGATTACAAGAAGGCTATTGTATTTGGGCAGATAAGACATGGTGGGACTTGAAACATTTATATACATAACATGCACACACAGAGAGATGTAATAGAGAAAATGGAGAGGAAAGGATATATGTTAGGGTTCTCTAGAGGGACAGAACTAATAGGAGATATATATATATATATATGTATATATAATATATATAGTTTATGTATATATATAAGAAAAGAAAGTTTATTAAGTATTAACTCACCTGATCACAAGGTCTCACAATAGGCCATCTGCAAGCTGAGGAGCAGAGAGCCAGTTCGAGTACCAAAACTGAAGAACTTGGAGTCAGATATTCGAGGTCAGGAAGCATCCAGCATGGAAGAAAAGTGTAGGCCGGGAGGCTAGGCCAGTCTTGTCTTTTCACATTTTTCTGCCTGCTTTATATTACAGCCATGATGGCAACTGATTAGATGGTGCCCACCCAGATTAAGGGTGGGTCTGCCTTTCCCAGCCCACAGACTCAAATGTTAATCTCCTTTGGCAACATCCTCACAGACACACCCAGGATCAATACTTTGCATCCTTCAATCCAATCAAGTTGACACTCACTATTAGCCATCACAGGATGCATTCATGAATACTTAAGCAATATTTAATTGATAAGTAATATGTAGTGGAATGCAATTCAATAAGAGAAAACTCATCAGGTGAGTGGTTTTTGCAGGACAACAGGTGAGAACTGGGCAACAATTGTTGTCAGTTGTGAAGAAGCAATTCTGTCATATGGATGGTGTTCTCATTTTTAATCCTAGACCTATTTAGATCATGTTACAGAAATTCTCACTTTTGCTGGTTGCCAACATACACAGTGAGGGAATCTCAATATTAAGCTGTTAAGATGGCTATATAAATTCTTAAAATCTACAGAGCCAGGTTCCAAATCAGTCTGTCCCTTCAGAAAATGACATGGCATCTGTTCCTTGCTTGCTGGCTGGCTGTACATACTTTTCACTAGACCTACATTTTAGAATTACCCAGTGCTGTCAGAATGATTGTAATTCTGCTTTCAGGTAAAGATAGCCTGTAATAATAATGCTTAGTGATTCATAATGTATCAACAAATAACATTAACTATTTTACGTCCTAGTCGTAGTGCCTGAAGATGTTCATTAGATTTCTGTGTATAGTAAGGTACCCTGCTAAAATTTTTCTTTTTTTCAGTTCTGTATATTTTAAAAAAGCAGTATGTTTTCTGATGGTTACCTGCACTGGCATTCTATATGAAAAATAAAGACTTATTGTCATAAAAAAGTTATTAGAATTCTTTTTTGTGTCAACACTGTGCTTTCCATTTTATGAAATTACCTTCTTGTTTCTCTGTTATTTGCCTTTATTTACCTCATTGTGATTTACGTTTTCCATTTTTTCTGTGAATGAATTTTGAATGTCTTTACTACTGGTTGTAGTACTAAAGTAGAAGAATTAGGCATTCCCATACTTAATCCTTATAGATGAAATAGCAGTGTTCTCTGGTGTGCAAGTGCTGTGGTAGGAGCAAGCTGGGTGAATTGGAGATACACCATTTTGGGACACAGGAGAAATGGTGGCAGGGCCTGGTATGGTTTAGGTGCTTTTGCTCCTTCCCTCACCATCTTGTCATAATGTCTCTTTCATACTATTACCAAATTCTTTGACTTCTAATTAATAGATAAGCAATAACTATTTACTTAGTGAATATTTCATATTTTCCTCACAATTAGATAATAACAAGCTTCTTTGATAGAGAAGCTTAAGGGCCTCCAAAACCTGTGCAAATATCCAGGTTTTTATTTTTAAGTCAACTTCCTTTTCTGCCACTTATTTTTTTTTTGAACTTAAAAACCCACATTCAGATTTGTTTACAGAGAATACACATTCTTTTGCCTTAATTGTTGTGTATCTCCCTAACTCCCTTTTGAGTTCAACTCCATAAACGGAAAGAAAGTAGAGGATTTGATAATGCAAATCCAAAGAACATTGCCAAGTCACTTACACTGAAGCACAAATAATATGGTCATTCTAGGCATTGAGGATGTTGGAAGAAGAGAGTTTGCAATTTTAGCTAGAGTGGCCAGAAAAGGCCTCACAGAGAAGATGACATTTAAGTAAGACCTAAAGGAGAGGAAATGGTGAGTAATGTAGACATCTTGGGGAAGATTTTTCAGACAGATGCAGCAGGAGATGTAAAGGCCCTGAAGTGTTTGCATACCTGGTGTCTTCAAGGGACAAGAAGATGAGCTATAGCTGGAGAGGATTAAGGACGACAGTAGAAGTAGATGAAAATGAAGAGGTAAGTGAAGGAGGTTGGGTCAGGCAAATCTCATAAGGCCTTCACATCATTGTACTCCGAATCAAGGCAGAGGCCATTAAAAGATTTTCAGCAGAGGAGTAACTTGATTTGACTTAGTTTTCATAGGTTCATTTTGCCTGCTGTGTGGAAACAGACTGTAGAGGAGAAAGGGTGGAAGCAGGGAGACTAGTGATGTGGGGGTGTCTCCTGCACAATTCTCATGTTGAAATGTAATCCCCAATTTTGGACATGGGGCCTTGTGGGAGGCGTTTGGATCATGGCAGTGGTTCCCTCATGTCTTGGTGCTGTCCTTATGATAGTGAGTTCTCATGAGATCTGTTTGCTTAAAAGTGTGTGACACCTCCCCCCAACCTTGTTCCTGCTCTTGCCATGTGATGTGCCTGCTACCTGAGGGCTTCACCAGGAGACAAGCAGATGCTGGTGCCATGCTTCCTGCATCCTGCAGAACCATGAGTCAATTAAAATTCTTTTCCTTATAAATTACCCAGTCTCAGGTGTTTCTTCATAGCAATGCAAAGAACAACCTAATACAACTAGTTAGCCATGTAATAATCCAGACTGGAAGTACTGGTGGCGCAAAATAGAGTGGTAGCATTTGAAGGAGTGAAAAATGGTTGGATTCCTGAATATGTGAATTGGAGAAAAGGAGGAGTAAAGAATGAACTTGAGGTTTAGGCTTGTGCCACTGGAAGAATCAGTTTTTTTCATTGAAATGGAAAAACTATGAGTTAAGGGTTGATTTGGTGGAAAGTTTAGGGTCTCATTGTTAGATAAATTTTGAGATATTGATTAGACATTTACATGAGTGTCAAGTAGACAGAAAAGAACTGTGAAAACCATTACTATAAAGATAACATTAAAAGCCATCGGACAAGATGAGATCACAAAAAGAGTGAGTACAAATAGAAAAGAAAGAACATTCAGGGACTGAGCCCTGGGATAATTCTATGTTTAAAGTTTCGGGAAATCTGAAAAAATAATTAAAACAAACAGAAAGATATTCTCAAACAGCTTGACAATAATATTCAGGTGAAAAAATTATGATTTTGTCTATTCTTTTTGTATATTCTAATATAAGTAGGTAATACATTTTATATTGTTTTATAATTTATAATTTACATGCAATAAAGCACGATTTTCAGTTGTTCAATTTTATGAGTTTTGACAATTATATAAACTAATGCGACTCTTTAAAAATAAGATATGAAATATTTTCATGACCCCACAAAATTCTCATGTGTCCTATTGCAGTTAATTCCCTGCCCTCATATACATGTAATTGTTTCTTGACTCCAATCATCATAGATTAGTTTTGCCTGCCAAGAGTTTTATATAAATGACTTTGTTTCGCTTTTTATCAGCATTATTTCTACAGTGTACATGATTACATCACACTGCATACATCAGTAGTTTTTCCTTTTTATTGAGAGGTAAATATTTCATTTTACATATGCAAAATGATAGTATATCGTTCTCCTGATGATGGACATTTTAGTTGTTTCCAGTTTTATGCTATTACAAATAAGACTGCTGTGGACATTTTTATACAAGTCTTTTCTGGGATATATGTTTTCATTTTATTTGATCATAGGTACATGTAATCTAACTTTGTAAGAGATAGCCAAACAGTTCTGAAAAATACTTATACCATATTATACTCCCAGGCAAAATATTTTTAAACAGATAATAGTTATTTTCTTTAAAAATTGCTCTGAGAATTACATAATTTTAAATATTCATCGTACTCTTTACTGTACATCCGTGATCTAACATCTTGTCAAAATATTCTCTTTTTTTTTTTTTGAGACAGAGTCTCGCTCTGTCGCCCAGGCTGGAGTGGCAAAATCTCGGCTCACTGCAAGCTCCGCCTCCCGGGTTCACGCCATTCTCCCGCCTCAGCCTCCTGAGTAGCTGGGTCTACAGGCGCCCCACACCATGCCTGGCTAATTTTTTGTTTTTGTATTTTTAGCAGAGACGGGGTTTTACTGTGTTAGCCAGGATGGTCTCGGTCTCCTGACCTCGTGATCTACCCGCCTCAGCCTCCCAAAGTGTTGGGATTACAGGCATGAGCCACCGCGCCCAGCCGTCTTGTCAAAATACTCTAAGAGTAAGTTTTTGAAGATTTTACTACGGCATAAGGAGAAGTCACAAATTGATAAGTGCTACTGGAACAGTTTGTGAAAAATTGTTCATTAGTAAATTAACCATTATATGCAAATTAATTTAATAAACTCTCGACTCAAGCAAGGATGGGAAGGAGCTTTCTCTACTTCTTTATGTGAGAAGTTACATCCCTAACAGGAGTGATCTCAGTCTATGCTTCATTCAACTGTATCCATCTTACAACTTTCTTCTTTCCTTTTTTCTTTTTCTTCCAGCTTCATCTGTTTAGAATCAAAAGTGCGGAAGACCTGGGAATTATGTAATAAGGATAGCAGAATAATCCTCGTCACTGACAGGTGGTGAGCTGTAAAGTGTTCTTTTGTTGCAGTGGCAGAGATTTCAGCAATGGAGGGAAATCCAGTGGCCAAGATGCTTACCTGTCTCGGTGTCCAGCATGTGTCCTGGAGGAGTGCCCCTAAAGCACCTTCAGCTGTTTATTTAAACACTTGACTCCAGGCTCTGATGCATTTTAATTTTTCAACATTTAAATTTAGCTGTTTTAATGAGGTTTTAGTTTTAATAAGTAACAAAAGATTTTTTCAGTATTAATTATCATGAGGTCTTAAACTCTGTAATCTATATAAAACTCAGAGAGAACCTGTCTTGAGTAGTTTAAATCTCTAATTAAATCAGTATTTCTACCTAGCAACAGAGTAGCAAAAGTATTAATTCAGTGGTTCTCAATAGGGGTAGGGGAGCAGATTTTGACCGCCAGCCCAGGGCACATTTGGCAATGTCAAGATGTTTTTCGCTGTCATAACTTACGGAGGGGATAGGTGCTACTGGCATCTAGTGGGTAGAGGTCACGGATGCTGCTGAATATCCTGCAGAGCTCAGGACAGCCCCTATCTCCATAAAAACTTTTCTGGCCCAGAATGTCAATAGTGCAACTGTTGAGAAACCTTCTATAAAATGATTGGTGTGGGTAAGAGAATATACTAAAATGCTAAAATAGCAGGCTTGAAATTATTTGCATATCAGGAGAGTGGAGTTTATAACTGACTGACTAAAAACTCTGGTGTAGGACCTATCCTCCAGAGGCGATGCTAAATCTGCGGATAGGACACTAAATCAGCATCTGTAAAATTTGAAACATATCTCCACGGTGGGGTCAGACCAAAGAATGGTAAATGTTGCTTTGATTTTAAAAAGTTGGAAATGATGTTTCTCAGAGGAAATACTAGGTCTCAGTTGAGCTGTGAGAGGGGGCAGGTTGCTATGTTTTTTTCTCTACAATAGTGCACAGTGTCTTTTGAATGGGAGAAGTTCTGAATACCCTACTGAAGTAGCCCCTGCTGCAGTGTTCTCTACCATGACATGCTCTTTTTGCTTTCCCAGCACTTTTATTAACTTTTAATTAATTTTTATTGTTCATGTTGCTATTGCTATTAGTCTACTGTCTGTCTCATTGGACTGTAAGCTCTATGAGAGTGGCAAATATATAGTATCACTTAATATTGTATGTCTAGTAGCTACCAGAGTGCCTGCCGTTATAACGAGCATGGATAAATTTAATATTTTTGAATTAAATGAATGAATTAAACATGTTTGTAGTGTGACTTCTTAGCATAATGCATCCATTTTCAACAGCAGAGAATCTTCTACCATACAAAGAGAACATTTCCTCAGAAAGTTCTTACTTTCTCTTTTGTCATATTCCTCTTATTAAGAAAAATTCAAGAATTGGCAACTAGGACCCCTTTATTTGATCCATTTCCCTATTGATTATGTGTAAGGACCTTGAATCATTGAACAATCTCTGGAAAATGTTTCTCTTCCTGAGTTATTTAAAGAAAAGAGAATATGAGTGTCAATAGTCATACAGAAGGTACTGTTGCCTGAATACTATGCCCCTAATTTTAATAGTCAAAAGGCAGCGAATTTCCTTCCAGGCTTTTACAGAACGGAGTTAAAACTAAGTCTGCATTTACACGTGGACCATCAAAATTTTAACAATTAGACGCTGGGTAAGTGGCTTAAAACACTTTCATTGAAATTTTTGTACCTTTCCCTAATTAGGCATTCAAACAATGGACACATGTGGAATCTGCCAGCCCCAAGTTCCCAGCAGCTCTTAGTAAAGGTGATTGATGGCTACATAAAACATGATCTTAACTTTAGGCTTCCTTAAGCAACTATGTATTTATCTTAAATATTTCTAGTCCGATTGTCCCAGGTTCAACTGGTACCTGAGAATCCTTGGAAGTGGGACCATTGACTGATTTAGTTCAGACTTTCCAGCTTACAGCTGACTCCCTTTACCACAGACATTCTTATCTTTAAAGTGCTACCTGAGGTCTTTTTAGTGATATTTACCAATTTTTAAAATTTTGAGTGTTTCAGTATGGTGGCAGTTTCATGTTGGTGTTATCCCAGGAAAAGTTTCCTAAAACTTGGAAATGAGGCAAAAAGATGATTACAGTCATTTCAATATCATGTTACAGAAGTGCCTCTCGAAGTTTAATGTGCTCCTGAATCACCTGGAAATATTTTCAGATTGTAGATTCTGATTCAGTGCATCTGGGGTGGGGCCCCCAGATACTCAATTTTAAATAGTCTCAGGTGGTATCAATGCTCCTGAATCATAAGCCACATTTTGAGTAACAAGATGCTAGGGCAAATTTTTGAAAACCCATGTAAAAGTCCATGTCTCTTTCTAACGCAGTGGTTCTCAAACTTGCTTGCATCTTAAAATCACCTGGAGAGGTTTTAAAACTCCTTCTACTCAGACCTCACCTGTTTCCAACTAAATGAGAATATCAGAGGTAAGACATACTTATTGGCAGCTTAAAAAGCTTCCCAGATGTTTCTAATATTCTCTAACAGAATATGGCTTTGTTTACAGTACAGATTAAGGGCATTTTTTATACTTCTGTAAAACTGGTAAGGCGTGATGGTTTTGTTTTCCTGTAATTTTACCAACTTTGTGTCTAATTTGGCACTTTATTTCAGGTTTTTCTTTTTTCCTACTGACTAAAAGTTTCTGTTTTTCAAATACTGTTTGGAACTACTTTGTCATCTTGCTAGTTCCCACATTAATGAGTGAAATGAAACTTTGACACAGAATGCTTTGATGATTTTTATTCTATCCAATCTATTACCATAATTTCTTAGCTAGTAGCTGTATTTTCTTTTTGAGCAGCAGCCAATCTTTATGGGAAGTTGGTAAAGAATATATTATAAATAAATTCATACACTATTTTGGTGTCTCCCCACATCTATCTAATAATTCATTACTAGTTCAGTAATTGTTGACATACTTGATCTTAAAGTACGTTTCTGGAGATCAGATTTACATTCTGACCAGGGCCAATGACTACATTTGGAAGAAAGTTCCCTCTTTTTTTTTTTTTTTTTTTTGAGAGAGTCTTGCTCTGTTGCCCAGGCTGGAGTGCAGTGACACAATCAGGATTCACTGCAGCCTTGACCTCCCAGACTCAAGCAATCCTCCTGCCTCAGCCTCCCAAAGTGTTGGGATTACAGTCTTAACCACCAAGCCCAGCCAAGTTCCCTCTTTTATTTACAAGAAAAATGCCATGGCATAACCTTTAGCTGGTTTGTATTTGGAGTTGTTCTCCCACAGTGGGGATAAGTTAGGTCTACTTCACCTATACTTTTTCCTTATGACTGATGGCTCCCATTTTCAGGATGTCAGTCCTGGGTCTGAGGGACTGCCTGTAGCAAAGTAAATTGGCCCACTTAGGGATCAAACCTGTGAACTTGTCTTCATCAACACTGTACTCCTACCAGAGGTGTGAACCTGCCATTTTTATCAGCTGATTGATTTCACTGAAAGTTATTATTCTGAAATTGTTCTGCTTCTTAGAGAAAGGAAATATTGTATTAGAGATGGGTAAAAGTGCAGTTACTCTTGAGTTTAAAATATATATTATAAAACTAAAATTCAATGAAAAAATTCAGCTAAAAAGATATTTATGTATTTAAAAAATTCCCAAACAAATCAGTCAGTAAGGGTACTTAGCCTTAGATAAGTTCATATTATCCCTTCTTTTTAGGTCTTACCTCTAATATTTTTCAACTTAAAGTTTATTTTACCAACATAGCTACATTTATTGCCAATTTCCATAATATACAATAACCATTAAAAGTGGCTACTGTTATCTTAATAAAGCTGCTTTTCTCAAATGATTTGTAAACTGGTCTTGAAGGCTTTTCCCAAAGGCATTTTTTTAAACTTTTGTTTTCGATAAGGAGATACATGTGCAGTTTTGTTACATGGGCATATTGCACCCAGGTAGTGAACATAGTACCCAATAGGTAGTTTTTCAACCCATGCCCTACTCCTTTCCTCCCTCCTCTAGTAGCCCACAATGTCTATTGTTCCCAGGTTTATGTCCATGTGTGTTCAATGTTTAGCTCCCACATATAAGTGAAAACATGTAGTATTTGGTTTTCTGTTTCTTCATTAATTCACTTAGTATTATGACCTCCAGCTCCATCCATGTTGCTGCAAAAAAATACAATTTCATTCTTTATGGCTGTATAGTATTCCACAGTGTATATGTACCATGTTTTCTTTATGCAACCCACTATTGATGGGTACATAGATTGATTCCATGTCTTTGCTATAGTGAATAGTGTGGCGACGAACATATGGTTGCATGTGTCTTTTTTGGTACAATAATTTATTTTTCTTTGAATATATATCCAATGATAGCATTTCTGGGTCAAATGGTAGGTCTGTTTTAAATTCTCTGAGAAATTTCCAAACTGTTTCTATAGTGGCTGAACTAATTTACATTCCCACCAACAGTGTATAAGTATTCCCTTTTCTCTGGAGTCTAACCAGCCTCTGTTATTTTTTGACTTTTTAATAATAACCATTCTGACTGGTGTGAGATGGTATTTCGTTGTGGTTTTAATTTGCATTCCTCTGATGCTTAGTGAAGCTGAGTATTTTTAAAAACATGTTTGTTGGCTACTTTTATGTCTTCTTTTGAGAGGTTTCTGTTCATGTCCTTTATCTATTTTTAAATGGGGTGATTTGTTTTTTGCTTTTTGATTTAAGTTCCATATAGATTCTGGAAATCAGACTAAGGCAGTTTTTAATATTTTAAGATAACAGAAATTTAATAGAACACGTAAAATATGTCATAATTAATATTATGAAGGTCATTACTTTGATATTAACTTTCTGGAAGTTTTGCATTTTGTTCTATTTTGATTCGGTATTCACAAGAACAATATTCTAGCATTTTTTAAAGGCAGTATTGACATGACTCGTTCTAATTAAGTAAATGATGTTTTTGCTTTAATCAAATATTTTGGAAGAAACAACAAGTTTACATGCCAAGTGTCAGAGAGAAAAGAAGCCACAGAAATGTATCATTTTACGATTTAAGTACTTTGATAGTTAGGTTTCATTTTTAAAGCAAATACACGTAATATTTTTGTATATTGTTTGCTTAAGTCTCATGACCATGAAATTACAACACCTATTTGAGCATCCTCCATGTACCACAAGCAAATACTTATTATCAATGAATTGGTACATTTATTTGTTATTGAAAGTTTGGCTATTAAATGTTTAGCTTAATTTTGGGGAGATTATATTTTAAGATAACTCTTAAAATATGATTAACCAGCTGACAAAAGGTATAGTCAAAATAGATTTTTCTGCTACCAGTGAAAATAATTGTCTTTTTCAAAGTATAGTTGCCATTAATGTAGTCTGCAGTCTTCAACTATAAATAACCTGATAAACTAGAGTAGACTGTTCTGTTGACTTTGTGAATGGTCACAGCTTAAAAGGAATGAAAACAAAAATGTATTTTTTCAGGAAAGTTAAAATAAACATATTTTTAAAATAATAATTTAAATTAGAAATAGTTTATTAAGAGTTTTTTTTTAATTCATGAATGGATGTTGGATTTGTCAAATGCATCTTCTGTATCTATTTATACAATTATGCAATTTTTCTTCTTTAATCTGTTGATGTGATGGATTACATTCATTGATTTCAAATGTTAGACCAGCCTTGCATAACTGGTATAAATCCCTCTTTGTTATAGTGCATAATTCCCTTAACACATTGTTGGATTTGATTTGCTAATATTTTGTTGGGGATTTTTGCATCTTTGTTCCTGAGAGATGTTGGTCCGTGATTTTCTTTTCTTATAATATCTTTGACTTCTTTTTTTTTTGGTATTAAGGTAATGCTAGCCCTATAGAATGAGAAAGTTAGAAAGAATTCCCTCTCTCTCTCTCTCTCTTTCTCTCGAAACAGATTCTTGCTCTGTTGCCCAAGTCAGAGTGCAGTGGCACAATCTTAGCTCACTGCAACTTCCACCCATCACTCCCCTCCCACAGGTGTGAGCCACCCCGCCCAGCTAATTTTTTATATTTTTAGTAAAGATGGGGTTTCACCATGTTGGCCAGGCTGGTCTCAAACTCCTGATGACAAATGATCTGCCCTCCTCAGCCTCCCAAAGTGCTGAGATTACAGGCTTGAGCCACAGCACCCAGCCTTCCCTCTACTCTTATCTTCTGAAAGAGACTACCAAGAATTGGTAAATTTCTTCCTTAAATGTTTGGTAGAATTTACAAGTGAACCCATCTAGGCCTGGTGCTTTCTGTTTTGAAACTTTATTAATTATTGATTCAAATTATTTAATAGATATAATTTTATTCAGATTGGCTATATCAGAGTTTTGGGCAGATTGTATCTTTCAAGAATTGATCTATTTCATCTAGGTTATCAAATTTGTAGACATAGACTTATTCATAGTATTTCTTGATGATCTGTTTAGCGTCCATGGGATCTATAATGTTGCCCCTCTTTCATTACTGATTTTAATAATTGTGTTCTCTCTCTTTGTTTTTAGCTAGGCTGGCTAAAGTTTAATTAATTATATTGTTCTTTTCAAATAATGAGCTTTTGGTTTTGTTAATTTTTCTCCACTGATTTTCTGATTTCAAATGTATTGATTTCTGGTCTAATTCTTTTTTTCCTTCTGCCTATTATGATTTTAATTTACTCTTTTTCTCTCTAGTTTCCTAAGGTTTAAATTTAGATTATTGATGTTTAGATCTTTGTTTTTTTTCTAATATATTCATTCAGTGCTATAATTTTCTCTCTTAGCTCTGATATTGCTCCATCCCAAAAAGTTGATAAATTTTTTCATTTTCATTTAGTTCAAAATATTTAAAAATTATTTTTGAAATTTCTCATTTGATTCATGTGTTACTTAGAAGTGTGTTACTTAGTCTCTACAACTTTTGAAACTTTCCAGTTATCCTTCTCTTATTGATTTCTAATGTAATTCTATTGTGGTCTGAGACAAGACATTGTGTTATTTCTAACCTTTTAAATATGTTACAATGTGTTTTACTGCCCAAAATATAGTCTGTCTTGATGAACATTCCATGTGAGCTTGAGGAAAATGTGTATTCTGTTGCTATTGAGTAGTTTATTAATGTCAATAATATCTAGTTGATTGATGGTGTTGTTGAGTTCAACTATACCCTTTTTAATTTTCTGCCTGCTGTATCTGTCCATTTCTGATAAAAGAGTGTTGAAATCTTTAACTGTAATAGTGGATTTATCTTTCCCATACAGTTCTATCAGTTTTTCTCTCAAATAGTTTGATGGTCTGTTGTTACATGTTAAGTATTGTTATGTGTTCTTGGAGACTGACTTCTTTATTATTATGTAATGCCTTTCTTTATCTCTGATAATTTGTCTTGCTGTGAAGTCTGCTCTGTTTGAAATTAATATAGTAATTCTACTTTCTTTTGATTAGTATTAGTATGGTATATTTTTCTTAATATATTTGCTTTTAAACTAAATATGTCTGTATACTTAAAGTGGGTTTATTTTATAGGCAATATATAGTTGGGTCTTGCTTTTCATTCACTTTACAGTATCTGTTTTTTAATTGGTGCATTTAGACTGTTGATGTTCAAAGTGATTATTGATATGGTTGGACTAATATCTATCACATTTGTTACTGTTTTCTATTGGTTGCTCTTGTTCTTTGTTCCTATTTTTGCCTTCCACTCTTCTTCTATTGTGTGTGTGTGTGTGTGTGTGTGTGTGTGTGTTTTCAGACAGGGTCTCTCTTGCCCAGGCTGGCGTGCAGTGGTGTGATCATGGCTCACTATGGCCTCAACCTCCCAGGCTCAAGCAATCTTTCCACCTAAGCCATCAAGTAGCTGGGACTACAGGTGCATATGACCATGCCAAGCTATTTTTTTTTTTTTTTTTGTAGAGATGGGGGTCTCATTATGTTGCTCAGGCTGGTTTCAAACTCAAGGCCTCAAGCAATCCTCTTGCCTCAGTCTCCCAAATGTTGGGATTACGAGTATGAGCTCTTTGTTGGTTTTAAGTGAGCATTTCATATTCTATTTTCTCTCCTTTCTTAGCATATCAGTTATACTTCTTTTATAAATTAAAAAAATGGCTTCCCTAGATTTTGCAATATACATTTACAACTAATCTAAGGTCACTTTCAGATAACACCATATAACTTCACAGGTTGTGTGAGTACTATATAATAACAAAATAATCCTAATTTCCCCATGTATTCCTCTTACAATTTCTGTCATTTATTTTATTATATATAAACATATGTAAATATATATACACAGAGAAGATATAAATGTGTGCATATCAAATACATTGCTGCTGTTATAATTTTAAAGAAACTATCTGTTAGATCAATTAAGAATAAGAAAAATAAAAGTTTTCACTTTACTTTCATTTATCCCTTCTTTAGTGTTCCTTTCTTTTTGTAAATCTTAGTTTCTGATCTGTCTCATTTTCCTTGTCTCTAAAGAACTTGTTTTAACATTTCTTCTAAGACGGGTCTACTAGCAACAAATTTCCTCAAACCTTGTTCATGTGAGAGGTCTTTATTTATCTTTTGCCTTTGAAGGATAATTTCACAGTACAGCATTCTAGATTGATGTTTTTGTCTGTGTCAACACTTTAACTATTTCATTCCATTGTCTTCTTGCCTGCATAGTTTCTGAGGAGAAGTCAGGTATGATTCTCATCTTCATCCTTCCATAGGTAAGGTCTTTTATCCTCTGGCTTCTTTCAAGATTTTTTTTTTATTTTCTGTCTGTAGTTTAAAAATGATATGCTTGGGTGTAGGTTTTTGTTTCGTTTCGTGGTTTTTGCATCTACCTTGCTTGACATTCTTTGAGCCTTCAAGAGCTATAATCTGACATTACTTGGGAAGAAATTCTGTCATTATCATTTTAAATATTTCTTCTATTCCTTGCTCTTTTTTTTCCTCCTTCTGATATTCTCATTATTCATATGTTGCACCTTTTGTAGTTTTCTCATAGTCTTTGGATTTTTTTTTCTATTTTATTCCCCGACTTTGTTCTCCTTGTTTTTCAGTTTGGAGGTTTCTACTGATATATCCTCAAGCTCAGAGATTCTTTCCTCAACCACGTTCACACAAATAATGAGCCCATCAAAGGCATTCTTCATTTCCATTAGTGTTTTTGACCTGTAGCATTTGTTTTTGGTTCTTTCTTAGAATTTTCATTTCTCTGCTTATATTGCCCATCTGTTCTTGCATGCTGTCTGTGCTATGTATTAAACCTCTTAACGTATTAACCATAGTTGTTTTAAATACTGATTTGATCATTTCAGCATCCCTGCCAGGACTGGTTCTATCTCTTCAAATTGTGTTTTTTGTTTCTTAGTATGCCTTGTAATTTTTTCTTGGTAGCTGTACATGATATACCAGGCAAAAAGAACTGCTATAAATAGACCTTTAGTAATATGGTGGTAAGGTGTTTGGCGGGGGAGGGAAAGTACTTGCTGGACCTATGACTGAGTTTCAGTCTTTTATTGAGACCTAATCATAGCTGCTGGACTGTGAAATTCACAAGTATTTTCTAGTCTCTCCCACCTCCCTTAGGTGAGACAGGATGTCTAAAACTGGCTGGAGTTGGGTATTCTCCCTTCCTCTGAGTCTGTTAGGCTCTGATAAAACCACCAGGAGATTAGGCCCTGGTTAAATACATTCTCCTGAGGGCAGGCCTTGTTAAGAAGTTGGGTGCTCTGGCATATTTCAAAATAGTTCCTTTGCCCCTCTCCTGCTGAAAGCACAAGGGAATTTTTCTCTATTTACTTTGAGAACCTGGTTGACTTCTGTAGGTAAAACTCACAAATGTGCAGGGACCCCCACAATAACTGAGTTTTCATGGAGTTTTTAATTCTCATACTCTCCACACCAAGCCTCCAGCAACTCATCAATTACAGTTCAAGTTTTCCTAATCCAGAACTGGCTCCTGAAGTGATTTCCACTCATGAGTTTCTGTTCTGGTAAGCTGTGACTCCCTGTAGTCACCTGTCTTTCTCCCAATTTTAGGTGTAGAAGTTTGCCCTGTGTCCTTACCTCTTTTATGAATTCAAGAAGAGTTCTTGGTTTTTTCAGTCTGTTCAGCTTTTCACTAGTTGTTAGAAAGGAGTGGCAACTTCCAGGATACTTACATGCAGAACTGAAAACTGAAAGTCTTAAGTTGGATTTTGAAAGAGAAAGGTAGCTTGATTTGTTAGAGAATTATATTTTATCTTCATGTTATTATTATGTATTTAATGCCCTTATTATAGCTTCAAGTTTTGGGGATTGATATAAACTCTGTTAGAGCATCTAATTTTACAAATTTTCTGTTAGTAGGTGCTTTTATTCAAGACTGTCTTGAATATTGCCATCTTAATCTGGCTTGTAAGGGAAGACTAGAGCTACAACATGTAAACAATATGATTAGGTAGCTATAGAGATATAAATGGAGATGAATCTTGGAGAGAAAGTAACAACAATATTCAGAGCAGTGTTTCTTAAACAAGAGTTAACTTGAGAATCCTTTATCGAACTTACTAAAATTATACAATTAAAGACCTTACCCCATTGCTCCTCTTCAATAGATCTGGATGTATTGCAGGCATTTTTAATAAAGCCTCACAGAAGATTCTCATGAATAACATTGAGAACCTTTGGGTTAGAGGTAACTCCGTAAATTAACTTGGGTTAACCCTCATATTTACTAACATTACTAGAGATAAATGTTTTGTATATTGCCCCAAAGTATGATTTTCTGAGATTACAAAAAAGTCGTATTATGTTAGCACATATGCATATGCATAATATGTGCATAATAGCACAGTAAAATCCATACCAAACACAAAAAAGCAGTTTAACAGTTTTAATTCTGTGCTTCTCAAACCCTTTAGTAACAGTGTACCAATTATCATCCTACTAAATTATTTTCCAAAGAAACAAATGTGAATAGAAATTTATGTTGGGGCTCTCAAGTATAACTGTGTCGACTTCAAAAATTAAGGATTTTTTAGTTAACTGCTTTTAGTCTATAAACTCAGTTATTTACTATAGGATTAAGATAGTTTGAATGATGTTTATTTTTCAACCCTTTTCTGTTCCATAAGTGTATACTTTTGAACTAGCCACTAGAACTTAATCAGCAATGTCAAATGAACTAGAAATATATTTTAAAAACAAAGTTAGATTTGCTCTTCTCAATATTTCGCTACACGGATTAATTCAGAATATTAAAAACACATTCTTCAAAGAACACACAGGTAGAACACAAGAATTTCAGAATTTAATGAGAAGAGTCAAGGTTTTTTGTTAATTGGTTTAATTTAAAACTACACTTTTGTTGCACTGTAGCTGATGATTTACTGACTGGATTAGCGTACTGAAAAGATACACATATTGTAAGGAATCAAAGCTTGCAGGTCAGAAGCAGAATATTTCTGAATTATCAGGAAAGCGATATGGAGAGTGCTGATCCACACTTCCCAGATAAGAAAGATTTCACTAATTTCTACCAGGAATACTTCATTGCGCTCTCATTCTTGATGCAGTGTTGCATAGTCTTTCAAAGTAACATCTTTTGGTGTTTCTGCCATGGCCAAAAGGTTTCATGGGGGTTGCTTCTATACTACATTTCTGGGTCTTCTTGGGCTGTGCCTAGTTATTTTTTGTGTAGTTTCCAGTTTTGCATAGATGTTTGAAGGTTTCAGCTCTGGGTGCCTGTGAATAAAGGTTATGCTGTATTTCCTGTTGTACTACCACTTTAATAAAAGTGGTGTAACTTCAAAGCACTATTTCCAGAGTATATAGTTCTTCTTTTATGAGGAAATGAATTTTTTTAGTGTTTGATAAGTTTTTATGGTTGTTGTTTTGAATTTTATATCTTTGCTACTATATAATATTAATCAAAGCTTCACCTTATTTATACAACTCCCAAGAAAACTGTAGACCTGTTCACTATCAAATGCTCAGTATTGTTGGCAGTATTATAAAATGATGAAAGCATGGCTACATGTGGCAAAAATACAGTTTACTAATGCAGCATGTATGCTATTGTGGCAGTATATTTTCCAAATGCTCATTTAAATTCTATTACTTTTTATTAATTCATGGCTATTTATTATTGAGATAGACCCAGCCAGTTTCTCAGTGTCTCTATTTTTTTTTACAAGTTTAACATAGACCTTTTTTCCAATGCAATATTCACCTTTAAATATTATGCCTTAAAGTAAATCAACTCTCTCTCTCTCTGTGTCTCTCTCTCTGTCTCTCTCTCTGTCTCTCTCTCCCTGCACACACACACACACACACACACACAAACACACACACATTTGAAATCCTAGCTATAATAAGGAGCAACAGACTAAAATAATACTAAAAGCCTCACCAGACTATTTCCAGGACTATTACAGCATTCCAAAAGCTTTTTTCAGTATCTTGTTGCTTTCAAAGTTTAATATTCCTGAAATATTTTCCATAACTGAATGGCCCATACTATAGGAGCTGTGAACCATAATAGCTAATTTAGCACCATTTTCTTATCTATACATTATTGTTTACATTAAAGGTGATATCTTTGGCAATCAATTTTAATGGGCAGGTATTAATTTTCGGTAGTGGCCTACATACAATGACAGTGATGAAGAGCATTGCAACAAAATGCTCCTGAATTAATCTGTCAGTTTGACCTAGTAACTGACATGCATACTAAAACACTGATGTGAATTGAAAATAAAATAACTGCACTTGACAGATATAATAGTTTAAGTGATTTCAAATTAACCACATCCCACTGACCACAAGTGAAGAATGTGTACTTTCCCCTGAAATGAAACGTGCTCTGGGAGCTCATTATATTGAGTGGAGTAAGTAAATTTAGAGTGGAGTAATTGATGCTGGGGAAGAGAGAGTAACAACTACTTAATGATTTTCAAACATACATATAGGTATTACAAGCACTTCATAAGTTATGTTCTCTTTTCAACTTTGGAACATTATAAGCTTAAAACTTGGTTATGTAGTAAATTCAAAACATGATATAGCTGTTAAGAAAAATTAATCATGCCAAAGATGCATCAACTGCTTCAAGAAAGCAATGAATAACAATTGTCCTTGTATGTAAGAAAAAAAAATGTTGTTGCAACTTCGTTTTTCTTCTATTTTTTAAGAACTCAAGTAATAATTATTTTCTGAGTTGTAAAATCTTCATTAATTAGTTTTGAGATTCAGAGAAATCTAGAGAATATCTTATTTCATGTGTATGTTATTGTATACATTTTCTTTTAGTTTTTAGGGCATCAAATATTGTTAAAATGTTATTTGAAAACTGGAAATATTGAAATACCTTAAAATTAAATCAAAATAAGTTTTTCCAAAAAATTGGGCTGATATTAAGTTCTTGCTGAGGAACAGGTGAGTAGTTGAATAAATGAAGCCTTCACCTTTCATTTCATCTAATGTAAATATAGTTGGCAGCAGAAATTCTCTTCATGGTATAAAGGTAGTAAGGCTAATTTGGTTTACTCAAATCAGGTAAGATTTCTTAGAGGTTCTGATTTACTGCTCAACTCTAAAATATAAATAGTTCCTTTTTGTTGACTATGAAGAAATGGTTCAACAAAATTTACCGTTAGTGAACATGAAATGTAAAGGAAGCTAATGTGTATGTAATTTTTATTTTATTTAATTACTCCTGAGAATTGACGTTCAGATATATAACGTCATACCTAAAATTTTTTAACCCATCAGGCCACTAAAACATCATGAGTCATTAGGATTGCCTCTTCCCTCTTTTATTCAGTAAACAGTGATTGGTTCTTATTTGTTAGTTTCTCTGCTAGATATTTGATAAAAAGTTACACCAAAATATCATCACTAGCTTTGAAAAGAAGAATCTTATTTGTGTAGTAGTAGTGAAAGGTGATTTAACAGAGAAATGGCCTAACAGGTGTTAGGAGTCAAGCGGATGACATGTCAGTGAATTTTTGGAAAAACTGGTTTTTAGAAGAGTTGAAGTTTCAGCTGAGTAGTCCATGTGAAGAAGCCATATGGGAGCACTCCAGAGAGGGCGAGTGTGCAAAGACACAGAGGTGGCAGAAAACATAATCCATTTGGAAACCCTAATTGCATGTGTAATGTACCATATTGGGCTATGTGGAGGTGGTAAAGCCAGAAAGAAAGGCATGGTGAAGAACATGGAAGTTTTAAAAATGTTTTGCTAAGTCATTTTTAATGCATATATTCATTCATTCATATATTATATAAACATAATATTTATATACCATGCACTGTGCCTAGCATGTGGGACACAATGGTGAACAAGGAATGTATAAGTACTGTATTCATGTTGTTTATTATTTATAGTAGAGGGAAATAATATATGTAACTTTACAGGGAGATTATAGGATAAAATGAAAGTGCTTGGGATAGATCCCAAATCACTTAGAGAAGTACATACATATCCATAAGAAATTAACATGCAAGAAGTGATACCAAGTCTCCATGGGGATGAAAAGGGATAAATAGTGGGAGGGGTTTTCTAGAAAGAGGGAGCACCACATGGCAAGGCTTGGAAGCAAGCAGGTATAGGACATGCTTGGCGAATTGAAATAAGTTCTGTATAGCTGATGCTCAGAAGATAAGTCGAAGAGATATATATAAGAAATAAGCCTGCAGCAATAAGCAGGGATGTGGTCATGTAAGCCTTGTAAGTAGGATGAAGTGTTTGGACTTTTCCTTACCACAAGAAGGGGCTGTGGAAAGGTTTTCGGCTGGTGGGTAGCAGATACAAGCTTGCACTTATGGAAGATCTTTGGGGCAGCATTATATACCATAAGGGCCAAATGAGGCAAGAAAAGGAATTAGTATTTATACTAGTATTTTCTAGTTAGAAGATGACAATACCTGTAAAGTAATAATGATGAATATTAAGAACAATGAACAGATTTGTAAGATATCTTGGATGAAGAATTGACAGGTTTTAGTCATTGATTAAATATAAAGAAGGAGATAAATGAGCTCTGTATTATGCCTGGGGTTCTGATGTAGGTAAATGGGAAGACAATGGTGATACTCACTGAGACAGAGGACATGAGAAGATACAGCCATGAATGAATTATGAGTTTAGTTTGAGATTTGGTAAGCTTGAGGTGGCTGTAAACTTATAAGGGTAAACGTTTGGTAAGCATTTCTTTTTTTTTTTTTTTTTTTTTTTGAGACGGAGTAAGCATTTCTAGTCTGAAACTGAAGAAACTTATGGAACAAGGAAAAAAAAATGAGAGCACTATGGAGATGGCAATTGAATTTCTGAGATAAAATATTGTTGTCTATGGAAATAGCTTAGGATCAAACTTCAGGAAACACTAGTATTTAATTAGAGGGAGTACAAGTGCCAGTGAAGGAAACACAATTACAGCCAAAGGTAAGATGTCAATCAAGAGGACACAGACTCAGAGACCTAGAGGAAGAGAGCATTTAGACAGTACCAAATGCTGCATAAAAGACTGAGAAAGGAACAGTGGGTTTACTCACTATTACCCTGGTAAAAATGACTTATATTATGTAACAGATTCAACAACCAGAGATTGATGAATTGATGAGTGCCTGTAAAGTGACTGCAGACTACAAAGAAAACTTTGAAAGGCTGTGCTATAAAAGACAGAAAAGATACAACACATGGTTGGAGTTTCATATGGATCAATGACATTTTAGCGGGTTTTTTTCTTAGATGAGAGAGACTTAAACATATTTAAGTATTGATGGGAGGAAGCCAAAAGAGAAGGAAAGGCAGAAGATAAAGTTTGACCTACAAGGGTGTAGTTGATGTTGGAGAGGAGAGACTTGAAGCTAGTTAAAGTAAAACACCTGTGCTTGCTGTTGGGTGAGAAATCAAAGGCTTGCATTGAGAAACAATGTAAGGATCGTTCTTCGTATCTGCAAGTTTTAAGCAGAGGTACTCTCAATTTATTTGGGTTGATACTGGGCCAGAAGATGGATATGTTCAGCATAATAGAGTTATTTTATAAATAGCATGTAAGAGTCATGTTAAAATGTAGAAGATTATTTCTTCCATTTGTCTCAAGTACAATGGAGTGGATGATCTTTGGAGAAAAAAATAATCTCACATTTATTATGTGAAGTTGTAATAGTCATCAGGTAAGAGGTAGCCTGGCCATAGTACTGGTGAATGAACAAAAACATCTATTTCCCCATTTCCAAAAGGAATAGAACTAATTCTTTCCCTTTTTAAGGGGCAGGGGGAGCCAGAGTAGTGAAGACTCTAGTGGCAACCGCCTGAAAGTTGAGGTGCAAAAGTTTGTAATAACCCAGAAGGGATAAAGACTTGTATTCCAATTTTCCATGGGGAGGTATGTTGTCCTGGTGTGAGAGGAGGACTTAAATAAGGAATCAACTACACGATAAGAAATTAAACTCAGTCAGGAGTAGAATTAAAAATTGAAGAATCATCTACATAGCATTTTTTTTCTAAAGGCTTAGCCACCAGGGCAACTTGTGATATAAGGCAATAGATGAGATAAACAAACACCTAATTCTCAGACAAAGGTACAAACTCTGTATTGCTTTGGCACTGATCAGAATTTTCATTAAATGTCAGCATTTATTTGTTCTATAGAAGACTTTTGAGCTAATACTTAGTAAAATGGTTGGTATCTTCCTCCTACCTTAACCATAAATATATGGAGTATACTTGCTTACCCATTTGGAGAAGACCAGGAGCAAAGAAATAGCAAGCAACAAACTACTGGCTAATTTGTTGCTAGCCTTTATGCCAATTTACTTAATTTTTCTTTCTGTTGGAAGAAATTCTCCCTGGAAAACAGAATATAGGTACATAATCATATATGTAACAGACTCGTGGTAGTAACAATTTGCCTGTGTTTATGATTTTTGTTTGGTCTGTAGAAGATTATTGGGTAGTAATAAGTAATTATAACATTTGGGTTCTTCAATTATATATATTTTATTAATTAACTGCCAGGCACACCGCTTCATACTTTTTTTCTTACAATTTATGGCTGTGTACTCCTTAATGGTCTCTTCATATAAGAATAGTTTGTAATATTTTCTAAAGAGAGATAGAAAGATAATTTAGTGTTTTCTATAGTTTGATTCATCAGTATTTACTTTTTATTAGTGATAGTTTAGAAAATTTATTTTATACTTTTTCACAGTTTAAACTGTGGCTATATATAATTGGCTATATAAAAGTATATAACCAATATACATGTATGTGTGTGTATATATATTTATATCTGTGTGTGTATGTGTATGTGTGTATATACATACTATTTTTGTCAAATTTCAGAAAGCTCTCTCAAATATTTTTTACATAGGCATTTCATCACATTCCAAGTTTTCTTATACAATTACTAATCTTACATAGTCTTTGAATTGAAGGCACTCAGTTACCAATCTACTCATTGTAATTATGTATTGAGTTTTATGTCATCTTTGTCAAAACAGTTTGAGATCAAATGAGAAAGAAATTTGAATATATTTCGATGAGCTTATATAACTCATTCTACCAATTATTAAATAACTTAAAAGCTCATAAATTCCTTTCATTTGCAATTTTATTGTTTTCAGCTTTATTGAGATATAATTGACAAAATTACATATATTTAAGGTGTACAAGATGATGTTTTTATATATATATACATTGTGAAATGATTAGTCTCTTCTCAATGAATTCCATTTTTGTTATAATTGAAATATTTCATTTTTACTATTTATTTCTCAATGCCCAGAATAATTTCTCTTGATTTTATTACTCATCTTTAACCCTTTGGTTTCATATTCCATTAATTTTTAATCTCAATTTTATCTCAATGCTTTAACAAAATAAATTTAAATATGACCAAAGTATCCACATCAGGAGTCTGTAATTTATCACTTGTGCTGTTGAAATGTCCCAAGGTATCTTTCTAAATTACAGTTAAAATGTTGTATTTGAGTTTTATCAACTTTTTTATTTATTTATTTATTTTTATTATTATACTTTAAGTTTTAGGGTACATGTGCACATTGTGCAGGTTAGTTACATATGTATACATGTGTCATGCTGGTGCGCTGCACCCACTAACTCATCACCTAGCATTAGGTATATCTCCCAATGCTATCTCTCCCCCCTCCCCCCACCCCACAACAGTCCCCAGAGTGTGATATTCCCCTTCCTGTGTCCATGTGATCTCATTGTTCAGTTCCCACCTAGGAGTGAGAATATGCGGTGTTTGGTTTTTTGTTCTTGTGATAGTTTACTGAGAATGATGATTTCCAATTTCATCCATGTCCCTACAAAGGACATGAACTCATCATTTTTTATGGCTGCATAGTATTCCATGGTGTACATGTGCCACATTTTCTTAATCCAGTCTATCATTGTTGGACATTTGGGTTGGTTCCAAGTCTTTGCTATTGTGAATAATGCCACAATAAACATATGTGTGCATGTGTCTTTATAGCAGCATGATTTATAGTCCTTTGGGTATATACCCAGCAATGGGATGGCTGAGTCAAATGGTATTTCTAGTTCTAGATCCCTGAGGAATTGCCACACTGACTTCCACAATGGTTGAACTAGTTTACAGTCCCACCAACAGTGTAAAAGTGTTCCTATTTCTCCACATCCTCTCCAGCACCTGTTGTTTCCTGACTTTTTAATGATTGCCATTCTAACTGGTGTGAGATGGTATCTCATTGTGGTTTTTGTTCAAGCTTTGCAACACAGGTTCATGAAAATCTAAGAATTGTAAATTATATTTTTGACAACTCAGAAGAAAAACACAAACACAAATGAAATGTAAGAACTTTATTTTAAAAGTTGATTCCATATGAACTTTAAAGGAATCAACTTTTAAAATAAAGTTCTTACATTTCATTTGTGTTTGTGTTTTTCTTCTGAGTTGTCAAAAATATAATTTAGAGTTCTTAGATTTTCATGAACCTGTGTTGCAAGGCTTGAACAAATTTGTATGGGCAGACCATTTAATTATACTTAGTCCCTTCAAGGAAAAGTCCAAGTTCACATATATGTTTAAAATACCCCACATAGTAGTTAAACCTGAAAATAAAACTCACAACTATTGCTACACATCAAAGTAGCTAACAACTTTAGTACCATGAGGGAAGGCTTTTCTCTAACAGAATTAAGGTAATGAGCTGTGATGGCTCATATTCTGCAAAGTTTTTTTTTCTGAATTAAACAAATTTTTCAAATTAGCAAATAATATTTGTACATATTAATAGGGTACATAGTGAGGTTTCAATTCATATGGTATATAGCTAAGGTAACTAGAATATTCATCATCTCATACATTTATCATTTATTTGTGTTGAAAACGTTCAATATCTTCCCTCTAGCTACTTGAAACTGTATAATATAGTGTTGTTAAATACAGTTATCCAACAGTGGTATAGAACACAAGACCTTATTCCTCTTATCTTGCTGTACTTTTGTATCCTTTAACAAAAGTCCCCTTATCCCTCCCTTTCCCCTTCTCTTCCCAGTCTTTGGTATCCTCTGTCTACTTTTTACTTCTGTGAAATCAAAATGATTGAGAATATGCAGTGTTTAACTTTCTTTTTCTGATTTAAATCACATAACATATGTCCTCTGGTTCCATCCATGTTGCTGAAAATAACAGGATTTCATTCTTTTTATGGCTGAATAGTACTCCATATTCGCTTTATCCATTCATCTGTTGTTGGACACCTAGGTTGATTCCATATCTTGGCTATTGTGGATACAGCTGTAATAAATATGTGGATATAAATGTAGCTTCAATATTATTTCCCTTTTTTTGTGTGTGGACAAATGCCTAGTAGTAGGATTGCTGGATCATTTGGTAGTTCTATTTGTAGTCTTTTTGAGGCACGCCAATACTGTTCTCCACACTGGTTTACATTCACACCAACGTAAGAGTTCCCCTTTACCACATTCTCACCAGCATTTGTTACCTTTTCTGTCTTTTTGATGATAGCCATTCTAACTGGGGAGAGTTGATACCTCCTAGTGGTTTTTGATCTGCCTTTCCTTGATGATTAAGTGATGCTGAGCATTTCTTCATATATTTATTGGCCATTTGCATGTCTTCTTTTGATAAATGTCTATTCAGATCAGTTTCCCATTTAAAAAATAAGACTTTTATTTTTTGCTGTTGAGATGTTTGAGTTCCTTGTATATTCTGAACATTAATATTTTGTCAGATGAGTAGTTTGCAGATATTTTCTTCCATTCTGTGGGTTGTCTGTTTAGTCTTTTGGTTGTTTCCTTTGCCGTGTAGAAGCTTTTTAGTTTGATATAATCTCATTTGTTTATTTTTGTTCTTCTTGCCTATGCTTTTGAGGTCTTATTCATAAAACTTTTCTCCAACCACTGTCCTGAAGCACTTCCCATATAATTTCCTCTAATAGTTTTTATCATTTTGGGTCTTACATTTATGTCTGTAATCCATTTTGAGTTGATCTTTGCATAGGGTAAGAGGTGGGCATCTAGTTTTTTTCTAGCACCATGTGTTGAAGAGATAGATGGTCGTTTAAACAATGAGTGATCTTGGCACCATTGTCAAAAATCATTTGGCTGTAGAGATGTAGATTAATATCTGGGTTGTCTGTTCTTTTCCATTGGTCTATGTGTCTGCTTTTATGCCACTATTATCCAGTTTTGGTTAGTACAGTTTTGTATTATATTTTGACGTCTTGTAGTGTGATACTTCCAGCTTTGTTCTTTTCACTCAGGATTGCTTTGACTATTCAGGGTCTTTTGTGGTGTCATACAGTTTTTAGGATTTTTTTTCCTACTTCTGTGGAGAATATAATTGGTATTTTAATAAGGATTGCATTGAATTTGTAGATTGCTTTAGGTAGTGTTGTCAATGTGCACAGCTAGATAGGAGGAATAAGGTCTAGTGTTCTATATCACTGTCGGATCACTGTAGTTAACAACAATATATTATATAGTTTCAAGTAGCTAGAGGGAAGGTATTGATTGTTTTCAACACAAAGAAATAATAAATGTTTGAGATGATGAATATTCTAGTTACCCTTAGCCATATACCATATGAATTGAAACATCACTATGTACCTGATTAATATGTACAAATACTATTTGCTAATCTGAAAATTTTGCTTTCATTTTTTTGAAATAGTACAAAAAGAATTGGTTTTAATTCTCCTTTAAATGTTTGGTAGAATTCAGATGGTAGAAGCCATCTGGTCTTGGATATTTCTTTGTTAGTCTAGCTAACGATTTGTCACTGTTGTTTATCTTTTCAAAAAGAAAGTTATGTTTTGTTGACCTTTTACATTTTTTTGTCTTTTTATTTCTCTTCTAAACTTTATTGTTTCTTTCCTTCTCCTAAATTTAGGTTTAGTTTGCTTTTGCTTTTCTAGTTCCTTGAGATGCATCATAAGGTTATTTGAAAACGTTTTAGTTTTCTGATGTGAACATTTATTGCTATAAACCCACCTGTTAATGCTGTGCCCCATGGATTTTGTTTGTATTTTCATTTGTTTCAATAAATTTTAAATTTTATTCTAATTTCTTCTTTTACTCATTGATAACTCAGGAGCATGTTGCCTAATTTCCATATATTTGTATAGGGTCAAGTATTTCTCTTGTGATTAATGTCTACTTTTGGTCAGATTGTAGTCTACTTGTGGCCAGATAATATATTTGATATGATTTCAATGTTTAAAAATATTTTCACATTTGTTTTGTGTCCTAACATATATTTAACCCTGGAAAATGTTCTGTATGCTGATGAAAAGAATGTTTTTTAAGGTTGTTGGGTGAAGTGTTCTATAAATGTCTGTTAAGACTATTTGGTGTATGGTGCAGTTTTAATCCAATGCTTTTTTGCTGATTTTTTGTCCCGATGATCTCTCCAGTGCTGACAGCGAGGTACTGCAGTCCTCAACTATTATTGTATTGGTGTCTACCTCTTCCTTTAGTTCTAATAATATTTGCTTTATATATCTGGGTGTTCCTGTGTTGGTTACATGTATACTCACAATGATTATACTCTCTTGCTGAATCAATCCCATTGTTATTATACAATGTCCTTCTTTATGTCTTTTTACAGCTTTTGACTTGAAGTTTGCTATGCTTGATATAAGTATGCTACTCCTGCTCACTTTTGGTTTCTGTTTGCGTAAAATATCTTTTTCCCTCCCTTCACTTTCAGTCTGTGTATGTATTTACAGGTGAGGTGAGTTCCTTGTAGGCAGCATATAGTTGGGTCATGCTTGTTTTTTTTTTTTTTTTTTTTTTTTTTTAATCCATTTAGTCAATCTACTATATTAAATGTGGAATTTAATCCATTTATATTCAATGTTATTATTGATATATGAGAACATACTTTTGCCGTTTTATTTACTTTTTTCTGGTTGTTCTATATATCTTTTATATAGACAGGCCAAGGGCTTGTCTGTGGGTTGCGGAGCAGGGTTGCTGTGGGGCTATTTCTCAGGTCTTGATCATAGATATGTAGTCAATGGGGGCCTATCAGTTGCTTGGAGGCTCAGGGGCCTCTCCTGCTTGAGGAACAGTGGTCAGCAATTTGGCCAGCTTAAAAGCAGGTTCATCCATGGTGGGACTGCCAGATTATTTCTTCAGCTAGAAGTGCAGTGGTGAGGGTTGGTTTCCCTGCAATACAGGATCAGAGTCACATCTGATCCTGGGCCAAGGCTTTGTGCCTCTGGGGATGTGGAGTTTAGCCACCTGAGTGGGCTTGGTGGAATATGAAGCTCCAGTGCTGGAGAGTTGCAGTGGCTACTGGATTCCAGAGCAAGGTGCACTCCAGAGATCTCTGCCCTCAAGATGGCACTTTGCTGCAGCAGCTTCACTTACATGGCGTGGATGGAGTGTGGGGAGTACACACTTTGTGCTCCTAATCTGGGGCAATGCAGTTCCATGAGTTCCTGGAAGCTCTTTACTCAGATTATGACTTGCTATGACTATGTGATTTTTCTGTTATAATGACCGTAGGTATTTGCAGTGACAATGGGGTCTAGTGGAGATCTTCTGCTTACCTTTTCCCAGCAATGAGAAGTCCCTCCAGACTCTAGGTAGATCTGATCTGAGCAGGGGCTACAGAGGCTTAGTGCCTCTCCTGAACTTCCAATAGCCACAGGTGCATCTCCACTCTCTTGCTCCATTCTAGTGCTCTCCCTTCAAAGCACCAGTCAAATCTTAACTATTTATTCATTGCCTTGGCCCTTCTTTTTTGAGTTTGGGGGGTGGTGGATGAACACCAGGCATCTCTAGTCAGTCATCTTGCTGATATCCCCATAATATATTAATGTATTTAACTTTCACTAAAACTTTTTGAGTTCGGAAGTATCATGATGTTCATTTTACAAATGAGAAAACTGAGGCCCAGGAAGGCTAGGTAACTTGCCCAAGTATTACAACTCAGAAATGGCCACACAAGATTTGAGCTTAGAAATGCTGTTTCCAAGGTTTATGTGCTTAACCAATACAGACAGATTGTTTTGGTCACTCAAGTCTCCTAATGAGATTAAATTGGAAATAGCATAGAAAACAGTATAGAAATAAATTTTATTTTGGCTGTGATGAAGTTATAGAAATTGAACTTACTCTCTTCTCTAAAATAACTATAAAACTTGACAATATATATTAAGCAGTTAATTTTAGGCACTACATACACGCAGTAGAAGAGTAATCCTTGAGAAAAGAGGGATGTACATGATGTGAGTTCTATATTTATGGTATCTTTCTGCCTGGGGGATTTTTCCATATTATGGCACTGAAGTGAAGCCAAAACACAAAGCTTCAGTTTTGCTTGGTGTAGGATATAAAGACTGGATTTAGGGCTGCAGAAAGTGCATAAATTTATGGGTTAGGGTACTAGGTTGGGAGAAGCTGTGCCATGAACGCTCCACAATCTTTATGAAAGTACCCTTGAGTATTTGGCTAAAAAGTAAGCTAGGCATGCTTAAAGTGAGAATCCACGAGGCCAAGAAAAGCTACTGGCAGATTTGAGTTGAAAGAGACTCTACAGGTTATCCTCTGCTAGGAAATGTTGAAGTTTTAACCAACCAGAGAGAAGAACCTTGCTGCACACTGCAAATGTAATATCCCAGAAAGACCATGCATTAAAATAAGGTCTACGTTAGTCTAAAAGTAACCGCTATTCTACACCAGCCACAACAAAGCTTAAAAACAAAATTGAAAAGGGAAGCCTGATATGCCAGTAAAACAACTATTTAAAAGAATGTATACTCTTTAAATCTAATATGGAAGAAAAACTCTTTAAAAGAACTTACACTCTTTTAAAAAAAGATAATTTCCACAATTCAACAAGATAGTATCTAAAATGTTCAGTATATAATTAAAAATTACTCAACATGGAGAAACAAGAAATATGAAGTATAAGCAGGAAATAAAACAGCTGATAAACAGATGACACAGATGTTGGGAATAGAAGACAGAGACTTTAAAATAGTGATTATAAATATGTTCAGGGATTTAAAGAAAATGACAGTCAAAATGAGTGAATGGATGAGGGATTCTCAGCAGAAAAAGAAAACTATAAAAAAAGAACTAAGGTAATATTCCAATTCTTAACAAAGTACCTGAAGAAAAAAAATCATAGAATGGACATATAGCAAATAGAGCACTTAGAAGAAATGAATGTTGAATATGACACAGGGCAACGGAAATTTGCCAAATTGAGGTAAAGTGATAAAACAATTCAAATCAACAGAAGCTTAGTAACATGTTAGACAATATAAAATTGTAGTCTGATATACGTGTCATTAGGGTTCTAGAATGAGAATAGACTGAGGTAGAAAAATATTTTTAAAATAATGACTAAAAATGTTAAAATGTGATGAAAATTAATAATATTCAGACCTATGAAGCTAAACAGACTCCAGGCAAAATAAGTGTGCATACACACACACATACACACAGACACACACATACACAGGTACATCTTGGAAAAATGCTAAAAAGCAAGGATAAAATATCTTAAAAAGTACAAAAAGAACTTTATATAGAGGGGAACTGATAAAATGCAGCTGGCTTGTTATTAAAAACAATGCAAACCAGCAGATGATGGAATAACATATTCAATGTGCCTAAAGGAGAGAAAGAATCTGTCATCCTTGAATTTTCCATCAAAAATGAAAAATTTCTTTCAAAAAAAATGAAAACACTTTAATTCAAACAAAATTTGAGAGAATTTTTACCAGCAAAATTAATTCCAATAAAAATTATATACAGTTCTTTAGGCTAAAATACAAGCAATTAGTATTTAATGCCATATTGATATGGTTGGGTGTAATTGTACTCTCATTATTTTGTTTTCTATTGGTCCCATCTGTCCTGTGTTCCTTTTTCATCTTTTCCTGCTTTATTTTAGGTTAAACCTCATTTTATTTCCTCTATTGGCTTTTAACCTACATCTCTTAGTTTATGTCAGTGGTTGTTATAAGGATTAAAATATGCATGCTCAATTTACAACAATCTATTTGGAATTATTAATAATACTAAATATTTTCATGTATAAGGTAAGAACATTAGAATAACAGGTTTCCATTTATCCCTTTCTATCTTTTATCCTATAGATATATTTTACTTCTGCATATATTATAAAACCCTCTCTACATTTGAGTTTCTAAGAAATATTACTTCCAGATAGGTACACACAGACACAAAGATGAAAACAATAAACACTAGAGATTTCTAAAGTGGGCCAAAAGGAACAGGAGCAACAGTTGAAAAGCCATCTATTGGGCATTTTGTTCACTACTTGGGTGACAGGAGCATTAGAAGTCCAAACTTCAGCACCACACAATGTACCCATATAAGAAAACCAAAATAAAATTGCCAAGACAAATTCCCCAAAATTGCTAAGAAGATGAATTTCCACTCAGAGGTACTTACCCAAGAGGAATGAAACATAGGGCCACAAAAAAACACTTGTGCACAAATATGCGTAGCCACTTTGTATTAGTCTGTTCTCCCACTGCTATAAAGAACGAACCAAGAATGAGTAATTAATGAAGAAAAGAGGTTTAATTGACTCACAGTTCTTCAGATTGTACAGGAAGCATGGTTAGGGAGGCCTCAGGAAACTTACAATCATGGCAGAAAGTGTAGGGGAAGCAAGCACCTTCTTCACATGGTAACAGGAGAGAGAGAGAGTGCAAAAGGGGAAGTGCTTCACTCTTTCCAACAAGCATATTTTGTGAGAACTCGCTGATTATCAAGAGAACAGCAAGGGGAAAGTCCTTCTCTGTGATTTAATCACTTCCCACCAGGCCTCTCCTCCAACACTGGGATCACAATTCAACATGAGATTTGAGTGGGGACAGAGGGCCAAACCCTATCCTTCCACCCCGACCCCTCCCAAATTCCATGTCCTTCTCACATTTCACAACCAACCATGCCTTCCCAACAGTCCCGCAAAGTCTTAACTCATTCCAGCATTAACTCAAAAGTCCATGCATGTCCAAAGTCTCATCAGAGACAAGGCAAGTGCCTTTCATCTATGAGCCTGTAAAATTAAAACAAGTTAGTTATTTCCAAGATACAATGGAGGTACAGACATTGGGCAAACGTTCCTATTCCAAAAGGGAGAAATTGACCAAAATAAAAGGGCTACAGGCTACAGGCTCCATTGAAGTCCAAAATACAGAAAGGCAGTCATTATATATACATATGTGTGTGTGTGTATATATATATATATAGTTGTTGTTTTTTGAGATGGAGCCTCACTCTGTTGCCCAGGCTGGAGTGCAGTGGCATGATATCAGCTCACTGCAACCTCTGCCTCCTGGGTTCAAGCGATTCTCCTGTCTCAGCCTCATGAGTAGGTGGGATTACAGGTGTCTGCCACCATGCCCGTCTTATTTTTTTGTATTTTTAGTAGAGGCGGGGTTTCACCATATTGGCCATGCTGGTTTTGAACTCCTGACCTCAAGTGATTCACCCGCCTCAGCCTCCCAAAGTGCTAGGATTACAGACATAAGCCACCGCACCCGACCCAGTCATTATATCTTAAAGCATGGAAATAATCTCCTTTGACTTCATGTCTTACATCCAGGCCACTGTAATGCAAGGGATGGGCACGCAAGGCCTTAAGCAGCTCAGCTCCTGTGGCTCTGCAGAGTACAGACTATGTGGCTGATTTCATGGGCTGGCATTGTGTGCCTGCACCTTTTCCATGCACATGGTACAAGCTATCAGTGGATCTGCAATTCTGGGGTCTGGAGGAAGGTGGCCCTCTTCTCACAGCTCCACTAGGCAGTCCCAAGTGGGGACTCTGTGTGGGGACTTCAACCCCACGTTTCTCCTCTGTACTGCTCTAGTAGAGGTTTTCTGTGTAGGCTACTCCCCTGCAGCACATTCCTGTCTGGACCTCCAGGCATTTTTATACATCCTCTGAAATCTAGGTGGAGGCTCCCAAATCTCAACTCTTGTCTTCTGTGCACCCACAGGACCAACACCATATGGAAGCCACCAACGCTTAGGGCTTGTACCCTCTGAGAAATGGCCTGAGCTGTACCTTGCCCCCTTCCAGCCACGGCTTGAGCTAGAGCATCTGGGACATGGGGTACCATGTCCTGAGGCTGCACAGGGCAGCTGGGCCCTGGGTGAGGCCCACAAAACCATTTTCCATCTTAGCCCTCTGAGCCTGTGATGGGAGGGGCTACCGTGAAGGTCTCTGAAATACCCTGGGGGCATTTTGCCCATTGTCTTGGCTATTAACATTTGGCTGTTTTCTTAGGCAAATTTTTGCAGCTTTGAATTTCTCCCCAGGAAATTGGTTTTTCTTTTCTACTGCTTGGACTACCTGAACATTTTCCAAAAGTTTATCATCTGCTTCCCTTTTAAATATAACTCTACTTTCAGGTAATTTCTTTGTTTATGCAAATAAGTTTAGGCTTTTACAAGCAGCCAGGCTACATCTTTAATACTTCATTGCTTAGAAATTTATTCTGCCAGAAACTTAAATCATCCTCTGAAGTTCAAAGTTTCATAGATCTCTAGAGCATGGCTCAAAGCCACCAGTCTCTTTGCTAAAAGCATAGCAAGAGTGACCTTCACTCCAATTCCCAGTAAGTTCCTCATCTCCATCTGAGACCACCTCAGCTTGGGCTTCATTAACCATATCACTATCGGCATTTTGGTCACAACAATTCAACAAATTTCTAGGAAGTTCCAAAGTTTCCCTCATCTTCCTGTCTTCTTCTGAGCCTTCCAAACTGTTCCACCTTCTGCCATTACCCAGTTCCAAAGTAGCTGCCACATTTTCGGGTATCTTTATAGCAATGCCCCACTTCTCTGGTACCGATTTTCTGTATTAGTCCATTTTCAGACTGTTATAAAAAACTACCCGAGACTGGGTAATTTATGAAAAAAGGGGATTTAATTGACTCATGGTTCCACAGACTGTACAGAAAGCATGGTTGGGGAGGCCTCAGGAAACTTATAGTCATGGCCGAAGGTGAAGGGGAAGCAAGCACCTTCTTCAAATGGCAGAGTGGGAGAAAGAGAGAGAGCAAAGGGAGAAGAACTACACACTTTAAACTACCAGATCTCATGGAAACTCACTCACTATTATGAGAACAGGAAGGGGGAAGTCTGCCCCCATGATCCAATCACCTCCCACCAAGTCTGTCCCCCAACATTAGGGATTTCAAATCAACATGATATTTGAGTGGCGACACAGAGCCAAGCCATAACACCCTTCATTTATAAGAGCCAAAAACTGATAATACAACCTAAATATCCATCAACTTGAGAATGGACAAACATACTGTGGCATATCATATAACGGAATTTTACTAAATATTAAAAATGAATGAACTACTGACGTATGCAACAACATGACTAAATCTTAAAGACATTAAGAAGCGAGAAGAAGCAAGACACAATAAAATATACACTGTGTGATTTTATCTATAGGAAGTTTTAGGATAGAAAAAACTAAAATACAGTGGTATAAATAACACAGGTTGCCTCTGCGTAGGGGAGAAACAATTGACTTAAAAGGGTTAGAGGGAATTTTTGGAGCATTGAAAATGCTTTCTACCTTATAGGTTTTGGGTGTTATGCTTTTGTCAAAACTTACAGTTTTGCATTACATGTAAATTATTCCTCAAAAATTAATCTATACTTTTGTGCATACATACAGTTCCATTACTAAAAATCATGTAATATTAGTATTAAAAATAGTATATCGAGCAACAGTTTTTTTCAAAATTATTAACTGCTGAACTTTTCTTCAAATGAAATGAAATTTTATAAATAAACTCAACGTGTAAAAGTTGAATTAAAAGCAGAGCTTCTCACACCTGTAATCCCAGCAATTTGGGAGGCCCAGTTGGGCAGATCAGGAGGTCAAGAGATTAAGACCATCCTGGCCAATATAGTGAAACTCAGTCTCTACTAAAAATACAAAAATTAGCTGAGTGTGGTGGCGTGTGCCTGTAGTCTCAGCTACTAGGGAGGCTGAAGCAGAATTGCTTGAACCCGGGAGGCGGAGGTTGCAGTGAGACGAGATCACGCCACTGCACTCCAGCCTGGCAACAGAGTGAGACTCTGTCTCAAAAAAAAAAAAAGCAGAACTTCCCAGAGTGAAAAAGCAATCTCTTTCTCACTTTGAGATAGCTCTGGAGAATCTAGAGGTTCCTTCCTATACTAACCCCACTAGAACTGATAAATGGCTAAGCCTAGAGCTTTGACCATAGAGATTTAAAAAAAAAAAAAAATGCCTGCTTTCCATTTACTGTAAGACCTTGATAGGCAAATTCTAAGATGTCTTTCAAGATTATTGCCCATTTTTGTACACAGTCTGTATAGTCCCCAAGACTGTGAATGTGATGGGATAGTATTCTTGTGATTAGGTTGTTATATGACACTGTTGACCTTAAGAAAAGAATATCCTTCTAATTAAGTGAGTCTTAAAAGGGACAAGAGTCTTCCTGTGAAAGAGGTTTGAATTATGAGAGGAATTTGACAGAAGATTCTTCATTATTCACTTTAAAGATGCAGGGGGCCAAATGGCCAAAGAATGTGAGTACCCTCTAGGAACTGAGAGCAGCCTCAGCTGACATCCAGCAAATCAATGGGATTCTACTGTCATAGGGAACTGAATTTTGCCAAGAACCTGGTAAGTGTGGAAGCAGATTCTACCGCGGAACTTCGAGGCAAGTACTCAGTCTAAATGACACCTCAATTTTAGTCTTGCGAGACACTGAACAGAGAACCCAGCCATGTTGTGTTTAGAACTGTGATCAATAGAACTGAGAACTAACAAATGGGCACTGTTATAAATGACTAAGTTTGTAGTAATTTGTTATGTGGCAATAGAAAACCACTGCAAAGATCTTTGATAAATTATACAACTATTCAGTTTTTCTCATTGGTAGATAAAGAATAATAGTACTATCTTGAATGTATTTTGAAGATTAAGTGCAATAATAAAATACCTAGTTAAATGTTGAATAAATGTTAGTTGCTACTTCTTCATGTTGTTTTGAGGATTCAGTGAAGTGGTATCTACAAAGTATTCAGCATAATTCCTGATACTTACTAATATCATAAGAATTTCATCAATATTATTATTGTTATAGATGAAAACATTCAACGTAGATCCTCCTTAGACTTCTTAGTGTTGTCTATATTCTTTTTTGGGGAACATTTTAATTTTGGCTAAAAGTTAATAGCTAGTATATTTTGGCTTTAAAGTGAGTCTGATTCTTTCTCTATCCTACAAAAAGTAGATTATTCACATCCAACATTTGGATCTGTAGGCAAGAAATTCAGATCTAATAAACTTCCCTTTCCAAGGGAAATGTTAGTCTTGAAACAAAATTGTGCACCATGTTGTTTAAATGAATATACCTTCATCCGTACTTAGGGTTCATCCATTCCACATAAAGAGAACTACAACCATAAACTGAAAAAAAAAAAAAAAAACTAACAAATTCAGATTGTAGTTTTATTACGTTGAAAAAGAGAGTAGCATTGTTTATAATCATAAGCCCAAAGACTGTAACTTAGGAACTTTCTATATGAACGGTGTGCTTGATATCAATTGTTGAACCTCTTCGGAAAAGATATACAGTGAAGTACGAATCAGAGAAATATCCTTATCTTTTTATTTGTATCTAATTAAGACAAGCAAGGTCATACCTTTCACCAAGTTGTTATGCTGAAAAATTCAAATATATCAGCTAACTCGAAGGGCAAACACGCTTGAATTCATTTGGGTTTTGATAGTTTAAAAAAACTATTATGTTAAGAGTCAAGATTGAGTTCATACAATCTCTTTAAAGCAAGCAGACATTTCAATGTCACTGTCTGCCACCTTACAATAACTGAAAACATCTGTATAATGGCCTATAACATTACACGGTGCATTACAATTAGAAATGTGCTGAAGTGGTGGATTGGGGTTTATTTATGGCCCATGAAACAAAAGATTCTGTGAGCTTCTCATGAACACTTGATAGTGTTCAAGAAAATAAAATAAATATTTGAGTGCAAAAATTACATTTTAAATGATATTATCACTAGAGAAACTTCTCTCAGAATAGCCAAAAAATTGAAATATTAGCATTAAAAGAAACCCATTAGTAGTTGGTTGTAAGCCTTTATTATTGAAGAGGTAAAGAATGACAGAAAATTATGAAAAATATATTATGCTTTCTAAGTTAGTACAATTTCTATAATTGAGTAAAATTTATCTTAATTGCCCATAAAATCAAGTCTCTGCAGGTTGTGGTGAGAGAAAATAGATTTAAAAACTTTGAATTTCTTAAGAACAGAAAAAGATCTTTTGCCATTTTACCATAAAAACTGGTGAGTTTTAGTAATGGCAATTCACGGACTGCTTCTAATAGGAGACATCAGTAACCACACAAAAATCTCTATGTGTGACAGCAAATAATTACAGTTCATGAGCAATATGTACTTCATTTCCAGATTACAGGTAATTGTATACACATTTAAATTTGTTTATTTTGCATGCATAATCTCATATTCATGAAGATAATTTAACTATTTGTACCTGATGTGTGGGAAAGATTATGGTGTCTAATCATGCATCCAGCTTTCTCAAAATTTTGCCCTGCTGTGGGAAAAATCTGTCATATCAGACAAAAAGCCTTCATTTAACCTTCAGGAATATTAAAATTCAAAGAACAGCAATAACCAATGATTTTTTTAGGTGACAAAGTACCCATATTTATTGTAGAAAAATCCAACAGGTTTTACTACATTGAACACTTTGCTATAATAGTAAAGAATTAAAAATAAATAATTTACTCTTTTTTCATATTAGGAAAAACTATTCTTTATTAACATATTTAAAATAAACAGTTATTAACAGTAATTGTGTTGGAATCCAAAACTTTTAGAATTGTTTTGTATTCATAATGCTTATTCGAAACATATTTCCAGAGGAGACATATATGCTTCCTATTTAAGTATTTACTGCTTGTTGATTTTTAGAATGGGTTTAGGTTTCCTCCAAACTGGATTAAATTACACAGGAATTTTGGTAGTTCCTCAACTAAACATGCATCATTGCAATAATTTTCCACATGATTATCATAAATAGCCATGTAAGAGCACAAAGCTGTCAAGCAACAGAAAATGAAACGGGGTCAATGCCATACTACTATATGCTGGCAAGGACTATACTGTCCATTTGACTGTATTATGCTGTTTCAAAATATTAATATAATCATCAGGTTATTACAGACTTCATTTGAGAGAGAACAATGGGGCTATAGAAAGATAGCTGCAGTTTGATGTATAGCCCAAGAAAAATGGACATTTTTTTCTTACTTAGATATTTCAAAGGGATCTTTCTGAACAAGTAGTGGATTTGAGATAGCCATATACAAAATTAGATAGCCATATAGAAAATTAAATTTTAAAACGCTTTTCTCCTTCTTTTCAGTATGATATGGCATAAGAAGAAAATTATTTAATATCACTGAGCCTCTGGGTTGATTAAATGGGGAAGAATAATATTTCTGACTTGGAGAACAAAGGAAAGAGAAAGGCAGGAAAAGATGGAAGGGAGAAAATGAATAAGAAAGAAATGAAAGGGAAGAAGAATTAAATAAGGAAAGAGAAAGAAAGAAGGAAGATTAAAAGAAAAATGAGAGAGATGAAATTAGAATAATTTAATTACTTCAAGATCATATACATGACCTTATAGGAAACATGTACATTATGAATATCTCATGACACCATTATTTTAAAATGTGTTAATGTCTTTATGAAAACTGCATTGAGGTATGGAAAAACAACCACATTCTTTACAATTACTGTCCCATATGATATGTGAGACAGCGGTCTTAGGCACAGTATTCTAGGGACGACATGCCTGTAGTTGCTGCTTAAGGAAGACGCTTTTTAGTCTTGAATACTAGTGATTAGTGGTAAAGAGTAGTTACTGTTTTATGGTAACAAGTCAAACTTTCAGTAAATGCTTCAAGGACCAGTGACTTTGCAATGACCTTATTGTTGTACTGAAGGTGTCTAATACAGCAGAGTAGAGCAAGATAGCCAAATAGAACCCTCAGTGATTGTTCCCCCTGCAGGAACACCAAATTTGAACACTATCCACACAAGAAAACACCTTCATAAGAACCAAAAATTAGGTGAGTGATTAGATGAGTGTCTGGTTTTAACATCATGTTAAAGAAAGAGGCACTAAAGAGAGTAGGAAAGACAGTCTTGTATTGCCTAAACTACTCCTGCTGCATTCCCTGGCAGTGGCCTCATGACAAGGAAAAAGAATCTGTGTGCTTGGGGAAGGGAGAGAAAAGTAATTGTGGGACATTGCATTGGAGCTCAGTGCTGCCCTGTCACAGTGGAAAGCAACATGGGGCAGAATTCAGCCAGGGACTGCTGAATGGAGAAAGCATTTAGACCATAGAGAAAGCATTTAGACCAGGCCTACTCAGAGGGGAATCATCTATCCCAGTAGTCAGAGCCAGAGTTCTGGCTAGCCCAGAGCTAGTAAATCACAGAGTAAAGTGCTCTGGGATCCTAAATAAAATTAAAGGGCAGTCTAGGCCACACGGACTGCAATTTCTGGGCAAGTCCTGCTTGCCCAGAAATGATCACATTTCTAGACACATGCTGGGCCAGAAGGGAACCCACTGACTTGAAGGAAAGGAAAGTTCTGGCAGTATTCATCACCTGCTAACTAAAGAGCCCACAGCTGAATAAACATCAGTGGTAGCCAGAAAATCCTTGCCACAAGGCTTGCTGTGCTGGCTTCATGTGTGACCCAGCACTTTCCTAGCTGTGGTGGCTCAGGAAGAGATTCCTTCTGCTTGACAAAAAGAGAGGGAAGAGTAAAGGAAACTTCATCTTGAAACTTAGGTACCAGCCAAGCCACAATGGAATATAGCACCAAATGGCCTCCTGGGGTTCCTGATTCCAGGCCTTGGCTTTTCTATGTCATTTCTGGACCTGCACTGGGCCAGCGGGGAACCTATTGTCCTGAAGGAAGAGACCTAGGCAGTCCTGGCAACACTTACCACAAGCTGATTGAACAGTCCCTGGGCCTTGAGTAAACATCAGTGGAACCCAGGCAGTATTGGTCATAGGCCTGGGGTAGTGCAGGTCACAGGGAGAGACTGCTTCGGCTTGAGGAAAGGAGAAGGAAGAATGGGAAGCTCTTTGACTTGTGGCTTGGGTGCCCAATCTGCTGCCATAGAATAGAGCACCAAGTAGATTCCTAAGGTTCCTGACTCCAGGCCCTGACCCCTAGATGGCATTTCTGGACCTGCCCATAGCTGCAAGTAGCTTGCAAAGAAGGATACATGCCTGGCTGGATTCACCACCTGCTGAATGAAGAGTCCTTGGGACTTGAGAGAACATTGATGGTAGCCAGGCACCACAGGCTTAGGGTGAGACCTAGTGCTGTTGTTCCTTCAGGTTTGACCCAGAGCAGTACCAGTGGTGGTGGCCAAGGGGGCACTTGTATCACTCCAACCCCAGCTCCAGGTAGCTCACCATGAAGATAGAGACTCTGTTTGTTTGGAGGAAAGTAAGGAAAGAGAATCAGAGTCTGCCTGGTAATCCAGGGAATTCTCCCAGATCTTACCCAAGACCAGCAAAGCAGTATCTCTGAGTCAGTGAGAGTCACAGAATTGCTGGACTTGGGCTACTCCTAAGGCAGATACAGCTGAAGTGACCAAAGACTTAGATCATAACACTCAATATCCTCTGAATACATGGAAAACATTCCTAAGAAGGATGGGTACAAAGAAGTCCAGACTATGAAGACTGGAAAGTTACCTAACTCTTCAATGCTAAGACATCGATAAACATCAACAAGCATCAAGACCTTCCAAGAAAACATGACCTCACCAAACAAAGTAAATAACGCACCAGTGACCAATCCTGGAATGACAGAGGTATGAGATCTTTCAAACAGACAATTCAAAATAGCTGTTTTGAGGAAGCTCAAAGAAATTCAAGATAACATGGAGAAGGAATTCAGAATCCTATCAGATAAACCTAACAAAGAGATTGAAATAATTTCTAAAAATCAAGCAGTAATTCTGGAGTTGAAAAATTTGATCAGCATATTGAAGAATGTGTATCTCCCAACATCAGAATTCATCAAGCAGTATAAAGAATAAGTGAGCTTGAAAACGGGTTATTTGAAAATACATAGTCAGAGGAGACCAAAAAAAAAAGAGTAAAAAAGAATGAGGCACTCTTCAAAGATCTGGGAAATAGACTCAAAAGGACAAATCTAGGAGTTATTGATCTTAAAGAGGAATCAGAGAGAGACATTGGGGTAGAAACTTAACTCAAAGGGATAAAAAAAGAGAACTTTCCAAATCTAGAGAAAGATGTTAATATTCAGTACAAGAGGGTTATAGAACACCAAAGAAATTTAACCCAAATAAGACTACCTCAAGAAATTTGGTAATCAGACTCCAAGAGGTCATGGATAAAGAAAGGATCCTAAAAGCAGCAAGAGAAAAGAAACAAAATACAAAGGAACTCAAATAATTATCAGGCAGCAAACTTCTCAATGGAAACCTTACCAGCCAGGAGAGAGTGGCGTGACATATTTAAAATGCTGAAGGAAAAACAAACAAACGAACAAAACAAACAAAAAATGCTTTTATTCTAGAATAGGATATCCAGCAAAAATATCCTTCAATCATGAAGGAGAAATGAAGACTTTTTTGGACAAACAAAAGCTGAAGGATTTCCTTCATCCCAGACCTGTTCTACAAGAAGTGCTAAAGGGAGTTGTTCAATCTGAAAGAAAAGGATGCTAATGTGCAACAAGAAATCATCTGAATGGAACAAGACTCCCTAGTAGTAGCAAGTACACAGCCAAACACAGAATATTATAATACTGTACTTATGATGTGTAAACTACTCATATCTTGAGTGGAAAGACTAAAAGATGAACCTATCAAAAATAACTATAGCAATGTTTCAAGACACAGTATAAGATATAAATAGAAACAAAAAAGTTAAAAAGTGGAAAGATGAAGTTAAATTGTAGATTTATTATTGATTTTCTTTTTGCTTGTTTTTTTTTTTTGCAATCAGTGTTAAGTTGTTATTAGTTTAAAATACTAAGTTAGATGTTATTTGCAAGCCTTGTAACTTCAAAGAAAAAATTTACAACAGATATACAAAAAATAAAAAGCAATAAATTAAAACATACCACTAGGGAAAATCAGCTTTACAAAAAGGAAGGCAGGAAGGAAGGGAGGATGACAAAACAACCTGAAAACAAATAATAAAATGGCAGTAGTAAGTCATTATTTATCAATAATAACATTGAACAATAATAGCAATGGACTAAACTCTCAATCAAAATACATAGGGTGGCTGAATGAATAAAGAAACAAGACCCAATGATACGTTAAGAAACACACATCACCTATAAAGACACAAATATTTTACTGAAAATAAAGAGATGGTAAAAGATATTTCATACAAATGAAAACCAAAAAAAGAGAAGGAATAGCTATACTTGTATCTGACAAAAGAAATTTCAAGACAAAACTACAAAAAGAGACAAAGAAGGGCATTATAAAATGATAAGGGGGTCATTTCAGCAAGAAGATATAACAAAGAAACTTTTGACTTAATCTGCACTGTAGGCCAAGTATACCTAATAGATAGTTGCACAACATTTGATCCAAGAGCTGCAGAATACACCTTCTTCTCCTCAACACATGGATCATTCTCAAAGCCACAAAATGTCTTTAAAAATCAAAAAAATAAAATTGTATCAAACATCTTCTGTGACTGCAATGGAATGGTATCAGAAATCAATAGAAACTCTGGAAAATGTACAAACAACGAACACAGGGAATATAAACCAATATGCCTCCAAGTGATTAGTGGGTAAATAAAGAAATTAAGAAGAATATTTAAAAATTTTTTGAAGCAAATAAAAATGGATACACAATGTACTCAAACCTTTGAGATACAGTGGAAATAACGCAATGAGGAAAGGTTATAACAATAAGTAACTACATAAAAAAGTAGAAAAATTTCAAATACACAATCTGAAGATGCATCTTAGAAAACTAGAAAAGCAAGAGCAAACCAAACACAAAATTATTTGAAGAAAAGAAAATTAGAGCAGACATAATAATGATGATAATAAATGAAAGTGAAAGAAAAACAACACAAATATCAACAAAACAGAATGTTGCTTTTATGAAAGTGTAAACAAAATAGAAAAAACTTTAACCAGACTAAGAAAAAAAGAGAGAAGATTAACATATGTAAAATCAGAGATGAAGGAGGAGGTATCATAACTGATACCACAGAAATTCAAAGCATCATTAGAGACTACTATGAGCAACTACATGGCAATAAATTGGAAAACCTAGAGTAATGGATAAATTCCTAGATACATACAACCTGTCGAGATTGAACCCTGAATTTTACCAAACGTGTAAAGAAGACCTAATACCAATCTTACTTAAACTATTACAAAAAATAGAAGAGAAGGGAATACTGGACACATCAAAAACAACAAAAAAAACCCCAATAAAAACCAAAAAAAACCCCTACAAATCGATATTCCTGATGAAATCTGATGCAAAATCTTCAACAAAATACTTAAAAACTGAATTCAGCAACACATTAAAAAATCATTCATCATGACCAACTGGGATATATCCCATGGATGCAACAATGGTTCGATATATGCTTATCAATCAATGTGATACATCATATTAAAAGAATTAAAGCAACAACCATATGATTATTTCAATAGATGCTGAAGAAGTATTTGATAAAATTCAACATCACTTCATGATAAAAAGCCCTCAACAAACTGGGAATAGAAGGAATGTATGTCAACATAATAAAAGCCCTATGTGACAGATCCACAGCTAGATCTGTGGATCTACTGGATGGGGAAATACTGAAAGCATTTTTTCTAAAATGTAGAACATGACAAGAAGGTCCACTGTCATCACTGTTATTCAACATAGTACTGGAAGTCCTAGCCAAAGCAATCAGACATGGAAGGGTATGCAAAGTTTTACAGAAAACTGTAATCTTTTAAAAATTTACTTTTTCCATGAAGGCTTTCTAAATGACTCCTATACGAAATTATTTTTGTTTTCTATAAATTATTAAACTCACTGCCTGTATTTCTCATTTATTTAATCAATCCTATGTTTTCTACATTGCCTTTTGACAGTCTTACTTTGGTATTGGGTTTATTGACTCATTCAATAAGAATATATTGAATGTATATATTAGACACTTTATTGGGGCTGATATCCAAGTTATTTAATTCCACCCCTCCCGGAAAAATTTGCAATAGTTTTACCCAGATGATAGTATACAATGTACATCATTCTCTGAATCACTTAATTTACTTAACAATATTTCTTGGGAAAATTCTCAGTCAATACATTAGGAATCCTCTCATTTTGTTAATGCTTCTGTAGTATTCTGTTAAATAACTGTACAATAATTTATTTTACTAATTCTCTTTTAGTGTATTGTTTCTAGTCTTAGGCTATTTTCAATAGCAGGATTCATAGCCTTTTAAATTTCATGCATTTTTTGAGAATATATGTAAAATAATTTTCCAGAACTATGATTCAACAGTTATAAGTTATAATATAAAGATACAGTATTTTCTTTTCTGATGTCAGTTGTCCCATTCACTGTCTTTTCCCCATGATATGGTTTGGCTCTGTGTTCCCACCGAAATCTCATGTTGAATTGTGATCCCAGTGTTGGAGGAGGGGCCTGGTAGGAGGTGACTGAATCATGGGAGTGGACTTTCCCCATGCTGTTCTTGTGATAGTGAGTGAGCTCTCATGAAATCTGGTTGTTGTAAAAGTGTGTAGCCCTGCCCCTCCCGCCTCTGCCAGCCTTGTGAAGATGTGCTTGCTTCCTCTTCACCTTCTGCCATAATTAAGTTTCCTGAGGCCTCCCAGAAGCAGAAGCTCGTACAGCCCACCAAACCATGAACTGATTAAACCTCTTTTCTCTATAAATTACCCAATATCAGGTTCTTGATAGCAGTGTGAGAACAGACTAATACACCCCACTAATGTGAAATTCATTTGTTTTAAATACTAAATATTTGTATGCATTTGTGTCTTTATGTAAACTTTTTCTCTCTTGACTACATATGAGCAATGATACATTACTACTAAAATTTTTAAATTATAGTAGCTTTATTGTATGATATAACATTGGGGGTATCTAATTCCCAATCAATACTCTTTATGAAATTTTCTTGCTATTTTTTTCACATACAATTTTGGGTCAGTTTAATTATTCTCCTTTCTCTTAAAATATAATGAAATCACATTAAATTTGTAGATATTAGGTAGTTTTAAAACTTACTTAAGGTGAATGGAAATCTTTATATGTTGAGTTTTCTTGACAACATATAAACATCTGTGTGCATTAAATATTTCTTCTTTAGTGTCCCTTAGTATTCATGTTATTTCGTGCAGATATTGCATATATCTTGCAAAGTTTTCTGCTAGATTTTTAAATCTGTTCCATTGACATTCTACATGGGGTCTTTTTATGTCAGTTTATATTTTAAATGTTTGAGATTTGGATCAGCAATATGCAACATAGACATTGAAAATGTATAGAACAAGTATAATGTATGCTAATGTACAATGTATTTTTATGTTAGACTCTATGGCAACAGAAAATTTACTAATATGTAAGAGAATGGTCATTAGTCAGGATATTTTACTGCAGGTATGAGAAAAACTATTCAAAGCATCTTAACCACCATTGCTACTCTTACCACAATAGCAGAGGGAGTAGAGAGATGCAGTGGAATTAGTGGGTAATGTTTCAGGAACTGGTGGAGCTTAAGTGGTAATAATTTGTTAAGTTGTTTGTTTTAATCAGCATCCACCTACTGCATGAATAAATGCGGCTATGCAAGTTGGAAATATTTTTATATGAAAACTAAGAGGTCGCAAAGTAGCAAGAGAGATTGGGGAAGAAGCAAGAGAATGATTGAAATGATGGACCCTCAGTTTTAAACTGGGATGATAAAGGACATGAAGGCATGAGGTGGCTAATAGAATGTGATCTCCATGAGATAGAACATGTGTAGCACCAGTGATTAAGCAAACAATGGAGGAAGTGAAGAAAATAAATGAGATAATGGAATTATGAATTAATGATTTCAGAGATCAAGATATGTTGGTTAGGCCAGGTGCTGTGGCTCAGGCCTGTAATCCCAGCACTTTGGGAAGCCGAGATGGGTGGATCACCTGGGGTTGGGAGTTTGAGAGTAGCCTGGCCAACATTGCGAAGCCCCATCTCTACTGAAAATACAAAAATTAGCTGGGCATGGTGGCAGATGCCTATAATCCCAGCTACTCAGGAGGCTGAGGCACGAGAATCGCTGGAACCTGGGAGGCTAGTAAGAATTTTCAGAGTGGAGGCAGAACTAGTGTTTAAAAGATAATTGGACCAAAGTCTCAGAAATCACCCCTCCCCACTAAAGATATTATCCATATAACCAAAAACCACCTGTTTTCCAAAAACTATTGAAATAAATACATTCACTAATTAAAAAATGGAAATAAGTTCATGAAACCAAGGTGTTACATCATCCATCAAGTCTTTAAGATGACTATGTTGATGTCAGACCTAAACATAGAAAAAGTTTTTCATTACTGAAGAAAAAAGAATGGTTAGCAGCTCTCTCTGATGAGGAAAAGCAGATGCTAACATAAACACATGACATAAATATCAAAGGAAGATACACACTTTTAAGAAGATAGAAGTTATTACTCAAAAATAGAATGAAGGGACAAAGATTCTATTTCTCATATCCTTAGTAAGTGGAATGTGATGGAATTTTTTAGTCTTTATTTGAGAGTTCATACTATCAGAGGAGAGATTTCCATTAAGAAAAGTGATTTTTGAGTAGAATAGGCTACGTAATAAGAAAGAAACTCCCAGAACTCATTGGCTTAAAGAACAAAGAAATCATTTCTTATTCAAAATCAGTCAAATATGAATCGTTGTGATGAATTAGTAGTTCTATTTCACAGAAGCCAGCAGTAACTACACCATCTTATATACATGGTTTTTAAGGTCTTTCTAGTCATCCCCATTCCAGAGAGTAGGGACAAAGAGTGAAAACTAAAGGTAAATACTTTTAATAAAGTGAAACAGACATTGCAAATTTTATTTTCATTAACATGCTATTGATAGAGCTCAATCACCTGACCATGGCAGAGAATCTGAAAAAAAACAGTCCCCAGCTAGGCAACAATTTTCCAGTTGTAATTCTAGTACTGTGTTAGACAGAAAGAATGAATTCTGATGAACATCTAGAAAGACACTTAATAGCAATCATTAAAAAGTCAGGAAACAACAGATGCTGGAGAGGATGTAGAGAAAGACGAACACTTTTACATTGTTGGTGGGAGTGTAAATTAGTTCAAACATTGTGGAAGACAGTCTGGCAATTCCTCAAGGATATAGAACCAGAAATATACCATTTGACCCAGCAATCCCATTATAGGGTATACATACAAAAGATTATAAATCATTCTACTATAAAGACACACGCACACGAATGTTTATTGCAGCACTCTCCACAATAGCAAAGACTTGGAACCAACACAAATGCCTATCAATGATAGACTGGATAAAGAAAACGTGGCACATGTACACCATGGAATACTATGTAGCCATAAAAAGGATACATTCATGTCCTTAGCAGGGACATGGATGAAACTGGAAACCATCATTCTCAGCAAACTAACACAAGAACAGAAAACCAAACACCACATGTTCTCACTCATAAGTGGGAGTTGAACAATAAGAACACATGGACACAGGGAGGGGAACACACTGGGGCCTGTCAGGGGGTGGGGGTTTAGGGGAAGGATAGCATTAGGAGAAATACCTAATGTAGATGACAGGTTGATGGGTGCAGCAAACCACCATGGCATGTGTACACCTAAGTAACAAACCTGCACTTTCTGCACATGTACCCCAGAACGTAATGTATAATAAAAGAAAGAAAAAGACACATAGCATATCATGATTATCAAATAAAAAATATATCCAACATTTCTGAATTATTTACATTATTTCCATGATAAGCAATTTTGGTAACTAAGGTTTATTGAGGTAGTACTTGACAAGTTTTGAACAAATGTACATAGTCTTGTAATTCTCACCAAGATTATGATATTAAACATGACATCATCTAAAAAAGTTCCTACATTCCTCTTCGCAGTTGATCTTCTCCCGTGACTTTAAACCCTGGCAAACAATATGTTTTCTGTTAATATAGTTAGCCACTTTTAAAGAATTTTATATAGATGAAATTGTTCATATGTTGTCTTTTGAGTCTGGTTTCTTTCACTTAGAATGATGGTTTTGTAATTTATCTGTGTTGCTGCAGTGTCTCACTAGCTTTTACCTCTTTATTGCTGGGTAAAATCCCACAGTATGCATGTACCACAGTATGTTTTTCTGTTCATTAGTTGATGGCCTTTTGAGTTGATTCCAGTTTTTGATATAAATTAAGATACTAAAAAACTATAAATGCAAGTCTTTTCCTAATGTGCATTTTCACTTTTCTTGGATAAATAGCTGCATAGGTGATTGCTTTACCATATATGCTACACGTTATGTTTGCCTTTTTAGACACTTCCAAACTGTTTTTGAAAGTGTCTCTTCAATGTTATGAATGTATGACAGTTTCAGTTATTCCACATCTTTATGAACACTTTCCATTTGTATATATTATTTTATGAAGTCACTGTTAAATATTTTGCATACTTTTTAAGTTTCATTAGTTAATTATTTTTTAGGTTTTTAAATTTTAAATTCTAAAAAATATTTCTGTAGAGTTGGGGTCTTAATATGTTGCGCAGGTTCATCTTGGACTAAATTATGGTTTTTTTTTTTTAGATGGAGTCTCGCTCTTGTCGCCCAGGATGGAGTGCAGTGGTGCTATCTTGGCTCACTGCAACCTCTGCCTCCTGGTTCGAGCAATTCTCCTGCCTCGGCCTCCCAAGTAGCTGGGATTAAAGGCATGCACCACCATGCCTGGCTAATTTTTCTGTATTTTTAGTAGAGACGGGGTTTCGCCATATTGGCCAGGCTGGTCTCGAACTCCTGACGTGACCTTGTGATCCACCTGCCTCGGCCTCCCAAAGTGCTGGGATTACAGGCATGAGCCACTGCACCCGGCCTAAATTATATTTTTAAAAGTAAAAATATTTAAAGAATGCTAAGTATTAATATGATCTTAAAATCATTGAAATTCAATTTTAAGAGCCAGATCTCATATAAATATAATAAATTCTACCTAATTTTTAGGCTTTCTTGTCATAGGTCCTAATAGTTAACACTTATTTTGTAATGACTAAACAGAAAATATTTGATTTGTGTCAAACACATTTGTAATGGTAAAAATTTCTACAATTTAATAATGCTATTTTCAGCATGATGCTCTGGATTTTGTTTAATCTTCTATTAATATAACTTTAAATTAGAATGACATCTTTGTTTAATGACATGAGCATTATCTTCAAATGTGAGCAGCTGCCACTCATTTTAGTACTTTGTGAAATATCTAATATTCAGAATTGGTACAGTTTATTACTATAATCCTTTTATATTGAATATTCCTACACATTTTATGACATAAGAACCATTCTTATATAAATTAAATAGAAACTAAACTACTAAAATATTTTTATATTTTTACTTTATTGGTATAAAATACTAAAACCACATATTTGAACAATGATTAAAATGTTTATAATTATTTTGAAAATACAATTCAAACAGCCAATCAAAAATATATTAGATGCTCTTCTATCTTAGACACTAGTAACATTAGTAAAATAACATTTATACAGCGTAATTTTACTACAGTAGCCATTCTGTCAACATATAATATAGAGGACATAGTTATGTTTTGGTTCTAGCTACTTCAGGAACTTGAATACTCTTAAATCTATGCTTCTTTATTGGAAATCCAATAATGTGAAATAGTTTTTAAACTTTTGAAACAATGAGAAAATGGTAGATCAAAGTTTCCAAATTTGCCCCTATGGACCCAGAATCCAGGCTTGCTCCAGTTGACCCTCTTTGAAAGCCTGCTTTCTGTGGACTCAAGCTCCAGGGCTGTTTGTACAGATCCTGGCTCTGCGCTTGTCCAAGTGGATCCTGGAACCAGGTTGGCCTCCATAGATTAAGGCACCAGACCTGCTCACCTGTGAAACCTATCAGCAGGCCCATCCACAGACCCTACGAGGCAACCTGCTCAGAATCTCTGGCTGGTGAAGAAGTTTTCCTGATAAAGCCAGTTTGTAAAGATTTAAAATAAGTGACTACTTCTTCAAAGGTGTAGATGTCAATGAAATGCTACAAGGATCACAAATAACCAAGAAAACATGACACCACCAAAGAAACAAAATAACTCACTAGAAACCAATCCTAAATAAATGGAGAGCTATGAACTGCAAGACAAAAAAAAGTCAAAATAATCTTAAGAAGCTCAGTGAACTATAATACAGATAGACAACTAAACAATAATCAGAAAAACAATACATGAATGAAGGAAGAAGTTTTCTGAAGAGATATTTAAAAAATACCAAATAGAAATTCAGGAACAGAAGAACACAATGACTGCACCAAAAAACTCAATAGAGAGCTTCAATAGTGAAAGAACCAGTAAACTTGAAGACAGTCATTTGATATTACTCAATCATATGAACACTATAAGTGTATTTCTCAGCAGAAACCTTGCAGGCCAGAAACAGAGGGATAATATATTTGAAATGTTAAAAGGAAAAAAAAACAGCCAATGAAGACTGCTATAATCAGCAAAACTGTCATTGTAAAATAAAGAAGAGAAATAGACTTCTTAGACAAACAAAAACTGAGGGTATTTGGCACTACTAGACCTGCCTTACAAGAAGTGTAATGGAAGATGTAAAATTATCTCTGTTTGCAGATTGCATAATCTTATATCTGGAAAATCCTAAAGACTACACAAACAAAAATTTGTTAGAATTAATAAATTAGGCCAGGTATAGTGGCTAAAGGCTGTAAGACAAGCACTTTCAGAGGCTAACGTGGGAGCCCGAAGTTAAAGGCCAGCACTGGCAAAATAGCAAGACCCAGCCAGGCTGTACACACACACACACACACACACACACACAAATAAAAATTAAAAAAATTAAAAAAAATAACCAGGCAGTGTGGTGCATGCCTATAATCCTAGCTACCCAGGAGGCTGAAACGAGAGAATTGTTTGAACCCAGGAGTTTGAGACTACACTGAGCTAAGATTGTGCCACTACTCTCTAGCCTGGGTGACAGAATGAGGCCTCATCTCTCTCTCCCTCTTTCTCTCCCTCTCTCTCTTTTTAAAGGAACCAATAAGTGAATTTAGCAAAGTTGCAGAATATGAAAATCAATGTGCAACAAAATCAATTATATCTCCATACACTGACAACAAACTATCTGAGAAGAAAATTTAGAAAACAACCTTATTTTTACAAAAGCATAAAAAAGAATATAATACTTAAGAATAAACTTAACAAAGGAGACAAAGACTTGGACACTGAAAATTACAAAACATTGCTGAAAGAAATAGTAAAAGACAAAAACACATAGAAAGATATCTTATGTTCATGGAGTAGATGATGTAATATTGTTAAATTATCCATATTACTCAAGCCAACTGAATGCAATCCCTATCAAAATATCATTTTTTTGCAGAAATAAAAAAATTATACTGAAATACATATGGAATAACAAAAGACTCCAAATAGCCAAAACAGTTTTGAACAGGAAGGACAAAGCTTGAAGTATCACCCTTCTGGATTTCAAAACTTACTATAAAGAAACAATAATTAAAATAGTATGATATTAGTATAAAAATAGAACAGTGGAACAGAATGGAGAACCAAGAATTAAACCCACATATATATGGTCAAATAGTCTTTCAGTGCTTGTTTCAGCAGAACATATACTAAAATTGGGATGATACAGAGAAGATTAGAATGGCCCCTGTGCAAAGATGACATGGACTTTCATAAAGTGTTCCATATTTTTATCTCTCTGAAAGCACCTAGAAATGAAGCCACCTATACTCAACCTACACCACAGTTAAAAGGACAACAGACCTCTCAGATGGGAAAGGGAACCAGAACAAGAACTCCGGCAATTCAAAAAGCCAGAGTGTCTCCTTACCTTTGGACAAACACATTATCCCCCCAGGCTGATAGTTCTTAGCCAGTTTGAAATAATTGAAATGTCAGATAAATAATTCAGAATGTGATGGTAAGGTAGCTCATTGAGATCGAGGAGAAAGTCGAAACCCAATCCAAGGGATCCAAAGAATCTAGTGAAATGATTTATGAGCTGAAAGATAAAATAGCCATTTTAAGAAAGAAGCAAACTAAACTTCTGGAACTAAAAATTCACTGTAAGAATTTCATAATACAGTTGGAACCATTAACAGCAGATAGACTGAGCAGAGGAAAGAGACACAGAGCTCGAAGGCCAGTTCTTCAAATTAACTCTGTCAGATGAAAATAAAGAAAAAATAATTTTTAAAATCAATAAAACCTCCAAGAAAGTGGAATTATGTAAAAAAACAAATTTGTGACTCACTGTCATTTCTGAGAGAGGAGAGAGAATAAGCAACTTAAAAAACATTTTCGAGTAGATAGTCCATGAAAATTTTTCCAATATTGCAGAGACTGATATGCATATTCAAGAAATACAGACAAACCCTGTGACATATTATATAAGGCAACTATCACCAAGTCACATACTCATCAGATTCTCCAAGGTCAAAGTGAAAGAAAAAATATTAAAGGCAGCTAGAAAGAAAGATCAGGTCACTTACAAAGAGAAACCCATTAGGCTAGCACTGGATTTCTCAGCAGAAACCATAAAACTAGAAGATGTTGGGGGGCTATTTACAGCATCCTCAAAGAAAAGAAATTCCAACCAAGAATTTCATATCTCACAACACTAAATTTCATATATGAAAAAGAAATAAGATACTTCTCAAACAAGCAATCACCAAGGAAATTTATTACCACCAGACCAGCCTCATAAGAGGTCCTTAAGGCAGTGCTAACCATGAAAATGAAGGATTGACACTAGCTACCAAAAAATCAACTTACAGACATGGCCACAGGCAATATAAAGCAATTACACAATCAAATCTACAAAACAACCAGCTATTAACATAATGACAGGATAAAAATGTTATGTACCAATAATAACCCTGAATGTAAGTGGTCTAAACACCCCACTTAAAAGGCATAGTGAAAAGTTGGATAAAAAGACAAGATCCAACTGTATGCTGTATTCAAGAGATACATCTCACATGTAATGACAGCCCATAGGCAAAGAGTAAAGGGGTGGAGAAAGATCTACCATGCAAATGGAAAACAAACAAAGAGCAAGTCACCATTATTAAATCAGATAAAACAGACTTTAAACCAACATCAATCACGAAGGGCAAGGATGACCATTACATAATAAATGGCTCAATTCAGCAAGAAAATTTAACTGTCCTAAATATATACACACTCAACATTAGAGCCCCCAGATATATAAAGCAAGTTCTTCTTGGCCTATACAAATTTTTAGAAAGCTGCAATAACAGCAAAGGGCTTCAACATCCCACTGACAATGTTAGACAGTTCATCAAAGCAGAAAACTAACAAATAAATTCTTAAACTCAACACTTGACCATTTGGACCTAAAAAAATGTATAAAATATTCCACCTATAAACTACAGAATATATTCTTCTCATACACACACAATATATTCTATGATTTAACACATGCTCAGTCATAAGAAGAGTCTCAGTAAATTCAAAAAATTAAAATTATACCAAGCACAATCTCAGACCATAGTGCAATACAAATAGAAATCAGTACCAAGAAGTTCTCTCAAAACTTCATAAGATATGTAAATTAAACAACTTGCTCCAGAATAACTCTTGGGTGAAAAAATGAAATTAAGGCAAAATTTTAAAAATCTGTCAAATTATTGAAAATAGAGAATAACCTACCAAGATTTTTGGGATGCATTCAAAGCAGTGTTAAAAGGTTTATAGCACTAAATGTCTTCATCAAGAAGTAAGAATGATCTCAAATTAACAATGTAACTTTGCACCTAGAGGAACTAGGAAAAAAAAAAGCATAAGAAAAGAAATAACTAAAATTACAGAGGAAGTGAATGAAATTGTGATGTAAATATCCATACAAAAGATCAATAAAATCATGAGCTTGTTATTATTAATAGACCACTACCTAGATTAACAAAAAACAAGGGTGAAGATTCAAAGAAGTGCAATCAGGTGACAAAAATGACATCATAACTGATCCTAGAGAAATACAAAAGATCTTCAGAGATTATTATTAATGACTCTATGTACACAAATTAGAAAATCAAGAGGAAATGGGTAATTCCTGGAAACACACAACCTCCCAGAATGAACCAGGAAGAAAAACCTGAACAGACCAACAAGAAGTTTCAAAACCGAATCAGTAATAAAAAACTGAGCAACCAAAAACAAACAAACAAAAATCACTGGACCAGATGGAAGATGGATTCACAACTGAATTGTACCAGACATACAAGGATTAAATGGTATCAACTCTACTGAAACTATTCCAAACAATCAAGGATGAGGGGCTCTTCCTTAACCATTCTAGAAAAGCAGCATCATTCTGATACCAAAATCTGATAGAGACACAATATAAAAAGAAAACTACAAGCCAATACCCCTGATGAACATAGTCATAAAAAATCCTCAACAAAATACTCGCAAACTTAATCCAACAGCACATTAAAAAATTAATTCACCATGACAAAGTAGGCTTATTTCTGGGATGCAAGGTTGTTTCCACATATGCAAATCAGTAAATGTAATTCACCATATAAAATATTAAAATACAAAAACCATATGATTATCTCAATAATTGTAGAAAAAGCCTTCAATAAAATATAATATCCTATCATATTATAAACCCTCAACAGACTAATCATTGAAGGAACATATCTCCAAATAATAAGAGCCATCTATATCAAATCCAGCCAGCATCATACTGACCAGGCAAAAGCTGAAACCATTTCCTTTGAGAACTGAAACAAGTCAAGAATGCCCACTCCCACCACTCTTGTTTACCATAGTACTGGAAGTCCTTGATGGAGTAATCAGGCAAGAGAAAGAAATAAAAGCCATCCAAATAGAAAAATAAAAAGATTTAAAGTCCCACTACCTCTCTTTACTGATGATATGACTCTATAGCTAGAAAACTCTAAAGATGCTGCCAAAGGGCTCCTGGACCTAGTAACATCAGTAACGTTTTAGGATAAATCAATACATAAAAGTCAGTAGCATTTCTTTACACCAATAACATTCTAGCTGAGAACTAAATCAAGGGCTAAAAGGGCCAAGGTATAGCTCAGGCCATTGCTTCAGAGGGTGCAAGCACCAAGCTTTGGCAGCTTCCATGTGGTGTTGAGCCTGAGGGTACACAGAAGTCAAAAATTAAAGTTTGGGGACCTCCACCTATATTTCAGAGGGTGTATAGAAATGCCTGGATGTCCAGGCAGAAGTTTGCTGCAGGGGTGGGACCCTCATGGAGGACCTCTATACATATATGTATATATTTGTTTACATACATATATTAGTAAATCATATTAGTAATATATTAGTAATAATCATAGATTATTATTTTGTTTCAGGAAGAGTCTGTTAGTCCCATTATCCATTTTCATGAAATTGTCTGAAATTTGTCAAGTGAGAGCCACTTCAATCTGTCTCCAGTGTCCTTTTGCTATATTCCTATTATTTTATTTAAAATATCCTTGCTTTATATCACAATGATATGTTCCAGACAGGTCTCGTACTCCACTGCCATAGCTGTGGACTCATTCATTTCTCTATGGAGCTCTGGCTTCTGTTAGTAGGGTATAGTATACAGAAACTAACATGTAAAAGTAAAATGATGGTTGCCAGGGGCTGGGTAGTGTAGGGAAATGGGGCATTAGTGTTTTATGGGTAAAAAGTTTCAGTTTGGGAAAATGAAAAAGTTCTGTACAACAATGTGAATGTACGTAACATCACTGAACTGTACTCTCAAAAGTGGCTAAGATGATAGATTTTATCTATCATCTTACATAATACATAATACATAATACATAAATTATTATGTATAATTTACTATAATAAAGAAACATGGACTATTAAAAAAGGGAAACTAATATATGAGATATAAGTTTGCTCATTGCTATACAGGCATCTTTATTTTTAGTCCCTTTTAATAGAAAGAACTACAAAATATAGACATGCATATATCCATATCTATATCTCTTATCAATAGCTATAATTTTATTCATATATTAAAATCTATGCATGCATACTATTACTTCCATTTAAATTTATTATAACAGAGGTTATTCTTATCTTTTTCTTTTTATATTTCTAATTCCATTCTCCAACTGGCAGTAATGTGGCTTTCATTTTTCTCAGCATTACTCACTCATATGCTCAATCCTAAGATCCACAGATAGCAATTTTAGAATTGCTAATCCATACTACTGTGAACTGGGCTCCTTTTAATTCCTGACCCCATAGTGATTTTAATTTGAGTCAAATCACAAAAATCAGACATGCATACATACAGTTCTTTTCCCATTGTGTTAAATGTGTAAAAAATCTGTTCATTCGCACTTCTTTTTTCTTGCTAAACTATTATCTCTAAGAAGGTGCTATTTGATTTAGAAAAAAGATATACATCTTTGTTATCACTGTTCACATCTGTCTGTTTCATTTGTTAGGCAATGACAGTTGCTACATGAGTATCATTTAAAGCATTAGTGATACTTTTTTGGGTGGTGTATATGAAATAACTAAATGATATTCAAAGCTTATGATTAATCAGCTACAGGCATAGTGCATCTCCCTGGGCAATTACTGTATATTCTGAATGTCAGCATAGCTTATGTGTCTTCCTCTTTTGTTACGTATAATTTTGAAAACCTAATTTAGATTAAAGCTTTATTATGTTGTAAGGCAGGGGGAAAAGGGAGCCTTAGTAATAATCAAACCTTGTATCTATGCATTTCAATGTCTATTAATCTCTAGGAAGGTGCTCTTCCCTTACATACAAATAAAAGCAAATAAGTCACTAATGTACAATACCATGGCAGTGATCACACCCTGGAATTCCATCTATTAAAATATAATATGGTCATGGCATACCATCTACACAAAACCCAACACAGCTCATCACCCTTTACTAGGAAAACACTTTCTCTACTCTATCACATCTCAGCTGTCACTCACTGTGACTGAGCTAAACAATTTACAGTAATAAGTACATATTTTCCCCAAAGCATGCATTCTTTCCTCAAATCAGCCTCCAACTTGTTTTTTACCTCACTCAATGAGTTGTTCATTTCTGGTTGCCATTTATTGAAATCCAAGTAGCCAACAGACTTGCTGTCCATTATGTTGATCCTGTCTCATACAGGGGCCATACAACAAGGTAAGAGCACCTTTTTGAGAGGACAAAACTCATATGTCTGGATAAGTGTTATTTAAATAGTTTTTAGGCAAATGTTTCAACTGAATTCAGGTAGGCAAAGATTATTATGACTAATGGGTTAAACTTTGGCTATAGCTTGGGTAGGATTTGGAGAGTGAGAAGGCACAAGGAGGGGACTCTAGGGGGAAGGACTTGTGGGTAAGGGCAGAGAGGAGAAAACCTCTTTTATATTTTCCTCAGGCAGCTCAAATGCCACATGTCCCAAACTGAATTTATCCTCCATCCTGCCTCAAGGCTCCTTCTCTTCCAACTCCCTATGTCTGTGCATGCAGCATCTCCTCTCTAGTCTACTTCGGTAAACTAGGAGTCATCCGAGTGTAAATGATTTCACTCCGTTTACTTCTGCCTCTCCCACATTCTATCAGCTAGACAATTACATAGTCAACTATATAGTCTGACAGAATCTTCACACTTTTTTTCCCTTGGTGTGACACTATAAATACATCCATATTTTCCTCTGCAGCCTCGTCACTAATGATTACCCTTTCTGCTCTGTCTGTGCAGAACTATTTAGAACTCTCAGATGTTTCACACATTCTCTCCATTTTGAATCCTTGTAGCTGGCTCTCTGGCTTTCAGGACTCAGCTCGTGCGTTATCTCCCGTGAGAAGCATGCCCTTCTTCTGCACTTGCCCACCTTAACTTAGATCCATGGCAACTCTCAGCACATTCTATAGCAATTGTCTGATTATTTCCCAGATTTTCCAACTGTCATGTGAATGTTTATAGGCCTTATTTGTCTTAGGATCCCCTAGTACACTTGTACATGACAGGCATTAGGAAAGGAAACATATAAAAAAATTAAACCTCATTATTAATCCACTTTAGAACTTCAATGAGATCTTACTTGTTTTTTACCTTTAACAGATATTTAAAATATAATTCTCAGTTATGTTAGAGATAGGGTGTAAAACAAAAATTTTATACTTTCAAAATCCAAATAATGACAAAATGAACAGTTTATTCACCATAATCCTAAACTTTGGTCAGGTAACAAAGCAGAATAGAGGTTAATCTTACCTCGGTTACTCAGATGCTTTGGATCCGTATTCATGGCTCTGAAAGTCAGACAATGGATAACAATGCCACATGTTTGAATGTTAGCTAATCGACAACAGCCTAACTCCAGTAACCATGCTCCCAAGAATGAAACTCATCCAGTCCCTAAACCTCCCCATTCTGAAAATCTGTCAAATCTTTAACTACTTCCTCTAACTTCTTGTTTTGCTTAGAGTGACTATAATATATAAATAAGTACATCTCTCCCATTCACAAGCAATCAATAAAGTTGTTTGTTTTTTCTCTAGATAATAAATGGTCTCCTCCTTCAATAGGTAAAGAAGTCTCTCTCATGCACTCTGGTGGAGGGTAAATTGTCAGTTTTTCTAGAAAAAGATTTAGAAAAATACATTAAGGACTTTTGAAAGCTCAAATTTATTAATCCAATAGTTTTCTTCTGGGAAAATATCTGAGAAAAAAATTAAAAATAAAATCTTAATTATAGAGACATTCATTGCTGGGTTATTTATATTAACACAAAATTTAAAATGGCTTCAATGGCAAACAATAGAAAATGGCCAAATAAATTATAGACTATTAGTTGAATAAGATGTTAAATAGACATTAAATAAGGTTTTAAAAGACTTTCAAATTATATTAGACCATACTCATCTGATAATTAATAAGTAAGTAATAGCAGGGGATTTAGAGATTTTCTATGTTATGTGATCTTGAACATGGGCATATGTGTATCTGTAAAATATTAGAAACACATAAATCCCAAGAGTTTTAGAATTTTCACTCCTTGGTGGGATTACACATGAATTTTTTATGAGCAATTCTACATATTTTTCAAATCTTTTTACAATAAGTATTATACTTGTATTAGTCAGGGTTCTCTAAAGGGACAGAACTAATAGGATAGATGTACAAATAAAGGGGAGTTTATTAAGGAGTATTGACTCACACGATCACAAGGTGAAGTCCCACAATAGGTCGTCTGCAAGGTGAGGAGCAAGGAAACCTGTCCGTGTCCCAAACCTGAAAAGTAGGGAAGCCAACAGTGCAGTGTTCGGTTTGTGATGGAAAGCTGGAGAGCCCCTGGCAAACCACTGGTGTAAGTCCAAGAGTCCAAAAGCTGAAGAACTTGGAGTCTGATGTTTAAAGGGCAGGAAGCATTCAGCACAGGAGAAAAATGAAGTCCAGAAGACTCGGCAAATCTGCTCTTTCCATCTTCTGTCTACTTGATTTGAGCCATCCTGGCAGCTATTAGATGGTACCCACCCAAATTGAGGGTGGGTCTGCCTTTCCCAGTCCACTGACACAAATGTTAATCTCCTTTGGCAACACCCTCACAGACACACCCACGAACAGTACTTTGCATCCTTCAATCAAGTTGCCACTCAATATTAACCATCGCAATGCTTAATATTATAAAATACTTATTTTAAAGACCATAGATTAATTGTAAAATCAATTGTGAAATCAATTAATCAATCTATAGTCTTTTTAAATAAATATTTTTGTGATATTAAGATAATATCCCAGATGATTACATTAGAATACAATACATGAGCCCACAGAACAATGGGATGCCATCCCCTATTCCTTCTTGTTCCTTGGAATTTTTGCTCCTTTGGGCTTAAGATGGCTCTGAGTGGAGCTACCTATCAACTGTATTCTGGGGATCCTGAAGGCTGCTAAATTACCTTTAAAAATGTAATTTGCCACCAAAACAATGAGCTTTATTTTTTTAGACTGCATAGTTGATTGGATAAACAAAATTCTACCTACTCCCATTACTTTGTGTCTGCTCCTTATATAATAATAATAATAATCCATGAATTACTACATAAATGTATGCCACTTTCTTTTCTTATCTGGCTTCTCCCTTAAATTAATTAACTGAATTCTTTCCTTGAATCTTCCAAATGAGGAGAGCCATACTTACATAGTATCTTTCTGGGAGTCACATGTTTTTTCCCTGAGAAGAGTGGTGGGTGTTCTCAGATTATTCTACCTTAAACTCATTATCTATCTTCAATCTCAATCATATCCTTAATTCTGTGAAGTGATCCCTTGAAGTTAATCTATCTACTGTACCTTCAGAGAGAGAGAAAGAGAAAATTCTAAAGCCATATTTCCTGGTTTGAAATTCTGACTCGCTTATTTACTAACTGTGCAACTTTGTGAAAACTACTTAATCACGTATTTGCCTGTGTATTCTTATTTATTAAGTGAGGAGGACAAAAATTCACCCTAGTGTTGAATAATTTATTTCAAATAAAGTACTTAAAATAGAGCTCCTCATAAAGTAAACATGACATAAATGCTATCTATTGTTGTTATTATTCAAAATTTCTTTTTCTCTGGATACTTCTCATTCAAATGTAAGCATCCATGTTTCTTCCACCTTAAAAAAACTACCTTTATTGCACATCTGTCTTCAGTGAGCATTCTGTTTTTTATTCCCTTTCATAGCCCACCACCTCATGTCTGTATTTGCAATCGTTAAGTATCTGCCGCCTCCTACTAACATCACTTATGTACACATCAAGAGTTATAATCTGGCTTTAGAGGCAATCAAACTACTGAACAATCTTTTTAGCTAAGACCAACAAAAAACTCCTCAACTAATAGAATTCTTACACCTCTGACTTCTCTGTATCACTTGACAGTGTTGAAATGTTTTCTTCTTCTGTAGTGCTGTCTGGTTTTCTTTTATTGACCATAATGTTCACCTTCCTTTATGGGTCCATTTTTCCTTGCTTTTGCCTTAAATTCTGATGGTCCCCAGGGCTCCTTCCTAGGATTTCCTTTGTAATAATCATGTTTAGTTTGATTCACTAAACAATCTCTTTTCTGATCTGGCTTCTCACTCAATTTAGTTTATTTACATTAAAATTAATTTGTAAAAGCCATTTTGAGATGACTCCCAAATCTATATCTCAACTTTATTTTTTAATCTCTGTCCAGAGTTTATGACTCATATATCCATCTGTCTATTGGACATCTCTAGTTAGCACTCTAGCTCAAAATGTCAGGGTCTATCTTGCAGTTCTCCAAACTGATCCCATTTTCTACTAATTGTGTGCCTTTGTTTATTCCTTGGCTGAAATCCCCTCTGAATTCCTTCTTAACCATTATAACATTTACAAATTCTTCAGGGCTGAACTCTTCTCTGAAGCTGGAGTGTCTACAATGTATACTGATATATCCTCTTCTGGGCTCATAGCTCCCTTTGCTTATCTCTATCATAGCGTTTATCTCCTTTGCTAGATTATTTGCTTTGTATGGAAACTGATTTCTTTTTGCATATTTGTATTTCATAAGCTTAGCAGAGTATCTGGCAAATAGGAGGAGTTCAATACCTATTTTCTGAACAAATATGAGAAAAAAAGCTATTGTAGTGACATATCATGTTCTGTTGAACTCGATGAGGATAAAACACTTTGGGTTATCCCTTTAGATGCTAAAGCAGGGGTCAAGTCTGGTATGCTACAGAGAGAGCAAGGAGTTGTGTGGATAAAGCAGAGAGAGTGAAGGGAAGATTGGTAAGTGATGAGGTCAGAGAGGCAATGGGAGTCAAATCATGCACCGCAGTTTAGGCAAAGGGCAAGACTTTGGCTCTAAAGCTCTGAGTAAAATGGTAAGAATGGAGAGGATTTTGATTTATAGCTTGACAGTATTTGGGAATAGGCTATAAAAGGAGGGGAAGAGCAGAGAGAGGAAAGGTGGGCCAAAGATAGAGGCAAGAGACCAGTTGGAGAACTGTGATGATAACTCAGGTGAGAAATAATACATTAGAAAGGAGTCAATATGTGTACAGACTCCATCCACTTCTAACATCTCTACATTTGCTGATAATCTCTACATCCACTTCTACATTAGAAATAGCTGGAAGTGGATGGAGTCTGTAGACATATTGACAGCAGAGCCAATAGGATTATTGACTAAAAGGATGTGGGTATGTAAGTGAAAGGAAGGAATGACTTAGGGTGTATGTGCTTATTCATATATAAAATGTATTTTTCAGTGTCAGATTAACTTACTTCCTAGAGACCCTAGCATTTAAAATGTATGTTATAAGAAACGTGATGATTCTGGAGCCAGAAATATATTTCATGACTGATGGTGGAATGTGGAATAAGACAAAAATTAGAGTCTTTTGAAGAAATTAAAAGAAAAAATTTATTTGGAATCTTGTAAAGTATGCATACAAACCAAACCTAATTATAGTTGAGGAAAATTGTAGAGGAAAATATGATGATAATTATTTAGGAAAAAAATTAGAAACTCACTACAATGCCATACTTTTCTCAACAGAAAGGAATAGTGATTTGAAAAAAAAGCAATGCAAAAATTAGTATCTAAAAAAAAAAAAGAAAAACTTATTTAAGTAACCAAGGAAATTGTATGTTATTATTTACATAAAGTGTAAAAACTTATCTCTTACTACTGAGAGAATACTTTTCACTTAAGAAAAGAAATACATAATTAAATACTTTATTCCTTTAAAACAAATATATAAAAGTCACTAAAGAAAATTTTACAAAGAAAACTAATTAAGTAGTAAATAGAAATAATATGATATATTGTGAAGTATACCTTTAATAAAAATATGTCGTGATATATTATAGTCATATTAATTCATTTTTAGAAGAATTTTATTATGACCTTCATGATTTCTGTTGAAATTCTTTTCATTCTAGATACTTCATTTCCTATGACAAATTTGTTTAGATAAAATAATTTTACTTCTGTTCACTTCTACAGTAGAGATTTTCATTTATTTTTTAATATTTGTCTTTCACATCATGAGAAGTGATTGGAACACGAATATTTTTAATCACTGATTTTCTCTTTGGTCTATTACTTCTTTCATTTCCGGATGACAGCTTTTTCTCTCTTTTGCACTTTTATACCTTGCATTTTGAATTCTGTATGATTTTGTTACTTTTTTGACATGTTGTTAAATTAAATCATAAATATGGACAGAAGATAAAGAAAAATATTTCTTATTTTGAGTGGAATGTCAAATGTTAAGAATAATTGTGCTGCCAAGAGAAACAACACATCATATTTTACAGCCTCAAAAATCCTACAGGAAACTACATATCTCATTTTCCTTTGAGATAAAGCATTAGAACATTTCTGTTTCTCCTTTCTCTTTGCATTTTAAACAATCACAGGATTAGAGATTGAAGCACAATAGCATATTTACACTTAGCAGGTATTCACATAATTATACAGATATTCATTACGTATAATTTTTTATATAGTGTATTTAATATGGGCAGCCTTTTTATTTTTTCAAATGCTCATTAGTATAAGATTGTAATTTTATCCAAAGGTTATAGTGACATAAAAAATGACAGAAAACATTTAGTTTGGTTCTTCATTGACATTAGAATGATAAGATAGAATCACAAGATAGCTGCAGCTTTATGTGCACTGTTTTGGAGCATTTATCAATTTAAATTTTAATAAAAAACAGTTTCAAGTTATTTTAAAATAGTTTCAAGCTGGTTTAGTCTATTAAAAGGGAGCATTAATTTTCATTTACTGGTCAGTTTCTACAATCCTCCTATTCTACCTTCCAAACAACTTCTCCCATTTTTATTCTTTCCAAAATCTAGAGTTTAATTTATTGTTAGAGAATCAGCTGTAACTCACTGAACTCTTATGGTATTTCTCTTATGCAAAACTTCAATCCAATAGTAAAGGTGAGAAAGTGGGCTTGATATTAATGAAGTCCTCTGGCAATTTACTAAACAAGATAAAAGGAACTTTTTGTAGGAAGGAGTGCCTTTGTCTTTAAAGAATAGTTAATTTCTAAAGAGAAAGTTAAGAGAGGAAAACAATGTGCAAAGAACAATTTCAATATGGATATGGATCATGAAAATGCAGTTCTGAATTTTTACTCAAATATAAGGTATGTATCTGGTGTTATGAAAAATAAGCTTGGAATATTAAGTTGGGATAATATGATGGAGAATTTTAAAAGTTAGAAAATGAAATTTTCATTTAGTTTAGTAGGTATTAGGGTATAATCAAAAGTTTGGTGTTTTTGTTTATTTGTTTTTGAGGTGTGGTTTTGGAAGCTTACTCTGGTTTCAGTGCCTATGATTCATTGAGGAGAGATAAAATAGAAGTAAGAGACCAACGATGAGACTCTTGTAGTGGTACAGTGAGAGAGATAATGAGGTCTTGCATGGCGGTGATGGAGATGGCAATTGGGAGGAAGGCATTGGCAACATCTGATGCTGGTTGGATGGGGGAGGTAGAGAAAGAATAACTTGATGTATTTTAGTTCAGGTACTTGGAAGAATTTAGGTGTCTTTAGTAAAATAAAATAGAAAAGCAAAGAAATAAAAACTGTTTGGAAGAAATGGGGGTGGTAGGAAAAGATGATAACACTGTCTGGAGGCATTTTAAGTTTCAGGGACCTGGTAGCTCTACAGAAGAAAGTATGGATCAGACAGCTAGAAATGCAGAACTATAGTGCAAGAGAGGAGTAAGAACAGTGAGTATGGCTTAAAAGTCACCAGCACATAATTAATTGTCAAAGCTAATGGTTCTCAAACCTATTTGAGAGGCATTAATATATATTGTTTCTGATCTCATCTCATGTCAATTAAATCTGAATCACTAGGGGTGTGGAGGAGCTAGGAATCAATGTGATTGCCCCCACAAACATATATTCAAATATGTATTATGTATTTTCCTCTTATCTACCATATTGTCCTCTTTTTCTTCCCTAGGCAATATAATTTTGAGAGGGAGTGGATATTTATAACCCATGAAAAAGTTGAAAGTACAGAACAATAGAAACATAATACCCTTTATCTAAGTTACCATTAACATATTGTTGTGCTAGTTCCATCTTTCTTTCTCTTTCTACACACAAACATGCACACACACATACATGCGCATGTACGTGTGCACGCACACACACACACATCTTTCCTTTTTGTCAAAGCATCCAATAAAAAGCTGAATGCATCATGATACTTTATGTTTAAATACTTCAGTATACACACATATCTAAAGAATAAGGATATTTTCCTACATAACCATGACACCACTATCACCTCTAAGAAAATTAACATAATTTTGTAACATCATTGAATGCACAGACTAGCCTCATAGTTCCCTAATCCAAAGAATTACATTTACAGATCATCATAACTTGGATGTGATGTATCTGAGTTTGTCTGGGACAACATTTCCTGGTATAATTGTTAGTGGCACTTTTATTATCTTCAAAGATGTAGTAGATTGGATGATTATATATTAGTTTTCCTATACAAACTTCAATCAAGCTTACTATTATTATAACTTCTAGATGTCTTTAGTCTATTCCATCTACACTAGGTCCACATCTCTTGCCTCATACAATTTGGTGTAGATTAAGTGGGTTGGTCAATTTTTGCCTCAGAGTCTTATTAACAATTCTAAGTTTTGCCCATACAACTACTTAAAGAATAGTGGAGTCACATCATACATGTATGCATTTTTTTTTTTAGACGGAGTCTCGCTGTTGTCACCCTGGGCTGGAATGGCAGGATCGCGGCTCACTGCAACCTCCACCTCCACTGGAACCAGAGAATTAGGTTCCAGCAATTCTCTTGCCTTAGCCTAATGAGTAGCTAAGACTACAGGAGCCCACCACCATGCCCGGCTAATTTTTGTATTTTTTAGTAGAGATGGGGTTACACCAGATTGGCCAGGCTGGTCTCAAACTCCTGACCTAAGGTGATCTACCCGCCTCGGTCTCCCAAAGTGCTGAGATTACAGGCGTGAGCCACCACGCTAGGCCATGTACACATTTTTAAAAATTTAATTATTGTCTCTATTATTTCACTCCATTTACATACATCCCAGAGCATGGGTGGGAGAGGGCACAGAGTTACACTTCTGTTTGGTTGATTTCTGTTCTTCTAGAAACACTTGCGGCATGAGCATATCTCCATACTGATATACTTCTTGTATTTAAAGACCCATTCTTCACCTTATGGGCAACTTAAGGAATTTCCAAGATCATTTTTTTTACCATACCAGATTATTATTTTACATGTTGGCCTCAAAACCCAGATGTGACAAGAGAAGTGACTTTTTGCCCACCTTCCTGCTCTGCTGAATTATAGGTGGGCAGATCTCTTGTAGGTTGCACTTCCCAGGCTCCAGGGATAGCTCTTTTCCATTAGGATTTAGCTATTGGAAGTTCTGTCAAATATTAAGAAACAAGTAGAAAGAAGATATCAGAGTCACCCAAGGACTCCGCCTCAGATAGTATAGAGGAAGTTGTCATGTCTCTTCTTTTGCTCCAGATGCTTCTAATTCAGATTCTTCTATTTACATGAGCTCCTGAATTCTGTTAATACTTCCTGATCTCTCTGCCACTTCAGCCTAAAGCAAAAAGCAGTTTCTGCTGTTGTTAATCTCTGGATTTCTCCCCTACTCCCTGATTTGAATCTCAGTCTCTTCTGTCACCTATCTAACTATGTTATCACATTAATTTTTATTTGTTTATGACTTTATTTTTCTGATTGAACCTTGATTGACAAACTTCTTATTATTGGATTAATCCCATGAGTTAGCCTTTCAAAATGGGCTTGTTAGATTGTGTTTCTTCCCATTTGAGTGCAAACACAAACATAAGCTCCGTGCAGGTGGAAAATGAGATATTACTAATAGCTGGCATACAATGGCTTAAATTGCTTAAGTGAGCTTATCATTTACTGGATGAAGTGCCAGTCAAAGGCAAGGTTTTGGGAAAACAAGTAGCAAACTCTTCTTACCAGTATCACAGTAAGGATTTCAAGAATTGTTTTTGAAATCGTTGTTTCTGACAACTTTGATGAACTTACAGAAAGACAAGTATAGGCTCACAGCTTTGAGTTCCTTGTTCATGTCAAGATTAAATAATCAGAGAGTTGTTACAGGCACCATAAAAGAGTATCTTCTGTAGTAGCAGAGATGCAGACATAACTGAGGTCTTCCAAACATGATGGTCCAAATTGTGGAATTGTAGAATTATAATTTAACAGAAAGAAACCTGAAAATTATCTTATATTAAGGTTGCATATATTCAGAAGTAGTACATTGTGAAATGATATTGGAATATAATATTTGAGCAACTGCTTGAGCCAATCCTGAAAGCACAAGTAAATACCATGAAAAGGTGGCTTATACTTGTATGACATCTACTTTTTCTGTAATTCAGAAAATTACATTTCTGCTCCTTCATTAACCAGCAGCTATGGCCTCATGTAGACTTTCTATGACCTGTTGATGGAGAGAGAAATGGTTGGTCTTGGTTTACAGAGACCTTGTACAATATGCTGGCACAAGCTGCAGGTGGACTGCTGCCATGTTACAGTCCCACTTAGGGGTAATCCTAGAGGATAGCGGTAAAGGTCAACCTCCCCATGGTTGACTTTTTTCCCCAGAATTTACTTGTTATACTTCATTTGAAGTTCATTGGCTTTACAAATCACATTTGGGAGTGGGACAACGCTTTTTTTTGTGCTTAGGATGACTTTAGATAGTAAATATAGCTGTTCATTTTGTGTGGAAGGAGCGATGACTTGAGGAAAAGTTCTACACTGAGTCGTGGGCAATGATTAATGTTTGTTCTCATTGGTCAGGGACTTGAAAAGAACAGGATTGGAAGATTGTCGGTAAGCAGGCCTAGAATATCAAAGTCAGCATATACTTTCTCTTATCAAGGTTGACCTTATATTGTCTCTGATAAGTCTTTAATTTATGAACTGCAGATGCTAACATTGAGTGTTTTATGGCATGATTCTCTGTAGGTACTGGTCAATCAACTTGCAGGTGGATTACGCTGAAATTTTTCCATTGTAAAGGTAATTTTTCCTTACTGGTATATTCATTCTTGATATGAATTTGAATTCCATGCCCACAGTACTCCTGTCAGCAGCACCACCTATGGACTTAGAGAATTCCCTATGCACCATCATATTAGCCTGTATAACATTGCTTTTGACTTAGGAACATATTTTGCTGCAAGAGAAATGCAAAAGTAAGCTGATAGGGTGTTCTCTGGCCTAACCACAAACACCAATACCCAGAAGCAGCAGGCCTGGTGGATAGCCCACTGAAGACAGTTATGGTACCTGATGGGAAACCAGGTGAAGTTGAGGTTTTCTCCTATGACATGTGGTATTATACTCTGAATCTGCCACCGTTATGTGATGCTAGTTCTCTCACAGCCAGCATTCACAGTTTCTGCGTTCAAGAAATGGAAGTGAGAAGAATTCCTCTCACCATTATACCTAATAATTCATTCACAGACATTTTTCTTTCAGTTTCTTTAAACTTGTCTAAGTGTCTACTATGGGATACAATAGATCCAGAAGTTAAAGCTGCCATGGGGTTATTTTCAGAGGCATGTTTCTTTATGCCTTTCAATTAACAGTCAGAGGAGAAATTCTAGTATTAGTAGGGTTCACTGTCCCAACTTATCAAGGAAATATTGGATTGTTGCTGTAAAATAATAGCAAGAAATACTACATTTGGAACTCATAGGATTCCCTCGAATTTATCAGATTACTTTCCTGGCTAATTATAGAGGCCAATACAATAAAGGTAAAACCTTCTGGAATTTAGGTCTCAGACACTCTTGAAAATAAAAAGTACTGATTAACTGATTTGAGAGTAACAGTAATATGTTATGAGTAGAGGGAAAAGAAACGATAAATATATTAATCACACCTTTATAATTATCTTCAGAACTGAGGACTTCCGCAGCTGTGATTGTTTGCTTTGGTATGCAGGTGTGTGTGTATGTGTATGTGCATATGTGTATACATACAGGTAGACATATGTATTTCAGTATATATTTTAATATATTTCACATATATATGTAATTAAATCACTCCCCCCATACACTTATTATTTTGTTTAAGGAGTGTTAATAGTGCTTAATTTACATTTTCAGTCCTTGTGTCAACAGACGCCATGAGGTGCCACACCTGGACAGAAGTTTTCTGTAGATTCTGTATTTGAGAGAGATACAATGTTGGAGCTAGGGCAAGAGGATCTCAGTTTATATAATGAATGGTTGCCTCATGTTAGACAAAACATGACATTATTATATGTAATTTATTTGTGGGTACAAAAATGTGAATGGCTGCTAAGAAAAAGGAAAAGCTAGCTGGCCTATTTTCCTTCCAATCCATTTCTGCTTTGTATATCCAGCGGAGTGATCCCTGAGTGTTTCATTTTCCAAGCCTTCGTGTGCTTATTTCCTACTGGACTCAGCCAGTGGAATGCACAGGTAATAGGCTGTGAGGCTAGAGAAAGGGAGAGAGGACAAGATACTTCTCTATCTCAGGCAACATCTCTTGCAGAACTGAGGCTGCTCCGTGGCTCCAGCTCCCATTTCATAGTTTCACCTTCCATCTGGTGACTCTTACTGTTAAGCTATAATGGAACATCCTGCTCCTTTTCTCTCTCTGTGTGTACGTGTGTGTGTGCATGTGTGTGTGTGTGTGTGTGTATGGAAGGAGAGAGAGAGAAAGTGAGAGTAATTTATGATGTATGGTCTTTTGTACCGTGTTTTCTCTCCTAAAATATATTGCAAAATTTTATATATCATTACATAAAAGCTACATAATTCTTTCCAATTGTGGCACAATACTCTGTTATATTTAATTATTCCAATAATTTGTGGACTTTTAGGTGGTTTCCAGTGTCTTCCCGTTGCTATCAAAGCTGCAGATCATATCCTTGCACATACACCATTATGTTGAAGGGATATGTACACCTAAAAATATTTACCTAAAATTAGATTTGCTGGGTCAAAAGTCATGTACATTATTAATTTTGAAAGATACTGCTTTCCACAGAGGTTGTACACGATTACAAATGGATTGCTTATTTCCTCACACTCTTATCAACAGTACGTTACAAAATTTTTGATCTGATGAGTGAAACATAAAATGTTATTGTACTTTATGTTTTTAAAAGAGTATCTTGAATTCTGTACTTATTGATGGATTTTTGAACCCTTTATGTTGGGAAAAATTTTTTCTCACTTATGGAAATATGTGACACAAGACTTCCATTTGCACAATAATGACACTTCCTGTGTAAAATCCCTTCATCAGCAATAGGTAGAAAATGCTGGTTTGTATTAGCTTTGCGTCTGTTATCTGTAAAATACTACCTAAAGATTAGGAGAAACTATCAGTGAGGATTAAAAAAATACAAATATGTGCATTATAGACATGTACCACAATATTTTATTGTTAGTGTCATGGAAGTTTAAGAGATGAAAGTAATGAAAAGGTTCAAATGTTGCTTAGAAATCAAGACAATGAGGGCCTAAAATGTACCTGCAAGTTGATGCATGAACATTGAAGAGAACAATCCATTTTAAAAGCACGGCAGGCTGAAATCATTGTTTGAAGTATCTGAAGACACTTTCAACTTTCGAAAAAGTGTGGTGTTAAGGAGTAGAGCAATAGGCATCATTAAGATTACATAGCCTGAAATGTAATTGAACCAATTAACATGACTTTCAGATATTCTCCAACAATGAAAGCATATAAAATAAATAACCAGATTTGGACTTGGTGAGAGAAAAGATGATAAGAGTAAGGGATTCTAGGGTGGCAGTAAGATAATAGTTGAAATGCAAAACCACAAGGGTCATGCATTCAAGCTGGGAAGTGAAATAAGTGACCTAAAAACCAGAGAAATCAAATAAATTACTCTGAAAGGGTTGAGAAACTGGAAGTTATGAGAAGATGAACAACAAGGTAAGTGGAGTATGAGAATAAAATACATGTAGGGTGAATATCTCATAGTTAGAGCAGTGTTTCAGAATTTCAAATTTTACATGCATACCATTATGACGAAGCCCACATGATGACTGAAATAGTGTGGAGTATAGGCCATTGATGTTACGAGTATTGAGTGACTGGGAACTCAGTATCTGTGTGACCTGTATCTGTGCTGTATTATTCCAGGTAAATTCCTGTAGCTGCCTAACAAAAAAACCAGAAAACTGTGTGTGACTATTTGGGTCAGCAGGTAGCAAAGAGGCTGCTTATCATGACCCTTGACCTATTAGGAGTGTTGGAGTGGGAGAGAAAAAGAGTGAAAGTGAGAGTTGAGCAATCCTGACACAAGTTTTGTAAGTGTGGTCTTCAGAGAAAAATCAGGTTTCACTTAAGGAAAGGAAATAGTATACTTGAAAAGGTTGTACCAGAAAGGATATATGTAATGATTAAGACAACATACTTTAATATGGCAGACTAAGGTCGCATATCAACTCTACCATTTACTAATTGTATGACCAGGGGCAAATTACTTTAACTCTATAATGTCTAGCTTCCTTATGTACAATCTTAATACAATAATAGTACCTACCTCATATATTTGTATGAATAAAATGTAGCTCAATAATCAACAATAATAATCTTTGGAGATATAATAACTAGTGTGTAGGCACCATGTGAGATAGCCTGTGTAGAGGAAAAAAATGTATAAAATAATATGTGGAAGATGGGCTTTATTGATTAGGGCAGTGAGTTTCAATGAGGAATAAACAGTAAGAACTAAGTTGAGAAGAACTCTGTTTGGTAAGAAGTAGCACTGACTAGGCAACAACTTTTTATAGAAGAGTATGGAAGCATACATGGTCCACATGCATGGGATCAATAAATATAGTTAATATATATTGGACATGTTTTGGCAGTGTGAGACTTTGTAGAGTTGTCTTATACTGAGACACTTAGAGATTTCTTCCCAATTTGGGGATGAAGCCAGTGACAGGGCAAGAGAGTATGTTGATTGATATGTTTACATGGCAATTTGTATTTATGGGTTACCTTTATTCCTAACTAATGTATATCAGTAGACCAAAAGGCCAACCAGTAAATAAAAAAATTCAGGGGCAGGGTAAGTACTAGATGTGAAAAAATGAAAATTTAGGTCACTGGTATCTTGTCAGTGGTGCATTGATTTTGTACACACTAAAGTTGTAAATGAAAACATTTTTCTTAGTATTTAGAAATGTGGTTTGTTACATGATGCATTAAAGTATAAAGTGTATATTTTTTACTCCACTTCCTCCAGCAATGCAACATTTCATTTACATTAATAAAATTAATTAGGTGCTTCAATTACTTTCTTCTTTTGCAACTTACAAATGCTCTTAGAAAAATTACAAAGACCATTCTAGTATCCTTTGGTCACCTACATTGATGTTCTCCTTTTCCTCTCCCTTCTCCTTTCCCAGTGTGTCTCTCATTTTCTCTTTCTTTGCTGGAGAAGTCATTTTCTCCATTCTGTCCTCTTCTGGGTATGGAAACGTAAATGCTGAATTACTCCAACTTAGGTAACCCTTAGGATAATTTTTTAAGCAGCAGGAAACAGGGCTATCTGGCTGCGCAGATAATGATATCAGCTGCTTCCTTCCAAAACAACAGGTGCTTTGGCATAAAAATGTATATCATCATACTGAGATGATGACATCAGTTCATACTTCAGCTTAATTATAAACTACCTCCATTAATCCTCAAATAATTAAACATTTTGTGTGTGCTGCAAGGTGAAATGTAAAGTTAAAGGTGCCTGGCTCTTTATTATAGGGATTTAAAAATGTCTGTTCTCTATGTGCATTTCTTTGTACACAAAGAAAATAAAAATTTCAAAAATCTTTAAAGTGTATTTCAAAAGTTATACTTTGTTTTCACCAGAGAAACATAAAGGATGAAATAACTAATAAGAGGTGATAATTTCTTATGTTTAGAAGAGGAATGAAACTATCCAGAAAGTCTGAAAACCACTACAAAGAATGAAAATAGCTATGTCAGCTTTATGTGATTAAGAATTAATGGTTCAACCTTTTAAATTGAGAAATATTAAATATTTGAAGCACCCTTAATAATATTTTTGTTTTTTTCAATAACAAAATGACAGATGCATGCATTTAAATTTCAATAAAAACAAATATTCAACCTAGCAGGGTCCACTGGGTGTTGTTATAAAAATTAGGTAAACCGGATCCTTTTGTTAAAAATGAAACAACTTTTCACAAAAGAATATTTGAGTTAATGCCTATATTTTTAATAGTTGGAAACTTTAGTGAAATATTTTTGTTATATTGTTAATATCATCAAAGCCCAAATGGAATTACAAAACATAAAGCTTTCCTGATTTGGTATAGAAATGTAACAAATAAAAGATTAGTGTATTCTTTCTTTAAGACATAAAACTGACCTTCTTTTAAACAGCTGTTACCTTTATGAGCCAGATGTGTTTCCAAGCAAATTGCTTATAGGGAATATATCAAAAGAAATAGCCATTTAAGAATCAATAAATTATGCATTTGTCATTTGTTATTAGATAAGGCTTAAGCTGACATCTTTGACATGAATACAAGTGTCACAGCACATAGTAATTACATTAACAAATTAGCCGAGGTGATTTTCTGGGCGAATGAGAGAACAGTGGCTCATAAAATTGTTTCTTATCATAAGAAGATGTTTCCACAGATTTTAATTATTTACTATACATCCATTAAAAAGTCCCCCTACCCTAGATATATTACAATTGCTGTAGACTAAATTCTGTGGAGTTCCCAGGAGTGCATCTTTGTCTGTTTATCATGAGGATAGCATAACAGCTGTACAAAGTTGTTCTTAGATAGATTATTTTTTCCATTTTTTAAAATGTAACCAGCTAACAAGACTTTTCTTCTTGGTAGGCACATAATGATAAATTCATGCAAGAGTTTTATTCTTTACAAGTAAAACTCAGATTGGAAATTTTCAGTGGATTTAGCTGGAACATTTGGGTGACCATATGGAGCTCTCCGTGGCGCCACGGGACCACGCAGCTATGAAATCTGATCACTAACTCCCCAGTGACAGCTGGGCCTTTACACCATCAGAAAATTTTCAGACTTCTAATTTGTCATAACTACCTCCTGTGGAAAGGAAATATGTTATGTAGCCAAATACAAAAATTCCTAGTATCTAGCACTATAAATGGTTAATTCCTTAACTATATTTTGTGAGTCACTGATGTAACTCCTACACCAAAAACATATGGGGTCTTGTTAAGTTAGGGTTAGACAACCGCTCCACCCATTCAAAAAGCCATTCTCATGGCAATGTATCCAGAAAATATTTCGTCACAGAGCTTAGGATTTTAAATACATTTAACTTTTAGTTGCTCTAAAAAAGTCAGTGATGCCACTGAGAGGTTTCATCTGAGTTATATTTGCCTTTATTGGTCTACTTTAGTCTAACAACTCTTCATTTGAGTAGTTGAATATGGTGCTATGGCGCCCAGTCCCTGCTTCGTTCTACATAGTGTATCCAAAACGACTCTCCTGCTATGATTATTTACATTTATCAGCAGTTCACAGGCTTATTAAGCATCCCTCCATGAAGAAACAAAGTTGTTTTCTACTCTCTCTTTCTTACTACTTATCTGGGGTTTCTCCTCAGAAATTTCCTTATAACCATTCCCATCATAGAAATAACTCCTAAGATGTTACTTGTATTTTTCTCAATTCACCATCATTGAAGACACAACAAGTGACTTAAGCTTCTATTCTACTGGCCAAATTCTTTTATTTGATAGCGTTTAAATGTCTGAACCCATTATTCATGTTTTTAAAAAAATCACTTGTGTTTGACTTTCTAAATGGATGACCTACTACAATCTTTAATTCAACAAAATGAAGAAAGACCATGATTGTCTTTCCTTCATCCTACTCTTTAATCCATATTTTCACTTTAGCTTTGCAGATATTGAGACTAGAATTTTAATTCATCATCAGGTATTCCATGTCTATTGCAACCTAAAACTTCAAAATCTATCCATTATAATTTCATAGAATTGTTCTTACAATAATAGCTAGCATCTGCTCAGCATTTACAATTGTGCCTAGCACTATTCTAAATACTTTAAATGAACAAACTCATTTATTATGTTCAATAACCCTTTGAAATAAACACAGTTTTCATCATTTCCATTTTGAAGATGAGGAAACAATATATCATTGGCTAAGGTTACATAGTTTATAAATGACAAATTCAAGACTTGAAGCCAGTGTGTGTGGGTTGAGAGCCTGTGCGGTTAACCAGTATACCATGCTATCTCTCAAAGTAAGAATGTTGAGAATTAGCTTGGCAACTGAAACAAACAACAAAAAACAAACAAACATAAATTCTATTAGTTCTGCCACCTTGACATAGCTCATGCCACTAACAATGGTACTTTGTCTGGGCCTCTGTTTTCTAATTTTTAAGATGACAAGATGAGACTAGTTTTTTCATTTGCAGCAATAGAATGCTAAGATAGTGGTTCTCTTTGGGTGGCCATAGTTCACAGTTATTCACACAGATACTGGTTATTTAAAAGACACTATTTACCTTAGTATCATCTTTTTCTAACTTCCACATTGCTGGCACTAATTTACAATATTTTTAGCCCATTAAGTACACTGTCTTTATTGCATATTGTTACTACTTTATTCTTCAGTACTTATCTTTCATGCTGTATGTAAAAATAAATTTCCATAGCAAAATCATATTTTTAATTCCATGCATCTACTGTCCTTATATTCCAAACAACTCCTTCTGATTTATTGATGTCAATCCCTTCTCTGAACTCAACCACTTTGTTCTTCATGTTAATAATTGCAGCCTATACCTTATGTTAGGCATTCTCTGCTACTCTGTTTCAAAGCCACATTACATTCAACCCATGAAGCAATAAATCAGGGTTGCATGAAGTCACTTAAAGCACTTCAGCTCACCTTCTTTTAAATTACATTCCAGACAGCTAGTATAATTTCTCAATTTACAGAAAATACCCAGTTTTATTCAATTCTTGAAGAATGTTCACTTTCAACTGATTGTGGACTTTAATCACATACACAAAATACCTTCACAGCAATACCTGTATTGACTGAATAACTAGTGGCTATAGGCTAGCCAAGCAGACCAAACAAAAAGGCCATCACAGTCCACTCCTTGTCAACTTGGCACTTATCTACTTAAGGCATATCTTAAACCTTATTTAATCTTTAAATAGAGACAACAACAAAATCATATTTTTGCCCAACATGATGAAACTTTCTTGGGTACAACCCAGAACAAACTAACCCTTGCCTTAAAAGAGGATGTAAAGTCCTTTAGGAATATTCACTCTTTTTTCTTTTATATATTTCAGTATTGTGAAGGGAAAGTTGAAAGTTAGCTTTTTGATACACTTTTTATAGATAATGAAGGAACAAGAGAGTGATAAAAGCAAAAAAAAGTATTTGAATAATGTATACACAAACATTTGTAACAAAATAAGGAAGATGTGCTCATAATATAATCTTTGTTTTTCCAGCTAGTTGTGTTGTCACACCAGGTAATTACAATTATCTTCTTCCTATTCCATATTCCCATTGCCATCAATAAGAACTCATCAGATCGTAATTCTTTGCTCACTGGGGACCCAAATCTTTGTTCCTAAAGGGTCTGGGCCATTAGCAGTCCTGCCTATATTGGGTTGTTGTTTTCTATTGAATTTAATTACAGGACATGGTTGGAATAAGAGAAGCCCTCAGGTATCTCCTGTATTTCAGACATACATTTCCATTAACTTCATTGTGTAGCAGCAACCCAATTTCCTCTGTACACCAGCCAGCAGAGTGTCCCACTTTTTTGCATATTGATTTAGAAACATGAAGACCCCAAAGTGGCCCTCTGACAATATCAACAAAATCATTATTTTATCTCCTGGCAAAAGCATTTCTCCCTTTGGAACTAACACTTCTAGACCAGCAGAGCATAAAGTTGTAGGGATAGGAAGCCAAAATATTTGCCAGTGGATCACTATGGGTAATAGTGAGTAGTGCCACTTCCATTTATTTTGTTTGATTCCTGTACCTGTGAATCTTGGAACTATAGTTTATTTTTTTAATTTTATTTATTTATGTATTTATTTTTTTTGAGATGGAGTCTCACTCTGTCGCCCAGGCTGGAATGCAGTGGGTGGGGCGATCTCGGCTCACTGCAAGCTCCGCCTCCCGGGTTCACGCTATTCTGCCTCAGCCTCCTGAGTAGCTGGGATTACAGGCACCCCCCACCACGCCCAGCTATTTTTTGTATTTTTAGTAGAGACGGGGTTCCACCGTGTTAGCCAGGATGGTCTCGATCTCCTGACCTGGTGATTCCGCCTGCCTCAGCCTCCCAAAGTGCTGGGATTGCAGGCATGAGCCACCGCGCCCGGCGGAACTATAGTTTAAATGTGTCTCCTAAAAAGCATGTGTTGAAAAACTTCATTCCCAATATAACAGTGTTGGGAGGTAGGGTCTAATGAGAGGTGATTAGACCACGTGTGCAGAATGAATAAATTAATACAGTTAGCATAGGAATGGGTTTATTATAAAAGGGGAATTTTGACCCCCTTTTACTCTCTCTTTCACCCTCTCTTTTCTCTTTTACCATGGAATGATGCAGCAAAAAGCCCTCATTAGATGATGGCCTCTCAATCTTAGATTTCCTAGTCTCCAGAACTATGAGTCAATACATTTCTGCTCATTATAAAATTATTCAGTGGTGGTTTTTTGTTATAGCAACACAAAACAGACTAAGATGCTTGGCTATGGAAGAAAGAGAATCATGTATTGGAAGCTAATTGAAAGCACATACAGAAGCCTGGAACTTGTCCTAGCTCCAACTAATTGTCACGTTGCCACATAGTTGACACTGTAACTGTGCCTTCAGAAAGCCATTTCACTACTTTGTCAAGCCAGCTGCTTCAAAATAAGAGAAGACGGTAAGACTAGTGAATTCCATGAGCCTGGGCCCGTTGTTGTACCCTATTTGCTCTGAAGTGAGTTCTTTGATCACAAGTAATGGTATGTAAAATAACGTAATAGCAGATAAGGAATTCTATAAGTCTATAGATGGTAGTTTTGGTGGAAGCATTGTGGCAGAGAAGGCAAATCCATATCCAGAATAAGTGTCTATTCTAGTAAGAACAAAATGCTGCTTCTCCCAGAATGGAAATGGTCCAATATAATCAACCTATCAGCTGGCTGATCATACTAGTGGATGGTGTCATATGAGAGACTCAGTGTTCGTCTCTGATGATGGCTGATTGGGCACTTACACATGACATTAGCCATGTAATCTTTTGTAAGTGCAAGTCTATATTGCTAAGCCCATGCATAATTTCCATCCTTGAAACCATGGCCACTTTGTTTGTGAACCCTATGTGAAATCAGAGAAATGAGTGGGGAAAGAGGCTCATTGGCATCCACAGAACAGACCATCTTATAAACTATGTATTAAAAGCATTGTCTGGTGAAACCACCCTTTGGTGAGCATTCATAGGAAACATAAATATCTTTATATTCTGTGTCCACTAAGAGAGTTCTATTCATATATCTCTCTCTCCAAGACCTTGTTGTAACCAAATTTGCAGTTGTGTTTCTTTTTAAATACTTGACTATCCAGCCAAACCATTAGCCATGGGTAATGAATCAGTATAGCCTCTTGCCACACATAAGCAACACAACTTTATTATCTTACAGTTCTGTAGGTCAAAAGTCTGATGTTAGTCTCACCAGGGTAAAAATAAACTTTTTAGAACAGGATTAAATTATTTTTGTAGTCTCTGTGTAGGATCTGTTTCTTTGCCTTTTCTAGCTTCTAGCTTGCCAACATTTTTTAAACTTGTAGACTCCTTCTATCTTTAAAGCTAGAAAAGCTGAATTAAATCCTTTTCACATCTCTCACATGGTATCACTCTGACCTCTTCCATGGATATATCTCCCTCTGACTCTTTTCCCTATCTTTCCTCATTTATGGACCCTTGTAAATATTGGGCCTACCCAGATAATCCAAGATAATACATGTATCCTGAGGTCCTTAACTTAATCACAACTGTGAAATTCCTTTTGCCATATAAAATAACATAATCACAGCTTCCAGTGATTAGGATACATTTGGGAAGTCATTATTTTGCCTATCACAGTTTCTCTTTTGTACCCTCAAAATTTAACCTAATCTCCCTTGCAAAATACATTCACTCTGTTCAAAGGTCCATGAAATCAAAACCCATTATATCATCAACTCAAAGTCCAAAATCTCATCTAAATCTCATCAGCACAGAAGTCCCAAATTTCATTATCACTAAAATAATTTAAATTAGGTATGAGTGCATTGGATTCTGACACAAAATTCCTCTCCATTTGTAGATCCATGAAACTAGACAACAAGATATTTACTCTCAAAATACAATAGTGAGACTGGCATAGGAGAGTAGTTACAGACATTCCTTCTCAAAGAAGGAGAAAATATAAGAAAAAAATGAGTCATCAATCCCAAACAACTTTTAAATCTAGCCAGGCAAACTACATTAGATTTCGAATTCTGGAAATGATTGTGATTTGCATTTCCAGCCTCTGCAGTCCGAGTTTGAGGCTTCATTCTCTTCCCTTGAAGATCTACCCTGTGAGTCATCATTTATATCCTGGGTTTGCTGCTGGGTGGTTTTATCACCTATTTCCTGCCTGCAGAATTTTGGGGGTCAGAAAGACTTCTTTCATTTTATCCTCTTTCTCTTTCTTTCAATTCAAGCTGGCAGTATTCCTCCTGGTATAAAAATTCTCAAGAATTTTGGTGGTTTTCTGTTTATGTCATGAGGATTCACTCCAGTAGACAACAATCTTTTCCAGAGATGTTTTCTGAAAGATCCCATCTCTATTTTTGGCTTCTGCCTAGTTGACTGAGGGAATCAATGAATCACACACATTCTTTTCAAGAAGGCTTTGTGTGACTAAATACTTAGCTTTTTAGTCTTCCTGAGGTATTATCTAAAGGTTGCCTGGCCATATTCTTGATTCTTTTTTCCTCTGCAACTTCCATTTTCAATGGCAAATCTCTTAATTATAGGGTCTTTTGAAATTTTGGTAGATTGAGAATTTTTAAATCATCAAGGCCTAGTTTCTTTGTGTTTAGCACATCTTTTCTCAATTTAGCTCTTTATTCTTTCCTTTTGTGATAAGCAGGAAGAACAAACTAGATCACAATTTCAACACTTTGCCTGGAAATTTCCTCAGCTGAATGTCTAATTTCATCATTTTTAAGGTCTGCTTTCCACATTACTTCAGGACACAATTCTGCTAAGATTTCTGTTACTATGTAATGAGAATCTCCTTTTCTCTAGTTTTTAATAAGATATCCCTCATTTTCTCTTGATCCTTCACCAGGAGTATCTAGAATATACATATATTTACTACAAGTCTGTTCATGAAAATTTGAATATTCTCTAAGGTGATTTAGCTTTTCTCTTCCATGCTCCTCATTTTCTTCTGAGTAATTAATCCACAGAGTTATTGATATCTGTATTTCTACTAATAGTATGTTTAAGACAATCTAGGTAGTGTTTAAAAGTTATGTTGCTCGAATGTTCTCATTGCCCAATTTCAAAGCTGCTTTGCATTTTTAGGTATTTATTACAGTAGTAATTCACTTCTAGTTACCCAAATATGTGTCAACCAAGGCTCAACCTGAGAAGTAGAATGTGTACTCTCTCTCTCTCTCTCTATGTATATATATGTGTGTATATATATATGTGTGTGTATATATGTGTGTGTATATATGTGTGTGTGTGTATATATATATATATAGAGAGAGAGAGAGAGAGATTTATAAGGAATTGGCTTATGTAATTTTGGGGGCTCAATAGGCAAGTCTGAAACCCACAAGACAGGCCATCAGTTAGGAGAGGGTGGAGCTCTTGCACATCAAGTGAAGCTGCTGTTCACATGTGGAATTTCTTCTTCCTGAGAGAAGCCTTGGTGGTGATTTTGACCTTTCAATTAATTGAATCAAGTTCCCCGTATCATCTAAGATTATCTGAAAGTTAACTGACTATAGTCTTTAATCACACCTACAAAACTCCTTCACAGCAACACATAGATTAATGTTTTATTAAACAACTGTGGACTGTAGCCTAGCCAAGTGGACACATCGAAAAGACCATGACAGTATGTTAAGTGTCAGTGTGACCTTTCTTTTTTCAATCTCTGTTCAGGCACTTACTGAGACACCAAGGGGCTTAATAAAAACTTCCAGCCACAATTTTCAAAAGAAATTGGATTACATGAAAAGTTAATAGAGCAAGAAACTCTACTAATCTTTTTTGGAATAATAATTTTTAGTTTCTCTTTTAAAATTTTGTTAAAAGTAGTTTGTGGTTCAAACAGAAACATCTTTATTCCTACATAGTTTCTAGTAATTGAATAAAATTGAACCTGTTCAACCTTATTAATGAACCCTAACTGGGAAGGAAACAAAAATGTCAGAAAAACAATCAAAAAGGAAAAGATAACCATAGAAAACTATACATTGGCAAGGTAATAGAAGTTCAACGTTAACCATTTTGTTGAGCATGGCAACTGAGTAAAGAGTTTGGCTGCCACATTAGAGCTTGGTATGATATGGGATAAATCAAGCAAACCCTATGTACAGTGATTAAAATGAGATCCATTTACTGGTATATGTTTCCTGGCTTCTGACACTGCCAGGATAATTGCCACTGCCAAGGCTGTATGTTCGATGAACTCAATCAGCCAATCCAAAAATTCACGTGATGCTGCTGCATGGTGCCAAGCAAAGGGGAGAATTGCTGGGGAGCCTGGGAGGGGGGAAAGCTCATACAAATGAGCTTTTTGGCAGGATGTAATCCCCTTTGGAGGGACCCCTACCTTTCACAGAGCATACTGCATTTTGCTAGGAACGAGTCCCAACTGTGTTCCTTTAGAGAAATCCCAGTAAGCTTTACCATCACAGATAATATTAGCTCTCATGGTGGCAAAAGCTACTGATGAGTGCCTGCTACCTTTAAGATTAGTTTGCAAGATGATCATTTATTCTTATAATATTTTTTGTTGCTATTTCTCTCTTCAAATGAAAACTTTCTAAATTCTCTAGGATTTTGCCTATCATGTTTCCATACTTTTTCTCCTATTTCCAAGTTAGTATGTATAAACAGTGTAAAAAAAGATAGTGTGTAATAAAATGAGTATATGACACAAAAAGTGGACAGAAAAATTTTTATTTATGGTTGGATTTCAGTTTATTCTAGGATACACACTTATTTTTGCCTTTTACATGTAAATGGTTTGTTTTCACGATTTTAATCCAGTGCACCCAGGGGCACTTTGTTCATCTTATACCTTTTCATAAACTGAATACAAGAGCCTCCTATCTTCTTATTCTAGCTTTTCCAGAATAGCTAATTCCTTTTTCCACCAAGTTTTCATTACTCCATTGCTTTTGTGTGTTTTCATGTATTTCATACTTCGTTTCTTGAGAGCATGAGAATATGATAGCTACAGACACTGCTAAATATGTTTTTCATTTATTCAGTTGGAAGAAGATAGAGAACAACAGTTTGGATTTAGAAGTCAGCTTTGTAATGACAAGGTTGTTTACAGTTTATTTTTGGAACATGTTGCACCTTGAAATCTTTGTAGAATATTTATAAATGGTTATGTTTTAATTTAATTTTCTTGCTAAAATATTTTCTTTGAATTTATGAAAAAAATGGAAAGGCCAAATGTTCACAAACACCAGTATCTCCAAAATAATAATTTTTATATTTTTTTCATCTAAGGAATTAATGTTTAAATTTTCAAGCCCACATAAACATAAATTAAAAGTTATATAATGGCTCTTTCATGACATAGGAATAAAAATGCAGTCCACAACTCTCTCTCTTTCTCTCTCTCTGTGTTTGTGTGTGTGTGAATTTGCTTAATTTTTCTTTTGTATTGTTGTTATTTGGAGAAATTATGTTTCACAATGTAAAAATTAGATCAAAAATCTATAATTATCAGACTTTTTTAAATGAAAAAATTGATCTCTAAAATTAATATTCCTTAATATCTCACAGCATTACAAGAAAGAAAAGATATAAATTTACAAATTGCTTAACACAAACTTTTTTTGAGAAAAATAAAACATACTGTCTATTTCCTTGCTGTTTAATAATCGCTTCCCTTCTTTATCACCATCAACACTTGTATAAAAAGAGGCAAGGGCTTTGGGATCTATGAAAGCCTTAAAAAAGGATGTTCTCTAACCAATAACTTGGATGCACCCCATCCATTTCCATTGTTGTCCTCAGTGCAAACCTCCAACATGGGTCACCTAGGCACCTAGACCTCTCCAGAGCCTCTTAATTATCCTTACCTTCCATACTGGGCTCTCTTTATAATCTGTTCTGCACATTCAGTCAGAGTGATGAGTTAGATAACACCATACGTGAGCATAGAATCCATCAATAGCTTCATAACATATTGAATTTCAGGCCTAAAAGCCCTATATAATTTCTCTGTGACCTTTCTCTCTCTCCTTTAAATCTCATGCCAAGCTTTCTGGTGCTCTCTGCACTCACTTGCTGCTTGTCTATCCTTAGGTCATACTAAGCATGGAGCTGCCCCAGGGTTTTCTCATTGATATGATCTGGCTGTGTCCCCATTCAAATCTCATCTTAAATTCCCATGTGTTTTGGGAGGGACCTGGTGGGAGGTAATTGAATCATGGGGGCAGATCTTTCCCATGCCGTTCTCATGATAGTGAATAAGTCTCTGATGGTTTTTAAAAAGGGGACTTCCCCTGCACAAGCTCTCTGTCTTTGCCTGCTGCCATCCATATAAGATGTGATTTGCTCTACCAAGCAAATGGAAAACAAAAAAAGGCAGGGGTTGCAATCCTAGTCTCTGATAAAACAGACTTTAAACCAATAAAGATCAAAAGAGACAAAGAAGGCCATTACATAATGGTAAAGGGATCAATTCAACAAGAAGAGCTAACTATCCTAAATATATATGCACCCAATACAGGAGCACCCAGATTCATAAAGCAAGTCCTGAGTGACCTACAAAGAGACTCAGACTCCCACACAATAATAATGGGAGACTTTAACAACCCACTGTCAACATTATACAGATCAACGAGACAGAAAGTTAACAAGGATACCCAGGAATTGAACTCAGCTCTGCACCAAGCAGACCTAATAGACATCTACAGAACTCTGCACCCCAAATCAACAGAATATACATTTTTTTCAGCACCACACCACACCTATTCCAAAATTGACCAAATAGTTGGAAGCAAAGCTCTCCTCAGCAAATGTAAAAGATCAGAAATTATAACAAACTGTCTCTCAGACCACAGGGTAATCAAACTAGAACTCAGGATTAAGAAACTCACTCAAAACCGCTCAACTACATGGAAACTGAACAACCTGCTCCTGAATGACTACTGGGTACATAACGAAATGAAGGCAGAAATAAAGATGTTCTTTGAAACCAATGAGAACAAAGACACAACATACCAGAATCTCTGGGACATATTCAAAGCAGCGTGGAGAGGGAAATTTATAGCACTAAATGCCAACAAGAGAAAGCAGGAAAGATCCAAAATTGACACCCTAACATCACAATTAAAAGAACTAGAAAAGCAAGAGCAAACACATTCAAAAGCTAGCAGAAGGCAAGAAATAACTAAAATCAGAGCAGAACCGAAGGAAATAGAGACACAAAAAACCCTTTAAAAAATTAATGAATCCAGGAGCTGGTTTTTTGAAAGGATCAACAGAATTGATAGACCACTAGCAAGACTAATAAAGAAGAAAAGAGAGAAGAATCAAATAGATGCAATAAAAAATGATAAAAGGGATATCACCACCGATCCCACAGAAATACGAAGTACCATCAGAGAATACTGCAAACACCTCTATGCAAATAAACTAGAAAATCTAGAAGAAATGGATAAATTCCTTGACACATATACCCTCCCAAGACTAAACCAGGAAGAAGTTGAATCTCTGAATAGACCAATAACAGGCTCTGAAATTGTGGCAATAATCAATAGCTTACCAACGAAAAAGAGTCCAGGACCAGATGGATTCACAGCCGAATTCTACCAGAGGTACAAGGAGGAACTGGTATCATTCCTTCTGAAATTATTCCAATCAATAGAAAAAGAGGGAATCCTCCCTAACTCATTTTATGAGGCCAGCATCATCCTGATACCAAAGCCAGGAAGAGACACAACCAAAAAACAGAATTTTAGACCAATATCCTTGATGAACATTGATGCAAAAATCCTCGATAAAATACTGGCAAACTGAATCCAGCAGCACATCAAAAAGCTTATCCACCATGATCAAGTGGGCTTCATCCCTGGGATGCAAGGCTGGTTCAATATATGCAAAACGATAAATGTAATCCAGCATATAAACAGAACCAAAGACAAAAACCACATGACTATCTCAATAGATGCAGAAAAGGCCTTTGACAAAATTCAACAACCCCTCATGCTAAAAACTCTCAATAAATTAGGTATTGATGGGATGTATCTCAAAATAATAAGAGCTATCTATGACAAACCCACAGCCAATATCATACTGAATGGGCAAAAACTGGAAGCATTCCCTTTGAAAACTGCCACAAGACAGGGATGCCCTCTCTCACCACTCCTATTCAACATAGTGTTGGAAGTTCTGGCCAGGGCAATTAGGCAGGAGAAGGAAATAAAGGGTATTCAATTAGGAAAAGAGGAGGTCAAATTGTCCCTGTTTGCAGATGACATGATTGTATATCTAGAAAACCCCATTGTCTCAGCCCAAAATCTCCTTAAGGTGATAAGCAACTTCAGCAAAGTCTCAGGATACAAAATCAATGTACAAAAATCACAAGCATTCTTATACACCAATAACAGACAAACAGAGAGCCAAATCATGAGTGAACTCCCATTCACAATTGCTTCAAAGAGAATAAAATACCTAGGAATTCAACTTACAAGGAACATGTAGGAGTTCTCTTCGAGGAGAACTACAAACCACTGCTCAAGGAAATAAAAGAGGATACAAACAAATGGAAGAACATTCCATGCTCATGGGTAGGAAGAATCAGTATCGTGAAAATGGCCACACTGCCCAGGGTAATTTATAGATTCAATGCCATCCCCATGAAGCTACCAATGACTTTCTTCACAGAATTGGAAAAAACTACTTTAAAGTTCATACGGCACCAAAAAAGAGCCTGCATCGCCAAGTCAATCCTGAGCCAAAGAACAAAGCTGGAGGCATCAAGCTACCTGACTTCAAACTATACTACAAGGCTACAGTAACCAAAACAGCATGGTACTGGTACCAAAACAGAGATATAGATCAATGGAACAGAACAGAGCCCTCAGAAATAACGCCAGAAATAACGCCACATATCTACAACTATCTGATCTTTGACAAACCTGAGAAAAACAAGCAATGGGGAAAGGATTCCCTATTTAATAAATGGTGCTGGGAAAACTGGCTAGCCATATGTAGAAAGCTGAAACTGGATCCCTTCCTTACACCTTATACAAAAATTAATTCAAGATGGATTAAAGACTTAAACGTTAGACCGAAAACCATAAAAACCCTAGAAGAAAACCTAGGCATTACCATTCAGGACATAGGCATGGGCAAGGACTTCATGTCTAAAACACCAAAAGCAATGGCAACAAAAGCCAAAATTGACAAATGGGATCTAATTAAACTAAAGAGCTTCTGCACAGCAAAACAAAGTACCATCAGAGTGAACAGGCAACCTACAAAATGGGAGAAAATTTTCGCAACCTACTCATCTGACAAAGGGCTAATATCCAGAATCTACAATGAACTCAAACAAATTTACAAGAAAAAAACAAACAACCCCATCAAAAAGTGGGCGAAGGACATGAACAGACACTTCTCAAAAGAAGACATTTATGCAGCCAAAAAACACATGAAAAAATGCTCACTATCACTAGCCATCAGAGAAATGCAAATCAAAACCACAATGAGATACCATCTCACACCAGTTAGAATGGCAATCATTAAAAAGTCAGGAAACAACAGGTGCTGGAGAGGATGTGGAGAAATAGGAACACTTTTACACTGTTGGTGGGACTGTAAACTAGTTCAACCATTGTGGAAGTCAGTGTGGTGATTCCTCAGGGATCTAGAACTAGAAATACCATCTGACCCAGCCATCCCATTACTGGGTATATACCCAAAGGACTATAAATCATGCTGCTATAAAGACCCATGCACACGTATGTTTGTTGTGGCTGGCACTATTCACAATAGCAAAGACTTGGAACCAACCCAAATGTCCAACAATGATGGACTGGATTAAGAAAATGTGGCACATATACACCGTGGAATACTATGCAGTCATAAAAAATGATGAGTTCATGTCCTTTGTAGGGACATGGATGAAATTGGAAATCATCATTCTCAGTAAACTATCGCAAGAACAAAAAACCAAACACCGCATATTCTCACTCATAGGTGGGAATTGAACAGTGAGAACACATGGACACAGGAAGGGGAACATCACACTCTGGGGACTGTTGTGGGGTGGGGGGAGGGGGGAGGGATAGCTTTAGGAGATATACCTAATGCTAAATGACGAGTTAGTGGGTGTAGCACACCAGCATGGCACATGTATACATATGTAACTAACCTGCACATTGTGCACATGTACCCTAAAACCTAAAGTACAAAAAAAAAAAAAAAAAAAAAAAAAGATGTGATTTGCTCCTCCTTGCCTTCCGCCATGATTGTGAGGCCTCTCCAGCCATGTGGAATTGTAAGTCCATTAAACCTCTTTTTCTTCCCAGTCTCGAGTATGTCTTTATCAGCAGTGTGAAAATGGACTAATACACTCATGATTTTCTTTCCGCTTGCCCCCATCTTCTCTAGATTAGCCCATAACCACCTCCTCCTCATCACTTCGAAATCAGGTCACTTTTTCATTCCAGGGAGGCTTTTCTGATGTTTTAGTCTAAGGAGTGTCTTCCTCCCCTCCCAACTCACTTACTTTCTGTGCTGAATAGCATCACCCAGTTTTGTTACCTTCAGAATTCCTATCACAAAATCTTTATTTACCTATTCACTTATCTTCTCCATCTCCCCATAAAGAATATAAGCTTCATAAGCCTACATTCTCATGACCTTATCCTCACACTTGTCGTATAGCAGGTGCGTAATAAATGGTACCTGAGTTTAGTATGAAGCCAAGAGATTGAGGCAGAGAAATTACAGTAGGAAACTGTCTATCATGATTATGGGCTGCAATTGTGATAATGGTTACTCTTTCAAGTTAGCAATGAAAATCTTTATTCTGTAAATAACATTAAAAACCCACAGCACAATGTTCAAAATTATATGTATCTGTGATAAAATAAAAATAACTAGAAATGGGAATAGCTAATAAATGACCTTACCTTACAATGCCTTTTTGTAGTCCCCGTAGCAATGATGGAACCTAGTGGAGTGAAAGGAGGGCAGATGAGGTCCCTGTTGAATGTGGATCTGGACCAATGGTTCTCTTGATACATGGAGCAGAATGGGAGAGGGACTCCCCTCAAGACTTGCTCACTGCCTGGAGATTTAGTTTACTTTATGAACATTTTTTCTGGGATGTGACAGCTAATTCACTTTTTTTTTTAAGAAACTACAATTCTGGCACAGGTCTTAATGCTTTGTTCCTAAATTTCGCATCTTCACTCTTGTTGCATGTTGATTTTCCAATTCACTCTGACAAAAATGGCAGTTATTTTAAAATGTAGCTTACTTGAAATCCTGATTATCTTAAAAAAATGCATTTTATGACATATACTTATGTCCAGGCCTCTGTTCATTCTTCTAAGTTTGGGTAGAGGAGACTAGGGTAATATTGTGTTAGAAGTATTACAGAAGGACCTGTTCTTCATGATATTCTGGAGTAATAGAAGAACCTGTTCTTCACAAAATTCTGAAGAGTGGAAGACTAATAATGATCCTCTCCTAATAGGCAACTAAAATAAGAGTTCATAGTAGACGTTTCCTCTATGTTGCAGATTGCTATAAGTATTCTTCATTGGAATTCAGATTATTGAACACATCTTGGAAAATCTGTTACCAGCAGAAGAGCTGGGGAATACGGTTCATCTGCAAATCACATAATGTTTCAATAAAAATGTTTTTGGTAGTATATCTGATAGACAAGTTTAATTTATAGTTGAATCTAGAAGAATGGACCCAAGTATTTTTATGACACTATCTTTACCCTTAGGTTGGGAAGATGATGTTATGCATATTATTTTATTTATTTAGTTTTAATCTATTTTATTTTTGGATCTATAGAATAAGTATATATTTATGCAGTTCGTCTCCCTTAAAATCTCTTCTCTCACACTCTTCATGATTTTTCCTGTAATGTATCTGATAACATATACCTGTTATCTGGTATAGATTATCTGGTAAACATCTTGCAGATGTCTCATCTGGTGGCATACATGATAAGGAAGGTGCCCAATACCTTCCAAATAAATTTAAAGAGGGTAATCCTTCCAAAACACTCCCTGCCACTGAAGACTCTTCACTCTCAAAACACTCCAATTCATAGCTTATTTAAACTTTAATCACTCAGGATATTCTGAGAGTAAGACCAGACACATTTCAATAATAGGCTCCTTGGGCAAGATGACTTGATCACTTTCTTACATTGGATAGCCACAGCTTTAATATACTAAATAAATATTAAACATTATTTTTAATCAGTTGAGCAATGAGGACATCATCTTATTGCCTTAGTTTCACAGTTTGGAACCTACACCAAACTCAGAAATTGATTTACAGTAAAAATCACTCTTAAAACAAAGATTGTTTTATTTAAGCACTTAAAAAGTAGAAAGTCACTGCCTGAAATCAGAAATCTCCTAACTCATTAACTAGCTAAATATTCAAAAGGTTACTCTTTCAAACTGAGTATATTTAACATGGGCATTGATATAAATGCAGTTTTGGCTTCAAAAGGCTGATGCTTTTTATTCCTCTCATACTCAGTCTCTTCGTGTGTGTGTGTGTGTGTGTGTGTGTGTGTGTGTGTGTATGTGCAGCTCCCACTGATTTCAAAGATTCCAGAAGAGGAAGAGGAGATAAGTGTTATTCTAAACTAATCCACTATTGTGGGATTTAAAAAAAAAACATATGTACAAGCAGGACAAATAAAGAAAACATAAGTTTCTTTCTTTCCCTCATTCTGTTTTATTGTTTCTGTTTGAATGAACAAATGCAACATTTACCTCTTAGTTTCATCTGATTCTGGCAAAGTTGTGAGATTATCAGACTGTTCTATTATAAGAGATCACTAAAAAAAGAGGTATCATTTTCTGAAAGGAAAACGTTTTGGAGCTACTGATTTATAAAAGCTCATTCATTTTTTATTAAAATTGGTATTCTCTGAAAAAAGGAAAATCCCTTTTCTCCTCCATCTATAAATACTTAGTGCTTTTCTAGCTTCATGCTTGTGATTATTACTTAAATTATAAATGGTTAGTTTATTTATAGTTATGTTCTCAAGGTCTCATAATTTTACTAAAAAAATGTAACAGTGGTTTTAAGATCAGTTTTACTAAACATAATAGTTCATTTAGTAATTTCTTTAAATATAATTTAGAAGAAAACAGTTTACAGGTCACCCACTTTGTGACTCTTCTCAGGCCTCTCCACTCTGCTATACATATGCACAGATGATTGCTTTCTCTCTAGTGTTTAATGAACACACCGATTGTAGCACTCATTATACTGCTTATAATAATTCATTTTACTGTCTGTGTTCTGCATAAATTTGAGTTCTGAATGGCAGGGACCTTGTTTTTCTCATATCCATATCTAGACATCTGGGCAATGCCTAACATATACTAGACAATAAGTAAGTATTTGCTAAAATAAGTGTTTTGTTTTATTTTCACTTTTTCTGAATATAAAATAATAAACTTTATTGTAGAATATTTGATAGACATCTACAAATATAAAGAACATTAATTGCTCAACTTTATCATCTTGAAACAGCCATTGCTAACATTAGTGTCTTAATTTTTCTAATTGAATTTAACTTGTGGTTGAAGATGAATAAACAAGACCTGCAACTCAAAAACTTCCTTTTCCCTGTTCTTGCTGTTTATTTCACTTCTGGATGATTTTATATTTTTTGAAGTTTTTCGCATCTGCAGTTATTTAGGATTGATTTTGTATGCCTTCATTCATTCATTTATTTATTTTCATATGATAAATATTCATTGACCTCCTGCTATGTTTTAGGTACAATGCCAGGTCTTGGGAACATAATATTGAGCAAACACATGTTATCTCTGCTTTCTTGGAACTTATAGTTAGGAGAGCAAATTATAACAGAGAGTATTTACAAAAGGGAAGGCTTAGAACTCAATTTAAAAGTGAGTTATTTTCTAGGGGGATGAGAAAAAGAAAACATAGATAATCTGCAAGGTTCAAAAACTATGTGGCATTCAGTAGTTTTCTGTATTTGAACATCTGCCACTGTGTGTGTGTGTGTGTGTGTGTGTGTGTGTGTGTGTGTATTCGGATCATGTTGTGGAAGTGTTAACAACTTTCTAGCTGTCCTAAATCCTTCCAGCCATAAATCTAGGTACTCTTCCTCCACAAGATTGGATAATTATTTGATTTTCCTTCTGACATGTTATTGATTCATTAAACAATCTAGTATCAGAATACCTTCTTTTAGAAGAACTCATGGATTTTCAAGGGCTTAGAACATTGAATTTCACTTTTCAATTTCACTATTTATATACAGAAATTATATTTATAGTCTGTGTATTTTTTTAAAAGTTGAAAACAAACAAACCAAGTCAATCTCAGGAAATCAGATATACATCTGCAACTGTGAGCTGTTTTTCGAACACTCTCTTTGCAATAAAATGTATTAAAGGAGAATTTATCATTTGATTTTTGTATTCCATAAAAAAGTTTTCTAGCTGCTTCTGCTATATTTTAAGTGACATTTCTTCAGTAATATTAAAGATTCAATGATAAAGAGGAAAGATAAGTGAGAGAGGGAGGGCACAAATGGAAACAGTTCATATGGATTTCCAAAGATGATTGATCGTTCTTGATTATATCTGTGTTACTTCATAATTTAAAAAGATAAGTAATTCTAGATAGTGTTGCAGTTTCTAATAATGCAAATTAGAAATGTCATGTACTTTATTTACTTCTGCTCACCTAGTCAATGAGAAAAGTGCATAATTAGTATTAATAAATTAAAAGGTATCTTTTAATTAAATCTGAGAAAGAAAATAAATTTTAATTAACTTTAAATATTCTAAGTGACATATGGTAGAGTGAATATCAGTGAAAGAACCTCAAAAACAACCTGTCGTTTTTGCTGTTTAAGTGTTTTATTGTAGGAAATGTAGTAACTGAACAACTTAGAGGGTTATTTTCTATGCTGTTTAGAAAACAGGTAGAAAACTTCAAAAATTATTTGTAGACAAAAAGTAGCATCTATATATTTTGGTTATATAAAGCTAAGTAGGCACTCACTGTAAGGTGTTCATTTTCAGTTTATAACTCTCATCTTTAAAATAAGCTTCGTCTTTAGTATCTATGGCTTTATATTCTCTTGTTGTTATTTAACATTTATTTTCTATCATTAGTAGAAACAACCCTTAAAAGAGACAGGTAAAATCTTGAAAATATTTTAAGTAACTCTCAACAGAATTGAAACGGCCTTCATTTTTAATTTTGATTAACTTCTTTTTTTTACTTTTGTAAGCAAAGTTTTTGAAATATACAGGAAAGTTCACAAGTTGTAAGTCATTTTTCACAAATAAACACAGTCATGAAACCATTATTCACATAGAGGCAGTACTAAAAGGTGCCTCATGCTCCTTTTAGACCTTAATCCCCCAACAAATGTAATTTTTTTGACATCCATTACCATAGATTAACTTTATATGCTTTTGAATTTTATATAAATGAAATCAAACAGTAAGTTCACCATGATATCTGGCTGCTTTTACTCAATATTTTGTTTGTGAGGATTATCCGTGTTGTTGACTATAACAATAGCTCATTATGTTTTTTGCTGGAGAGCAGCAGTCGGCAAAACTTTTCTATAAAAAGTAAATATGGTAAATATTTGTGTTTTGGGGACTGTATGGTACCTATCACAACTCCTCAATTCTGCCCTTGTAGCATGTGATAATATGAGAGCAACAGTAGACAATATATAAGTTAATAAACAAGTCTGTGTTCTAATAAAACTTTATTTACAACAGCAGGTGGTGGGCCAGATTTGGTTCGTGGGTCATATTTTGCCAACCCATGCTGTGCAGTATTCTATTTTGAGAATATACCGCAGTTCATTTATCCAGTCTTCTGTTGGCATTGTCTCCAGTTTGATTAATAATTCTAAAAAAATTCTAGTTCATGTCTTTTGAGGTACATATACATATGTGTTTTGTTTATGCTTATACTGAATTATGTAATTGCTGGGACAGAGAGAGAGTTTAGGTTCCGATTTGCTAGATACTACCAAACAGCTTTCTGAATTTACATCCACCAGCAATGTATGAGAGTTCTGTTTGCTCCACTTCTCCACCAATGCTTGGTATTGTCAGTTTTAACTTTGGTATAGTGATGATCTACTCCTGAAAGAGATGACACTAGGAGTTAAATATCTAAATCTACAGCAAGAAATATATCTCCATGGAAGGTATTACTATATATATATTTACATTTATGTTTTAACATTTAATTTTAGTGGATCTGTACGCCCCTCACATCTCCAGTTTGGTACACACACACACACACACACACACACACACACACACCCCAAAACCCCCTTCCCCAAACCTGAAACAAAAACTGCATTTGCTAGTCTTGAAAGAACACTGTGATTTCCTATGGTGCTTTAGGGAAAAAAAAATCATGTATTTGTATGCTTCGAGAAACAGAGAGAAAAAGTGTAACATCCTATTATCTTTAAGAGGATGTTTTCAAAGCCTCAGAAACTGTCTCTAGCCAGTGCTCTCAAAGTAAACTCAAGGTGCAGTGGGATGTGCAGAAAATGTTCATTAATCAGGCACACTGTGAGTTAAGTCTTCACTTCTAGGAATCATTTCTAATCATTTGCAATTAGAATAATGTTTCTGAAAGTGTTTGCCTTGCTAACCATGAGGAGTTGAAACTCTCTCTTTTGGGAAAGTGAGCAGATGGTGTCACTTCATTTACTTTTTCCTGTGCTGCAGGGAGGACTAAGAGATTTAACTGTCCTTTCCATGTCTCCTGCCTAGGGTTTGGATACTTGTCTAGTCTGGTCATAGCTCTTGGCTCAGCTATTTCTTGTCCAGTTCTCTTTGTTTGATATTACTTTGATCCTCACCCAATATCAGCAATGCTTTGCTTGGATGACTCTCTCACTCTAGCTCTTACTCTTTTTCTTGGCAGAAGTATTCTTTTCTTTTGGTTGTAAGAATCTGGCCAGTAATGAGGTGGTAAGCTCCTGTCGAAGCAGCAGGAGTTGTCAGTGCTCCTTTCTTTCATTAACTTTCTTGGGCTGTAGCCACAACAGCGAGACTTCAGGGACTGAGAATTTAACCTTCTCCAGCACCGATCATTTTTCCACATGGATTCACATGGCCCCATAGCCCCTTGGCCCCTTTCACCAGCCCCGTCTCTTCACACTGCCTTTTATAGTTTATCCTGAACTTTCTGTCCAATACTCTCCAGGGCCATCATGAAATAATATGCTTGAAGCATTTTTTTTTAAGTTAACTACCTTTTATTCATTCTTGTAAAATGAAGAACACTTTCATACAGCTTTCGCAAAAAGTTTTCAAACTTCAGATAACAGCTGTGGCAAATTATTTTTTTCTTATGAAATAATCAAGTAATTAGTAACCATACTTCTGTAGCATAATATCATTTATTTTAATCCTAGTAGAATAAAATATGTATATTCTTCTACCTAAAGTAATGACTATATATGTGCACATAATATATAATTAGAACATGTACATCTCTTCAAGTAGTAATCTTTCAGTTAAATATTCATGTCATTTACCATTCATTCTGAAAGAAACAGTGTATTGACGAACTGAATGAGAACTTTGATCTGTGGTGCTTAAAGTGACAATAATTGTAATCCAAAAATAATATTAATAATAATGATAATTAGGCTACCGTGTTTAAGATGCCTGCCATGTACCAGATACGATGCCAGACATCACGTGTTGTATGTGGGTGTGTACAATTTCTAATTCTCACATAAAACTTATAAGATAGTTATGATCATGACCATTTTACACGTAAGGAAAATGAGGAATCGACAGCTTTCTCACCCAAAGTTAGAATTACACTGAATGTTTCTCTTTCTGCAATTCCTACATCTCTTATCCTAGGTCAACTTCCTGTTCTCTCAGATTTGGCTGTCATACATATTATCAATATGTTTGCCATTCCTAATGTATTCAATGTTCATTTGTAAAAGCATGTTCAATGTGCAGATGGGTATAACCTATTCTTGAACCTACCATCATGAGCCATACAATGTTGAAAGACTAGAATCACTTGTTATTTCAAGTTTACTTTGAAATGATTTCTACATGTTAATGGAGTATCCACCTTTACTGGTGCTTTAGGTTATATAATATATATATATATATATATATATATGTTATATCCTTTAGGTTATAGATATGATATATAAATCATTATATATATAATATATAACCTAAAGCACCAGTAAAGGCGGATATTCCATTAACATGTAGATTAACTGAAATATCACTACTCAAAGAGATGTATATTTTCTAATTACATATTTTGTACACACACATATAGTCATTATTTTAGGTAGACGTATATACTATATACTATATATATATATGTATAGTATATAACCTAAGGCACCATTAAAGGTGGATATTCCATTTTATATATAATATTTTATTTATATATAATAAATATATGTTTATTATATGTAAATAAATATATTTATTTATTTATATATTTATATATTTATATAAATAAAAATATTTGTATGCTATATATTTAAATATATAGTACATGTAATTTTAAAATATTTATACTATATATTTTAAATATATAGATTTAGACTGATTCATTTATTTACAATTAATTATGGATTATACCTTTGTGTTTATGAGATTAGAAGATAAAGAGCTAAATGCAACTGTGCTATTCAGAAGTTTTAACACACATTACACATATTATTTCCATTAGTTTCCAGTTTGCCATTAGAGACTAAGATTGTTTTTCCTTCTTTGGATCTGTATTGGCACCAAATTAATATCAATTGCAGGAAAATGTCCACACTGGCTAATACTTTCTTAATATGTGCCATCATGTGCTTTATTATAGTCTCTTATTTACTGATCTGTAAGCTACTCTAATGTTCCTTCATTTTTATTTGATATATTCATCTCTCTTATACTTATATTTGCAGATGGATATATTTCTATCATTCTTACCAGTAACAGCCATGGGCTTTTAGTTACTCCAGGAAAATTAAAAACCAACTTCCTCAACAGAGTGCCTTTTATCTCTTATTATTTGGCAGCACAGGCAAAATGCCGATCTAAGTCAATTCAGTCACATCAGGTATTCTACAAACGGCAGCAGAGTAACACTTAGGGGCTGTGGCAATTCCCTTCAAGACTAGGAAATGAGTATAGGAAGATGTACAGAAGAGTCAGATTATGAACACATAACATTTTAAAGACAAAGATAGAAAATTGTCATCACAATACTTTCTTTAACTGATATAGAGACGTTGTTTGTAGGGAGATGTAAGGTGTAAAAATATTTCATTCATTTTAGTTCAACGAAGTCTCAATTAATCAAAGGCAGAAGAAATAATTTATTGTATTTCTATATTCTTAAAATTCCATAGATATTTCCAAATTCATAAATATAATGCTATTGCCAAAATTATAACTTTTTAGAAAATAGACTTTATTTTTTAGAGCAGTTTTAGATTCACAGCAAAATTGAGAAGAAAATACAGAGATTTTTCCATATGCTGCCTGCCCCTACTTATACATAGCCTCCCCATAATCAGTATCTCCCACCAGAGTAGTACATTTGTTATAACTGATGATCCTATATTGACATATCATTATCATTCACTCTTGGCATTGGATGGAGGTATAATGATATTTATTTACCATTATAGTATCATAGAGAGTAGTTACACTGCCCTAAAATCCTCTATGCTTCACCTAGTCATCCCTCTTTACCTCTTTCCTCAGCAAAAGCTGATTATTTTTAGGGTCTCCATAGTTTTCCCTTTTCCAGAATGTCATATAATTGTAATCACACAGTCCATAGCCTTTTCAGATTGGTTTTCTTCACTTACTAATATGCATTTAAGTTTCCTCCATGTCTTTTTTGGGGGGTTTTCATTTAGCTTTGAATAGATGTTTGATTCTTTCAGAGGTAATAAATTATAAAGTAAGCATACTTCTTCTTTTATAAATTGCTTTTTTATGTCCTTGGGTGTTCTTATTATTTCTTAAAATTGACACATTATAATTGTACATATTTATGGAGTACAATTTGATGTTTCAGAATGTGTATATGTTGTGTAATGATTAAATCAGAGTATTTAGTGTATCTGTCACCGCATGAATTTATAATTTTTTTGTGGTAAGAACATTCAAAAGTCTGTTATCCCTGCCCAAAGCCATAAAGTATTTCTCCTATGTTTTGTTCTATTAATTTCACATTCTTGGGTTTTACATTTAAGTCTAATTCATTTTTAGTTGTTTTTTGTATATGGTGACAGGTAGGGGTCTAGTCTCACTCTTCTGCATGTGGGTATCCAATTTTCCCAGTATCATTTTTTAAAGCGACTATCTTTGCATCAGTGTGTGTTCTTGGCATGTTTGTAAAAAATTAGGTGGCTGTAGGTGTATGAATCCATATCTGGGGCCTCATTCTACTCCTTTGGTTTATGTGTCTGCCTTTATGCTAGTACCATGCTATTTTGGTTACTATAGATTTATAGTATATTTTGAAAGACGTAGTGTGATGCCTCCTACTTTGTTCTTTCTGTTCAGGATGCTTTGGCTATTCTAGCTCCTTTGTGGTTCTACATGCTAATAGTGAACCATCTGAAAAAGAAATTTTTAAAAATCCCATTTACATAGCTACAAAAAAGTAAGATGCCTTACCTTAAGCAAGGACGTGAAAGATCTCTACACTGAAAATTATAAAACATTGATGAAAAAATTGAAGAGGACACAAATAAATGGAAAGACATCCTGCATTCATAGATCGGATGAATTAATATTGCTAAAGTTGCCATACCCACCCAAAGAGATCCACAGATTTAATGCATTCTTTATCAAAATACCAATGATATTTTTTACATAAATGGAAAAAAGATTCTCCACATCTTTTAATGGCTTGATAGTTTATTTATTTTTAGTGCAAAACTTTAACTTTTTAGTGGCTAATCATTTAATTCATGTCCCCAGAGTAATCTGATAGGTTTCAAGTACTTGGGCTAAAGAAATTAAAACAGCTAAACAAAGTGTAAAAAGCCTTGGAATGATAGCAAAAGAATTTGGTTGTAGTTCCTAATCTCACACTTTGCTCTTAACAACCACTCGTGACTTTGAGCATCTCACCTTTATGGTTCTTTTTTTCTGTAAAATAATGGACTATGAGAAAATTATCTATTAAATCCTTTCAACTCCAGATATTTATGATTATTATCTGTATCAAGATGGGCTATGGGTCTGGGCACAGTGGCTCACGCTGGTAATTCCAGCACTTTGGGTGGCTGAGGCGGGTAGGATTGCCTGAGGTCAGGAGTTCGAGACCAGTCTGACCAACACGGTGAAACACCATCTCTATTAAAAACACAGAAAAAAATTAGCCAGGCATGGTGGTGTGCACCTGTAATCCCAGCTACTCGGGAGGCTGAGGCAGAGGAATTGCTAGAACGAGGGAGGAGGATGTTGCAGTGAGCCAAGATTGCGCAATGAACTCCAGCCTGGGCAACACAGCGAGACTTCATCAAAAAATAAAAATAAATAAATAAATAAAAGATGGGCTATCATTTTGCATACAATGATTTACTAAAACTATTTGAGTAAATCGAGTAAATCATGCATATATTATTTATCATGTGAGAAGGGCAGGAGTCTGGGGAAAATTACCTGAATTATTTAAAACAATGGCTATATATTCATCTTCATTAAAGCTAATTGAAGATAACCGGTGTTTTGAACATGACACTTTCCAATTAAAAGCCCTTCAGTGGCTCCTTATTGCCCTTATAATAAAGATCAAATGCTTTAATCTAGCCTGCAAGTCTCCCCCATGACTACCACCATTTAGCCCCTATGTTAGCTGAGATAGGACAAATGTGTAATGGCTTAAACACAATGGATGTGTACTTCTTGTTTAGACAATAGTGCATAGAGGGGCGAGGCCTTCTTCTGACAGTGTCTCAGGAACAGAGCTTCTTCCCGTCTTGTGACTCTGCCATCCTGAAGGTACATTTTGGTATTTAACTGACAAATGTGAAAGGGAGGGTGGGCTTGGCTCAGAAGTAATATACATCATTTCTGCTCACATTTTATTGGTGGGAAATTGTCACAAGCCACACCTAAATACAAAATTGAGAGAGAAGCTGGGAAATAGTGTTGATGAATGTCCAGGAAGGAGACAAAATGAATTGTAGCACACAGCTGGCAGACACTACCACAGTTTTATCTCTATCTTTAAGCCTCACTTAATTTCTTTTGTTATCTGGAATGCCCACACTCTCCTCACCCAGGAGCCCCTCCCTCTTCATCGGACTCAGACTCACCCTTCAGATCTCAGTTGGTGGTAACTTCCTCTCTCTACTCCTATGATACTTTGCTTCTATCCTATCTTTTACCCTATCATAATCTTTTGCCCAAACCTCAATGCAGTTTATTTTAATCATTTATATTTACTCTTTGAGGTTCTAAGCTCCTTAAAGGTTGAGATAATATATGTTTTTTAAATTTTTCATGTTTGATTTACAGGTGATGGAAAGAGAAAGCCAGAATTAGGGAGAGAAGGAAAGAAAAAATATGTAGAGGAGTAATTGTGATGGCTAGAAAAAAGATAGTAGATAGGCTGAAGTATCGATTATCTTCCTTTTTTTCCTCATTGAATAGTTATTTTGGCTTGACATTATCAGTAAAAAAAGCTCATCATTCTTTGTGGCTATACAAAATGGATAAGTAATATGATAATATTTTGTTATATTGCTATAGAATATAACATAACTTATCTGTGATGAAAAGGAAACACTCATTCTAAAGGCTGGGGGCTGCATCTCAAAATATTTTCAGTGCCTCTTCTTATCTTGGATTTCAGTAGTATTCTTTCAAACACACCAAATATTTGCTGTCTTGTTCACTTTTAAAGAAAGAATTCACAGGGACTGCTTTAATCATCTTCAATGAATAATAACTTTCTTCTTTTCACTGAGTTTCTCAGGCTGTGAGGTAGAAGGCTATATTAGAAGAATGGAATAAAGATCAGGTTCATTATGGTTTTACTTTTGAGGTAATTATCTGGGGATTTGAAAACACAAACAGATGAACCAATCCTCAAAATACAGTGGACCTGTCTTTCAAAAATATCTTACAACCAGAGAGCTACAATGTTTTCAAATGCTATATTTACAAATATATGTATAAAATTATTTTGATGGTTTAATAGGGAAATGTATTGATAGAAATTGCTATGTGGTGAGGCAGGTATGTCGTCTTTCAGCAATAAGTATGCAGAGAATTTAGCAATGTGGCAAGCAGTATCGCTGAAGCCCAAATTGTGATACATATTGGGAACCATGTATAAAGGTTAGAAAGTAAATATAACTAAGCATATTTTTACTATCATATAATGAATACAAATCAAATATTCGACACCTATGTGTTGTATAATTTACACTACTTGGCCTAATGGACTCTTGGAGGAAATAAATCACACAATCATTGATGAGAACACATGGAAACATAGAGAGGAACAGCACACACTAGGGGCTACAGAGGGTGGAGGATGGAAGGAGAGAGAGGATCTGGAAAAATAACTAATGGGTAATAGGCTTAATACCTGGGTGATGAAATAATCTGTACAACAAACCCCAATGGCACAAGTTAACCTATGTAAAAAACCTGCACATGTACCCCTAAACTTAAAAGTTTAAAAAATGTAGTAAATTAATGAAAAAGAAAACACAATAATTTAAAAGTAAGTTGAGAAGTGTTTTGTTTCAGATGTGAAATAAAATTATTTTATATAATATATTTTGTGCCTCAAGCTTATACAGAAATAGTTGAGAAATACATTTTAGAAAAAGTATATTTGGTGGAGCCAAAATGGCCGAATAGGAACAGCTCCTGTCTACAGCTCCCAGTGTGAGCGACGCAGAAGACGAGTGATTTCTGCATTTCCAACTGAGGTACCAGGTTCATCTCACTGGGGAGTGTTGGACAGTGGGTGTGGTGCACCGAGTGTGAGCTGAAGCAGGGCAAGGCATTGCCTCACCCAGGAAGTGCAAGGGGTCAGGGAACTCCCTTTCCTAGTCAAAGAAAGGGGTGACAGATGGCACCTGGAAAATCAGGTCACTCCCACCCTAATACTGTGCTTTTCCAACGGTCTTAGCAAATGGCACACCAGGAGATAATATCCCCTGCCTGCCTTGGAGGGTCCTACACCCACGGAGCCTTGCTCATTGCTAGCACAGCAGTCTGAGATCAAACTGCAAGGTAGCAGCGAGGCTGAGGGAGGGGCGCCTGCATTGCTGGGCTTGAGTAGGTAAACAAAGTGGCTGGGAAGCTCGAACTGGGTGGAGCCCACCACAGCTCAAGGAGGCCTGCCTGCCTCTGTAGACCACCTCTGGGGGCAGGGCATAGCCAAACAAAAGGCAGCAGAAACCTCTGCAGACTTAAATGTCCCTGTCTGACAGCTTTGAAGAGAGTAGTGGTTCTCCCAGCATGCAGCTGGAGATCTGAGAACAGACAGACTGCCTCTTCAAATGGGTCCCTGACCCCCGAGTAGCCTAACTGGGAGGCACCCCCCAGTAGGGGCAGACTGACACCTCACACGGCTGAGTACTCTGAGACAAAACTTCCAGAGCAACGATCAGGCAGCAACATTTGCTGTTCACCAATATCCGCTGTTCTGCAGCCTCTGCTGCTGATACCCAGGCAAACAGCGTCTGGAGTGGACCTCCAGCAAACTCCAACAGACCTGCAGTTGAGGATCCTGACTGTTAGAAGGAAAACTAACAAACAGGACAGCCACACCAAAACCCCATCTGTACGTCACCATCATCAAAGACCAAAGGTAGATAAAACCACAAAGATGGGGAAAAAACAGAGCAGAAAAACTGGAAACTCTAAAAATCAGAGCACCTCTCCTCCTCCAAAGGAACGCAGCTCCTCACCAGTAATGGAACAAAGCTGGATGGAGAATGACTATGACTAGTTGAGAGAAGAAGGCTTCAGACGATCAAACTACTCCGAGCTAAAGGAGGAAGTTCGAACCCATAGCAAAGAGGTTAAAAACCTTGAAAAAAAATTAGACAAATGGCTAACTAGAATAACCAATGCAGAGAAGTCTTTAAAGGACCTGATGGAGCTGAAAACCACGGCACGAGAACTATGTGACGAATGCACAAGCCTCAGTAGCCGATTCAATCAACTGGAAGAAAGTGTATCAGTGATGGAAGATCAAATGAATGAAATGAAGTGAGAAGAGAAGTTTAGAGAAAAAAGAATAAAAAGAAATGAACAAAGCCTCCAAGAAATATGGGACTATGTGAAAAGACCAAATCTACATCTGACTGGTGTACCTGAAAGTGACGGGGAGAATGAAACCAAGTTGGAAAACACTCTGCAGGATATTATCCAGGAGAGCTTTCCCAATCTAGTAAGGCAGGCCAACATTCAAATTCAGGAAATACAGAGAACACCAAAAAGATACTCCTTGAGAAGAGCAACTCCAAGACACATAATTGTCAGATTCACCAAAGTTGAAATGAAAGAAAAAATGTTAAGGGCAGTCAGAGAGAAAGGTCAGGTTACTCACAAAGGGAAGCCCATCAGACTAACAGCTGATCACTCCGCAGAAGCTCTACAAGCCAGAAGAGAGTGGAGGCCAATATTCAACATTCTTAAAGAAAAGAATTTTCAGCCCAGAATTTCCTATCCAGCCAAACTAAGCTTCATAAGTGAAGGAGAAATGAAATACTTTACAGACAAGCAAATGCTGAGACATATTGTCACCACCAGGCCTGCCCTAAAAGAGCTCCTGAAGGAAGCACTCAACATGGAAAGGAACAACCAGTACCAGCCACTGCAAAAACATGCCAAATTGTAAAGACCATCAAGGCTAGGAAGAAACTGCATCAACTAACAAGCAAAATAACCAGCTAACATCATAACGTCAGGATCAAATTCACACATAACAATATTAACCTTAAATGTAAATGGGCTAAATGCTCCAATTAAAAGACAAACTGGCAAATTGGATAAAGAGTCAAGATCCATCAGTGTGCTGTATTCAGGAAACCCATCTCACATGCAGAAACACACATAGGCTCAAAATAAAGGGTTGGAGGAAGATCTACCAAGCAAATGGAAAACAAAAAAAGGCAGGAGTTGCGATCCTAGTCTCTGATAAAACAGACTTTAAACCAACAAAGATCGAAAGAAACAAAGAAGGCCATTACATAATGGTAAAGGGATCAATTCAACAAGAAGAGCTAACTATCCTAAATATATATGCACCCAATACAGGAGCACCCAGATTCATAAAGCAAGTCCTTAGTGACCTACAAAGAGACTTAAACTCCCACACAATAATAATGGGAGACTTTAACAACCCACTGTCAACATTATACAGATCAATGAGAGAGGAAGTTAACAAGGATACCCAGGAATTGAACTCAGCTCTGCACCAAGCGGACCTAATAGACATCTACACAACTCTCCACCCCAAATCAACAGAATATACATTTTTTTTAGCACCACACCACACCTATTCCAAAATTGACCACATAGTGGGAATAAAGCTCTCCTCAGCAAATGTAAAAGAACAGAAATTATAACAAACTGTCTCTCAGACCACAGGGTAATCAAACTAGAACTCAGGATTAAGAAACTCACTCAAAACCAGTCAACTACATGGAAACTGAACAACCTGCTCCTGAATGACTACTGGGTACATAACGAAATGAAGACAGAAATAAAGATGTTCTTTGAAACCAACGAGAACAAAGACACAACATACCAGAATCTCTGGGACACATTCAAAGCAGTGTGTGAGGGAAATTTATAGCACCAAATGCCCACAAGAGAAACCTGGAAAGATCTAAAATTGACACTCTAACATCACAATTAAAAGAACTAGAGAAGCAAGAGCAAACACATTCAAAAGCTAGCAGAAGGCAAGAAATAACTAAAATCAGAGCAGAACTGAAGGAAATAGAGACACAAAAAACCCTTCAAAAAATCAATGATTCCAGGAGCTGGTTTTTTGAAAAGATCAACAAAATTGATAGACCGCCAGCAAGACTAATAAAGAAGAAAAGAGAGAAGAATCAAATAGACGCAATAAAAAATGATAAAGGGGATATCACCACTGACCCCACAGAAATACAAACTACCATCAGAGAATACTACAATCACCTCTACACAAATAAACTAGAAAATCTAGAAGAAATGGATAAATTCCTCAACACATACACCCTCCCAAGACTAAACCAGGAAGAAGTTGAATCTCTGAATAGACCAATAACAGGCTCTGAAATTGAGGCAATAATTAACAGCTTACCAACCAAAAAAAATCCAGGACAAGATGGATTCACAGCCAAATTCTACCAGAGGTACAAGGAGGAGCTGATACCATTCCTTCTGAAACTATTCCAATCAATAGAAAAAGAGGAAGTCCTCCCTAATGCATTTTATGAGATCAGCATTATCCTGATACCAAAGCCTGGCAGAGACACAACAAAAAAAAAAAAGAGAATTTTAGACCAATATCCCTGACGAACATCAATGCATAAATCCTCAATAAAATACTGGCAAACTGAATCCAGCAGCACATCAAAAAGCTTATCCACCATGATCAAGTGGGCCTCATCCCTGGGATGCAAGGCTGGTTCAATATATGCAAAATGATAAATGTAATCCAGCATATAAACAGGACCAATGACAAAAACCACATGATTATCTCAATAGATGCAGAAAAGGCCTTTGACAAAATTCAACAACCTTCATGCTAAAAACTCTCAATAAATTAGGAATTGATGGGACGTATCTCAAAATAATAAGAACTATCTATGACAAACCCACAGCCAATATCATACTGAATGGCAAAAACTGGAAGCATTCCCTTTGAAAACTGCTACAAGACAGGGATGCCCTCTCTCACCACTCCTATTCAACATAGTGTTGGAAGTTTTGACCAGGGCAATCAGGCAGGAGGAGGAAATAAAGGGTATTCAATTAGGAAAAGAGGAAGTCAAATTGTCCCTGTTTGCAGATGACATGATTGTAAATCTAGAAAACCCCATCATCTCAGCCCAAAATCTCCTTAAGGTGATAAACAACTTCAGCAAAGTCTCAGGATACAAAATCAATGTGCAAAAATCACAAGCATTCTTATACACCAATAACAGACAAACAGAGAGCCAAATCATGAGTGAACTCCCATTCACAATTGCTTCAAAGAGAATAAAATACTTAGGAATCCAACTTACAAGGGATGTGAAGGACCTCTTCAAGGAGAATTACAAACCACTGCTCAACAAAATAAAAGAGGATACAAACAAATGGAAGAACATTCCATGCTCATGGGTAGGAAGAATCAATATCATGAAAATGGCCATACTGCCCAAGGTAATTTATAGATTCAATGCCATCCCCATCAAGCTACCAATGACTTTCTTCACAGAATTGGAAAAAACTACTTTAAAGTTCATATGGAACCAAAAAAGAGGCCACATTGCCAAGTCAATCCTAAGCCAAAAGAACAAAGCTGGAGGCATCACACTACCTGACTTCAAACTATACTACAAGGCTACAGTAACCAAAGCAGCATGGTACTGGTACCAAAACAGAGATATAGATTAATGGAACAGAACACGGCCTTCAGAAATAATGCCGCATATCTACAGCTATCTGATCTTTAACAAACCTGACAAAAACAAGCAATGGGGAAAGGATTCCCTATTTAATAAATGGTGCTGGGAAAACTGGCTAGCCATATGTAGAAAGCTGAAACTGGATCCCTTCCTTACACCTTATACAAAAATTAATTCAAGATGGATTAAAGACTTACATGTTAGACCTAAAACCATAAAAACCCTAGAAGAAAACCTAGGCATTACCATTCAGGACATAGGCATGGGCAAGGACTTCATGTCTAAAACATCAAAAGCAATGGCAACAGAAGCCAAAATTGACAAATGAGATCAAATTAAACTAAAGAACTTCTGCAAAGCAAAAGAAACTACCATCAGAGTGAAAAGGCAACCTACAGAATGGGAGAAAATTTTTACAATCTACTCATCTGGCAAAGGGCTAATATCCAGAATCTACAATAAACTCAAACAAATTTACAAGGAAAAACAAACAACCCCATCAACAAGTGGGCAAAGGATATGAACAGACACTTCTCAAAAGAAGACATTTATGCAGCCAAAAGACACGTGAAAAAATGCTCATCATCACTGGCCATCAGAGAAATGCAAATCAAAACCACAATCAGATACCATCTCACACCAGTTGGAATGGTGATCATTAAAAAGTCAGGAAACAACAGTTGCTGGAGAGGATGTGGAGAAATAGAAACACTTTTACACTGTTTGTGGGACTGTAAACTAGTTCAACTGTTGTGGAAGTCAGTGTGGCGATTCCTCAGGGATCTAGACCTAGAAATACCATCTGACCCAGCCATCCCATTACTGGGTATATACCCAAAGGATTCTAAATCATGCTGCTATAAAGACACATGCACACGTATGTTTATTGTGGCACTATTCACAATAGCAAAGACTTGGAACCAAGCCAAATGTCCAATAATGATAGACTGGATTAAGAAAATGTGGCACATATACACCATGGAATACTATGCAGCCATAAAGAATGATGAGTTCGTGTCCTTTGTAGGGACATGGATGAAGCTGGAAACCATCATTCTCAGCAAACTATCACAAGGACAAAAAACCAGACACCGCATGTTCTCACTCATAGGTGGGAATTGAACAATGAGATCACATGGACACAGGAAGGGGAACATCACACAGTGGGACCTGTTGTGGGGTGGGGGGAGGGGGGATGGATAGCATTAGGAGATATACCTAATGTTAAATGACGAGTTAATGGGTGCAGCACACCAACATGGCACATGTATACATATGTAACAGACCTGCACGTTGTGCACATGTACCCTAAAACTTAAAGTATAATTTAAAAAAAAGTATATTAAGATATAGATTAAAAAATTAAAATTCAGACTTCATGATTCACTAAAGTTTTCCACATTAATGTGTGAGGTCTGCAAAATAGATTAGTTATCACAGACTTCTATTGGCATTGCCCGCAAGTATTCTATGACTGGCATCGATTAAAAACTTAATGAAAAATGTCATTTTATACATGTCAGTTTATAAGTGCTAAAATTTTAAAGCAATATAGGTAGTTATATTAGTCAGCGTTCTCTCGAGAGACAGAACTAATAGAGAGACAGATTATATATTGTATATGTATATGTACACATATATGTGTATAGTTCTGTCTCTCTAGAGAACGGTGTGACTTAATAAACACACATATATATGTGTGTGTGTATATATATATCTGTCTCTCTATTCTGTCTCTCTAGAGAACTCTAATATAACATATATATATATATATATATACACACACACACACACATATATATATATGTGTGTGGAGATGTGTTAAATTGCTCAAGCAATGAAACCACATCTGGTTCAGCAGCTACAATTTGAGTCACCACTTGGTTAAGCTTAGGATAATCCACCATCATTCTCCAAGATCCATCTGTTTTCTGCACAGGCCAAATGGGAGAGTTGAATGGGGATGTGGTGGAAATCATCACCCTTGCATATTTTAAGTCCTTGATGATGACACTAATATCCACAACCCCTCCAGGGATGTGATATTGTTTTTGATTTACTATTGTTCTAGATATAGGCAGCTCTAATGGCTTCCATTTGGCCTTTCCCACCATAGTAGCCCTCACCCTACCAGTCAGAGAGCCAATTTGGGGGTACTGCCATCTGCTAAGTATGTCTATGCCAATTATGCATTCTGACACTGGGAAAATGATGACAGGATGAATCCAGGGACCAACTGGACCCACTGTAAGTCAGACTTGAGCTAAAAATCCGTTAATTATCTGACCTCCATAAGCCCCTACTGTAACTAGAGGAGCACAATGACGTTTTGGGTCCCCTGGAATCAACGTCAGCTCAGAACCAGTGTCCAGTAGTCCCTGAAATATCTGGTCATTTCCTGTTCCACAATGCACAGTTACCCTGGTAAAAGGTTGGAGGTCTCCTTATGGAAGGATGGGAGAGTCACTGCATAAATTGTTGGTAATGTAGAGGTCTCTTTCCTCAAGGGGACCCGGCCTCCCCTTCATTCAAGGGGTTCTGGGTCTGTAACTGACTCAAGTCTGAAAATTGATTGAGGGGCTGTGATTCTCTGTTTTTATAATTCAAATTAGCCTTTTGTCCATTCGATCTAGCAGTTTTCTGCTTGCATAAGCTTCCCATCAATTTCACTTATAGGAACACTCTTATTAATTAGCCAATGCCAGAGCTCTCTGCAAATCAGACCATTCTGATTGCTGCTTTGCCTCTGCTGTCTATTACGGTAGCTATGCTAACCTTGCCTTTGATGGTTGAGTGCCACGACTTGGCCCCTGTCACCTTAGGATCCAATTATTCCCATTATATTTAAATTTTGTAGTTGAGTGACTGTGGTTTCCACTGTTAGATCTGACATACAGAGAAGAGCAATTACAGGGCTCTTCAAAGATGCAGGTGCTGCCTTCACAAATCTATTTCACAAGGCATTGGTCACGGGTATATCTTTTGGACCCCCCCTAGCTGTTATGAGTAGGTCTCAAGTGACTAACCCACTCCACCATCCCAATCACCCAAGCCTTTGGATCCCTTCCTCTACATTAAACCAAGGGAGATCAGGCATTTCCAGCTCACTCACAGTGGGCCACCTTTTTTTTTTTTTTTAAGGCAAAGTTTCACTCTTGTCAGCCAGGCTGGAGTGCAATGGCACATCTTGGCTCGCTGCAACCTCTATCTCCAGAGTTTAAGCAATTCTCCTACCTCAACCTCCCAAGTAGCTGGAATTACAGGTGCCCACGACCACACCCAGCTGTTTTTTTTGTATTTTTAGTAGAGACAGGGTTTCACAATGTTGTCCAGGCTGGTCTCAAACTCCTGACCTTGTGATCCACCCACCTTGGCCTCCCAAAGTGCTGGGATTACAGGTGTGAGCCACCATGCCCAGCCAGGGCCATCTTTTAATCCATATTTCAGCTAACCAAGCAAATAAACTCTTAGAACCATTTTTAACTCCCCAAGATGCAACATTAAATGCAGAGCCCCTAGTTAGTGGGCCCAATCAATAAATTCAGCCTGATCCACCTCTATGTTCCTTCAACCATTATTACACATCCTTAATATCAATTGCCATGCCTGTTCTTCAGATTTCTGCTTATATAAATTGGAAAACTCAAGCAGTTCTTTTAGAGTGTAGCACACTTCCTCATGGGTCACAGTCTCAACCTCACCTCTAGGGGCCCACCAGGACGTTAGTCTAGTTATAGGTCTAGAAGCAAACAAGGGTGTTGGCGGTGGCTCCTTAGGAGAATCAACATTATCGTGTCTGGCAACTACCTCAGGGGATACCGTCACTGTTGTCTCAGGCAGTGCAGGGTTTATCTCCTCAGACAAAGGTGGAAAGGCTGATGGCAGCATGGGTCAGGGAGGGGATGTTACCTCTACTGGAGAGGTGGGGAAATTGTTTCTTCTGACAAAAAAGGTTCATCAGAGTTTAGAAACTCAGTGACCCCCAGCTTTATCAGAGTGCTCCCTCATGTCCCCATTCCAAATTGCAAAGTGCCATTCTTTTCCAATCAATATCCTCATTTTAACAGTAGACACCTGGCGAGGTTGTGCATGCCTCTTTCATTGCAGGTCAGCCACTCACATGATAAGAGCTTGTGTCTGTTTTTCCACGGATAAGACTCCCACTCAGGGCAATCTTAGCAGATTTGAGGCTCAATATCTGCTTCTGTAGCAGGAGTTAGAATCCCTGAGTTCATTATTTTATTTCATCTCTTTGTCCACTGAACTTAACCAGCTTCATTATGTCCTTGGTTCACCACATATGGTAAAAGGTAGTATGCGTAGAGTCACTAAACTCCTCACCTCTCTTGAGCAGTGTATCAGGAGTATCTCATGCATTTATTTTGCATAACTCTCTAAACACTTCACATCAAGGACTATTAGTTGCTCCATCCTTTTATAAGTAGATTCCTTAGCATTTTTGAAGTCTAATCATATTAAGCAGCCAACTCCAGAAACCCTGGTACCAATGAAAGACCTTCATCCTTAATATTCTGTTCCTCTAGAACCACTCCTGGTACCAAAATCTGTATTAGTCAGGGTTCTCTAGAGACACAACTCATTATACATATATATAATTATATATATATGATATATATAAAGGGGAGTTTAGTAAGTATTAACTCACATGGTCGCAAGGTCCCACAATGGGCCATCTGCAAGCTGAGGAGCAAGGAGAGCCAGTCTGACTCCCCAAACAGAAAAACTTTGAGTCCAGTATTTTAGGCCAGGAAGCATCCAGCACAGGAGAAAGATATAGGCTGGGAGGCTAGGCCAGTCTAGTCTTTTCACCTTTTTCTGCCTACTTTATATTCTAGCTGTGCTGGCAGCTGATTAGATGGTGCCCACCCAGATTAAGGGTGGATCTGCCTTTCCTAGCCCACTTTCTCAAATGTTAATCTCCTTTGGCAACACCCTCACTGACGTGCCCAGGATCAATACTTTGCATCCTTCAATCCAATCAAGTTGACACTCAGTACTAACCATGACAGTAGTCACAACATTTAAGTAATCATGCAGTATTTCTGACTCTATTACCCTTAGTGTTTTCAATGATTGCCAGCAATTAAAACTTAACTCCACTTACTGAGGTGTCAATCTAGCTGAATTCAGATTCCATATCCTGTCTTAATCTTGTATTATTTGGCCATCTTGGAATGGAAGATGGAAAAGATGGACATTCATTTTTTAAAAAGGAAAATTACCCAAAAAGCTTAGAATTAGGCCATTATTAAAATATGGAGTGATCAAATTGTCTATTTTTACTTCAGAAATGAGAAAATTGAGACCTGAGAAGTTTAAGTGACATTAATGAAATAAAATGTATACATGCTCTGAGAACAAGGATTTTCTTTCATTTTAAAAGGCTGTTTTCTTAAGATATTTTTATTATTTGGATTTAGCTTCAAAACATTAACCCCTTTTAATGAAAAGAAAAGTAGCTTTATATTTAGACTGGTTTATTTTCATCCACATAATCTGTCAGCATATCAACAGTTGTTTCAGAAATTTAGATACTTTGATTATGCATTATTTATATTTCCTTTCAATGACAAAAATAAAACATAGTGTACAGTGATATTTTATTACAGTAATGGCCCAGAGATTCTAAAAATAAAAAAATAACGAAAGCTCTTTTTTACTTAACAGGAGAAAACTAAGTCGGCTGTGCTGTTGCACCTGCTTGTAGGAATTTATTGGAAGAAATGGAATTGGAGATATTTGCCCTTTTTATTAAATCAGCTTAATAGTTCTTAGCACCACCTGCTACTACATTGTATAATTAATCTTAGGGTACTAGATTTTCTCCAGATGTTCAGCTTTCTGTTTTGTTGGGGGTTGTGGCTTTTTTTTTTTTTTAAGAGACTAATAGGTCACATTTTTTGCCTGTGGCAAAAACAGAGAAACAGGTCATTTCAAATGTTTTATGTTAAGAAAGAAAAATTCACTGCTGATTTTGAAGATTTCTTTTTTAGATTTAATAGTGAGCTAATATGGCATTTCTGAGGACAATTGATAACTAGGTAGAAATTTACTGAGGTAAAATAAACTCCTTCAAGCTAAACTTAGGGATTGCTCCATGAATGCATTTTAAATATCTTATTCTTACAATGCTTTTTTTTTTTAATTGTCCACTGTTTGTAGGCTAGGATAGCTTTGTGCAATTTTAAGTTGATTAAATAATTATACCAAAGCATAAGATGAATAATCTGTTGATTTTGTCTGTCATTTAGTGGTGAAAGCACAATTCAGCATGCAGACTATTTTCACAAAATAGTCTATTTTATGACCAGAAAACATACATACTTTTTTCAGTAAATTTTTGCTAGAATAAGATGTAAGTTGTAGCTATGTTGAAATTGGACCCTCCCCTTCTAAGAACAAGAATAAGCTAAAAGTGTCAGGAGAACCCTCTCAGGTGTAAATAAAGGTCAATCTCTTTGTAGTTCAATCTTCCCAGTATTATATAAGTTTGTGTGGCAATCATGTTAAAGCCTCATTCTGGAGGAAGAGAGTAGATAGGAATGTGAACCTATGCCTATGATGTAAATTGGGGCATATAATTGTACTCATCATTTGCCAAATCTTGGAGAATTTGTCCTGTTAAACTTCTGGAAACTAGACAAGACCCTTATCTTGGTTAGTTGGCTTTTAGGATTTTGAATGGGTAGCATATTTATACTATATGCCACATTAAGCTTTAAATTAATTTGAAACTTTTTCAAAATAGATTAAAAACAGGGCTGATGAACTAAGCCAACCTTTAGGAACTGACCAGCTTTTTTTCTTTTTTTTTTTGAAACTTATGCTGAAATGTTTATTATAAAGTTTTTTTATTTTATTTTATTTTATTTTATTTTATTTTATTTTATTATTATTATACTTTAAGTTTTAGGGTACATGTGTACAATGTGCAGGTTAGTTACATATGTATACATGTGTCATGCTGGTGTGCTGCACCCATTAACGCCTCATTTAGCATTAAGTATATCTCCTAATGCTATCCCTCCCCCCTCCCCCCACCCCACAACAGTCCCCAGAGTGTGATGTTCCCCTTCCTGAGTCCATGTGTTCTCACTGTTCAATTCCCACCTATGAGTGAGAACATGCGGTGTTTGGTTTTTTGTCCTTGCAATAGTTTACTGAGAATGATGATTTCCAATTTCATCCACGTCCCTACAAAGGACATGAACTCATTCACAATAGCAAAGACTTGGAACCAACCCAAATGTCCAACAATGATAGACTGGATTAAGAAAATGTGGCACATATGCACCATGGAATACTATGCAGCCATAAAAACTGATGGAACTGACCAGCTTTAAGATTGAGAAAGAGGATCACTGAGACTCCCTTTGAAGTTGCTCCACTCATTCAGCCAACCTGCAGTACTTTATGGAGACTTCCTGAAAGTTGACGGCCAATGCTGCTACTGTGTGAGGAGGACTCCACCGGTGCCTAGGAGTCCCAAGTGTCTCTAAATGCAACTCACTGCCCCTCACAGCACTAGGCTGGGGGGCACAACAGTGCTCACGAGGCTACATATTAGATAATTCCTGGGTGCACTTCTGTATTCTGTCCCTATTGTAGGACCTAGAGTAAATAACTCACATACCATATTAACATTCATTCTGAGCATTGTAAGTAAATGAGTTAATATCGTATGTGAGTTATTTACTCTGATTTACAGAGAAATTTACAAATCTTACTGGATTAGTCTTTTCTCATTGCATGAGATTATCTATTCCTAATTAAACAACCAGCTTTCAACTCTGCTACTCTCATTTATCATCCAACTTTTCTAATTTAACACCAATATCTTGGGCAGGAGAGAAACATTTCCCTGGAAACAAATTATTGAGAAAATATCGGCATTGTATATATCCATTCTATAAATTAAAGCAAAAGACAAAAACATGTAACAAGTTTTGATGAGATAAGAGATCTCTGATTGTGTTCTACCAAAAAAAATTTCTAATGTAATGGTAAAAAAATAGATCTTACTTTTTATCCCCTAAATTTTGTACTTCAACTGAGGAAACAACATTATTAAAAATAAAATTTGGTATTACACTGTTGAATGTAGAAGTTTATCTGTCCCATTTCCCTCAACCCCCTTTTAATAAATATTTTGGAGGTAGGAGAAGCAAGAAACAACTTGAAGTTGATAAAGATAAATAATTTATATAAAGTGATTTTTAAATTTTTGGTAAAAAACATTTACTAAATATATATTTATATGTGTGTTTCCTCCTATTTTAGGGGCCAGTACTATAAACTTTTATTTTGTCAACAAATACTACAAGCCAAGCACTATTTTAGGCACAGGAGATAATAACAGAGAGAAGAAATAAAAATCCCAAGCCTCACTGAATTTACATACTGGTAGGAAAGTCAAACAAAAACACAATATATAACTAAACTTTAAAGTTTATTAGGTGATAAGTGCTAGTGACAAAAGTAAACCAGAGTAAAAGGGATTGTGAGGACTACAGGTGTGTGATTGTAAACGGGGTGATTTCAGTAAGAGTTTCAGGCAGAGAGAATAGCCTCTTCTAAGGCCCTGTGGTGCAACCATCCTAGGAAAGGTTGAAGATCAAGAAAGATACTAGAACACTTGCAGTAAAGAGAACAAAGGAGAGAGTAGAGGAAGTTGTGAAAGTGGAGAGTGAATAATGGTGGGCCAGACAGCGTGGTAAGCTATTGTAAGAAGATGATTTTACTCTCATTGAAAAGACACCATCAGAGGCTTTTGAGCAGAGTAAAATAATCTGATACAAATTTTAAGAGGCCTTCTGGCTGCTGTAATGACTGAGAATTATGATAGAGGGAGGTGGGGATAGCTGGATAAGGGTAGAAGCAGAGAGTTTCACGCTCTTGAAGGATCTTGGGGTCTAGTTCAGAAGCCAGACATGCCCACAAATTGTGAAGGTGAGTATTGATGGTGAAGTAGAAGGAAAGTGTGGCCTGAGTGTGGTCTGAGAAAAGAAGCAGGCTATCTCAGGGTCAAATGCACTCATTTCCAAATCTTCACATTTCATGTTGGTTGATTTTGTAAAGTCCTTCTGGCATGTGAAGGCAGAAAAGGACAGCTGGAGGATGATGCATTTTTATTAAAAATATTTACCGGTTCTTTATTATAACTGTAACATCCTTGTTTTAAGTATAGAAAACTGTAAATTAATAAGTAAAAAGATAAATTAAGAAATTTAAATTTTAGGCCGGGTGGAGTGGCTCACGCCTGTAAGCCAAGGCAGTCGAATCACCTAACGTCGGGAGTTCGAGACCAGCCTGACCAACATGGAGAAACCCCATCTCTAGTAAAAATACAAAATTAGCCGGTCATGGTGGCGCATGCCTGTAATCCCAGCTACTCGGGAGGCTGAGGTGGGAAAATTGCTTGAACCCAGGAGGCGGAGGTTATGGTGAGCCAAGATCGCGCCATTGCCCTCCAGCCTGGGCAACAAGAGCGAAACTCTGTCTTAAAAATAAATAAATAAAATAAATAAATAAATTTAAATTTCAAAGATAGAAACCAGCCATAATGTCATCATCAACACATCATCACTGTTTACATTGCTATGTAAGGTCTTCCCTCACTGGGGATTGGTTCCAGGACCTCCATATATACATAAATCCATACATACTCAAGTACCCCAATTTGCCCAGTGGAACCTGTGTATAGAAAAGTTGGGCCTCAGTATATGCAAGTTTCACATCCTGCTAATACTGTATTTTTGATTTTGGTTCTGTTGAAAAAAATCTGCATATGAGTGGACCCACATAGTTCAAATCCTTATTGCTCCAGGGTCAAATGTATTTCATTCCAGCCCTTATTTATTTACCATCTATCTACTTACCTGTCTATGAAGAATTAGAAAAAAAATACTCTATGTAGTTTGATTCTGTTTTTTCACTCAAATTTTCCCCTTTGCATGGAATTACTTGTGTAAGCTATGATATTTATGGAAGCATTTCCATTGTAGAGATGTAGCATTATTTCACCATAGCCCATGAAGTTAGAAAAAAATGGAATGTTTTACTTTTATATTGTTTTGATCATTCTCAAATATAAATCTTTTAATATAATTAAAATACACAAGAATTTATTTAATAATGCATTTTTCATTTGATTTTGGTGCCTTGTTTTTCTTTACCTCCTTTTTTCCTTACTGAGGTACACATACTCTTCTGAGTTATTTATAAAATTTCATTATATAGTAAGGTTATTAAACATTCAGCCATGTATATTGTGAATATATTTGTCATTTTACATTTTAATTTGCATGCTGATATCTTAAAGTTTTAGATAGTAAATGTTTTTTTTTCTTATTTTTTCCTTGTTTTTGGAAATACTATTTTTCATCCTGATACATTCACATCTAGTTTTCCACAAGCTATAATGTTTATCTTTGTTATTTCCTCCCCCAATCCAAACTCATTCTTCAACTAGACTTTCTTTTTGTAAAGACAGAGATGAAAATCTAAGCTGACTTTTGTTTTCTCAGTACATGGTGAGTTTTTCCAATAGCACGTCTAAAATAGTCAATTCTTTTCTCATTAAATTGTTATGTTTGCCTTATTGCATATTGAGTTTTTACATATACTAGGCTCTGTTTCCACTGATCTATTTACATTTTTTATGCTGAAGTATGTTTTGATAGGTGTAAGAACTATTTCTGGGACATTTTAAATATTAAACATATGATTTAGTTGGTTTGAGGAAATCAGACTATCAAAGAAGCTTCTTTGTAGGGTGACTTTTTTTTCTTATTTCTGTTTCTGTCTAGAAACAGAATGGTATTTATCATTTATTCTATCTTTTATTCTGAAGAAGCTCTCAGAATAAACTTTCCCCCATGCTGTAAATATTTGACCAGAAACAAATTTTCATAATTTGATGTTAAATCAAACAAATCCCTGATTTCCTACATGAATACAGTGTAAAATAAGCAACATTTCTGATAGGTTAAGTGCCTGAATACGTAAATATGAGTGAGTGAATAAATGAATGAAATTTGGTATAGAAACAGATACTCAAGATTTTCAGGATGAAGTAAGTACACTGTTAAACACAAAACTAAGAAACCTGAATATATTCACTAATTTTATGGTTCGAGGTGTGAGCTCTAATTCAAAATTTTGGAATTCTAGTAAAGAATATGATTTGAGACAGGAATAAATGAATAAAAATATAACTTTCTAATTTTGTCCATTTTTACTCTAAAAATGAGTGGTAATATGTTTCTTGTGGTAAAATTTAAAGGTTTTAGGCCCTAGTTAGCCTGACAAATGAAGTGGGAAGCAAATCAGAGAGTTGTTTTCTTTTTAACCACAGTTTTTCTTGTATTGTAATTTTTGTCTCTCATATTTCTTCTTTCTTTTTCCCTCTTTCTCTACTTACTTTTCTTCCTCCTCTTAAGATTTTCTTCCCCTTTTCTTCTATTTTATTTTCTAAAAATTCCCATTTAATTCACTTCAACAGGAAAGGTCTAATAGCCAGTCAGTCATGAAAAAGGAAAAAAAGAAAGCAAGAAAAGAAACTATCAAATGATTAATATATCTTTCTCATTATGCAGTAGATTAGATATTACTGTGTTGACTTCCTAGTCTCAGGAGAAAGACTTGGCTAAGAAAGAATACAACAAAACATTCATTAGTATAACATATGGCAAAAATAATGAAAGTGGGACCCAACAAACCCATTCAGGTTAAAATCTTGAAGCTGTAATTGTAAGATAATTGCACAGTCTTATTGTCAGGCAGTTACAGCGTGAGACTAATAGGATGCCAAGGGAAATGTTGATCAGCACTTGAGAGACTTAATTTTCCCCAAATTTTATTCACCAACTTGTTCAATGAATAGGGCTCTCTTCTGAAGTTGCTATTCATGTGTGAGTTACTGAGCAGTTATGTGCTTAAAAGTGGTGGTCAAACAGAGCTGACTGTGAGGACTTGGAGTGGGCACTCGGATGAGAAAAGAAAAAAATACATTCTCCCAAAAAGTTTATTCCAAGATGTAGAAAATGCTCTTAACATCTAGGTTGCATTTATATCCAGACTGCACTGACTGTGCCAATGATGTGACTCATAAGTATGCTAAACTATTACATTAATCTTATTTTAAAAATTTACTCCAGTTAAGAAAGTCACTTGGATGTTTCCAGGAATAATTTCTAGGATTGATCAAATGCTAAAGTCTATGTAAATTTTCTTTTATTAGTTGCTATATGATCACAAAGTTACATTCTGCTTTAAGATGCTTATAAACAACAATATCTCAGGAATATTGAAATTATCAGCATTCAGATACTTTCGATTAATCCATTTTTAATAGAAAAGTAATATATGCTGTATACCATTCTTATTTTAAATGAAGTATGCAGTTTTCTCCCAATAAATGTTTCTGAGTTTAATAATAAACTTTATTTATAGTACACAGAGAAAACACAGGAGAATATTCCCATCTGCAATAGGCAACCAAAAAGCTCTATTTTGAGTAGCACAACAATTTTATTAATATCAGAACGAACTCCTAAACTTTTGCCAGAATGAAATCATTGATTTTCAAAGTTGCTTAAAGCCTAAAATTAGATGGAAAATGTTTAAACTAAGTTTTGAAAATGAGAATAATTCAAGAAACTTCGTGGTGCACATTTTCAGTACCTTTTTCACAAAGTAAGATATAATATTTGACCATTTGGCCTAATAGGTTAATTTTACAGATAAGGGGAAAAAACTGCAGAGAGATGCAGGGCCTTTTCCAAAACCATGCATCTACCTGCAAGTAAAACAAAAGCCTCTTCTTTTCTCCAGGACCACAGAACTATTTATGCAGGTAACAATTGATGTAAAGAGATGACACCCTGAATGAGAATGCAAGTAAATTAAAATATTTACTTGAAGATGTTTACTAAGCTTTACTGTAGTACTTTGATATTTATCATGATTCTTTAAAACACAAAATTGATCACGTCATTCCTTTGCTCAAAATCCTGTAGCAACAACTCCCACCCTACTTCACTTAGATGAGAAGCCAGTCCTTAAAAGCCTTTGCAGAATCCCGCTGTTCTGTCCCTTATTACATGCTGACCGCATCTCCCACCATTTGCCACCAGATGACTCTGCCTCAACTCTAGCTTCTTCAAATTTGCCAGGCACTTTTGGTCTCAGAGCCTCTGTAGTGCCCTCACCTCGGGATGTTTTTCCTGAGATGTGCCCCTATCTATCTCCCTCATCTTCTTCATGTCCGTTCCCCAGCACTACTTCTAAATGTGGGAAATGAATGGACCTCTGCCCTGTGTCTGTTCTTTTAGCAGTGCCAGTTCTACTTCCCATCTTGCTGAGTCTCACCCCCTGCAGAGCAGAGTTTTCCAAGCCAAGGAGAAACACCTACCTGAAACTGGCAGCTCCTTTCTTGGCTACCCTATCGTTTCCAGGGGTGCCTGGCAAATAAGAAGAGTGAGCCTGCTCTGCTCAAGAACCACAGCATCCGTTAGGCCTTCCCTGGTTATCTTATTTTAAATCATGTCACCATTATCACCCAGATATCTTTTTTTCTCTTTCCTGTAGTACATATTGCCTTTTAAGTTAGTGTATAATTTATTTATTAATTGTATCTTTCTTCTTTTGCTAGAATGTGCGCTCCATGAGGCAGGGATTTTTGCCTACTTGTTCACTGCTGGGGCACATTGTTCCAAACAGCGCTTGGCACACACAGTATATGTTCAATAATATTTGTTGGCTGAATGAATAAATGAATAAAGGGTAAAGATCTATCTTCTGTCTTCTGAACAGCTGTGAAAATGATGGAAATTCATTTGGAAATGTTATATTGATTTCAGTTCGTTTTTCTTGCCCGTGGAACCTATTTTAATGATTCAAATCTCCTCTCTTTTGGGATCCATCAAGTTTTGTCAAAGTTTTAAAAAAATTGATCTTTAAAGTATCAGAGTTTAATCCAAATTTAAACTGTTCAGAAAATTGAATATAAACAGCCACTTTCCCTTAGTTTTTGAACTGTAATTGAGAAGTTATAAATAAGAAAAATCTTCAGTTCAAAACAACTGTGCTTATCAGTTTATAAGTTCTGACTACATCTTTTGGGATGTCTGAAGTCATTATATTAAACCTAAAAAAGTTTAGCTTCTGAAGCAACATTTTCTATAATGTTTTCTAAATATTTTGTAGTTTGCTAAATATTTACCACTGTGCCTAAACAGGATAATTTAATTTAAGGGATCTAGACTTTTTAGAGAGTTATTAAATGGGAACTAGCTGGGGTTTTTTTGTTTTTTGTTTTTTGTTTTTTTTTGTTGTTTTTTTTTTTGAGATGCAGTCTCACTCTTTTTGCCCAGGCTGGAGTGCAGTGGCACGATCTCGGCTCACTGCAACCTCCACCTCCCGGGTTCAAGCGATTCTCCTGCCTCAGCCTCCTGAGTAACTGGGATTACAGGCGCCCACCACCACGCCCGGCTATTTTGTACTTTTAGTAGAGACGGGGTTTTGTCATGTTGGCCAGGTTGGTCTCGAACTCCTGACATCAGGTGATCCACCTGCCTCAGCCTCCCAAAGTGCTGGGATTACAGGCATGAACCACCGCGCCTGGCTGGGAACGAGATTTTTTAACAGTATTATTACACTTCTACGGTTTGCTGATTGTGTTTAATAAGAATTAGGTGCTGTCTGTGCTAGGTAGAGCAGGAAACTGAGAAATCATGATACCTTGGAAGGCTAAGAACATCTACATCTAGCGACCTTTTCAAGTATTGACAGTAACTTAAAAACAAATATTTGCAAAATGTCTTTCAAACACAACCTTTGTTTGTTTGATGAATCTCACAACCATAATGTTAAACAACAACGACAACAACAAGCCAGACACAAAACAGTACAAACTGTGAGAGAAATTCCATGTCCATGATGTTCCAAAATATTCCAATTAATTTGTGCTTTTACAAGTCAAGATAGCAGTTGCCTACTGATGGATCTGGTGAACTGGAAGGGGTTACTAGAGGTGTTTTGTGGGGTGCCACTGACATTCTGTCTCTTTGGGTGTTGGTTACTTGGGTGTGTTCACATTGTGAAAATTCATCCAGCGGTTCACTTTTAGTCAAACACAAGCTTTAACATAACACTTTAATCAACAAAAATATTCACATTTTGTCATGATATTCTGAGTGCCTGGAATATAATCTTTGAACTTTAGGAGGCTTAGAGATTGTCTGAATCTAATCTCATTCTTTTACTAGTACCCCAAATAATTTAAGACAGAAATAAATCAAGCAAATGAGCATTAAATTATTTGTTTTTGTTTTGACAGATTTAGGGGATACATAGAATGGAATGTGAAATCCTGTAATTTGCAGCAGCATGGATGAAGTGGAGGCCATTGTCTTGTGAATAATTAAATGTTTTGATAGTAAAAAATCAATGAATGACCTTCTATTTGGGTGCGATCATCAGTGTGGGAAGACGGCGGCAGTATACCCAGAACTAGCACAAGCGAACAAATGGAGGTAAGAGTGCTAGAATGGTACTGATAAGTAAGAGCAAGTACTCCAGTTTCATGGGAGTGTCAGGAAGAATTGGGGTCTGGATGAAAAGCAGGGGTCAATGACAGTAGACCTTCACTTGTAGATTTAAGAGTTTGAAATTTTACTGCTTAAGTAATGAGCTATTGATATTTTTGCAGTAATACGATTAGAGTTGTTTTCAAGAATATAAGATTAGTGAGGTGAGCAGAAGATTAGATCAGCATCTAGTGTGTGAAATGATTGGTGTTATATGTAGTTATATTAGATTATTGGGATATATGGTCCAGGGAGAGAAAAGTCCCCCTGAACTCAAGTTATGGTAGTGGAATGGAGAAGACAGAATGGAAAGAATAAATCCTTTCTGGGTGTATTTAAAGGAATATGACAAGTGTACATTTTAGCAACATCTCTTATATGATTGTAGCATGAAGAGAATCCAACTTCTGCTGTTACACTTGAATTAGAATGATGACATGATCCATAGAAATAAAGTGAGAAGGGGTCGGCTCAACATCTTTATGTCACTTTTTCCACTTTGAAACCAGATTGGTATTTTTTTAGCTATTACACACTTTAGGCGAGATGACCCAAATTCTCTGTCCTCGATCTTTACTGAAAGAGGAACTCACTTGCTATGTTGCAAACCACATTTTAAAAGTAAATAGAAAGCTAAAATATTGTTGGAAACTAGATATCAATAGAAAATTAAGCAAAATAGATGTTATTATCTTTATGTGAAATTATTGCTAAACAGATAATGAAATAACTTAGAAGAAAAAGAGAGATGTAAATGATTCTGAGCACCATTTTGTACCAGATGGTCACCTGAGCATTTGTATAGCAAGCAAGGCAAACTACAGATAAGCCATATTGTTTGTAAAGGGGATTATGATAAAAATATTGCACAGTATTGTGAAATTTATAGCATTTAAAGTCTTATTTAATTGCTCCCGACAATAGCTATGTGATTAAGGTATTATTTTTCTAATTCATATACAGGAATGCAGAAAACTTTACAGATATGTTTTTACATATTATTTCAGCAAAATGTTTTCTTGTTGAATATGTAATCTAAAATACTCTGCATTTCTAAGTTGTATTATATATTCACTTTTGGTCAAATTTCTTACCATAGGAACACATCTCTAATATAATAGTGCAAATCAATGGAAAATATGATTCATTTAACAAAATTTTAATAAATGTATTGCAAGATTATATTTTTAAAAGTACGTTTTATCTGTAGTTAGATTTTTTTAAAAAAGTAATTTACATTTGATTTAAGGAGGACATTTTTTCTCATTAAGATACACTACTGACAAATCCACAAGACAATGTGTTTTGGGAGGCTAGGTGTATTAAATTATATATGGTCACTTAGGGAATTGTTCAAGGAAATACTAACAGTCACAGTATAAGCCCATAGGTATTATGGCAAGTACATCCATCATGTGAGAACAATTGTCATTAATAAAGCCTTATTGCCAACTACAAAGAGCTTTCAAAGCATTTTCCACTTGGATTATTGTCTTACAGTTTTCAAAGATTCACTTTCTGGCTTAGGAAATAAAAAAATAAATGTCAAAACCCAAAGTGTGCAGTTCTGAAACAAGTATTTAGATCTGACTGATCCTTGCTATAAGAACATAAGAAAAATAAGACATGTAGAAATGAGTTTAACTCTTCAAATACAGTAGATCAAATAGTCATTTGATAAAAAAGATATTTAAGAAAAATATAACACCTTTTTCCAAGAGCATTCATTGAGCACTTAATCTTATAAAACCTTATGACTGAGTTCTTGTCTCACTACTTCGACCTTCTATTTCTCCTATGTTATCATTTAAATTTTTGCAAGTTTTATTCAGACCTTCCCAGAATAATTGGAAGATTTCTGATTGTAAGAAATATGCATTAAATTTCTTTGAACATGAAGATTGTGTAGCAGAGTAAGTAATCGTTTGATAAATACACTTAATACAAATTCTTTTTCATCTATTTGAAAATTATTAAAGATTTTACTTGAATTACTAGCTAACATCCAAGTACTATCTTTGTACTAGGCACTGTGTTAAGTGTTTGGTGTGGGTTATCTAATTTATTCTTTAAAATATAGCTATTCATGAAATAATGCTACTAACAATATTGTTAGTATTCCCCATGAAAAGTAAGACATATAATTTGAGTAACTTATTTAGAACCCCACAGCTATTTAGGCAGAGAGATAATTTTAAATTCTGGAAATTGGATGCCAGAGTGTTATTATGACTTTATACCGAGTCCACTCTTTCTTAATTAATGCCTTAGCTTTCACATACATGAGAGTTTGTGAATTCAACTAATATTATAATTCAGCAAGGTGCAAAATGCATCCGTGGAATTAGTTTTCTGTGTGCTCCGCAGCATAGCTACAAGTAATAAGGGACTGTTCTGTACACTCACACAAGGATTCTGAATTTCATCCTGTGCTTTGAAACCCATAAGGCCTGGGCTTTCCAGTCTCCAATTTCATTACTAGGCCTGTCAGATGTAGCCATTCTACTCGGTGGGCCTACCATTCCTCATTCTATTTAAGCAGTTCTATGACAACAGCCACCTGCTCTCTGAACTTCATCTTCAGGAGGCCCAGGTTCCAACCGGTCACTGCTTGTGGTTGTTTAAAGATTCTTTCTCATTGACCACCACTTTCATATCTCTGAACATGGGTAGGAGTCTCAGCACTTTTCACTCCATTCAATTCAAAATATTTACATTCGTCTGAGTCTGTATTTTTAAATCTGATTTCTGTGTAACTTAGGGGTCTTCGGTTGCAGGAAACAGAAAATGACTGAGAAACTGAGAAGAAAAGAGAAGTAAAAAATAAGAGAGAAATGAGAGGAGATTTTTATTAGAAGGACATTGGGGTACCTCACCAAATTCAAGAAAAGCATTTTTTTAAAGACAAGGACATAGACTCTCCTGTTATCTCCTCAATAGTAACATGTGGCTTTTCTACTTGGTTTCTTACTATTAGATAACTCAAATCTTACTTAAATCTCAATCTTTTACCCTGGTCATCACTGATAATACTGAAATTTCAAGGACAAAGAATCTGTTACTGAATGTAACTCACTTTAGAGGTCCAAGGGGTGCAAGCCTGTTGAAAAGCAAAGAAAGAAATGTATTCATGTGAGAAACAATAGCTACCTAAATTCCCATACCATACTTTCTTTTAAAAAATACATGATTTCTAAAATGGCCCCCCTGAACATAACTCTTTTCTATGATGCGATCTTAAGTGGGCTTTTCCCTCTCAATGGGAGCTAACCCAAAGTCATGTCCAAAAGCTAAACATAAAAATGATATCACTGTTCTTTGTGTCTGATATCTCTGAGTGGCATCTATTTTCCTCTAGTTCTGTCATGGTTCTCTTGTGAGATTGTACAAAATATAGGCGAGCCACATACCTAACCCTCACCATTATCTCCTGTGTACAAGAGAAGAAAAAAAAAGAAATATTTTAATACATATCATATTTAATGATAATAATAATCACTTCAATACCCTTATGCATATATTACAATATTTCACTTATTGCTGTGTTAGGAAAAGGGAGGCTCAGTGGCTTTTGCTTTTACTTGGTACTGTAATAGCCTTTACTCTATGTACCAGGAAGCCAGTATGGAATTCTGCAATACGCTGTGATAGTGATTCAAACCATGAATAAAGGAAATATGAAGCTATCCTCAGAGTGGGGCTTGGACCACACAGAACTGATTGTGAGATTAATTTACTTTGAATTCTGTTTACCACCCTTAAGCCTTTAATATTGTTAAAAGTTTTGGTCTGCATACTCAAGAACAGTGTTTTATTGGAGCCAGTGCATGAAAATTATAATTAGCTCTCCTTTTCAGGTGCACAGTTACTTAGGAAAGTACCCATAATTATCTAAGGGAGATTAGGGAATGGCCCATATTACATGTATCCAACGAATAAAGGCAAATCAACCTTATGGATAAAAGGAGGACTAAGACTTCTAATCAAACTGTTTTCTTACTCACTATTGTTTGAGAATATTTTTCCCTTAGGGGACACATGCACTTTTTGATATTAAGATTCAAATAAAATTTAGAGGTAGACATCCCATCCCAAACAAACAAAACAATCAAACAAATAATTTCCTGTAAAGATTTCTATCCAGGAATACGACCGATTTTTTAGCACTAAATAGTTTTCTATTTATTACCGCATCTGTTATAACATTATAGAAATCTTGGACTTACAGTGGATCAATAAGTGAAAAAATTAATTTAAAAATTCATTATCAAGTTATCCAGCGGATGCAGGTTTATCCCGAATTGGCGTTCAGCCTGGGAGGATTCTTGGCTTCACTCAGGAAAGAATTCAAGCGCCAGCCAGCAGTGAAAGAAAGAAGTTTATTAGAACAACAGCATACAGCAAAATAGCTGCTCCGTAGACAGAGCAGGGCTGACCCAAAGACAGAGTTCCCGGGAGTAGCGGTGTGCAGCCGTATCACTGTCCCACAGAGCAGTGCTTCCTTATAGGCAGAGTGGCCCGGAGTAGCGGTGTACAGCAAAGTGGCTGCTCCATAGGCAGAACAGACCAGAGCAGCAGCAGCCCCAGCAGTGTACCCAAACAGAGCAGTCCAGAGGGGCAGTCCGGGTAGATTGCTGGCCAGCTATATTTATCCTTACTCTTAATTGTATGCTAATTAAGGGGCTGGTTTTCAGAATTTTATAGGAAAGGGGTGGGGAAATTCCTGAAACCATATAAGATAACTTCTGGATCGTTGTCATGGCATTTTTAAACAGTTATGTTTAAAAATAGCGCTGGTGGTCTTTAATCAGTGAAGGCAACTGGAGGTTGCTTTTGTCGCCATCTGCTAGTTTCCGCTTGTTTCTTTACTGCATTCTGCTTTGATCGGCAGGGTCATGATTATCGCTCAGAAAATAAGTCCTGCTGATTTCCTACCTCACTTTGATATCTTGGACACTTAAAAATGGGAACAAACATTAACACGCTGTTTGAGCCATGGATTTTTTTAAAAAATTCAGACTATTCTGTAATCCCAGCATTTTGGGAGGCCAAGGCAGGTGGGTCACGAGGTCAAGAGATTGAGACCATCCTGGCCAACGCGGTGAAACCCCATCTCTACCAAAAGTGAAAAAAAAAAATTAGCTCTGGCAGTGGTGGTGTGTGCCTGTAGTCTCAGCTTACTCAGGATGCTGAGGCAGGAGAATCACTTGAATCCGGGAGGTGGAGGTTGCAGTGAGCTGAGGTCACGCCACTGCACTCCAGCCTGGTGACAGAGTGAGACTCCATCTCAAAAAAAAAAAAAAAAAAAAAAAAAAAAAATTCAGATTTTTTTTAACTGAAACATTAAATGAATCAAAATATGTGAAAAAATCAATGTGTTTTAAAATTCTTAATATCTTTTCAATCATCCTGAGATGACTGAAGAACAAAATACTGTGTGATGATACTTGACAGGTTGATTGATTCAATAATTATGTACTTAAATATATGGGGATTACTATCAGGTATTTACTATCAGACATACATTGGCTATGTGGCTATATAATTTACTATACAAAAATACCAGTTGTTCAGGCTGTGGACAGTGCTTAAGTTTGTAATACAGCTCTTGGGGTGGTAAACTCAGATTGCTTTTTTTTAGCCAAATCATTCATGTTCTTGCTTTATTTCTGTAGTTCTTAACTCTGACCTTAAAACAGTAGTTCTCAATACTAGATAAATATCACCGGGTACCTTTTAAACCCTGATATACTAGCTGGAACCCAGATAAATTAAATTAGAATGTTTTGGGGTGGGATCCAGGAATGCATAGCCTAGGAAAATTATGAAAGGTTTCTGGGTTATTTATAATAAATCAAGGGACTGTGCTCAAGGCTTAAAGGTATAAAGTTAGTTATTAACTAACACAAAACTAATGATCCACTTTGTTTTTCTCTGTTAAATCAAGTCTACTGACACATTTCTAAGGATAATTGTAATATTGTTTAAGGAAAGTTAGACTTCAACACTATGAGGTGGAACAAATCTGAAGACTATGTCTTAAAGAAAATCTTACAGAAACAGAAACATGTATCTTGGAAGAATTAGCTCTAACTGCTAAGTTAACCTCCCCACCTCTGTTTTGTTAATTGATAGCATGAGTGAGATGGCAATGGTCAGAAGATTTCAAAAGTGTTCTTCACCCTGAGGCTCAATATGATACCTGCTAGGCAGGGCTGCTGCTTTTTTTGTTTCCTAGTCATTCACAGCAATAAGTAATTTTAATGTTCAGGTATGTGCTTGAAATAAATATCTGAATCTCCAGTATTTTCTACAGTAAAAAGCATTTTTCCTCAATATAGAAGTGTCTACTATATAACAGAGGATACAGAAAACTATTGGTTCATGCCACTGTATCAAACCTCATTTAGCAATTTACAATGCTTACAATATATCTGAAAATACCTTGTATAATATTGTCAATGAGACACAGAAAGTGTGTTATTTATGGATTACTCTTTTAGTGTCTTGTAATAGTAACCATTCAACAGATGGCTATAGATTGAATGGCTCAGATTATTCAATAATTGTTATTTTCTCATAGAAACAATATTAGGTGTGATGGCTAGGTTTCTAGGGGTGGTCAGAATAGCACTCCTTCGTACATCCTCCCCAGCAAAATGGTGTCCAGATCTCTGGAACCTGTGAATGTGTTATATTGCAAAGCAAAAGGAAATTAAGGTTGCAAATGGAATTAAGATTGCTAATCCACTGACTTTAAAATAAGGACTACCCTTATTTTAGGTGAGCCCAATGTAATCACAAGAGACCCTAAATGTAGAAGAGAGAGGCAGAAGAGTGTCCAAATGATGTGATGCAATACAGACTTGACTGGTCATTTCTGGGTTTGAAGTTGAATTAAGCCAAGGAATGTGATTGGCCTCTAGTAGCTAAAAATGGATTCTCCCCTAGAGCCTCCTGAAAGGAAGGCAGTCCTTAATTGTAGCCCAATAAGATAAAATTCCAGCTTCTGGCCTAAACACAATAAAATAATAAATTTGTGTTGTTTTAAGTTAGTAAGTTTGTGTTAATTTGTTATAGCAGCAATAGAAAACTAATACAGTAGGACAGATCTTAAAATATTTTTAATGTAGTGTTTTAATGAGGTATAATTTACAGTTTATAATTTATAATTATAATTCATATTCCAACGGGTTTTTTTTTTTTTTCTGACAGATTCTTGCTCTGTTCCCCAGGCTGGAGTGTAGTGGCACAATCTCGGCTCACTGCAACCCCTGCCTGCAAGGTTCAAGCGATTCTTGTGCCTCAGCCTCCCAAGTAGCTGGAATTACAGGTACATGCGACCACACCTGACTAACTTTTTTGTATTTTTAGTAGAGACCAGGTTTCACAATGTTGGCCAAGTAACCCCAAGTGATCCGCCCACCTCAGCCTCCCAAAGTGCTGGGATTACAGGCATGAGTCACTGCCCCCAGCCCCAGCCCAATGGGTTTTAATAAATATATACCTCTGAAAGCCACACTCATATCAAGATATAGAATATTTTATTATCTAAAAAAATCACTCACCACTCATTTCCAACCAATCTTCTTTTCCAGGAAACTGATGCTTTGATTTCTACTGCCAGGGACTAATTTTGTTACAGTTTCATATCAATGGAATCGTACAGCATTTACTCCTGTGTTTGGTTATTTTACTCTGGATAATGTTTTGGGATTCATTCACATTGTTATGTGAATCAGTAATTGTCTCTTTTCTGTTGCTGAATAGTACAGATGCTCCTCAACTTATGATGGGGTTATATCCAGTAAACTCATCTTAAGTTGAAAAGAATGCATTTAATACACCTAGGCTATTGAACATCACTGCTTAGGCTTGCCTATCTTAAACATTCTCAGAACATTTACACTAGTCTACAGTTGGGTAACGTCACCTAATACAAAGTATATTTTATAATAAATCATTGAATCTTTCTTTTAGTTTATTAAATACTGTAGTGAAAGTGAAAAGCAGAATGGTTGTATGGGTACTCACCACTTAGGTACACAGCTGAAAGCACGCTGCTCCTGAAGATTGTTTGAAGCATTGAATAAAAATTAATTGCCGAATGACGGGATGCGACAGTGACAGGGTCATTAATTTCTCTTTGAATGAGGCTTGAGAATAGCTGACAGAAGCCATCAATACTTGACGGATTAGCAGGCATAGTGTTCTTCAGGACGATACCAAATTTTGACTACAGTTTTCTTATTTTCATTATATATTTCTCTATAGCAAGCATTAGCACCTGTAACTGCCTGTCAATTATGAGTCCCTCATACTTGGCATCCATTTTGTCTAACACCCATAAGCCACTGATGATAGTAGCAAATGCCTCTGCTAGTTTCCTTGTTGTGAGCTTTCTTGGTGCCTCAGGTGTAACTTCTTCTTGTGCTTCAATTTCTTCTTTCTTCCTCTAGTTCAATTAGCTCCTCACTGCAGAGCTCTTCAGCCTCAGTGCAAACAAACTCACGAATATCCTCTTCATCAATATCCAATTCTAGCTGGTTCCCAAGCACTAATATCTTGTTACTTACTATTTCATCAACAGCAGAATCTATATTAAAGCTTTTGCATATGTTCATATATGCATTCAAAACTTTCTTCCAAATGCCATCTATGCATTGCTGTGTGAATTCTTCCTATGCTGCAGCGATGTCCTGGATAACATTTAGAATGTGTAAACCTTTCCAGAAATCTAGGATCATTCAATCACATTCAGTTGTTTCAACAGCCTGTGCAAATGTATGCTTTGAATGCTGCTATTGCACCTTGGTCCATTGGTTGAATGAGTGTGATGATGTTCAGCTGCAAATATATAACCTTTACATCAGAATGTATGTTTCTGTTATGCTGTGGATACCCTGGAGCATTGTTTAAGATCAGAAGAATCATAAATGGGATGTTGTTTTTCCTACAATAATATCTTGCCTGCAGAATAAAACAGTTCAAAAACCAGTTTTCAAACAAAGCTGTTGTCATCCAATGTATGCTTGCTCACATTCTTGAATGCTCTAGGGTTCTCTGAGTGGTAGATTAGAAAAGGCTTGAATTTGAACCCTATGGTATTTCCCATTTCCATCCCAAAGCAAGGTCAAACAATCTCTCAATGTCTTGAATCCTCTCACTGTCTTGGACTCTTGAGGAATGTGTGTATCCACTGGCATACACTTCCAAAATAAGCTTGTTTTATTGATGTAAAATATTTGTTCTGGAAAGTATTTCTCATCCACAATTATTCTATGCTGCTCTTCCTTAAAAAGGTCAAGACCTTCAGTATCTGCACTTACTGCCTCATTGCTGACCTTCATATTAGGAAAATTATAAGCTACTTGAAGCAATGGAACCACTATGACTTGCTATAAACATTTGCTTATAAGTAGGACCATTGGCACACTCTTTTATTATATTGAAAGACACTGTCTTACTCTGGATTGTCAGAAGGCTTAGAGTATACTGTATTAGTTCATTTTCATGCTGCTGATAAAGACATACCCAACACTGGGAAATTTACAAAAGAAAGAGGTTTAATGGACTCACAGTTTCACATGGCTGGGGAGGCTTCACAATCATGGCAGAAAGTGAAAGGCACATCTCACATGGTAGCAGACAAAAGAAGAGAACTTGTGCGGGGGAACTCCCCTTTAGATCTCATGAGACTTATTCACTATTATGAGAATAGCTTGGGAAAGATGCACCCCCATGATTCAATTACCTCCCACTGGATCCTTCCCACAACATGTGGAAATTGTGAGAGCTACAATTCAAGATGAGATTTGGGTGGGGACACAGCCAAGCCATATCCTATATACTTCTGTTATCTGGTTTTCCATCCATGTGACAAGTAATTTTTTTCTTATCATTAGCTGGCCCAGCTTTTTTCTTTGTGTTGGCAGTGGATTTAACTGATGCTGATGATTTCATCGCATCATTGATCCACTTCTTGTCATGGTGGCGTGTGCCTGTAGTCCCAGCTACACGGGAGGCTGAGGCAAGGGAATCGCTTGAACCTGGGAGGTGGAGGCTGCAGTGAGCTGAAATCGGGCCACTGCACTCCAGCCTGGTGACAGAGCAAGACTCCGTCTCAAAAAAAAAAAAATGATGAACAAGATCGTAGATTGCAAAAGTCCTAACTCATGTGTGATGGCCATTATTGGTTTGCCAGCTTCATGCTGGGAAATTATCTCAAGTTTGTCTCAAGAGTAATTGCCTTCCTCTTCTTCTTCTTCCCACCAGAAGGAGGAGAAACAAACTGACATTTTGTAGACGAGATCAGATGCAAAAACACAAAACACAATATCCGAAAACTGCTGGCAACTCAGGACACTGTAGAGTATTGGTAGTCTGCCCTAGTGATTGTGTCACTGACTGGGAGCTATAACTCATGGTCACTACCCAGCATCACAAGAAAGAATATTGTACTGTATAATGCTAGCCTGGAGAAGATCAAAATTCAAAATTCCAAGTATGGTTTCTACTTTTGTATCATGGTAAAGTTGAAAAATCCATCACAGAGCAAGAACTGATGTGGGGAACTCTGATGTTAAATAATTGAACTAATCGCAATCAACAATTCTTGGCTCAGGTGAGTTGCAGCTTCTTGTCCCTAGGTATGCAGTTTCATCCAACCGCTATTAAATCACTATAGGAAGCCAGTCAGACATGATCTCCACTCATATTTATCTAGCCTGTTTGGTATGGTAGAACAGGGTTGTTATTGGAAACAGAAATGCCTAGCTCATGTATCCACATGTGAAGAGGTAAATTTCCACCCTCATCTCAGACCATATCTAAAAATTAACTCAAGTGAATAATAGACTTAAATATAATATCTTAAAAATACAAATTGTAGAAGGAAATATAGAAAATCTTTATGACCCGAATGAGGCAAAAATTTCTTATATACCAGCAAAGAACATGGTCCACAAAAGAAAAAAAATGCTAAATTTGACATAATAAATTTCTAAACTTTTGTACTTCAAAAAACACCATTAAAACCTAATAAGACAAGCCACATACTGGGAGAAAATATTTGCAAAACAAATATTAAGTTAAGAACTTGTATCAAGAATTTACAAAGACCTCATAGAACTCAAGAATACAACCCAATTAAGAAATGGGGAAAAATATGCCAAATGTATCACCCAAGAAATTACATGAATGGTTGAGAAGCACTCAGAAAGATGCTCAAATCATGTCATTAGGAAAATGCAAAATAAAACCACAATGAAATATCATTTCATACCCACTAGAATGGCTATAACCAATAAAGCAGACAAGAAAAAATTATTTTGGAGGATTTAGAAAATAGGGACCCTCATGCAACGCTGGTGACAATGTAAAATAATACAGCCATTTTGGAAAACAGTTCATCATTTTCTCAAAAAGTTAAACATAAAACTACCATATGTTTCAATAATTCTACTCCTATGTATATACCCAAGAGAAATTAAAAATATGTCTGTTCAAAGATGTGTGTGTGAATGTTCATAGCAGCATTATTTTTAATAGCAAAAAGTGAGGGAAAAGTGAAATACCCATCAACTAATGAATGAATGAACAAAATGTGCTATGCTCATACAACAGAATGCTATTCAGCAATAAAAAGTAATGAATTATCAATGCATGTTACATCATGGGAGGACCTAAAACATTACATTAAATGAAAGAAGTCAGACACAGGAGGCCACATAGCATAAGAGTGCATTCATATGAAATGTCCCGAAAAGGCAAATCTGTCAAGAGAGAAAGTTGATAGTGGTCGTCTGAGACTGTGGTTGAAAATGAGAACTAAATGTACATGAACATGAGTAATCTTTTTAGAGGAAAGAGAATGTTCTAAAACTGATTTATGGTGATGGCTGTTAAATTTTTACTTGAGTAAAATTCAAAAACCATTGAATCATTCACTTGATTTTTTTGATATGTAAAACATTCCTCAAGAAAACTGTTAAAAAATGAAAAACAGAACATCTGGGTTCAAAAGTTAGTTCCTTGTTTTACTAACATCTATCTTTCGGCAGGTTTAAAATAGTAAAATCTGTATCTACATCATACAGTTGGATGAGGTTGACATAAGATAAATATGTCATGGACCTTGAAAAGAATAGAAGTTTAATTAGTAATAATTATTATTGTTTGCAATACTATGAAATTATTTTTCTTTCCACCTTCTGTTCACATCTCTGAGGTCTCTAAAGTTCTGATTAAACGTTAATAAAGTAACTGGTAGACTATATACACACAGAAAGGTATTTGCTGGTAATTTTAGGCTAAGCTTATAGATTTTAAAACAACTGAAAGAAAATTAAAGGTATAAGAATTTTGTGTGATATCTACTTTTATCCTAGGATAGCCTATGTGCTAGTCCTCTCTGGAAGAGAAGAGTTGGAGCAGTGAGATGGATAAGATTTACTTGAGGGTCTGCCCTTGAGGTTAGATGGCACCTCACAGACTCCTCTTAAATCTTTTTACCTGGCTAGCACTGAGCAAATAGGAGTAAGTATGGTAGACCAATATGTGTAAAATCTAATTCAATTACATATGTTAATTTAATTAAAAGCTTTAAAATAGGTGATAATTTCCTTTAGCTGAGAAGAGATGATTATAAAATCCATAAAAGAATGAACTTTCACTTATAGTTATAAAATTTTTTTTTAATATTTTACATTTTGATTCATGAGAAAACATTAGTTCACATTAGTTCAATTCTATTGTCTGAGTTTTCCATACCTGCTACAATATAAACCTAGTTTTTAAAACGACACTTAGAGATTTGCATGGGAATATATTAATGTCTTCTTCCTCAGGCCTTTCCTAAACAGATTTTGTTTTCTTTAGCTTTCAACTTTTACTTTTAGGAAGTTTTCACAACCATCATTGGTACACTATTCATTGAATGACAATCCTCCCATTATCAAACTGTTTATTTTGAATCTCCAATATTCTTTAGTGGCCTTCCGTGGATTGCTTTGCCTGTATTATAGGCTTCTACTCTAGATATATATTTACTAATGTGCTAAATGGCACATTATTTTTCAGAATTTTCCTAAGCCATCAAATCTGTTAGCATTCCTCAGGGTCACACTTGATTTTTCTACCTTCTGCCATCTCTTTTCTAATATGGCACCATAAAATATAAGCTGCAAACTACTCTATTCCTTGCACTAATTAAAAATTTATTGTAAATCCCACATCTTCTAAGAGTCTCCCACCACTCCCCTTCACCCCACACGTAATCAGTCAAATGTATAAAGTGTTTCTTCTGAGGTCCCGTTCTTCTTGGATCTAATATTTATTGAGATTATTATGTGCAAGATATCAGGCTGAGCACATTGACTGCATTATCACATTTTTCTCACAATAATTTTAGGAAGTAGGAATGCTACTGACTTCATTTTGTGATAAGGAAATGGAGGCTTAGCAAGAATAAGCAACATGTATCTACGAGATCGTTTCTGACATGTGACTCTATTATGTTTAATGTGAGAACCACACTATCAACACAAAATAAACTGCCTAATTGTTCTTACAGGATGTTCTTGACGAAGTTCTCAGCCTCTGTTGGTTTAAACAAAAAATCTTTGTCCTCTGTGGTTAGACACAAGACAGGAAAAGCCAGAAATAATGAAATTCAGCAACCTCTGGGGTGCTGGGATGGAGACATTTCCATGAGGGGCTTCATTCAAAGAACAAGTTGGTAAATCGTCAGATATCCAAATTTAGGGGGGTGGCTCAAGCATGAGTGAAGAAAAAGTATCAAGTATCACTTGTTATATATTGGGGAGAAAGAATTGGGTAGGTTGCAAACCTCAAACTGAAAGAGACAGAACAGACTCTCACAGACAAGTGCCAAGACTAATTTTTCTCTGCATGCCTTCCAATACAAGTAAAAACTGTTGTCAAGTGGCTACTGCTCTCCAGGGTGAGGAATGGTTTTATCGACGGCAGCAGTGTTTGCAGTAAAAGTATCACTGAAAAGGATCCAAAGTTCTCACAGCTTGTTCCAATTTTTCATGCACGTAGCCTCCAAGTTTCAAATTTTCAATCGGTTTTTTGATGCTCTTTTCTAAAAGACCTCCAATTTAACTCAAAGAATATTCAAGAAAACAATAGCTTCAAGGGACTCCAAATACTTATGGTTACTCAGTTTCAATATAAAACATTTTGTCTTAGCTCTTAATTGGTTTGAATTATTTACAATCAGTTTGAATCAGTTGGAGCCAGTATCCAAACATAAAAAGAAAGTATCTATTTTGAACTTTCTTAACAGCTTTTTATTCCAACAGTTTTGAACCAACTTCAAACACTTCAATACAGTTTGAATCAATTAGCATGTACCTAAAAACACTTAATAAATAAGAAGTTGATAGGTTCTTTGAATTGCATTACTGATTTATTTCACTGGTATCCTAACTGAGTATATTATCCCACCACTCTAATTCACAGTGCAAGTTATTACCAAGTTAGTTTCTTTAAGATGCATTGTTCATTAAGGGCATATGAGGTACCAGGTACTTTGCTAGGTGCAGGTAACAGTTTTTTCCCCAAACATCAGCTTTGATTCCTCATAGGTTTCAGAACTAAAATACAAACTCATTGGCTCATCAAATTTTTGTCACATTCTAAATTTGGTCTTTATTTTCTTATAGTTTTATGTCAAACTCTTTATGATTTCTGTCTATTCTGACCTATTATCTATTCTTTAAACATACTTGAACTTTTTTCCCTTTGAACTCATAATTTGATTAGAATGGAAGGCCATTCTATAAGTATTTGCCCTGCCAGAGTTGTTCTTGATGAAGAGAACATTTATTGCATATTTAGTTGCCTACCATTGATTCCCCACTTCTTTTACTAATATATCCAGAGTTCATTTCATAGCAGCACTACCTATGTCACTCTTAATCCGTTTCCTGCCATAATAATTGGTTCATGGATAAATATATGACCCAATCAGAGTAATTAAAAAGTAATCCAGGATCTAGCCTGGAGGGAAAGGTATTCCGTTTTACTCTTGATTGAACCTGGAAGAATATGGTTAGTGTTACTCTGAATAAGAAAAGAGTCTAGCCAAGGAGGAGTAGACAGATGAAGAAAAAAGAAACCTGATGTCAGTATGTAATCCTTTAATCAAATATTTTCCACTATGAGAGGCAATATTTTTATCCCTTTTCCCCCAAAGACAATTTACATTGAATTTTCTTTTATCTATATTTGCCTCATCTGTTTATTTCATTCTGTACTTCTATAGAGGTAAGAGTTTAGGGCACTACCTATGCATGACATCTTATATGTTCTGCTCCTTCTTTTAAAATTTGTCTCCTCATCCACTAAAGAAATTCATTGGGAAATTTAGAATATGCTGTTTCCATAGGGATAATAGCTGTTTAAATGTATATGATATCTATTTTAAAGAAAGCAAATACATATAACAATATATTTTGCATCTTTCCTTATAAGAAAATACAGATTTGTATGTGTGTGTATGTGTGTGCTTTAAAAAGGCCAGTTGGTCTAAGAGGTTTCCTTTTAACTCTACGTACAAGTGCAAATCCAGTTAATTCTATTAATGACTAAAAGAACAATGAAAGCAAATTTGTAAATGGATTTTATGTCCTAGTATGTATAAAGCACTTTAAGAATGTCTCGTAGCTCTCAGAATCTTCCCTGACCTCAGATCAATGCTAGAGGTGATCTTTACGTTATGTCAACATTTCCACCAGTGATGTCACAGTCTATCTGCTGGGCCACCAAAAGAATGCCAGGGGAGAGAGTAGTTACTGGTAACTATTTTCTCGTAGTGTGTATCAAAATGGACAGCATTAAGGTGTCATCTACAAAGAGATCATCTTCCATACAAGAACCAGAGATTGATTTGCTGGGATAGTGTATTTCATCCACTAAAAAGAATTATTGTACTACATGACTTTTAAAAATACACTGTTTTCCTTCTGATATTTCTTTGAAAATTTCCTAACAGATAATTACAAAGCAAGAGTATAATGACTTTTAAACTTTTTGATTGTGTGTATGATAAAATGTACAGCTTTCCTGAATCATTCCAGTAAATTTTCCTAAATCATTCTTTTACTTCAGAGCAAAGTTGGCAAGGAAAAGTGTTCCTGATTAAAAAATAACCTACTGATGTTGTTATGTGGCCATTTTATGTTATATATGTTTTATATGTTAATAGGTTATATGGCCATTCTGTTATGTAGCCATTCTTGTGTGTGTGTGTGTGTGTGTGTATGTTTATGTGTAGTTGAGCTAAGTGTGGAAAACCTGTGTTTAAGATTTTTCTGACTTACAAACTCATTAATATTGTCATTAAAGACGAAAAAAAGGTTTTCTACTGAAACCTCAGTCATTTCTCTGACCACTGGTTTCTGAACAAAGAAACCTCATTGAACATGGAGCATCCTGAATCACCATCTTTTGACTCTTGCACATTTCAACTCCTGAAGGCAGAATTTATAAAGACACCTCACTGCTTTGTATACCCTACACTTGTCAGTTTCTAAATTTAATCTTTATGTAATTGACATTTATAACTAGCTTTCATTTTCAAGTTTAGAAGATACCTCCTGTAAACATATATGGAGAAGGTTTGAAAATTTTACCTTTCTGTTGCTGTTTATTTATTTTTAGAGGCAAAGTTTCACTCTGTGACCCAGGCTGGAGTACAGTGGCACAATCAGCTCCCTGCAGCCTTGAACTCCTGGGCTCAAGCAATCCTTCCACCTCAGCCTCCCAAGTTGCTGAGACTACAGGTGAGCACCATCTCGTCCCTCACCCGGCTAATTTTAAATTTTATTTTATTTTTTCAATTTTTTTATAGAGATGGGGGTCTCTCTATGTTGCCCAGTCTGGTCTCAAACTCCTAGCCTTAAGCCATTCTCTTGTCTTGGCATCCCAAAGTGCTGGGATTACAGACCTGAGCCACCATGCCCAGCTTGTTACTGTCTTCATTAAAACTTGCAAATTTCAGAGAAAAATATATTAATCAAGTCTCAGAATATCATCAAAATTATTAAGGCAAGCTGTCTTTCAAACTAAATTCCAAGACATTTTTCCTTTAAACTGCCTTAATTTGTTTTCTTTGTAAACCTGTACAACTTAATTAGAATGTGTTTGACTAAACATCTGGATAAATGTCACATTTTCCCAAATTGGCCTACATGGACAAAAAAGAAATATGTTATTAGTATATTACACAATAACTAAGTCGTATGTGGTTTTAAACAACAGCCAGGGGAAACATGCCTGTCATAAAAGCATCACATACATTACTTCTACTGCTTGGCTAGCAGATATTCAGACACCAGAGTTAAATATTTTTAAGTAGTTTCTCATGAGAACAATTTCTCCTGAGATAAATATATAAAAGAAGAACTAAATAGTGAAGAAAAACTAGTAATAATTTTGCAATAAATCTGTAATTTTTGTAAAAATTAGTAATAAGTTTGTATCTACTATTTATGATACTAAGTTTCTGTTTGCTGTTGAGTTCTGTTGAGGATTTGATGACATTAAAGAAGCCATTTGCCTATGGAATCGCTCTCATCCTTTCTCATATGCTAATCTCCCGGGAGAGTTCTTCTTCTGAACATCTTTCATCTCCAGTCTAATAGCCACAATAATATATATCACAGGGGATGCTTAGAAAAAAATATTGAGACAAGTATAAAAAAGTCTACCATAGAGTCTGACTTCTATCAAATTCTAACTTATTATTTTCTTTTTTCCTCTTTCTAACAAAAAAGATAATGAGAGAATTGCTGGCTATTTGGAAGAGAGAAAAATCATATAATTTCAAGACTTCTAAATTTAACAGTAATAAAGTAATTTTTTCTAGATTAATTGCTTCTGAGTTTTATGAATGTTTGAATTCATCAGTATTTATTGTTTTTACTGCAAAATTCCCATATCCTAGATGTTTTAACTTTAAGTAGAAAAATAAAATTTGATTCCCATGTTTTGTTTATAATATAATTTAATTAATGGAATTGCATTAAAATGGTGCACAATTTTAGGCAAAAAATACAATAAATATTAATGATATTGTTGTATGGAAGTAACATTAACTGACCTGAAGATACTATCAGTGAACATTTAGATTAGTTAACAAAGGGAATGAACATGAATGGGCTACCTTCTACGAACTACACCGTATGCTAGGTCTTGTGTAACCAGTATCTCCTATTAATCATTGTGGTAACTGTTTGCACTAGATGTTATTATATACATGGTAAGCCAAATATTTATTTCCTATTCTTTTCTTTTCTTTTCTTTTCTTTCTTTCTTTCTTTCTTTCTTTCTTTCTTTCCTTCTTTCTTTCTTTCTTTTTCTTTCTTTCCTTCCTTCCTTCTTCTTTCTTTCTTTCTTTCTTTCTTTCTTTCTTTCTTTCTTTCTTTCTTTCTTTCTTTCTTTCTTTCTTTCCTTTTCCTTCCTTCCTCCCTCCCTCTCTATCTCTCTCTCTCTTTCTTTTTTTTTTTTTTTTTTTGGCAGAGACTCACTCTGTCGCCCAGGCTGGAGTGCAGTGGCACAATCTTGGCTCACTGCAACCTCTGCCTCCCAGGTTCAAGCAATTCTCTGTCTCAGCCTACCGAGTAGCTGGGATTACAGGCACCCGCCAACATGCCCAGCTAATTTTTGTATTTTTAGTAGAGACAGGGTTTCACCATCTTGGCCAGGCTGGTCTTGAACTCCTGACCTCGTGATCTGCCCACCTCGGCCTCCCAAAGTGCTGGGATTACAGGCATGAGCCACGGCACCCAGCTGGTAAACCAAATATTTCAAGTTAGGAAGTTCGAGGCTTGAAGAGATGAACAATTTACGGAAAGGCACATGGGTAATAAGGGAGAAATCTGATTTCTAAACCAAGTTCCTTTCCTCCAAAGTCCATGCCTTTCTCAGCTACCCTGTCTCCACATAGGACCACAGAGTTCCTCACTGCCATTGCCTTAGAAGTGGTGATTCCCTTACCACGGGTGTTTGTGCAGATTTCCCCACCATGCAGATAATGAATGGGTTGAGAAGAGCTATATTGACCAATGACTACCATTTGAGTAACAGAGGTGTCTATATACTTGAGTTGTGAGGTATGTAAAGAATGGATTCTTCTATATATTCAATTTAAGTGGCAATTTGCTTCTAAAGCCAATACCCCAGAGCCCATTTAGCTTAAAATATGGCAAAATTATTTTACTAATGGTGATATTTCAACCACTGATGGTCTCCATTTTTCTCTATTACCCCTTTTGAACACTTGCTCTATATTGAATCCCGAGTGATCTCTTTAAATCTGATGACATATTTCTTTTGCTTCTTTGATGGCTTTCCTTTGCTGTGTTTGAAGACCCCAATTCTTCCTCTAACCTTCAAGGCACTCCATAAGCTGGTTCCCACATCTCACATCTGCAGCATCATCTCAAATCTCTCTTCCCCTGAGACCATGCCCTCTAGTTACACTGGCCTTATCTCAGATGCTTAAAATACATCAGGACTTACATGTATGCTTTCTCTCTCTCTAGAAAGATATTTCTTCCTTCCTCCAAATTTTTTGTTTAATTAATTGCTGTAGAGTACAGCTCTATATCTCAGCTCAAATATCACTTTAGGGGAAATCATCCCTGATCCTCTGTACCAGATCTTCTGTGTGCCTCCTTAACTCCATGCTCTTTTTCTTCATAGGACTTATAAGAATTTAAATCATATGTTTGTGCAATTATTTAACTAGTGTATACCCTCCTAAACTGTAAACTCCTTTAGACCAGTGTTTATTTTGCTCAGCATTATTCACTTTTGGATTACCTTGTTGTTTTGCTCAACATTATATCACCAAGCATGTAGTAGAGTACTAAGCATAGGTAATCAATAAATATTTGGGGAATAAATAACGCATATTCTTCTAAACTGCCTTCTTTTTCATTTTTCTTATTTGGATGGATATGATGGAACTTAAAAAAATACAAAAAGTTTAGTGATAGAGGACAAAGCACGTGGATAAATACTATGATCTGAATGTTTGTATGCCCCCAAAATTGATGTGTTGAAATTCTAACTTCCAATGTAATGGTAGTAGAAGGTGGAGCCTTTGAGAGACAATTAGGTTATGAGGTTGGAACTCTCAGGAATGGGATTGGTGCCCTCATAAGAAAAACTCTGGAGACCCAGACAGTCCCTTCCACCAGGTGAGGAAACAGCTAGAAGGCACTGCCCACAAGGAAGTGTGATACCATTGGCACCTTGATCTTGGACTTCCCAGCTTCCAGAACTGTGAGAAATAAATTTATGCTATTTATAAAATGCCTAGTTTTTGATATCTTTGTTATAGCAGCCCAAACAGACTAGAAAAATAAGCCTGTTGAAAAAAAGCAAAGATATTTGCATCTCATAATTTCATTTGCAAAAGAACACCTGTTACAGAGAAAATCATTAAGAGAGAGACAATGATTCTCTCTATACACGTTAGTTGACCTTTCTTTCCCCAATACCTCTGCATTTGCCCAATGGATTCAGTACAGAATGACCATGGCTGCATAAAAAAGAGATTATGAATGAGCTCAGCAACACCTATCCGTATTCAATGAGACTTCTCTGACAATTGCCACTAAGAAGTGCCCAACTTGCCACTAGCAAAAACTAAAGCTAAATTCCAAACCTGACCTCTGAATTACAGGGGATTATCTGTCCATCTGGTAGCAAAGTGGCTTCACTGGACAGTTTCATCATGAAGAGGACAGCAATTTATCCTCACTGGAATGGATATTTATTCTATTTAAATCTTTTCTTTTCCTCTTTGCTTTAGTTTTGCTAGCACTGACATCCATGAACTTACTAAAGACCTTATTCTCTACCATGATGTTTCACATAATGTTTCTGACTAAGGAACTCATTTAGTGAAAAGAGTCATGCAGCAATCTTCTCATACCTATGATATTTACTCCTCTTAAAATGTACTCTACCAAAGTCAGGTGTCCTTACAGAGCAATAAAACAGTAGAATTACTTGCTGAGAGCTGAAAGTCAAAATCTTGAAAATTTAGGCACTGTCATACAAAATTCAGGGCATGCTTTGAACCAACAGACATCCATAGCTCGTGTATATAGGTCCAAGAATTGAAAGATAGAAGTAAAAATGTCTTCTCTCTCGTAAAGTTAATATTTCCTTTAAGTTTTTTTTTTTTTATCTTTTGCTTTCTGTCCTGAAACTCTTGGGTTCTGCTAGTTTAAAAGTCTTCATTTAAAATAGAGAAATCATTTCAATAAAGGACTAAAAGTGATTTTGGGAATTGAAAGTTGTGATAGCCACTTGGCTGTTTAAGGTTTCTCCTGCCAACAGGCAAAGAAAAGGGTGCTCTGCTCTGTCATGACAGATATCCGTTATTATGAGGGAGAGAGAGAGCTCTTTGTATAGACCCCAAGAGATTATTTGTGATCTCCTTTATTTTAATATTTAGAAGACTGTATGTAAACCAATAAAGGGTAGTATTACTTAGAAATTAGACATTGAGAAACAAAGGTTTAGGTTTTAAGCTATCTTACTGGGGAAAATTCTGGCTAGCTTAGGCTAAAAGAACCACAGAATGGATAGTGGAGAAAGGAAATCATAAATGGAAAATACTGTCTGTGATCAATTACAGAAACTAGGATGCAACCAGCTATGCATACGTTTTGTTGCCTATTTTGTAATTTTACACACACACACACACATACACACCATTCTGTTCTTTTTACCTACCTTTTTTCTAATTATTTTAAATAATAAATATAGTGAATAAAACTGTGACTGAACTAGAAGAGCAATTAACATCAAATTAACATCCACAAAAATGGTTACAGTGAGTGATAAGATTTTTCTTCTATTTTTAGGGGAAAGAATGAAAATATCATCATTTATATGTGAGATAGTTGCATCATGACAGTAGAAATATTATTTTGCATTATTGTCACTATTTAGAAGTTTAAATATAGTAAGAGAGCATATGGATACTGAATAATAAATATTGGAAATTACTAGACATTATTCATTGGCACTTGAGCCTGCTTATATCCCTGTCTTCTATACTGTCCTTTGTACAAAGCTAGCGTTAAAATACTCTCTTGCCAGCTGGGTTCTGGTTACCTTCTATCAATAGGGACACTTGTGAAAGATGGGAAGGCTGTCAGTGATTTAACACCATTCCCTTCTGGCAGCACTCACTGAGCGACCATAAATTCCTGCAAAAGTACAGGTGGTTCCAGCATTTGTGCCAGGGTTCCAAATGTAGCCGAGTTAGTGGTAACATTGGATGATTCTGGGCCACTGAAGGTTATTGCAGGCTATTTTAATAGCTCTGGGGATCTGGCAGAGATCCATTGCTATTGTGAATTTGGACTCTTTAAGAGGCAATATCCTTCAAACAACAGAGACTTGTGAAGCAACTACAGAGAACATTGTGGGCTTAGACAAGCTTTTGATATTTTGCTATTGTGGAGACCTTAATATCTTTCTGTAGTAACTAATCTTTAGGAAACAGGACCTTCCTCTTTTTTCATTTTTCTGCCCTCTCACAAAAACATGTAAAATCATTTCTCATGTTATCTTTCTATTCAAAAACACTAGAATAGATTCTATTTTCCTTATCGGACATTGGTTCATTCTCTTCTTTCCTACCTCTTGATATTGCCCCCAAAACTTAGTAATTCATACTCATCTTTCATCTATCTACACACACTCCCTCTGTGATCTAATCCAGCCATAATCCTCCTCCAGATTCACATGTCCAGTTGCCCACTGAACATGTCCACTTGGATGTGTAATAGACATTTCAAACTTGCTGTCTACAAAAAATGAACTTTTGAACTTTCTTCTCACAAGTGTTTCCATCCTACAATCTTTCTGATCTCAGTTGATGGAAACCACCCTTTCATAACCTTAGATCCCTCTCCAAAACTTCTTTTTCATTCATATTTTATACCATCAGGGAAATCTATTTTTTTTCTGTCTTCAAAATATTTCTAGGACCACATCAATTTTTATCACAACCTCTGCTATCACCATGGTCCAAGCCTCCATTATCTTTCACCTGATTTACTGTAATTGTGTCCCAGATAGACCATCCTTCTATCATTATTCCAAATACTGCAGAATGCTACTTTAAAAATATTAGTGAGAGGTCCTATAACACCTTTGCTCAGAATCTGCCAATGATTCTCCTCCATTCAAAAGAAAATATAAATTTATTATAATAGATTACAAAATTTGCTTCACTCATATTAGTATCTCTTTGACCTGAATTCCTGAAAGTTTACTTTCAATCCACCATCCTGACCTTCTTGCTGTATTTTTTTTCTTTTTTCTCGCATGTGCCATGCTTTCTTTCACTTCAGAAAATTTGTTCTACCCATTCCTTCTGCCTCAAGCTCTCTTCCCCTACAACATCTACAAGGCTAACCCACTCACCTCTATTAAGTGTTCTCTCAATGTTACCTTCTTAACTAAGCCTATCCTTACTACCTGCGCCCTCTCCCAGCACTATAGATTCTATTTTCCTTACTTTTTTTCTCAATATGACATATATTTAAAGAATACTATACTTTTACTGTTTATTATTCATTGTCTCACACACAAGAATGTAAGTTTAACGAGGGCAAAGATTTATTTTTAACTTTTTTAAAAAAACCTTACATATCATCCCAAGTACCTGACATGTTCTAGGCATTCAGTGAATATTTGTTGAATGAAGAAATAAATTTCTTTCCTGGCATATCTTTTCTCCCCTAAATCTAGGAGAATTCTTTTAGAATAAAGACTGCTGAAATATAAAAGCAAAACAAGCTTCCTTTTTCTATCTTCTTAGCATATTCTTTCTCTTTTTCTCTCTCTCACACACACAAATACACACACAAACAGACATATTCAGGTACAGACAGACACATGTGCATGCAGACACACACAGAAGAAAAACATGCTAAGCATGACTTAAAATGTAGAAGGTTTATGTTGCAAGTGGGAGTAAAAAAATATTATGTGAAATTGACTTTCTGATGGCACAAGAAGTAGAATAAGGTTCTAAGCGCCACTTGAATCGTGCACAGTATGCTTTCATTATTATTCACCCTCAATTCTTCTCATACTCAAAGAAGGAAATTAAGATAATACCAAAACAATCATCCTACAAGAGAATGTTTTTATTTTTGGAGATGCTTTCAGCAGCTAATGAATGATATTACTTAATTTGCATCAGAGTAGATTATTATTCTGTATCTTGGAAACCTCTCTTAAATTTTTTTCAGAGCTTGTATCATATTGTGATAGTCAAGTGAATGATAGGAAGAAATAGTAATTTAATGGTACATTGCATCATTCTTCCTCTATGCTTCTCCATTATTTTTTCCTGCTCCATCAAAGAGCTTACACAGGTTTGGAATTTCCAAAAGAACATAGGTTATCGTGGAAGCAATTGCATTCTCACTATAGTTTAGTTACCAATGATTTTCTTTATATAATAAAGATAACAAATTTTGTCTGTCTATATCCATAAAATATGTTGGTTAAAATCCTTTTGAGAGAAATTAATCTAACAGACAGATGTAAAAATTTTCAGGACAGGCCTGGCGCTGTGGCTCACGCCTGTAATCCCAGCACTTTGGGAGGCTGAGGCAGGCGGATCATGAGATCAGGAGATCAAGACCATCCTGGCCAACATGATGAAACACCATCTCTACTAAAAAATGCAAAAAAATTTAGCCGGGTGTGGTGGCACATGCCTGTAGTCCCACCTACTCAGGAGGCTGAGGCAGGAGAATTGCTTGAATCCAGGAGGCGGAGGCTGCAGTGAGCCAAGATTGTGCCACTGCACTCCAGCCTGGCGACAGAGCTAGACTCCATCATCTAAAAAAAAAAAAAAAAAAAAAAAAAAGACTTTCAGGACAAATGTCTACTGTCTTGTGGATATGAATGTGAATTTCAAAGTTGGGAATATGGATGGATACTGAGAATGCCAATTCTCCTAGCAGTTGGCATAACGACTGTGTAAAGAGAAAGCTACTCAAGTTATCATATTTTCCCTTGACCTTGCCTGAGCTACACATTGTTAAACTCTCTAGAGGCCACCCGTAACCTAGGCTAGAAGGCAACAAAAGTAACCTGGTCACGAACAGGTTTATTTGTTTCAAGGTGGCCAGTATTGGTTTGGTTATGAAAGCCTAAATGGAATGTTTTGGTATTGTGTTGGGCTGTGTAGACTGGAGGGATGAAAGCAGAGGCTTAGGAACTACAAAGCAATTGACATATTACCCTCTACTTGGAAAAGGAAATACATATCTACATTATATAAAATACCTCTCTTTATTCCCCTTTCCCCTCCCTCCTTCTCTCACGTGTGACACCTACACATTAACAATAGGGATAAATGCACAGGCAGTATTGCCCACATTTAGCAGGTTGGCTGGCAATGTAGCACAGCTGAATTGTCATGGTCAGTTTCCAGAAGACTGAGATAGGCAACGTCTGACTCCCGAAAAAGGAAAAAATTCATAGTGTGGAAGAAAATGGAGAGCCCTAGGATAAAACAATAGCTTTACTGATAGACTGAACCATCAATGTCCAAGGATTAAAAGAAGATCAAAGTATATCTATTCTGTTGGGCACCTAAGGTGTTTCATATAGTTGCTCTTTATCTGGTAATTAGCAGTAATATCCAGGTATCCAGCTAAATTGGGGGTAATTACGGGTTTGTAATTATGGGGTTTAGAGTCAGACAGATCTAGGTTACTGTACTAGCCATGCCACTTTTTACCCTGTGATGTTTAATAGATTTTCTGACCTATCTAAGGTTTAATCTTTCATTTGTTAAATGCACACAATGGTAATATGTTTCTGATAGGTTTGCCATAAATATCAAGTAAGATAATGCATATAAAGAACATAACATGTTGCCTAGGTCATAGGAGAGGCATAATAAATATTAGCTTTATTGACCTTGACTATTACAAGTAATTACTTTCTAGGCATTTTGTTCTGAATTGGTTGGAAAGTGAGTCTTATTCTATTTTTTATTTCAGATATTTCCAGTAGTTTCTTTAAAGAGAGATATGCTAGTTAAGACTACATCCTGAAATCTGTGACCTCACAGAAAAATGTGTTTTGTATGTGAATTATATATGCATGCATAATTCTTTTCAAAATGAACCACTTCCCACTTCTGTCTAAATAAATCATAGTCAAAGTTTATTTCCTTTATAATCATGAAAGCATCCATCTGGAGCCCCAGTTAAGATTCTGATACTTTATAGGTAATCATAGAAATTCAGTAGCTCCTGGGAGATAAAAAATTAGGATAAAAATAACAAAAACCCCATTCTATGATCCCTAAAAAGAAAGCATGCCATAGAATGGTTTGTTCAGCTCAATGAGATATTCTCATTATTAGTCTAAAAATTATGAAATTGCCAGTGAGTGTCAAAAATAATCAAATACTAACAATCTGAAGTTTCAAACTAAATATCAGGTGTGTTTATACAAGTAAAGTTAACTACATTTCCTCTTTAGTGAATGCTAATTCTAAACACATACCTTACTTAAGCCATGTATTTATCCATGTCATGCCTAAGCTATCATGGGTGAGGTATGGTATGAGTGGGATTCTTGGGCGTAAATGATGGAAATCACTTTGGCTAACTAAACACAAAAGGGATTTCCTGGAAGGGCACATCATGGTATAGAAAGGAAGTCTTGGAAAACCAGGCTTAGGCAGAAAAGCCAAGACCCTGAAACTTGTCAACTTAAGATACACCATAATTTGGGACCCTCTGCGATCTCTGACATTAACTGTTGTGCTAACTACTCCACGTATCTGCCAGAAATAAGCTCAACTGGATCCTCTTTTTTCTCATACTCTCTAAGTTTGAAACTCTGGAATGGAATGTCTGATTAGCTGCTGTCACATCCTCTTACTCTACCTTCTGGAGATATAACAACTTCCTCACTCAGTCTTTTGTAATGGGCCACAGAGCCCTGCTTCCAACCCATGTTGTTATTCCTGCCAAAGAGGAAGTCTGTTTGTATGCTGGATACATGTACATAGTTCGCTAGAATTCTTTCTCTGGATTTATTGCTGTGTAACATTTTGTTAGGGTAGTAATCTGGGATTGACACAGACTGAAGAGGTTTTGCATTTTCCATTATTTTTGTTTATAAAAAGTACATATATTCATATATAAATATGAAAATAATGTATGAATTTACAATGATGAGCTAAAAATATAGTTTCTAACCATTAAAAGTTGTTAATTTAGAATTTTCCCATATTGCTTTTTCTCATTTTTACTATCAGTATCAATTGTTGGTACATATAGAATATTATGAAAGTAATATGAAGAACCATTTTTTTGTTGTTTCATTGTGCAAAACATACTTAAGGGAGTGCTACCACAGATGTTTTTTACATGTAAGAAAAGTCACACATTTGATCTTTGTGTAGAAGATACAGAAGATCATCAGTTTAACGAAAGGGAAACAAAAATCAATTTTCCCCCAATGCACTTGTATGAACTTAATCAAAATTGAAAAGTAAATAAGCATATTTCCTGATGGTCTTGCTTTCTGTAGGAGGTAAAATGTTTGCATTGTTGTTGGCAAATAAAATTATCTTTTATGACAAACGAATTCATCTTTTTCCAAGGTGAAGAATTCATTTCAGATTAACTTTAAACTTATATGCTATAGGAAAAGTTAAAACTTTATTAAGAGATATTATGACTATATTTAATCACAATTATTTCACACTGGGAATAAAACTGACTGAATTCAACTATCATGTATTTCCCATGATATTTCAGTCTTTGAAAGACTTTTGAGATCTCAGGGGCAGTGTATTCCTTACATGAGCACTTCTTAGCATATTATATTTCCCAATCTCAATTATCTCTCCCTTTACTCACTTAAAAGATGCCTGAGAAAACTCAGTTCTCAGAATACACATTTAAAAGGTGACCTATTCTTTCCGTCGAGTTAACAAATTAAAATCATTTTAATTTTGTCTCCTAAGCTTTGCTGTTTATAAATGCTTTCTTCTTTTCTATAGTCAAAAGGTTTTGTTTTGTTTTGTTTTTTAATCCCGCCCCCTTTTTGTTGGTACGTGGGAGGGGAAGGATGGTGTTTGAAGTAAACATGCTTTCAATGTTAAGGGCAAAATAATTTTATTGACGGACAATGGATTAGAAAGTTACAAAACATTATGAAAGCATAGCCGTAACACAGCAATTAGATATATAAAAAATACTGATGGTCCCTTAGGGCTCTGCTTAAAACACGGTGTTTTTCATTTAGAAAATGAAATAATTTAATTTATTAATTGAAGTAGCTGTACTGGTGAGGCACTTTTCCTGTAATTGGGATGGCTTTTACTCAATCATTAACAACTTGTTTAAAAGTATTCATCTGAAGATGGCTAATGGTCATATTGGAGGGTTAGTTCTTCACCATGAAACAGAACGAGGCAAAAGGGCCTGTACTGAGTATTGGTCTCTGATCTTGGTGCAGCTAGCATAATGTTCAATCACGTTTGGCCATTTTTTCCTATTTAATGCTTAAATGAAGCATATAAATTAGGTATTTGACTTCCCATTTCTGTGAGGAGGAAAACATTTATTTTAGAAAAACCAAAAACTCAAGTTCTAAGACTTTGATTTGTTTTCATTTCCCCTGCAGTCATTTCTACTGAGAACATCCTGTCACAGACACCGGACACATTGCCATGTAAGAGAAGCATTACCAGATACCAAAATGTTGGGTCGTTTTAATTACACAAATAACACAATATTTTTTTCCTAAACATAAGCATGAGTCCATGGTATTTACCTAATAAGAGAAAACTTGGTTGAAAGGGGAAGCTTTTAATATGGTTCCAGGTCTGGTGACAAGGTTATGCATAATAGTTTTTTTCTTCTGAAGAATAGGATAGAAAAACAAAATACAAAGATACCAAAATAGGGAATAAAGGTATCTGTATGTATTTCTGCTTTTGTCTTTAGGTAAATTTAATGTGAAAATATGTGTGTGTGTGTGTGTGTGTGTGTGAGAGAGAGAGAGAGAGAGAGAGCATATTAAATATATATTTTAAGTGACTTCTTTTGAGTTAGAAGAATTTTAGCAATTATTGATTCTCCCTAAGTTACCAATGTTTGCCACTTCATTTGTGTATTTAGAAACAGACAGGCTAAAAAAATGAAGAGAAAGAAAGAAACAAAACCCAACTGTGGCACCTAAGAAGGCAAAGAAGCAAATGGCATAAGACATCCATCTCTTCCCTTTTACTGCTTCCTTGATTCCCATTCTCCCAACTCTGATAAAAGCATTTTTACCTCACAATGGAAGTGAATGGTAAAATATATGGTATCAGCTAATGTGTAATCTTGATCTTGATCTACACCCGGGCCCATGACGTCACTGCTTGTGCAAGAAGAAAAGTCAAAGGTTTCACACCCTGTCTTACTGCATCATATGATAAGCATGAGGTGCCTCATGTTCTGACTGAGACAGCATTTTACTTCACCTCCCTCCTGATTCTGCCACTCAGGGCACTGGATGCAGGCACACTTCTTTGTTCGTTTGTGTAAGATCATACGTCCAGGCAAGACTTAATCATTATTGACTCATTTATTATATATCGATTAAAGAGACAAAATTTAATTAATCTTGAAAGCAGACTTGTACTTCCAGCCAGCTGATGGTGCAAAATTATCTAGGTCATTTGTTCAAAATAGAGAGTTCTATCAAAACCTTATTCAGACTGATTTTTACTTCAGCCATTTCCAAGATGAAATCATTATGAGAATAATCTGAAGAAGAAATTCCCAAACAATAGATATTTGTTACCCAAATTTCCAAAATAAACTAGTCTAGGAGTAAATATAATGACTCCAGAGTAATAAAATAGTATTTTTCTGGTGTTGCCACTATCCATAAGATTTCAGAAGTTTTGACATCTCTCAGATTTCTCCAACAGACTTCAAGCTGTCCCCATGGGGATCGCTGAAAGCATTTATTCAACTGATAAGCAGAGAGTACGATTTCCTCTTGCATACTCTTCTTGGATAACACAAGTAGTCCTCCATTTATCTTTTCTCCTACTCCAGCGATTGTGAGGATATGTCTTTCTTCTAATGCTCTGATGTTTCAGCTCTTATATAGTTATTTTTTTTTCTTCATTGTACACAGAGGCTGGATTGGTTTGCTACTTCAGTAATGTGACCACAGAGGTCAATAATTATCAAAATTATGGAAAGTACTACATTCTGCTACATAGGCTATGATTGCTTATATTTTTTCATGTTTTACAGAGATTTTAGGGAACCAGCTCTACTTTATTCTCTACTCAATTCTCTACTACCTGTCTTTAAGGGGTGAAACAGCTAACATCTGATCCATAGTCAAAAATTTTCATATTTTTTTGAAACTTAAAGCAAGTTTGTGTGCACTTAGCTCTTTTTTCCAAGAGATTTGTTCTTTCCTAGTAAGTTAATTAGCACTTTATGCAACCAGACCAACTTGAACAAACTCATTAAATTTGCTCAAATGTATCTGAATCCTAGGATGAATTCAACACAGTCTCTCAAGCTAAGATCTCTTCACCATACATGTACATATATTCCAATAATAATATTCCATTTGAGAACAGACTGTCTCCATTATTTTATATATAGTAGTCAGTGAATTGAATCCAAGTTAATTTTGTTCTTGGAATTATCCCTGATGTGCCATGACGTATATTTGGAACCAGCTGAACTTTCTAATAGAGGAACAATACGAGCATTACCTCTTAATATCATTTTGGATGGCATAGTGCCAAGGTCACTGATTGAGTTTCCTAGAGTTCTATTGCCAGAAGTAACCACACTGGCCATTGTCAAAAACTCTCAGGAGATTGAAGCACCAGTCGCATCATTTTGACTTGTAACAATAATCTACTTAAAAAGCACTTCTCTAAGAAATTCCTTTTTTTCACCATAATAAGCCTTAAGAGTCAGATTTGTTAGGCTCAGTTACTCCTAAGCCTTGTGTGTAACAATTAAGTAATGGCATATGTCCATGCTGGTCATTCTTACATATTTTCAATGCCATTACATATGAGTGATGCCTTGTCATTTTCACATATTCCGTGGAGATTACATACACATTGTGATGTTGGCTTAGTAAGAGTGCATATTTAAATGAGGCAACTTAGGGTGTGGGGGTGAGATTCCAGAAGCCCTGGTCATTGCATTTCCCAAGAACAATATTTTCTTTTATCTTTTTTGAAAAGCTGTGTCCTTTAAGCTTATGATAGTAAAATGAACCTTAAGATTTAGATATTTAGATCAATTTTATAAATTCTCAAAATTTTCCTCTGTGGAACTATATTAGTTGCCATGCAAACAAAGATTCTGATTAAGAAAACAAAAGGATGATGATTTTGTATTTTTATGATATTTATTGAATTCATTCTTCAGTGGATATTAATCTAATTTATTATAATAATAATACTCCTTTTATCATTCATATAATTATTCCCATATCAAATTTGTAACTTTCTTCTTATGCTCTGATTTTGGACTTATGAATTAGAGTTAGCAAAAGGCATCCCTTAGACTTCTACATGGATGGGATAAAATAAAGAAAACATGACAAAAAAATTTTTTGAGGAATTTCATGTGCATCAACTGTGGCAGGATTTCATGTTTGTTTGTTTTCCCTACTACAATAATATGAGCCAATTTCCTGAGAGAAAAAGTCTCATACAGTATGGTGGATTCTGGAAGTTCCAAAGTATTCACACACCAGGACAGAAATATCATCTCAAAATCTTCTCCAGTGGAAGCTGATTCATAAGACTAAGGAGGGTAAAATAAGAGTATACATGAGGGAAGAAAAGAAAAAGGTCCCTATTGAAAAAGGTCTACGGTAGGACAAGGAAGAAAAGAAACAGCCAGAAGGAAAATCTGTAAAAGATATCTCTGAGAAAGGTCACTTCAATTGATGTAGGTTTTTCTGTTATGAATTCCTTTTTATGTGCTTAGCTGTTAAATGTTAAATCTCCCATTTTAAAATGGACTTTAGTTTCACCATGGAATCAGGCCCTAACCCCTGCAAATGATGGTCAATCTCTACATATGTATTTCATTTTATGTCATGTGCTCTCTGCTCATGCTTCCTATTTTTCTTATTTGGTGCCCTGATATAAGGGCATTTATCTGTCTGAAATGTCATTGTTTGAATGTGTATTGATATCCTCTCGTGTAGGTGCCTCAGGGACATTCTTTTCTGATGGATGTTCCAGATGTCAGAGTTTACACCTGTTCCTAAGTGTAAAATGTATATGTTAACCAACAAAAATAAAGTTTTATAAGACTAAGATGATTGTAAACTGAGAAGCTCATGTAAGTGGATATAGCAAGGTGTAGGAATAGAAAACATCTCATTTGTTTGAAAAATATATAAGTTCTAGAAGAAGGCAAATATGACATTTAAAGGAAAGGTCTGGATTAAGTATCATATGTTTAAGAGACTAAATACAGTACCTTAAGTGAATTATGTACTATTTCCCAAAGTCCAAAAGATTATGACTTTTTTCTTTCTCAGTCATTAAATAGCACATGGTTTGGAGAAAGAGAAAAAAATAAATAAATATTTTCTAAGAAATGTCAATCCTTGAAACAAAGTAGAATTTAATAGCTTCATGAGATTTTTTATATTTAATGTGATCAGCAATGTAGTTAGTGGCAGTGTAATCATTAACAGAGAGAAGCCTAGATTATATTCCCCACTTATCACTTATTAGTATTAGTCATTCAAACATTCATTCTATTATTATTTAAGTCTTTATAATGTGCCATGCAGTGTTCTTAGAAAACACTTTAACTCTTTTTGCCTCTACGGCCTTATCTGTAAAATGGATAAAAATTTTCCCCAACTTAGTGAAGATAGGGGTTAAAAAGGTCTTTTGAACTTAAATAACAGATTTATAATTTTTTATACTGGGTAATATTTTCTATTTGGACCTGAATCATTCCCTCTTTTACTTCTCTTCTCTCTCTCTCTCTCTCATAGAAAATAAAAACAGAAGCAACAGTAAACAACCAAAATAACACAACCTAGAAAAGACATTCCTACAGAAATATATTATTTAGGAGAAGGAATTAAATGTAACTCCAGAAGACCAGTGAAAGATGCCTCCACAAAGCTCTGTGAAGGGCAACAAAGAAAATGAGAGATATAAAACCTTTTGAACTTTAAGATTTACTTACCCAATAATTATTTAATAATTATTTGAATTTTAGACTTCTGCCATTTTATTTTTTCCTTCTGAAATGAAGAACTGCTTGCATAAACTAAAAACTATTGTATAACATGATTTTAGTAAATGAATAAAAACTTCCATTTTAATTGTATATTTAATTGTACAAGATTAAAGGTTGGTACTATAACATATAATCTAATTTCACAACAAAATTAGACCACATATTTAGGAAGCCCATTTTGGGAAGAGGAGGATTTTTGTAAATAAGGGGTTTTAATTTCATTGTCCCATTAAGGTATGACAATTATAAATAGATGTATTTGTAAAATGTCAGTTAGAATCCTTTAAAACTGCAACATTAAAATATTTAGTATGTTTTTGTATGTCTATTCTAACGATCTATAATATTTAGTTTTTTCTATAAATAGCTGTAATCTAGGTTTATGCTTTATTTGAAATTTACTACATCTATATTTCTGAAAGTTTGAGATGGTTAGGCTACTGTTGCTGTTTTTAAATGTCTTGCAAGAGGAAAATGAGTACCTGATCCATAATCAGATAAACTATTACTAACATTTAATTTGAATTGGGAATAGTGATGATATAGTTTGAATATATGTCGCTGCCTAATCTCATGTTGAATTTTAATTTCTAGTGTTGGAAGTGGGGCCTGGTTGGAAGTATTTGGATTACGGAGGATGATCCTTCATGGTTTAGTGCTTTCCTCCTGACAGTGAGTGAGTTCTCAGGATATCCGTTTTTTTTTTTTTTTTAATGTGTGGCACCTCCTCCCCTGATCTCTTGCTCCCCTTTTTTGCCATGTCATGTGCCTGCTCCTGCTTCGCATTCCACCATGAGTAAAAGCTCCTGAGGCCTCCCGAGAAGTCAAGCAGTTGCTGGAACCATGCTTCCTGTACCACCTGGGGAACTGTGAGCCGATTCAACCTCTTTTCTTTATAAATTACCTAGTCTCAGGTATTTCTTTATAGCAATGCAAGAATGACCAAATATAATACAAGTAGCAGCAGGAACATTTAAAACAATGATGTGCCTTGATCAGTTGATTTCCTCTATGATACAGCCATGTTGCAGATTTAAAATTAACTACAATTTGATTATTTAATTGTATGGACATTTCATCCATTGCAGATTTTGGAGGCTCTGAATACATGGGTCTATAAGCACATATACACACACACACACACGCACAAGTTTGTGTGTGTTTGTTCTTTATTAGTTAAAATGGCTTGGTGAATTTTTGCCAATTATATTGATTATTATATAAAAGTTTTCTATCTTGCTAAGCTGCTTCTTTACTAGCCCTTTGACTACAGAGAGCAGAGTTTTGTTAGAACCTTTTTTTTTGTTGTTTGTACCCATTGCCATTTGTGGATTGCCAGCTTCTTAAGCTGGCATATACGAAACAAACGAACAAAAAAACCACAAAGAACTCAGCATCCTCTTTCCTTGGGTCCCAAGTTCCCTACTTGGTCTGCCTTTTTTCTAAACTTTTAGAGTCTTCTTATGCTTGTTTTCTATATACTGGCCAGAGCTATTAGTTATACTTAGTGGAAGGCATAAGGTAAAGTATGTTTACTCCCTCTTCCCAAAAGTGGAAATTCAAAAAGATTTTTAAAAGTTCACATTGTACCAACATTTTACGTGCCCATAACCCCATCTACTCAGGAGGCTGAAATGGGAGAATTGTTTGAGTCCAGAAGTTAGAGGCCAGCAGCCTGGGCAACATAGCAAGATCCCATATCTTTTATATATGTACATAAATTTATATTAATATATCTGTTTATATATTTTTATATATGAATATTATATAAAAATATTTATATACTTTATATTATACATATTATCTTCTGTATTTTATACAAAATATTAGTATACGTTTATATATAAATATATGTAAAATATAAATATATGTAATATATGTATTACACTTTAGTAATGGCTAACAATTATTCTCAATAACATTGGATAATACAGTTAATTATGCTCCTTAGTTCTATCTGTATCGTTTAAAGTTACAATGATTATCATAGAATATTTGAGTTAAAAATATCCTGAATGAACACTAGGTCCTTCAAATCAAACATTTAATAGCAGCTCTTCGATTAGAAATCAGGTTCTTAGCACCTAGTTCAGGGTTATTACTCTAATATCATAACAGCTTTCTTAGAATAGAATAGCAAACCTCATAAAATTTAGTAAATGCTAAATTCTTGCTTAAACTTAGAAAAAGATGTTCTGAGTACAATGCACGGTTAAACTTTCAAGTTTTTGCCTACTCAATCCAATTCTTCCATTAACTTTTTAAAAACTCATAGATATAAAAATACATATGCCTTTATCTATCTTGGGCTCATGTATTTTTAAAAAATACTCTTGCTAAGTATACTCCAAACTGCTATTTAGGATACTTAGAGGAAAATATCATACCAGAAATATGAGTTATCAGAATTACTAATGATATAAATACAATTAACCATATGATTTATAATCTATACTAGTCATATTTCTGAATGCTATTTTCTCTTTCACTATTCTACAAACCAAAATAGTTCAATAGACACTTAACTAATACATGTATCGAGTTTCTCCCACTATGGTCTTATCTTCCATGCAGGGTGATATAAAAAAATGTAAATCATTATTGTATACCACCCCTGCTCAAATTTCTCCAGTACTTTAGATACACACTTAAAACGCAATACAAATTTTTGTATATGCCTCTAAACTTTACTTGATTTTGGTCTTGCCTCCTTTGACACCACTTCTCCTACTCTGAGTGCCCCCCTACATGGTTACCATGTTGCCTCCATGCTTGTCTTCTCTCTTTTCTTGAACACATTTATCTTATTTCTATTTGAATGCTTTTGAACAAACTGTTATCTCACATTACCGCCTTTGCCAGAAAACTATGAAGGAGAAAAATCCAAGGTTGGCTATTGTGTGCTAGCGAGTAAATGAGTACAATCATTTCTGCTTCTTTATTTTCAGTCCTCTATTGTTATCAATTATCTATCATAAGCTATAAGAGAGATGTTTACTGAAATGTGTGAAGCTTCAGAATATAACTGAAGATAAATGCTAAATTATATATAATGTAATTTGTCTGCATAGAAAAGCAACATTGTGGATTGCATTTTCAACTATCCCACACACTATCATCAACAGAAAACAACGGTTAGGCATGGAGTTAAACCAGCCCATGCCAATTTTGTTATTTCATATGCTGCTCTCAAAGCAAAGGCTTTGGAAGAAATCCAAATGGAAATCCAATTCAATAGCACTCTGTATTCCAAAGGCTTTGTGGTGGGACCAGAAGTATAATACATGTGACTTGAGGGCACAATGTTCTAAGAAAAAATGACATATCTCACATCAAAGATGAGCTGATTATAACTAGTGGGATGCAAATTATAGTATGTTCATAGACATTCTGATAAATAAGAAAACAAAACATTATAACTTCATAAAACAATATACTCTATACACTCCAAATCTGAAATCACAATCTGATTTAATTTCAGCTTTTTTTTTGGACTTTATATGTTAAATTTTACTACTACTATTATCACAACTTGTTGCTTTGTTTTCTCTTCCTTGGATTACTTTTCTTCTCTTTCCTTTTATTGTAGACTAAACTCTCTCTATATATACATTTATTAACTGTAGCCACCATGTTGTGCAATAGCTCTCTTGAACATATTCCCCCAGGTAGCTACCATTTTACTTTCTGCTTCTATGAGTTCAACTTTATAAAAGCTTCACTTTATAAAGATCAACAAGGAAGCCATGTGAAAAATGGATTGGAGGCGAGAGGAAGTTCTGAGACCACATAAAATTAAATGTTGACAATTTTGAGACCTCACTAAGAGTCTAACTATATGGGTCTATAAGTCTCCTGTCTTATATAATGCTCCTGCACTTCTTTATTAATGCCTACATTGGTATTCCATTGCAATCATAAATGAAATGAACAACATCCAGGCTGAATCAATACCACGATTCCATTTGTAGGCCACATACATTTTTTTTTTTTTTTGAGACACAGTCTCGCTCTGTTATGTAGGCCACTCTTCCTTCTCATCTTCATGGTTCTTCCAAAAACCAAACATAATGAAGAAGATTAAAAGGAGAAGAAAGAAATGTTCTTTTTTATTAGGTGGAACTATTGGCAATTCTTAGGTAGCAATAACTGGCAGATTATTCCCCTCTGTCATGGCAGACATGAAGACTTTCAAACTTTTATGAAGTATGTGCTGTTAGAATTTTTATGGATCACCCTTGTCTATCTACCCCACAGTGCCTTTCAATATTACATATTCTCTGACGATAATGTGATAATCTTGAATTGACCTTTTGGAGTTTGTTCTCAACTAGTACCTCTGACAGAACATCACACAAAGTCTTCACCATGGCAAGTCATAATTTTTTTATAAGGGGGTAAGTAGGGTAGTACTTTCAGAATGACCTCATCCTAGCTAACTTCCACAGTACCCACTTGGTTCAAAGGACCTCAAACTTCCTTGTTTGTCAAATTGTAGAATTTTAGCCTGTTTCTACTGTGGCCTTTCTGCTCTTTGTATGGGTGTTCCAAGCCTCCTCCCAGCTTCAGACTTATATTATGAAATCCAGGCTGCAGTCTCTCTTTGCTGTCAAAACTCCAGGGGTGACAGAACAAGCTCTGCTAAGATATCACAACGCTCCCCACCCTGGTAGAAGCATGAGGCCCATTTCTGGTTTTCTGCAGCTAAGGAGTAAAAAGTCAGTTTCTTCTTGACTCCAATTTGTCTCAATTTCCAAGGGTTTTTTAGAGCCTTCAGATTTGCCATAGGGCCATCTGCAGGAGCGGAGGAAAATCCTGACAGCGGTCTTTACACCTACATTTCCTCACTTCAGGAAACGCTCTTCTCACCAATACATCTGTAGCCTTGATCTTTATAGGTTGCAAGTAAAAAATAGTACGGAGCCAGTTCAGCTTTCTTTTATCTGGCCACACCATAATGAATGTAGTACCTCTCTTTGGATTGTGGAATACTTAGCACCCAATATTATAAGCTTTGTGGTTTTATCCAAGATTATAAAATGACAGGAAAGCTCTATCATAAATGTTGTGCTAACTTTTATTTACTGGCTTTGAGATGACAAAGCAACTGTTTAATCAAAGTTATATGCCAAGTATGTGGTCTACACAACAGAGCGAGACTCTGTCCAAAAAAAAAAAAAAAAAAGTATGTGGCCTACAAATGGAATAGTGGTATTGATTCAGCCCGGATGTTGTTCATTTCATTTATGATTGCAATGGAATACCAATGTAGATGTTAAAAGAGAAGTGCAGGAGCATTATATAAGACAGGAGACTTATAGACATATATAGTTAGACTCTTAGTGAGGTCTCAGAATTGTCAACATTTAATTTTATGTGGTCTCAGAACTTCCTCTCCCCTCCAATCCATTTTTTACATGGCTTCCTTGTTGATCTTTATAAAGTGAAGCTTTTATAAAGTTGAACTCATAGAAGCAGAGAGTAAAATGGTAGCTACCTGGGGGAATATGTTCAAGAGAGCTATTGCACAACATGGTGGCTACAGTTATTAAAATGTATCACATATTTAAAAATGTCTAAGAGAATATATTTTAAGTGTTCTCACTACAAAGAATGATTAATATGTGAGGTAATGTGTATGCTGATTAGCTTTATTTAGCCATTCCACAATGTATACATATTTCAAAGCATTATTCTGTATACAGTAAGTATGTGCCTGTTTAATATGTTAATTAAAAATAAAGGGAAAAATATATAAAAATAAAATGAAGCTTTCATCATTTCAACTTTCTTCTTATACTTTCTAAAAACTTTTAGCAGCTCTTCATGTTCCCTTGGCTAATGTCCAACTTTATGCTTTATTCACTTGGATGTAAAATCCGTAATTATTAGAGCTAAACCTTCTTTACAGTCTTCTTTTTCTCCTATTCCCACCTATGTGATCCATTCTAGATCATTTATTACTTAAACACTCCTCCTTGAACTTATTTATACCTCATCTACACCTGGACTCCTTTTTCTCATTCTATCTAATCTATACTCATTCTTCAATAAAATCTTTACTATTATATTAATTACATCAACACAATAGGTGGTCCTTATTTAGAAACAGTAAGTTTTCTTTTCTGCATATAAGAAACAACTAGTTGGTTATATATTGTTTATTTTTTGTTTTCTCTTTTAATCATTAATAATTGAACCATAACCCTATTTAGAACACATGTAATAATTTGACTTCCCAACTGCATTGTAGTATCCTGTAAGACTGCCTTAAATGTGGAGAATGATGTCTTGTATGCAGTAGGTGCTTATTAAGACTTGTGTTTTTATTGATAAACATATGACAGAATTGATGAGCAGCCAAGGAAAGATAATTTCTACATCCTAAAACTTTAAAAAAAAAAAACTCTTAGTTGTAAGGATAAAATCAAAGTAATTTACCTTTTCTTTTAAGAAGCTTGTTCTTGGAGGATAAAAAAATCTGAAGAAAACAATCCATTAAAGAAGCTATATAAATTTGCCATGCACTATATTCTACTATTAACTATATCCAGTCTTGAATAAGTGGAACTCTTGGGTCAGTGCAAAAAGAGTTGGAAAGGCTCTTCTTTTTCTCATCCCCCTCCCCCTTTCTATTCCTCTTAATCCTTCTTCTCAACTTTCTTCTTGTCATCTTAATTTGATTTAGGTCACACTGTATAATAATTAGTTAACTTTGTCATTCAGGGCATCGTTATAATAGGCAAGGAGTCCCTCACTTATTTTCAAGACCATGGAGTGTATATCTAACCTTTTCTTATGCCTTCATACTATTGGCTAGAAAGAAGATTAATAAGGATCCTATACAGTTTGTTCCAGAACTCACCACACCCACTACATCGCCCTGGTCCAAATCTTCATAAAATTGCAATTGTTCTCACTGGTCCCACTCTTGGCCTCCTTCAATCCGTTCTAATGGCAGAAGCTGGTGTGAGGCTCTAAAACATAATTGATATAATTTTCCTTTACGGCTCAAACCTTCCATAATCTGCCATATTATTTAGATTAAAACCAGTGTTCTTACAATTAACTACAGAGTACTTTATGATTGCTTACTACTGTATACCCAACTCACTGTATGATTTCACCTCTTCTCCTACCCTTCTCCTCCTTTCTCTTTCACCATTAGCAGCTCCTTCATAGAGCTTTTGTACATGCTAACCCATCAGCTTGCAATGTCCCTCCCTAGTGACCTTTTCTCCCACTTTCTACAGGCGTCTTACTTTCTAAAATGTCTCCTTCCCTGGCCAGCCTATCAATAATTATATTCCACCCTTCTCAATTTTTTGTTTTTTTTGAGACAAGGTCTGAGTCTGTCAAGCAGGCTGGAGTACAGGGGCACCCTTCTTAATTTTTATACTGCTTTCCCAGGCTTGCTTTCTTCCATAGCTCATATATTTACTAATTTCTTTCGTTTACTTGTTTTTCTTCAATAGAATATATATTTCAAGCACAAGTGTGTTAAATTCACTGCTACATCCTCAGCATTTAGCATAGCATCTGTTACTGAGTAACTCAATACGTATTTGTTGAATGAAAGAATGAGCACCTGTATGAAGGCCACAGTCCTAAGGCAACTGAAGAGATACAACGTGTAAAACATAGACCACAGACTATAAGCTGTAGAGGAGATAAATATTTACGTAATGAAGACAAAACAAGTACAAAATGTTATGTTATAAAAAAGTATTGTGGCAGAGACTTCAATGACTATGAGTAGGACAATAGTAATAATTGTGCTTAATCCTGAAAGATGAGATTGTAATATATGAAAATGGAAGAAAGACTAGATTCTTGGCTAATTATAGAGCACAGGAAATTTTTTAAAGCAGTGATATAAAAGCATATTTTATATTTAAGCAGGGTCAATAATGCAGTTCGACAGAAGTGCAGCATATGAGAAAATAAGCCTGTTGGTAGAAATGTTAGCTTGGTGGCAGGCCAGAGAAATGTTGAATGTTCAATGAAGAGAATGAATAATAGTGTGTGGGTAGCAGAAAACCATGTAAGATTTTTCAGAAGGAAATTAAGATGGCCATGTGTGTGCTTTTAGCGTGTAAGTGGTAGTGAGGGAGAGAGCAAAGAGAGAGTGGAAACAGAGAATAGTCAGGAAATTATTAAAATATTTAGAGAAGAACGAGGGTAGTCGCAGTAAGGAACAGGAATGAAAGAGTGGATTCCAGAGATAAAGGAGAGTAGAATGGAAAGAACTTAGTGATTGATTTGTCCTTAATCTATGCAGACAATGACTGTGGCCAACTATGAATATGAGTGATAATTTTGATTGAAAAATGTGTAATATTTTTCTCTATCCTGAGATCTTATAGGTAATAGGGTGTGAAATATTTTAAAAGCAGAAAGGCCATGCATTTTTTCTTACTTATATACTAAGAATTCGAGTGGAAAAAAATTTGCTTCTAGTCTGAAATTTCCCAGTGATGTCAGAAGCTCAGCGATAGATTAATTTGTGCAACCCATGCCTATAACCACCAGATTCAAACAATGGTCTGGCACATATGGGAAGCCAGTCATCCTCATTGCCTCAATTCCACTAGGGAATGATAAAAGAAAAAAAAATTCTTAACATGAAACATTTTATGCTTGCAAGAGGATGATGAGCAACTCTTGATGAGAATAAAACCTCCAAAAATATGTCTCAAATTAGAACAGGAGAACTGCATAGTAGAAAATAAAATGCAGCAAACAAAAAAATAAACAAAGGTGATCAAAACATGCTTAGAATAGGCAAGCAGAAAACAAAGAGAAAGGGTTATGTTGGGGACACAGCAACATAATTGGATTCCTCTGCCAACCCTGGTAATTAAAATGGAGACACTCAGTACCTTAGTTGCGCTGCAATCCCATAATATGTTTGAGATTAACAACCCTCGAATCTTGGTTTTACTGCTATATTATTTGAATATACAATACGTATCTCTTGCCATTTTCAGAACACACAAATAAAGATTTTTGTAGGGCCATGAAGATTTAGAAAGAGCTAATGAGAAAGCCTGACTTGTGCTCTCCAGTCACTTCCTTTGCTGGGTCAATATTTTGGGCAAATTCGAACAGAAAACAAATGAAATAAGTAAATAGCAAGCTTTGCAGTGATTTAAAGCTCTGCTTGCCTATTTGGGAGAAGCATCAAGCTGCTGTTCTGTAGCTTTGCATGGCCTCTTCTCTGTTTTGCCAGTTGTTTTTTCTTTCTTTCTTTCTTTCTTTTTTTTAGAACTCGCCAGTGCCTTATAAAAATGAAAGACACATAAAACGTATTGTTGGCTTGAGCTGCCTGGAGAGGGCTCAGTTATTTGTGAGGGACCGTTATCTTTGTTGGTACAGCCCTGCATGCTTCAAATCCCCTGTGTTTCAGATCTGTGTCTATACCCATCTGTGGAAGGAAGTGAAGACTTGAGTCTCCTCACTGGCATGTGGCCTTAACTGGCTGATGCTCACAGGTAACCCACAGCCCATGTGCAGGAAACTGCACACACAAATAGCCCTTCTGCTGCTGAGAGGCTTTTCTGACTATGTAGATGGTAATCTCAGCCAAATTCCTGCTTGCAGAGTGATGAGCATCCCTCCAGGCTCCAGTAGAGGCACTTGACAAGGGCTGCATATGGATATTACAAAGGGAACAGGAAGTACACCCCAGTAATTAATATTATATCTTGTCCCCAAAGACATTCTGCTCCCTTTATATGTTAGTTGACTGATCATCTGACTCCTCTGAGAGGTAATGATGAAGTTAATATAAACACTGAGCTTTATACCTAATTTCTACTATTAAAAGCAGGGGAGGAGGGAGGGCAGATACACCACACAGACGCAGAAAGCTGACTGTTAATGCTTAAGAGAAATGTCAGTGATATTTGGTATGCAGTGGAAAGAGTCAGAAACCTGGTTTTTCTGGATGGTGAAGGTTGTTGCTGGTAAATCTGCTCATGGTGACAGGTATTACAAATAACCCGGAGAAAAGGGAAATTGAAAGAACTCAAAGAGAAAGAGTAGGAAGGTCCTGCAGTATTCTACTTCTGTTTCATCCCTACTAGTATCTTTTACAAAACAAAACCATGCCAACAAAAGCTCAGTGCTAATCCAGACCCACATAGTGTGAAATAGACTCCAGCTCTTAGTTCACTTACCTTGTTAGTGAGAGAGGAGGTGAGCAAAAGACCAAAGGTAAATCGGGGATTATTCTTAGCACAGTGCAGACATCTGTCTGTCTTTGCAGGCCATTGTGAGATGACAACTGGAAACTCATGCTTCAAAAAATGATTTAAATTATACATACCTCACATTTTGGCATTAAAATAATAGACATTCCTAAGGTAAATGTCTAGTCTAAGCATATGGAAAATCCTGTAATTCATGCTTTTAATCATTCACTTATTCAATGGATATTTTCTGCATACTTTGCTGCTGCATCAGTCACTGCTGGATTGTATAAGTGATGCCCACTGTTCTCAGAGGGTTTATAGACTAGACGATCAAGTATGTTGGATAATACTTGAGAAAAAAAGGAGACTATACACAGATGTGAATTTTGTTGGGCCAATAAAACATTAGAGCTATTGACTGGAGAGAACAAAAAGATGGATTATTTTTTAAAGAACAAAGATGGATTTCTTTCTTCCCGGAATCTCCCATGTTACACTGTTACAATTTCTAAAGAGCTATGTAAGATTACAGTGGTGAGAGAGCCCAGCCATAATATAGTTCCATGAATGCTGTCCCTGGGCTCAATATAATCTGCCCCTAAAGAGTCAAAACAGTCACTAGAAATCTGATTATTCCATTGTTTGTGGGAGAAAATTCCATCCTTTCTTCATGATTTAGTTTGGTTAAAAAATTCTGATTTATGACTTACTGGATTATCTCCAAATATTTCAAGGGGATCATGCTGTCTTTTGATCCTCGATGGCCAAATATTTTTAATTCTTGTACAATTAAGATAAAACAAGACAAGCTTGACTATGGGGATGAAGCTAGGCATTGAAAAAGAATACAATTGAGGGGGTGTCACAGCTCCCCCAAAATGGACAATCTTTGCATTCATATCGTCTGTATTAAAGATTCAATTTCTTCACCACCTATCACAAAAATAAAAATATATTTTGTATGTCACAAAAGTCAGACCAGCCTCTTTCAACTGTTTCTGTCAGTGGAAAATGCTTTTAATGAAAATAAAATGAACATGATTTCTTCTGAACCACAGAATTGTTTCAATGGCTCGTGGTGTCTAAGTATTAGAAATAAAGAACTAGAATTTTAGGATCTGAGAATTTCAGGGGGAAAATACGACCAAGTTTTGGTCTACATGTGTTCATCAGGGGTTATGCTTCACAGTGGATGCTCTGAGGGGAGAATGGGGAACAGATGCAGCTGTGGAGGGGAGCCAGCCTCTGCACAGGGACGCCGTTCCACATTGCTGGGGCTCGGCGGTGGTGAGTCTGGGAGCTGCACAGCATTATGGCGGGTGCAGTGGTTCAGTTGTTATTAGTGAGTGTCATTGTGCCCTGTTTGCAAGCACTCAAGTGTTCAGAGGAGGAATCAAGGGTACCAAATGGAGAAAAACAATACACAAGAGTCTAATATCTTTAAGTGGGTAAATTATCTTTTCCTTGAGAAAGCAGAAAATGTTAATGGCTAAGTCTACAAAGACATTTTATAATAGAAGTAAATAAAGAAACAAAAGATTGTTCCAGTACTTTTGTGTGCAATTAAAGCCTGTCATTCAGTACCCTAAATTAATCTAAGTACTCTGACGTAAATGTGTATGTCATAAAAGGTACATTTTGTCTTGAATTTTTTCTTTATATAAATAATTAACAACTGGATTTTTGTGTGTGTGTGCAGTGATATTTGACTTAATGTATTTATACTATGTCAATATTAGAGTGAAAATAATTATTTATTCATATTTATCTGTCTTTTCCCTTATACAACCTATTGAAACAGAACCATTTCGCCAATGAGACTAAATTTTATTAGTCAAAGTTTCTTTTGTTCCAGATGATAAAATGATTATCGATTTATAAAATTAGATGAGGTATAAGAGAGTCTGTCGGATAAGGGGTTGTCAGAAACAACAAAACTGAACGGGTTCAACAATGCTGACTCCATTTCCCTTCCTGTTTCCTCTGGCTTTTCCCAGGGACATCTAGAAAAGTTAAGCCTCCTTTTACCTCTAGGTTACTTCATGGCATGCTCAGAAAGGAAAGCCCTGAACTGCTCCTGTACCCAGCTACCCCATTAATAAAATGATAAAAAGCAATGAATAGAAGTCACCTCCCTGATAGCATGATGGAGTAGGTGTGATTGCCAAAATAATCTCTGAAGTACCATGTCTTTAACTGTTCTACAACTGACAAGTGGATTGACAGAAAAAAAATTGTTGAATTCGTACAATGAAGTGACATGACAAAGTAGAACAATCATAGAATTTGTTGTCAGAACTTTTAGGCCAGGCGCGATGGCTCACACCTGTAATCCCAGCACTTTGGGAGGCCTAGGTGGGTGGATCACCTGAGGTTAGGAGTTCAAGACCAGCCTGGCCAAGATAGTGAAACCCCATCTCTACTAAAAATACAAAAATTAGCCGGGTGTGGTAGAGGTTGCCTGTAATCTCAGCTACTCAGAAGACTGAGGCAGGAGAATCGCTTGAACCCGGGAGGTGAAGGTTGCAGTGAGCCAAGATTGTGCCACTGCACTCCAGCCTGGGCAACAGAGTGAGACTGCATCTCAAAAAAAAAAAAAAAAAGAACTTTTGGGTTCACGTATAGACATCACCATTCACCAGTTGTGAATGGCAGATCATCTAACCTCCCTGAGCCTCATAATCTAACTATAAGAAAGAATGATAATGTCTCTACCACCTATTTTAAAACAATTATGTGAGATCAAGGGGAAATGAATATATAAGCATATTTTTAATACAAAAGCATAAAGTTTGCTATTAATAATTATTTGCACATGGAAGGTTCTCAATATGTATATGTTGTATAAAGGAGTCAGTGTGTCATGAAAGTCATTCTAGATTAGGTAAGATTACCAGGATGGGTGCTTCTTAAAAAAAAAACTAAAAGACAAATAGTACAATCTATTTGTAAAATATTTGTTAGTATCTACTAATGCTGAACGTTTCTCATATTATATAACCCCCAGATTCTACTACTAAGCATATAACCAGAAGAAGTTATTGCTTACTTTTTATCAAAAGGTGCAAAAAAGATTTATAGCAGTGTTGTTTGCCAAGCCCCAAACTGGAAAATCCTCATCAACGGTAAAATGTGTAAATTAATTGTGATATGTTTATTGCAATGGAATACAGTACAGCAATGAGAATAAATGAGCTATAACTACATGAAAAAATAAGCAAATCTCACAGATATAAATTTAGTGAAGGAAGTCGTACACAAAAGATTATATACTTTAGGATTCTACTTGTATGATGTTCAAAAGCAGGTAAAACTAATCAGTGATAAAAGAAGTCAGAAAGTGGTAGTTGTTGCAGGGTTAGTAACAAGAGATTCTAGACGGCAATACTATCCTGTGTTTGGTTAAGGTTTGTTTACTTTATGAAAATGCACCAGCTTGTACACTTATGATAGGTACACTTTTCTATATGTCTGTTATACTTCAATAAAAATTTAAAACAATCTGGTTTTGGTGAAATTTGATTTTAACCCTTCCAGTTTTACCAAATTCATACTGATTCCCACAGAAAGCATCTTGAGTCCTCATGTTAAACCCATTTTTTATCAACAGGACAGACAAGTCAAATAAATTTACACAATATTATTTACCATGTTATACCTCTCATATATTTACATCTAAAAAGAATACCTTCAAGAAAAAAAAAGTCAAACACAAAAGTATGAATCACTAATTGTGGATTTCCACTAATCATTAAGGAAGATAATTTCAAGTGAAAAATCTTTTGACTTTCATAAAATTATACCACATAAGAGAAAACATATTCTTTTATAGACATATGACTATAAGAGACATATGACTCTTATAGTCATAAGACTACACTGCAAAAGTCAAAGTTAAGAGGAAGGAACAGGGAAGGAAAGATGCTAAGTTTAGAGAAGATGCTGCAGAGACTCTTCATACTCACTCTACAATAAATACCTGTCGAGCTTTCAGTTTGTGTTAAGCACTGTGTTTTGTTCCATGTTCTCATTGCATTTACAATGTGGCCATGGAAAAAATTAATTTTTTAAAGCAGCAAGTATAAATTACAACTTGGTTTTAGTTATAGGTGATATACAAGTTTACAACTGTGTAAATGATTCTATCACTTCCTGGATGTATTAAGTTCAGCAAGTTACTTAACCTCAGAAATGTTTCTGATTTCTCACATAGGAAATGGGAATAATAATCGTACCTACCTCATTGTGTTGTTATGAAGATTTAAACAGCTAATACTCATAAAGTGCTTAAAGTAGGGCTTGATGCATTGACATCTACACAGCACATTTCATCAATCTAAAAGGTATAGTTTAACATTTTGGATATTGGGCTACTATAATCAGTAATATGGTACATTCACTTAGCTAAGGTGTGATAGGTTGCATTATCTACACATGGTTGATCTTGGTTGTATATTTTTGGTGGCTTGATCAAACACTTCAAAGTTCATTTGAGGAAGAAATTAGAAGTTCTGATCATATCAGAAAACCTTAATTTGAAACTTTGTGGTAAAAATTAGTAAAGTACCTATGTAAACCTTCTACGAAGAAGAAGATTGCAGCAAACTCTCAAAAGAAAGTAACTGACTTTGAACTTGAAGCAAATTTTTGAGAAGTACATTACCAATGCTTTTTATAGTTTAAATAATATATTATATAAAATACATAGATATTGACTGCTTTGAGTTGAACTAAACTAGGAAAAGTTGTATTCTGAATGTAAATATTTTAGAAATATCTTTATTTCATATCAAATTTCCCTTTTATATATGCATAAGATGGATATATGGTAGAAATCTATGTCTAAATATTTCAAAGAAAGCTCTTTCAATAAAAGTAAAATAAAAATTCTGAATACTATAAAACATTGTGCCATCATTTAATTAGCATCTCCTTGTCTTTCCTAGTGACTACACATAAAATAAAATAAAATAAAATAAAATAAGTCTTACCATCAGCAGTGTCTTGGTTTCAATTAAGTATGGTAGATATTTGTCGAATAAATAAAATGGTGTGCAGAAAGCATAAAAGGAGAAATAGACTTTCTTAAAGAGGTCAAGGAAACTTCCCTAAGGAATGAATTTTTGACATATGACTGAGACCTAAAGAAATGGTAGAGATTGAACAAATGAAGTAGAGGAAAATTGTCCCTCAGGCACAAGAAGCGGGCTGTGCAAAGATCCTATATGGCAAGAGGGAGCACAACACTCAGGAAGGTATAGCTTAAAGGATAGTGGTCACATTACAACCTCATTTCAAGTTATTTTCCAGATTTAGTTTATTGTAAGTTGAAAGCGGCTTTTCCTTTACACATATTGAAAATCTATACAATCTCTTGAACTCTCATCCTGGTTTGGAAGCAAGTACCTTTCATCTGTATCACATTTTGGTTTTATTTTTCACTGAAAAGGGAAATCAGTGCTCATTAACTAGAAAGATACTTTGCAACTAATAAGTCTGCTTTGACTGTTTTAATGTCTGCACATGGCAGTTTACTCAATATGATGTTATAATGACAGCTTTTATAAAATTGAATAAATATTATTTGATTATAACAAATAATATAATGAATCTAGGCACAAAATAAGAAAAGCTATTGAATCACTGCATAACACAAGTTAAATCATAAATCATAATGAAATAATTTGAACTTAATTTGAATGTAATAACCCATTACATCTACATATTTTTCTCTCTTTTAATAGAGTGAGCTAATCATCTTCTCAAAACCTTTATATAATAACATTTATAAGGGCCAGAAAAGTATCCTGCTCTATAAACTCTAAAAACACCCATAACTAGGCATATGTACTTAAGGTAAATGCAATATATTGTGGATGAGGAATTATTTTAATGTGCTTCACTGTAATAGTAAAGAATGTAGAGATTTCAAGATGGCTGACAAGAAGCAGCTGGTGCATGCCACTCTATTGAAAAGGAAACAAAATGGCAAGTGAACACTAGCTGTTCAGGTCGATAATCCAAAAGGCCACACCGGGATTTATCAAGGAAGCAAAGGGACCCATGGAGAGCAGAGAGGAGCAAAGCAGGATAGCCATCCATCTAGGACTGACTGGTGCAGAACCAGGGGAAGCTCCCCACATTGGGGAAAGGGTCAGTGAGGAAGAGCCTCAGGGACTCATAATTCCACCACAGACCTTTGTAATCCTAGGCATAGGAGATATCCCCTGACCCCTCCCCAGGCCTCCACACTGACACAGAGATCTGCTTTGTGTCTGGGCAGAACTACTGCCCAAGCCCATAAGGAAACCCATGGGCCTGGGATCTCTGAGAACCCCAGTGCCAGCTGCCATAGCCCTACCAACAAGGAAGGACAGACTCTCTTACATGCCCCTGGGATAGGGGCTCCAACCATGGTGCTGAGGAGGGAGAGACTGCAAGCTCCACCTCCACTCCTCCTTGCCAGGCAAGGCCCACTGGCCTGGGACTCTAGCACAGCCATACCACCCCCATCTGATTACTCCAATTGGTTGGAGGCTCTGCATTTCTCTGGGGTGTATCTCCCAGAGGCAACTGATAAGTCCTCTGCCATTGCAGTTGCTGTAGTCCCTTATCCTGCTGCCCCCAGACTGGGGAGGGAACAAAAAGCCTGAACACTTTTGCAAGCCTCAAGCATACCAGCAGCCATCCTCTGAAGAGGCATCAAGACCGCTTTCAGTGTGCCCCTGCCCCTGCTGCTTCTTCCCAAACAGGCCTTTCTGCCCTCTGACTTCCAGCGCACTCAACCCTTGCCCCTCTACTGGGCATTTTGGCTGTGGCCTAGAGGCCTTCTGAAAAACCTTACTCCTATAGGCCTGTGATCTTCCCTCTCGCTCCCTCTGCCTATGTGCTCTGTTTCTCCCCACCTGATAGTTGAGCCGGTGACCTAGTGACCAGCCCACTCCTTCCCTTCACAGCCATCACCTAAGCCACTTTCCCTCCCATCCAGCCCCATCGGGACTCATGCATGCTGTCCAACAGGCCTTCTAGGGGCTAGGGAGTTAGAGAAGTACCTACTCCATTCCAATTCTGCTGGCACCTGACCATTTCCTCCAGGAGGCCTGAGCTTGGACAGACCCAACCAACTGACATCACCATGACCAACACACTGCAGCAAATGCCCAAAGGCAGAGCCTCTCCCACTGCTTTTACAAAAAAAAATCATGCTACAAGCTGTGTTCCCCAACTCCTATGGAATAGAAAGCACACGGCACCAAGTACTCCAAGGTCCAGCCCATCGCCTGAAACAACAGAAAGTACCTAACAGTAAAAACAACACCAGATACATATTCATCTGCTTGTGCTATTGCTGGCCCTCACCTGTAAGCACCCAATTGTATTGGACTTTACAGTTCAACCTACAGGTTAGTTTATCTACTGCTTTTTTACTGGCTTGAGGGTTGACCTGTATAAAACCAGACCAATATAAAACCTGTGGACAGAAATGCATAGGACCATAGAAGCAAACTGAAAAGACCCTACACAACATACTTTACAGTTACACTCTCTAGCAAGGGAGAGAAAAATGAAAGGAAAAAAAACAATAATATTGAGAAAGAAAAAAAATTCTATGTGCATTACAACAATTACAAAAAATTGAAGTGCCAGCATCTCCAAATGAGAAGAAACCAGTGTAAAAATCCTAGCACCACGAAAAATCTGAATGCTGTGATACCAGCAAAGGATCACAGTAGCTCTCTAGTAATGGTCTGAAACCAAAATAGAAACTCGGAAGTGTCAGATAAGGAATTCAAAGCACGGATTACCAGAAAAATCAATGATATTCAAGACAAGATTGAAAATCAATACAAAGAAACTACTAAAACAATTCAGAAAATGAAGGAAGAGATAAACACCTTTAAAAATCAATCAGAACTTCTGAAATTGAAAAATTCACTTAAGGAATATTAAAATACAGTCAAATGCCTAATCAATAGACTAGACCAAGCAGAAGAAAGAATTTCAGATCTTGAAGAACAGTCTTTCACAATCTTTCAAACTAACCTAGTTGGACAAAAATGAAGAGATTTTTTTTTTTTTTTGATGGAGTTTCCCTCTGTCGCCCAGGCTGGAGTGCAGTGATGCAATGTTGGCTCACTGCAAGCTCCATCTCCTGGGTTCACGCCATTCTCCTGCCTCAGCCTCCCGAGTAGCTGGGACCACAGGCGCCCACCACCCACCATGCCCGGCTAATTTTTTTGTATTTTTAGTAGAGACGGGGTTTCACCATGTTAGCCAGGATGGTCTTGATCTCCTGACCTCGTGATCGGCCCACCTCGGCCTCCAAAAGTGCTGGGATTACAGGCATGAGCCACTGTGCCTGGCCGAAAATAAAGAGAATGTTTTAAAAAAATAAACAAAGTCTTCAAGAAGACTTTGTAAAAAGACTCATGCAAAAAGTCGAAGTCTATAAATCATTGCCAGTCCTGGGAGAGAGGAACAAAAAAATTAACAAACTGGAAAACATGTTTGAGGGAATAATTCAATACAATTTTCCTAATCTTGCTAGAGATATAGACACCCAGGTACAAGAAATACAGAGAACACCTGCAAGGTATTATACAAAATGAGCATCATCAAGGCATACAGTCATCATCAGACTACTCTAAATCAACACTAAAAAAGAAAATCTTAAAGGAAGCCAGAAAAAAGGCAGATTACATACAAAAAGAACACCATTGGGCTAACAGTTAACTTTTCAGCAGAAACCCTACAAGGCAGAAGAGATTGGGGGCATATTTTTATCATTTTTAAAGAAAGGAAACAGCAACCAAGAATTTCATATCCTGCCAAACTAAGTTTCATAACTCCAGGAGAAAAAATCTTTCTCAGACAAGCAAGCATTAAGAGAATTTGTTACCACTAGGCTGGCCTTACAAGAGATCCTAAAGGGAGTTTGAAACATGGAAAAGAAAGAACAATATCTGCTACCATCAACCCAATACCAGAGCTCACAGACCCAATACAGCAACTACACAATAGAAATTACAAAGCAACCAGAACCAGAAATTAACACTTCACAATAGGATCAAAAACTTACATATCAATATTAACCTTGAATGCAAATAGTCTAAACACTTCACTTAAAAGGCACACAGTGGCAAGGTGGATTAAAACAACAACAAGACCAATCTATCTGCTATCCTCAAGATGTACATCTCACATGTAATGGCATCCATAGGCCAAAGAAAAATCTACCAGGCAAATGAAAATCAAAAGAGAGCAAGAATCACTATTCTTATATCAGATAAAATATACTTAAATCAACAATAGTAAAAACGAATAAAGAAGGGAATTTGTATTAGTCTGTTCTTGCATTGCCATAAAGAATTACCTGAGACTGGGTACTTTATAAATAAAAGAGGTTTAATTGACTAACAGTTCCATAGGCTGTACAAGAAGCGTGACTGGGGAGGCCTCAGGAAACTTACAATCATGCCAGAAGACAAAGGGGCAGCAGGTACATCTTCACATGGTCAGAGCAGGAGGAAGAGAGAGCAAAGGGGGAAGTTCTATTCACTTTTAAGCAACAAGATTTCCAAGAACTCACTATCACAAGAACATGAAGGGGGAAGTCTGCCCCCATGATTCAATCACCTCTCATAAGCCCCTCCTCCAACACTGGGTATTACAATTTGACATGATATTTGGGTGGGGAAACAGAGCCAAACCATATCAGCATCACATAATAATAAACGATTCGATTCAACAAGGAGACTTAACTATCTTAAATATATATGCACCCAACAATGCAGCAACGAGATTCATTTAAAAATTCCTTTTAGATCTACAAAAAGACTTAGACAGCCACACAATCATTGTGGGGGGATTTCAACTCCCAAGTGACAGCATGAGACAGATCATAGAGGCCAAAAACCAACAAATTCTGGAATTAAACGCAACATTTGACTAAGTAGACCTAATAGACATCTACAGAATACTTCCCCCAGGCACCACAGAATATACATTCTTCTCGTCTGTCCACAGGACATACTCTAAGATCAAGTACATGCTCAGCCATAAAGCAAGACTCAATATATTCAAGAAGATCAAAATCATACCAAACATACTCTTGGACCACAGTGGAAGAAAAACAGAAATCAAACCAAGAAGAACTCTCAAAACGACACAACACAGAAATTAAACAACTTGCTCCTGAATAATTTTTGTATGAAAAATGAAATGAAGTTAGATATCCAAAAAATTCTTTGAAATAAAAAATAAAAATACAACATACCAAAATCTCCAGAATGCAGCAAATGCAGTAGTAAGAGGAAAGTTTGTGCTGCTAAACACCTGTATCGAGAAGTTAGAAAGATCTCAAATCAATGATCTAAGATCAAAACTGTAGTAAGTAGAGAAAACAAGAAAGAGCTAATCTCAAAGCTAGCAGAAGAAAAGAAATAATTAACACCAGGGGAGAACTGAATGAAACTGAGACCCAGAAATTCATACAAAGAATCAACAAAACCAAAAATTGGTTCTTTGAAAAGATGAACAAGATCGATAGACTGCTAGCTAGACTAACAAAGAAAAAGAGAGAGAAGATAAAAAACACAATCATAAATGACAAGGGTAGCATTAAAATTGATTCTACAGAAATGAAATGATCCTCAGTGACTATTATGAACATCTCTATGCACACAAACTAGGACATCTAGAGGAAATGGATAAATTTCTTGATATATGAAACTTCCTTAAATAGATTCATGAATAAATTCAGACCCCGAATAGACCAATATAGAGTTCCAAAATTAAATTTGTAATTAAAATCATAACAACTAAAAAGAAGCCCTGGACCAGACAGATTCACTGCCAAATTCTACCAAACATACAAAGAAAAGTTGCTACCAATTCTACTAAAAGTGGTCCAAAAAAGCAAGGAGGAGGCACTCTTTTCTAACTCAGGCTATAAAGTTAACATCACCCTGAAACAAAAATAGTGCAAAAACACAACAACAAAAACAAAACTACAGGCCAGTATCTGTGTTGAACAGAGACGCAAAAAAAAAAAACAAAAAACAAACAAACAAACAAACAAAAAAAAACTCAACAAAATATTATCAAGCCAAATCCATCAGTACATCAAAAATTAGTACACCACAGTCAAGTAGGCTTTAATACTGGGTTGCAAGACCGGTTCAAAATACACAAATCAGTAAATGTGAATCACTACATAAACAGAATCAAAAGCAAAAACCATATGAACATCTCAATAGACACAGAAAAAGCTTTCTGTAAAATCTAACATCCTTTAATGATAAAAACCCTCAACAGATTAGGCATCAAAGAAGCATAGCTCAAAATAATAAGAGCATCTATGACAAACCTGCAGCCAACATCATACAGAATGGGCAAAAGCTTGAACCATTCCCCTTGAAAACTGGAAAAAGACAAGGATACCTTCTCTCACCACTCCTATTCAACATAGTACTAGAAGTTCTAGCCAGACAAAGAAACAAAAGGGATGCAAATAGGAAAAAAAGGAGTAAAACTGTCTTTCCTCACAGACTATGTAATTCCATACCTAGAAAACTCTAAAGACTCTTCTGAAAGTCTCCTGGAACTATTAAATAACTTCAGTAAAGTCTCAGGGTACAAAACCAATCTATAAAAATCAGTAGCATTTCTACACACCAATGACATCCAAACATTGAGCCAAATCAAGAAGCCAATTCCATTTACAATAACCATATAAAATTCCTAGGAATATATTTAACCAAGGAGATAAAAGATCTTTACAAGGAGAACTAGAAAACACTGCTGAAAGTAATCACGGATGACAAACACAAAGAGAAAAACATCTAATGCTCATGGATTGGAAGAATCAATATCATTAAAATGGTCATACTGCCCAAAGCAATCTACAGATTTAAGGCTGTTTCTATCAAACTACCAATGTCATTTTTCACAGAATTAAAAAAAACTATTTTAAAATTCATAAATTCACATGGAACCAAAAAAGAGCCTAAATAGCCAAGGCATTTCTTTCTTTCTTTTCTTTTTTTTTTTTCTTTTTTGAGACAGAGTTTTGCTCTTGTCGCCCATGCCTGGAGTGCAATGGTGCAATCCTGGATCACTGCAACCTCCGCCTTCTGGGTTCAAGCGATTCTCCTGCTTCAGCTTCCTGAAGTACCTGGGATTACAGGCACCTGCCACCATGCCCTGCTAAATTTTTTTTTTGTACTTTTAGTAGAGATAGGGTTTCACCACGTTGGCCAGACTGGTCTTGAACTCCTGACCTCAGGCGATCCACTCGCCTTGGCCTCCCAAAGTGCTGGGATTACAGGCATGAGCCACACGCCAGGCCACCAAGGCATTTCTAAGCAAAAAGAACAAAGCCTGAAGGTATCATATTACCTGACTTCATACAATATTATAAGGGAACAGTATTCACAACAGCATGATACTGATAAAAATATACGAAAACAAACCAAACAAACAGAAAAACAGGCACATGGACTGATGGAATGGAATAAATAACTCAGAAATAAAGCCGCATGCCTACTGCCATCTGATCTTCAACAAAGTTGACAAAAGTAAGCAACGGAGAAAGGACGCCCTATTCAATAAATGATGCTGAGATGACTGACCAGCCATATGCAGAAGACTAAAACTGGACCTCTACCTTTCATCATATGCAAAAGTTAGCTCAAGATAGATTAAGAATTTAAATATAAAACCTCAAGCTATATGAATCCTAGAAAAAGCTTAAGAAATGCCATTCTAGAGATCAGCCTTGGCAAATAATTTATGGCTATGACCTTAAAGGACACAAAAACAAAAATTGACAAGGGGTGCCTAATTAAAATAGAGATTCTGCACAACAAAAGAAACTATCAACAGAGGAAACAGATACCAAATACATTGGGAGAAATATTTGCAAGTTATGCATCTGAATAGGGTCTAATATCCAGAATCTACAAGGAACTTAATTCAACAAGCTAAAAGCAAATAAGCCCATTAAAAAGTGGACTAAAGACATGAACAGACACTTCTCAAAAGAAGACATACAAATGTCCTAGGAACATCTGAAAAATACTCCACATCATTAATCATCAGATAAATGCAAATTAAAACCACAACGAGATACCATCTCATATCAGTCAGAATAGCTGTTATCAAAAAATAATAGACGCTGGGAAGGTATGGAGAAAAGGGAATTCTTATACACTATTGGTGGGAATGTAAATTAGTTCAGCCACTGTGGAAAGCAGTCTGGAGATATCTCAAAAACTTAAAATGAAATTATCATTCAACCTAGCAATCCCATTGCTGGGTGTATACCCAAAGGAGAATAAATTATTCTGCCAAAAAGATGCACCAAACTAACATATTAATCACAGGACTATTCACAATGGCAAAGACTTGAAATCAACCTAGATGCCTATCCATTGTGGACTGGATAAAGATAATGTAGTACATATACACCACAAAATTATATAGAGCCACAAAAAGAGCAGAATCATGTCCATTACAGAAACACTGGTAGAGCTGGAGGCCATTATCCTCAGCAAATTAAAGCTGAAACAGAAAATTAAATACCACGTGATTTCACTTATAAGTGAGAGCTAAACATTGGGTGTATGTAGACATAAAGATGGGAATGATAGACACTGGGGACCCCAAAAGGGGAGAGAGAGGGAGCAGGGCAAGGACTGAAAAACTACCTGTTGGGTATTATGCTTACTACCGGGGTGATGGGATCAATCATACCGCAAACCTCAGCATCACACAATATGCCAATGTAACAAATCTGCATATGTACCCCCACCTCTAAAATAAATGTTGAAATTAAAAACTAACTAAATAATAATGAAAAGTATGGTGTTTATTATTTTTATTTTCAGATTTCTAAGTCACCATTGTTTATTTTATTCATTATTTTCTATCTTACATTCTTCCTTTTTTCCTGTTCATTTTTTATTCCTTGGTGATTTAAAAAGTAAATAGTCCGTATTAATTCTCCTAGAGTTTACATTTATAATTTTGAAACACAGCTCATTCTTCAGTTATATTGTCAAAATTACAGAAATGGTTGATTTCTCCTTTCTATAAATGAAGAAAACAACTTTTAAATTTTGGTTCACGTTGACAGTTATTTTTACCTAGATTATTTTTCCTACTGGTAAGAATTATTTTTCCACAACTACTTTACCTTTACTCTAAGATTCCATTAAAATTTCCATTACAAACTTGACTTTCTTCAATCTTTTGACTTTTCTAATAAACAAAACATGAATATAATAATATACACTGCATAAATGGACAGTGAATGTGTTTTAATTTTTACCAGTGTTCTGTGGGAAAATATTGACCACTTATTTTAAACTATTGATGGCTATCTTTTAGGTCATTTCCATCTTCTTGTTCCAAATTTAATGAACCTGTTGATACTGCTCAAAGTAGTCTTTGAGGTTTATTTGTGGTACTTTCTAATAAAACACACAGAGAAGATAGTAAAAGAAGTAAATATTCATTAACAACTTTTATGTCAGGTAGAATTTAAGTATTTTTAACATGCATAATAAACATTTTATCATAGACAAGATAAATTTTAGAAAAGTTGATCAGGTAGTATTTTTGGCCTAAAAGACCTCAGCAATTAAATTAAATTGGAAATTTGTAGATAAAATATAATCATTCTGCAAATTAGCAAAAAAAAATGCTTAAAAAAATGAATTTGCGGTCATTTTATGTAATTTTGGTTCCATGAGCTCTTATCACTGTTGTTGCCAAAGTATTTCTTATGTTGAACAGAGCTTCGTATTATGCCAATCTTACTTAAGGTAAGACCAACCATTTTCTTTTTGGCTTCCTTTTTGCTACGTTTATTAAGGAGCTCATTCTTACTGATCAATATGTTGATATATCAAGAGTCAAATATCCCTGATTATTCTTGCTAATTTTATTTTAGAGAGTATATTTTCCTCTTTGGGAATGATTTTTAATACTTTCTTTTTGTTCGGAAACTATATTTTCTTTGGAATCACATCTTTTTATAATGCATTTTTTTAATTCATTATTTTGGTTTATCATTGGTTGAACTGCAATGTGCTTTTTTATTAACTTTTTTCATTGGGTAGTATCGCATATACTTTCTCAGGTCTCAAATATGTAAAGTTGTCTTTTCATTAATTTTCCATAAGGTTGAAAATTTAGGTGTATGAAATTTTGGGTCATGCCATATTCTTTATCAAGGATTCTTAGACATTGCCATATATTCTGGAGTTTTTTTTGTAGAACATAATGTGAGGGTAATTTGACCAGTGATTTCTATTCAGGAGAATTCTTATTTTATTCGTATGCCATAAAATGTTTTTTTTTAACACATTAAATTCAAAAACTTGACCAGGGCAAACCCAACACCTTTCCCAGTTTGTAAAAGTGAAGTTAGTTCAAAAGCAATGTGTGCTGTGTTGTTTATGTCATTAATTTATCTTGCTGAATTATAACTACCTGTTGACCTTTCTCCCTGTCTCATAGGCTTCACTTACCACTTTAGCCACATTAACACTGTCTTTTTAAGTGCTGTATCTTTAACATGTTGCACAGTGCTTGATACACCATAGCTCTCTATAATATTTGTTGAGAGAATGAGTAATCAAACAAATATGAAATCTTTCTTAAATTCCAGAATTTGACAACATTTCTTTAACTGAAGTTCAATTCAAGCCATGGGATAGACATATGTAGGAATGAGAATTAAGAGTCTACATATTTTTAAAGAAAAAATTGAGAAAAGATTAAAATATTGGTGCAAAAATTTAAAACATTATTCCACATAACACATTAAGTGTCAAATATTATGAAGGAATTCCAGTTGCCTTATCTTTAGTGCATCTATTGACCCTATCATAGGTGTCTACTTCATTAGGGTAACTTTTAGTGATTTCTGATGGTATAATTATTTCTAGTAGGCATTGTCTTTTCTGCAAGTACCTTGTATTTTGGATGCAAGTACACACATACTTTTCCAGTTTGCCTCTGTGAGGAGGCAAAATTTACTCTCAACACACCGCAAGTAAAAATTCAAATTTAGTTACATGTGGGTAGGCTTGGGTTCCAATTTCTGATAGGTCACTCTCCCCCAACAACCACCGAGTTATGTGTAGAAGGAACAATTCCATGCCATATTCCAGGAGAATGACCAGATTATGTCCATAGTTTCTGAGTTTATATGAAGGCTTTGTGCCTTTCAAGATATGAGGGGCTCATCTTGAACCCTTATTTGGGAATCAAACCTGTGCTCTCACCCCTTAAAGTTTAAATAATTGTTGGAAATCAGTAAGCCCACCTTGAGTTCAGCGCTATCTTAATGCATTGGCTTTGTGCTCTTTGTTTCCCGCATGTGACAACTTCTTAAAGTTTTTTTCTTTGAGTTCAACCATATAATATTTAATAGTTCTCATTTATACAGCATTTCTATGTTTTGGAGGAAAAGTTCACTCTGCTATGTTAACCGGACACGTATTCATCTTTGTATTTCCAGGGCCTTCCTAAATCTGTGGACCAGAGTCACTTCTCACTGTTTCCTAAATTAATCATTTAATAAATGAATAAAGCAGACGTGAATGCCCTATAATAGTCACAATGCTGATGTTCATTGAGAAGGTGGACGATGGAACCCCAAGTGTTCCAGAAAAAATAATAAGGAATAATGGGAAGGGTAAGAATATAAAACAGCCGACAACCCAACACTAAGGAATAATTTCTGTGACTTGCAAAAAGTGCCTGAGACCTGATTTCTGTAGGGAAATTTTTTAAAAGTCACCATTGTGACCCTAGTTTTGCCATGCTGATGCTTTACTATTTTATTTTATTAAGGTTCTGTAGCTCTTCACTAAATACACACCATAAAAATTCTGCCCAAACAAAAAAAGATGTCATCAAAAATAAATAGTGAAAATACTATCTAATGCAAATTTCTGGTAGCAAATTTCTGTCTATGACACTCCTAGCTTGACAAATTTGGATCATACTACAGATGGATAATTTTTTGGCAATAATGTTAGTTTTCTCCCAAATAGAAGCTATGTGTTCACCGCTTTCCAGATGTACAACTCCCTCTGGTTAATTCTTACAAAAATGTCTTTCATTGTTCAAAGAAAAAAAAAACCAGTTTGAACAAGTTTCTTTGTGTCTTTATTGTTTCATTTGATAAAAGTCGGTTTATCTATCTAACACATGCATTGCATTCTCACAGCACCTTGTGGCAACATAGCTTTTTTTTTTCTTTAATCTGCATTTGCTAAATTTAGTATGAACGGCAGGATAATCCTTGCTAGGAAAGTGGATTATAAAGATAAAAGAAAGAAGCATTAAGTTCTTTCCTCAACCAGTTCCAAATGTGCCTTTATGCCTATAATATCCCATAAACACCAGGACAACTGCACCAGCTGCTCTTGACTCTCGGGGGGCATGATATTTCCTCTCATTCTGGCACCAGCCACCACCCCAAAGGAAAGAAACTCTCACAAGCCAGAAGTAGGAGGCGGAGCTTTCACCGGTGTTACAGATAAAACACTACGACCTGATAGCTCTCTGCTGACAATGACTTGCTATAAAAAATAAAAAAGTAAAATATAAAATACATTAAATCCAGACATTAAAAACAGGTTTTGGATATTTTAAAAAATTATCGTATTCTGATATTTTATAACTGTTATACCTATGACTCTTGGCAATGCTGCACTTACTTAGTGGGAGTGAGAACAAAGGGATTTAAGTCCCTAGGTGGACTGATTAATACGTGGCTTACTCACTTCCATTAGTACAAGCTCTTTCTTTTGTGTTATTGCATTTTTGTACAGCTAAAACAATGCATTAGCTTATGTTCAAACCAGAAACACCACTCAAGTGCTGTAAAAATAGGAAATGTACATTGTGCTTTATTTTATGGGTTTTATTTTACTCTATCAAATGGTGAGACTGGAAATTTTCTTCTCTTAAAACAAACATAAAACAAAACTACACTTTCAAGAAAGCCTGATAAGTGTTGTCCTGAGCATCTTTATTCCAACATCCCTGAGTATTGGCCACAAATTACTATGTTACTGTCTGATATTGGAAAAAAAAAATACCCCACAACCTCCACCAGGAAATGGATGTACATCATTCCATGCTTAAGGAGCTACAATATGATGATTGCCCAAAGGGAATTCCAAATCTCATGGCAATTTTTTCTGTCTTCACAAATATTCACATCAACTCTTTGTTGAATTCCCATAATGAACACACACACACACACACACACACACACACACACACACACACACACCCCACCATGTTCCCCAGTGGAAAGACTGAGCTGGCTATGTGCTGGTGGAGGGTAGGAAAATCACGACTCATTGAGTCCTCATGAATAAGATCATATGTTGGCACCTCTTGACCTCTCTAAAGCAGGCAGAAGAAGCTTCAGAAAAGTTTCCAGAAGAAAATCTAGATTCATATGTTGGCCCTGACACTGAGGAGTTTTGATGTTGGTATTTATTTATTTTTTAACCTGTGTGTCTTTATCTGTAAAATGAATACAATAACCTTTGCCATTTCTTACTCAATGGTTTTTTGTCATCATCAGGTGAGATAATGTATTTAGAAATATAGAAATTGTTTATAAAATTTAATAATCCTATTTGTGGAAAGTTTATATTTGGTACATGCAGCAAACACTTAATGCCTTTCTATGTGCTAGTCACTGTTCTAAGTGATTTAAGTATTTAACTCATTTAATCCTCTCAATCTCTGTATGAAGTAAATGATTATCAACCCCATTTGACATAGCAGTAAACTGAGACACTGAGAGACAGAGTAACTCATTCATGCTATTAATACCTATACTATATCAATGTTTTATGGATGTCACTGATTGAACTAGTGCCATACGTATGCTATGCTGTAATTATGCTATGAGATCAATAGACTGATATATAAATTGGTTGAACTATAATATTTTAAAGAGAGATTCCAAATATAAGCCCTTAAAATACAGTGCAAGCCAATCCTAGGAAAAAGTTAGAAGAGAGAAATCAAAACATTTACATTGTCTAAATGGAAACAGTGAACTCTGGGCATGGAGAAACAAAGGATAATAATAGTGATCTGCTCCTGCATAAAGTTATGCCCTTCCACTGTCCTTTGTTAGTATCATTATCATAGTACATGTAAGCAATAGCAGAAAACCAAAATGTGGCAAAGAAGTATTTGAGATATGATACATCCTATTGGTGGGAGCAGGATAATGAGATGAATATGTTATTAAATTAAACTGAGCAGGGGAAGGATGAGAATAGGAAGAAGTAAGTATTACCAAATTGCTCAGATAACTCAGAAAGAGCTCATATAATGCATTAGAGCAATTCTACTCATAAAGTACTATTTGACTAGACCACCAAGTCCTTAAGAGCTGACTTTTAAGTAGGCAATGACAACAACAAATACTTTATGGGGAAGGTAGAAATTTAGATGCATTTACAGGGTGTGTCATGGGGTATACATGACTTCCCTTCAGCTACTTTCTGTCTTTATTATGACGACTTTCTTAGAGGGTCTACCATTGCTTCCAAGTTACCAATTTCTTAATCACAAAACATTAGTTTCTAGCATACACTCCAGTTGCCAGAGGGACAGATGACTTTGCTGAGGGGGCAGAGATACTTTGTTTGTTATCTATCACTGAGTAACAAATTACACCAAAACTTAGTGGCTTAAAAAACACCATTTGTTACTTCACAGTTCCTGTGGGTCAGGAATCTGGGCACATTTATCTGGGTATGTCTGGCTCAGGGCTTCTCACAAGATTGCAATCAAGGTGTTAGCCAGGATTTCAGTCATTTTAAAACTCATGTGGGGAAAGAGCTGCTTCCAAGCTTGCTCACATGGCTGTTGGCAGGATTTAGTTCTTCATGGCTGTTGGGCTAAGAGCCTCAGTTCCTAACTGGCTATTAGTTAAAGGCTGCCTCTAGTTTATTGCCACATGGGCCTGTTCATAATGCAGCTCAAACATGACAGTCAGCTTTCTAGGAAACAGCTTGGACAGGGGATGAATGAGGTCATCCACATTTAGGCTTCCACAAGTGAGGTATAGAGGCAAGGTTGTTTAAATATTGGTAAAATAAAAGGTTAAGAGCCCCAGTCATATTGGCTTATTCCTGTAATCCCATCACTTAGGAAGGCCAAGGCAGGAGGATTGCTTGTGGCTAGGAGTTTGAGACTTGCCTGGGCAACATAGCAAGACCCTGTAATCCCAGCACTTTGGGAGGCCAAGGCAGAAGGATTGCTTGAGGATAGGAGTTTGAGACTAGCCTGGGCAACATAGCAAGACCTAATCTCTACAATAAATAAATAAATAAATAAATAAATAAATAAATAAATAAATATTAAGCTTGGCATGGTAGCATGCACCTGTAGTTCCAGCCACTTGAAAGGCTGAGGTGGGAGCCTCATTTGAGCCCAGAAGTTCAGGGTTGCAGTGAGCTATGATCATGCCACTGCACTCCAGCCTGGGCAACACAGTGAGACCCTATCACAAGAAACAAAATGGTTAAGAGAAAACAGTGAAAGAAAATAGCTGAACTCAAGTTTCAAGTTAAGGGGAAGGTCTTTGGAAACTAGAAAGTTCAGGAACTGGTAGTGTTTGGTGAGCCCTTTGTGTGAATGTTGAATTCACTGTAATCATTGGCAGGAATTGGAATGGACAGGAAGATGGTGAAAGTCAAAGGGAAGGGTCCATAAATTGAGGAGAGTGTGCTTGAATATGATATTAGAAAGGAAGGAACAAGAATCCTGACCTCACTCAGGCCTTATAACATACGGATTGTGAGAGATTAAGTGGCCTCTGCTTGGGTGGGCTGCAAGAGAAGTAGTGACCATTATGGAGAGCTTAGGTTATTTCAGGCAGAAAGGTTGAAGGTTATTAATTGAGATTGTTGAAGATGTAGAGGAGCTTCCTTATCATAAATTATTAACTCTAGAATTGCCCAAACTTCCTATCAAACTGGTCTAATTGATAAAATGTTATAGTAAATCTTCTTCCTTCCATGTATTGCTTCTCTTGTGTCTCATATACTCCTTTAAAGTACTCCACACATACTCTTTTATTTCAGGCTTGTGTGCTGGGGAACTCAAGCTAAGACAAAGGTAAAGGGAAACATAATACTGTTTATTCAAAGGGGTTTGTGTGTGTGGATGTATAATATACATGATACATACCAGTAAATGTTAACAAATTACAATCAAACAAAAAATTTAAGATATGAATTTTCCTGTTTCTAGTAATCACCATCATCATCATCACCATCATCATCATCATCATCATCACCGTCATCATCACCATCATCATCATCATCATCACCATCATCGTCATCACCATCATCATCATCACCATCATCATCATCATCATCTCCCTCTGAAATTCACTGTACGGTAACAAGCTATATGATTTACTCTTGGATGCTTACAGGAAGAGGCCAAGAGGCCAGACTGAAGGGGAGAATGAAGATGTTTGTCTTCACCCAATCAACATTGATTTCATTAAGAAGACTAAATTTTTTTTCTTTAAATTTCCATATTCTATACAGAAATCCTTAAGATTACTAGAAGTTTTAAAAGACATATCAACACCTTCTATACACAAAAGTTGAAATTATATATTTTTATTAGCAATGAGAACATTTTTAAAAAGATAACAATGGGTACACAATTTATAATCAGGGGAGAATTATAGTTCCGAGAGTGTATTAGGTTACTAGGGCTACTATAAACAATCATCACATTTTGGATGGCTTTAAAAAGCAGAAATAAATTTTTTCATCATCTGGAAACTAAAAGTCTGAAATCAAGGTGTTGCCAGGGTTATGCTCCTTCTGAAGTTTCTAGAGGTGAAATCTTCCATGCCCTTCCTAGCTTCTGGTGGTTTCCAGTAATCCTTGGCATTCATCAGCTTGTGGCTATATCACTCCAGCATCTGCCTCTGTTTTCACATGGCTGTCTTCCCTCTGTGTGTCTCTGTGTCTCCAAATCTCTCTTTCTCGATAAAGATAACAAGTCATTGAATTTGGGGCCTAACCTAATCTAGTATGCCGTTACCTTGACTTGATTATATCTTAAAAGTTTCTATTTCCAAATAAGGTTAAAGTCACATGTATCCAGGTTTATAATTTCAACACAGGTTTTTTAGGAAATGTAATTCAACCAACTACAGTGTATTATCAAATAATTCTTGGAATTTTGACACTAATTCCTACAAATTAATATTTCTACTAAAAAATAAAAAGGACAAGGTAACAAATGCAGAATATTTTTACTTAGGTAAGCCGTAAAATCTCATGACCTGGGACCAGTTACTTAGAAAATGCAAAGAAGTCATTTCCCTAACCACAATTACGATAGTTCTTTTTTCCACGAAGTTTCTCAGCCTTTAATTGTGATATATTCCTTTTTTAGAAAGCGTTATACAGTCAATGATTGTATGCACAAGAACAGACTAAAACTAGGCATATCCTTAGCCCTGCTGATGTTTTAGCTTTGCTTTGGTGTTCACATTTCTGGAGTTGAAAACACCGTAGGTGTCTGATCAGTTGAGGAAAACGCAAAGAAGAGGGGCACTGCATCAGAGTTGTTTTCCTACTTCAAGTGACTAGATTCTGAGCTTTCCCACCATCTCAAGGTTCTCTGAGGTGGAATGCTTAGCATCCAAACAACATGCAAACGCATACTATGAAACAATAAGCTTCTCCTTTACCGTAAACGCCACTGGGAATAAAAAAATGGACTTTCTATGTTGGCAAATGACTCTGGTACAAAGATATGTGAAAGCCAAGAGATTTTCCCCCCTAGCCTTCATCACTGCAAATATGTGCTGTCATGTAGACCAGCTCTGAGGTCTAAAACATAAGACTGTCTGTGAGACTGGCTAGCTACTGAAAGTACAAAAGGTGAAAGTCTTTTTACATAGTCTAATTAAACACATACTAGGTTTTTTCTTTTTTTTAAGACCATCACCTTTTATTAATTTTAAACCACTTCTGTGAAGTATTTCCCAAGGCATTATTATGAAAGGGGACTTGACTTAGTTCATTTATGCCACACAAATAATATTACCAAATTTGGGATGTTTTCAATTTTTAACCATCTTTGTCCTTTTTGATGGCCTTTTTCCTACATTCTTTATAATAATTTATTTTTCTTTAACAAAATTCAACATGATTAATTTTAGTGTCAAGAAATTGTTATTAGAACTTGTAACATATATATGAATATATGACACAATCCTGTTGTATTTTTCTTTACTACATTGTGTGGACTCACTTTCTTCTCTTCATGTGCATTACTGTAGTCTTTCTCTAAAACCAAGTTAGTTTACAAATGGATCAAAGAATGTCCTTTTCCTACAGGTGTTTTTAGGTCCACTCTTCTATTATTAGTCCATTTTGTCAACCAGCATTGTCTCAAACTATGTAATTGTCACATTGAACTTTCTGTATATCAGTTCTCAACTGACTCCCCATCTTCTAACACACAAACCTCAAACTCACATTTGCTGCAAAACCTGCTACTAGTCCCTCAATTCTCACTTCTATTGAATTAATTATTGATGCTTTTGGTTTATGCATGATTACCTGCGATCACACCTACTTGTTTCTCAAAGATTCTGTCCAAAACACATTTCTCAAATAATTTCTGAACCTAAAAATGAAAGCCACTTCAAGATAATTCCTCTGTTTACGATTTTAGCTTTACTATCTGGCCTTTAATTTTTCACCTGTAAAATTAGTGATTAGATTATTTCTACTCAAGTTTATGTCTTTTGTGGTCTTTTAAACTTGACACAAGCTCTATTTGCTAAGTGCTACTATAAATTAATCTTATAAAAACTCGGTAAGAAATTCTATTTGATATAAAAATATACTTATTTAATCTCATAATTTACAATGCGGCTCGAATATTTCAAGTAAAAAGACAATGCAAAGATAAATTTAATAAATAAGAATACATACTTTTCCAAAAGCATATATTTGAGGACCTTCGTTTACACTGTGACCTCACCTGTTGCTGGCCTGTAGCTAAGGGTAAACTATTCAATTTAAATTTCATGTTTAAACAATGATTTTTGTTCATAGTAATTGATGAGTGATGGGCTATTTTATTTTTAAAGCCAAGTGGGAAAATACCATCTAATTAAACAATCTAGACAAAAAAGTTGTAATCTGTAAAAGAAGAAAATCTACAAAATTAGTTTTCTTTTTTCCTTTTATTGCCATATTAAAAAAGGGAATCAGGGGATCTTAGAGCCAAGGAGCAAAGGGGAAAGGCCCAGATATTTTGGCTGATGAGAGGATGTGTAATGCTAAAAATACAATGAATAAATAGAAATTGAAGACTATCCATTATTATCCTAATGCTTTCAGTAAATACTTAAAATAAGTACTCATAATGCAGAACCTTTTCAGCAGCTGAACTAAATAAAATATGTTTTACTTTATGATAATCTGAAACCAGAGGGTCAGTCCAAAAGTGATTTAGTATCAGTATAGGATTTAATTGTAGTAAATATTCAGTCCTCCATTTTTAAGTATATGAATTAGGTCTGATTAAAGCTAATAAAGAAGAAAAAGCGAGAAAAATATTCAATTCTAGATATTTACTAAAGAAAGATCTTGCTAAATAAGATTTATCTGCTTAACTTGTAACATTGCTTAAGTTCAATTGTTTAATTAAAATACTAACTTTTAAATAAGAAAGATGGGAGTAATATATTAACTTGTATCTCAGCTAAGTCTCTAACCCTTAAGTTGTGTTATTCACATAGTGTGATGGTGACCACTCAAGATAGTAAACAAATTTATTCATTGAATCAATCATATTGATTCAACAAAAATTTATTGTTTACCTAGATATTGTCAGAGTTGAATCTTAAAACATGAATAAATAAATAATACTTATTTATTAACATGCATGGCATTCTGCTAGCCACCATGAGTATATCTCTCTATGTGACAGCTTATAATTCTCTAGATTCATGGTATTATGGACTGAATTCCCAAGGCCCCCACTCATTCATATTAAACCCCTAATGTCATTACCTCAGAATATGACTATATTTGTAGATAAGGCCTTTAAAAAGGTGATTAAAATAAACAATTAAATTGGGCCTTAATCCACTCTGACTGGTGTCCTTATATGAAGAGGACATTCTGACCCTCAAAGGGACACCAGGGGTGCATGAGCACAGAGAAAAGACCATGTAAACACACAGAGTGGGCCGCCATCTGAAAGCCAAGGACAGAGGTCTCAGAAGAAATCAAACTTGAAGACACCTTGACCTGGACTTCCAGCCTTCAGAACTATGAGAAAATAAATTTCTGTTTTTTAAGTCACCCAGTCTATGATTTTTTGTTATGGCATTAACACACATAGGTCAATCTACAGGAGTTGCTTCCAAAATCTTTCCATTTACAACATTGTATCACTGGGTCTTTTAGCTCCAGGGAATAACTGAAAAAAAATGTATCTTCTCATTTCTTGTTTCAGCTCTTTGGTGACCCATTATACTATAAAAATATGCTACCAGGCCGGGTGCGATGGCTCATGCCTGTAATCCCAGCACTTTGGGAGGCCAAGGCGGGCGGATCACCAGGTCAGGAGATCGAGACCATCTTGGCCAACATGGTGAAACCCGGTCTCCACTAAAAATACAAAAATTAGCTGGGCGTGGTGGCACGTGCTTGTAATCCCAGCTACTTGGGAAGCTGAGGCAGGAGAATCGCTTGAACCCGAGAGGTGGAAGTTGCAGTGAGCCAAGATTGCGCCACTGCACTCCAGCCTGGCGAGAGAGAGAGACTCCGTCTCAAAACAAAACAAAACAAAAAACAAATATGCTACCAAGGAAGGCATTTCTACTCTGGCTTACCTCTACTCTGCCTTCTGAACTTCAGTTTTGTTTTCACCAGGTTGATTTTTCAGGCACTATGTTGGATTTCACTGGCAGCCAAATCAGTAGGCATCATAGCTGAGAACTAAAGTTGTTGAACTTCAGATCATCCCAGTGAACTAGCTTTCCACCAGCTGCTATGGGCTGTACAGAACCAGGAATGCGCTGAGGTGACCCTACACAGTGGTGTGATCCTGACTGTGATACCCCTTGAAGTTTGGACTGTAGGCACCTTACTCTCTTCACTTGAGTTCCACCGCTGTTGATGCTACATCCCCCCTAAGCATTTCTTGGCATTCCTTCAGAGCATTTATAGTTTTGTTGGGAGTACACAGGAGATAGTTAGAAGAGATTAGAAAAATGTGTTAGCTTTGAAAAAAGTGCTAAATGAATGATCAGAGTTCTTCATGAGCTCAGGATATAGTTTACTTTGCCTCAACGCTATAAAAATAACTTCATAGAGAATGAGGAGCTTGAAGGATATATAGGATTTTAATAATGCCTGCAAGCTGGTATCTTGAAATCAAACACTGTAAAAAGATGGATAATAAGTACTATTGTATATAATTTAGAAACTTTAGCGAAAACATGAGTTAGAAGCCTGGCTATAGCACTTACCAACTGTGTAGCATGGAGCAAATTACAGCTTCTCTGAACTTCCATTTCCTCATGGGTTTGTTTAGATGATTAGAAATAACCTACATAAAATGACTTACTTTGTGCCAGGCAAATGGCCTGGACTCACTAAGTGGTTCTACACTTATTATCATTGTTTCTTGATTAATGCAAATCTAACCACCATCATCTCAGCAGGCCTTATTTTAGCACTCACATGACAGACATCAGAAATCAAAATTGACCTTAACAATGATTTAGTCCAGTCTCCTCATTTTCCAGAGAAAATTAATGCCCAGAGAAATTAAATGACTTGCCCTAGGTTATAGGGCCAGTTGGCAGCAGTGACAGCATCAGCCACAGAACATATGATTTCTTACTCTGGTTCGGAATACTTTTCATTTCAGATCACTTCATTAATAGCGGTACCCATATCTTAAGCATGTATTTTTAAATGTGTACTAATTACATATGAACAGTCAATGAACTGCAATAGATGGAATTAAATTAAGTCTAAGTGTCGTGCTAGTGCTACAAATTTACATTTAGAACAACTCGGATGTACAAGTAATTGAAGGTTCTTGGTTGTCTCTTACAAGTCTAATCTTCCTCATAAGCCCTGACCCTGACAAACAGAGAAGGAATTTATAGTGGAGATTTTAACTGGTTAATTAATAGTATTTTACACTCTGGTTTAATTTTTTTTTTTTTTCAGGAAACGGATTTGTTTTACAGATTGCCACTTGTAAGTCCCAAAGTGGCAAATGAGAATGTGGGGAGGGGACACAAGGGGACCACTTGCCCTTGCAGAAGTGGAGAAGAGATGGGGGACTCCTGGGGTGTCCTTTGGGCCCCTGGATCCTCCCAATCTTTGCTGTAGGAGGTCCAGTTTATTTATTTATTTACTTATTTTTGGAGAGAGAGTCTCACTCTGTCACCCACGCTGGAGTGCAGTGGCATGATATTGGCTCACTGCAACCTCCACCTTCTGGGTTCAAGTGATTCCTTTGCCTCAGTAGCTGGGATTACAGGCGTGCGCCACCACACCCGGCTAATTTTTGTATTTTTAGTGGAGACCGGGTTTCACCACGTTGGTCAGGCTCCTCTTGAACTCCTGACCTCAGGTGATCTACCCGCCTCAGCCTCCCAAAGTGCTAGGATTACAGGTGTGAGCCACTGTGCCCGGCCGACATCTGGTTCATTCCTGAGATTCTTATGCTATGTTCTGAGCTGCAGCAAACATTTTTGACTTGTTCTATTGGATACTTCAGGAGTTGGTTGTGCTCTGCTTTTATTTTCTAAATCACCCTCCATTAGATGCCCAACAAGGCTGTTCATGCTGTGGCTTCAGCACTGTGACTGCCTTGTCTCTTGTCAGGGTGATCCCAGGAATGCTTCCCAGCTCTGGGCTCAGCTCTCTTCCATCTCTTCCAGGGGACATGTGGGCACTTCAGAGTCCCGTCCTTGTCCCCGTTCACAAGGGCAGCTCTGAACCTTCTCTCAACATTCTCTCTCTGCTTAAAAATGCCATATCGTCATTTTATTTTTCTGTGCCATGGCTGACCTATGTTGACGCAAACACCACACAATGAAGCTATCTTTTCAGAGATCAAAACAGAGGTGGGCAAAAACCTTTCCCTTCAATTAGCTCCACACCTCTGACTCTGGGATTTCAGAAGAGCAGGTGAAAGCTGTGCTCTCTATGTTTTACTCCTTGCTTTTTTCTCCACTTTGGTGACTTTCTTCCCAGACCTCACTGGACCATAAACATTTTTCATTACCTTTCCTCTCTGTCTACCCAAAACTCCTCTTCAATTATTATTTTATGTGCCTTCTCTGCACTTTGGGTAATGTTAAATATCTACAATTTGAGTCAGATGGGCTAGGTTCTTGATAGAGCAAGCTCAGGCTTCTAAAAAGTAGTGTTTAATTAGGGCAAATAATATATTGGTTTACTATTCCACAAATATTTTTCTCATTACAATACTTAACTTTTCTGTAGACCTAAATTGGTCTATGTCAATAAGTTGCTTAAAACTCTTCAAAAGCATTTCCTTTTCACGTAGAATAAAATACAAACTTTCTACCACAACTTGAAGGGTCTGGCCTCCCCTCCTCCTCCATCTTCCAAACTCACCTCAACCCCTCTCCCCCAGTTCATTGCACCCTAAAAATACATATTAAATCAAGGAAGCTGCTTCACCCTTCAGGATCTTTTTTCTCATCTATTTTTTTGACTTTTTTTCACATCCAGTTTCTTCTCATCCTTTAGGTCTAGGCTGAAAAGTCATCTCCCAGTGAGGAATTTCTTAGGCTTCTTGTTGAAAGATTTTGAAAATTACTTCCCACTCCCTCCAACAGCTTGCTTCTAGCACAGCACCTTGGTTATTTCCCACATAGTGCTTAAGACAATCTGAAACTATTTTTTTCATTAGCCTGCTTGTTCATTGTCTGTTTCCTGAGCGTACAGAAAATATGCGGAATCAAAGATTATCCTTATCTTGTTCACCATTTTATGCCTAGAACTTTAATAAATAGTGCCTGAGTAACAGTAGGTGCTCAATATATAAGTAATAAATAAGTAGTTGGGGGATGAATGAGTATATGTGGATCTAATAGGAGTCATTATGAGGTGGACATTTCTTTATGTCCCTAAATTATTTATACTTTTGAGAATACTATGAAGGACATAATTGATAAAGAATGATGATATATAAGAACTATCAAAATCCTGTGATAATTTTAGATGATTAAGAAGATTGTCTTCCATAAAAGACTAATATGTATTAAAAAATGAAAAAAACAACTTTAGAACTTAGACTATATTTCAAACTAGGATTTTATTATCTAATTACTTTATCCATTTTACTATTGCACATTTTGTAATATTTCTGCTCTTCATTGTATTTTCTTTTGTATAGAACATCTATTATCTTCATTGTACAAACCTTCTGAACAAGCTCTTGATAAAGTAATCAAATATTCTGTTTCCTATCTATATAAGACATGCAAATGCATACACATTTATGGACATTTTTATTAAAAACGAAACACTAAAATGGCATAAAGATTGGCTAGTCTATCCAGGTATGTTAGGACTGTAATACAAGATAATTGCTGCCGGATGTTGTTGGTACCTTGTAATGGTCACGTCAAAGCAGTTCTCTTTTCATTTAAAGCCAATAGAAAAATAGCTGAGCAATGGCTGCTTCTTCATTATTTATTTTTGTTCCTCCTTGTTTTTCTTCTTCTCTTTTTCTTCTAAGAAACAAATTTTTAAAACCATGTTATTTAAAAATCAATTATATTACTCAATTGAAATATAGTAAGAAAGAATTTTGTAACTAGACTTGCATTGTAATTTTCATTTAATTGTCCCTTATTTAGAATTAAACCTTGGTTTTTCTTCTATAGCTCAGTTACCTATTTAGAAAGTAATTTTAGGCTGGGCACGATGGCTCACACCTGTAATCCCAGCACTTTGGGAGGCCGAGGCAGGCGGATCACGAGGTCAGGAGATCGAGACCATCCTGCCTAACACGGTGAAACTCCGTCTGTACTAAAAATACAAAAAATTAGCGGGGTGTGGTGGCACGCTCCTATAGTCACAGCTACTCGGGAGACTGGGGCAAGACAATCGCTTGAAACCGGGAGGCAGAGGTTGCAGTGAGCAGAGATTGCACCACTGCACTCCAGCCTGGTGAGAGAGCGAGACCCCGTCTTAAAATAATAATAATAATAATAATTTTATTGTGTGGTAGAAACTATTCATTTTTTTTTATTTTAACTAACCATTGCTTCAGGAGTTTTAGATTTATAGTTTCAATCTTGAAACAACAGATTTTACATCATCAGGTTGCATTGGAAGTTAATAATTTTAATCACTTTAATTTAGCTCTCTTACTGTTTAAGTTTCTGTAGCGTTTTCTACTGGTGTTTTCCTGTCTTTGCTTCTTCCTCTCCAACCTACCCCTAAATTAAATCCCAACTTTATCTTTGTTCCCTGCATGATTTAACAGAACTGAAATTTAAATGGAAAAAAGTTAACATATCAAAGCAGAAGCTCACCCTATTCTGTCACAGTATTTATTTATTAAGGAAAACGTATTACATCTCTGTCTTTTATTTTTAGGTGTCCTCTAGCTCTGCATTCACCTCCCACAACCTTGTTCAAAAAGACAATATCTAGATATTAGGGTTTTGATTATAAATATCACTTGTCATTTACATTTTATTTCCAATCTATACTGATTAAAACAAAAAAAGTTGCTCTTTATTTACTTTCAAAATATAAACATTTATTTATTTTATGAATAACACATCAAGTATTAATTTTTTCACAATCCTCTATGGTCAATTTAACGAGAAGATGAGTCATATTTACTACCTTCAATGAACATACAAACTATGGTATTTATAGACTAACTCTTTAGCTCTTTATTATGTATCTTTTGTATTTGAGGTTTTACTAATTTTATTCATGATTTGTTTAATTCAGGCAAAACATTGACAGATAACGAGAACAGGCAAAGCAAAGTAGATTGCTTTGGTACTTGGAAGATTTTCTTTAAAAAAATTAAAATTACTGTATATATTGAAGCTCTACTTTAATATGTTATTTTATTATAAAAGTTCCACATTTTTTAGAAGTTTGCTCGTGGTTGATGAAATCTTTAATTATATCAAGAACATACTTAGTTATTTTTTTCAGTAATTGAATAGTAGAGGCATTGACTAATGAAAATGTTAGATTTATCTTTTTATTCAGAAATAATCGTTACATTTGAGATTAATAATAATCTGATTATATTTTTTTCTTCAGTCCTAATATTTTTCCTCTTCTCCCTCTTCTGTCTTTTTCTTTTTCTCTTGTCCTTCTCCTCCTTCTTCTTCCTCTTCTTTTTTCCTTCTCTTTCTCCTCCTCCTCCTTTCTCCTTTTCCTTCATCTTCATTGTCTTTTTTTTTTAGCACACACACCCTATTTTGGGCTGTTTACAATGAGGAAGACAGTTCCTGTATATACCCTGACTTAGTATTTGTCAGTAGACCTTGGCAATTACCTGCACTGCTTTTACTCTTAGTCTCTTGAATATGGAGAAGTTCCTGCTGGGTTACTCACTATTGCTTTAGTGCTCTGTATAGAGAAGTTTTTTTTTCCATATAGTTTATGTTAACTAGATAAAAGATAAGATAAAATATATTGAAATAATAAAAATTCATTTTGTTGTATTTATGTTCTTGTATTTTGAATAGTTTATGGCTGTTTTTGATGGGATCATATACAATTGTTAAAGCAAATTTTTGAAAATAGGTAACAAAAACTATAATTGCTCATTGGAAAGTTCAATTAATACACAAGTATATAATAAAAAAGCCAAATTTCTTTACTTGTTATCTTTAATTGCTCTCCCAAAGGGCATTACTGAGAAGTTGCTGTGTAAACTTTCATAATTTCTCATCGAATAGACATAGACACTTCATACAAATATGCACAAATATACAAATGTATATTTTCAAGCCAAAACTGCATCATAGAATACATGTGGTTCTTAAACCTCACTTTATAAATTAATAATTTTTATGAATATTTATATTCTTTATTTAAAAGTTAAATTACTAGAATAAGTAACATAGATATAACATTATGTTATGATTATTGATATATTCTTTTTTATTTTACTACTGAATGGAGAAGTAAAGCAAAAACCAAAACCTAGGCATGATTCAGGAGAAATTGTATTAAATTGCAATTTTTGAGATGTATTTAAAATCCTAGCATTTGAGAGTTTGTTGCCTGAGTTGACAAATATGTGATGGGGGTGGCAAGATGCTGATCTAGTTGTTTTCTGAGAACCTGTCTGATAGCTTTCTTTGATTCTGTGATAAAGGGTGCCCATATAATAATGGTAGGGATAGTAGCAACAGTAGAATAAATGAGCTGACCTTCATTAAAATATAATTCTGTCTTTAAATGAGATAGAAGTTTATTTTTCTTTCATATACAATTCCAAGCTGATGTAGTGGCTTCTAATCATCAAAGTTTTCAAAGACTTAAGTTCTCTCTAGTTGCTCTACTATCCTCAACAGACAACTTCCATCTTATGGTCCAAGAAGGCTGTTCCGACTCCTGTGGTCATAGCTACATTCTAGCCAGCCAGATGAATTATAAGGGAAATGGAATGCCAGTTCCCTTATTTTAAAGGAATAGCCAAAATTTGCACACACCTTTTCTGATATATTCCATTGGCCAGAACTTTATCACATGGTTTCACCTGACTTCAAGCAAAGCTGGAATATAAAGTATTGCTCTGTGTGGCTATATGATTAGCCAAAAATTATTTGCAAAAAAAATGAAGATTGGATATGGGGGACAAGGGATATCATGGGTAGCCAAAAATGAATACCTTTTAATACTCATGAAGTCTATGATTTTATAAAGAAAAATGGTGTCTTAAAGATTTGTGGATTAAAAATGAACCTATCCTCTCTTACCCTGTTAATTTATCTCTTATGTCAATTATAATTTGGCTCTTTTTTTCCTTCGCATATGCCACCCACCCAATTAATAGAAAGAGTATAATTGTAAGATAAAATAATTGTAGCTCTGTCTTTCCTGCTCTTCTTAGTTAAATCACTTAACTTCATTTTGTCTGAGTTTTCCCACCTGTTCAGTGCTGAAAATAATGCTTGTGCTATTTCTATAAATTATTCATAGGAAACTATTATACCGGACAAAATAATGATAATTACAAATATATTTGATATGTAAATCATGCTATGCTTAAGTAAGTAATTATAGCTCCCAATTATCTATTGCCTACTATAGACCAGGCAGTCTCTTAGATCCTTTAAATGTATCTCATTTAATTAGTATCTACAACAACCATATGATGTATTTCATAGTTTTTCTGTTTTAGAGTTAAGAAAACTGAGGCTCAATAGTAATTAAATGATTGACCCACAATGCCAGTTCCACCATTCTCGGGCTTTGGTATTTCAGGTTCTTGGAGTTTTCCAGTCTTTACACTTTTAAGTAAAAGACTAGAATATCCATCTGACTTGTTTAAGTAACTGTACAAAATTACATCAGATACTCATGAAAAGAAAACGAAATCAGGACTTTTTCTAAGACTGATAATACTACAATCAGATAATTTGGTTCCTTCTACTGAGGGTTATCCTTGTCATACTATTTTTCTCCTCATTTTATGACTGGCAAGTGATATTGCTTAACATTTACTGCACTCATTTTTAACTTGAATTGTTATCTCTCTCAGTCCACTGGTTTGCGAAGTCAGTATTGAAACCCAAGGGTAGCTTGGTATGCGCTTGGTCTGGTTGAGTGAATGTTGGGGCCTATAAAGACATGGAAGTTTATATACTGTAACTATATAATGAATAGATGAGGCAAAGAGATATAGAAAAAATTGTAAACTTTTAAACAGATTTGCAAGAAAAGATGTATCAACTCAAGAACTTTCATGCTTTCCATACTTTTTTAAAAAGAAAAAATCCATTATTTAAAATGTACAGGACTTCTGCTCATCTTAAATTTTTATAGCATAATTAAAACATCAACAATCAGGTTAAAACATTTCAATTTATAGGTTTTTTAAGTTGCAGATTGTCTTTTGAAATATAGGACACCCTATATCTTTTGAGCAGTATTGACCAAAAAAAAGTTGTTTAAAATCTTTTCTGCTTTTTTACCAACTACTGATTTCTACGAAGAAATTGGGGTTACAAACAAATTGTGAATTCTCAGCCTGGTTTTCCTGCTGACATGTAAGAACCATCTGTAGTACTCTTCCAAGTGTCAGGGGTGTCACCATAGTGTCACACAAGGGTTCTTAGCGTAGAGCAAACATACTTTCCACAAACTCAGCTGCTTAATCTGTTTGCAGGTTGAATTGTGGGACAGGATAGATGGCTGTGGGTGCTGGGAGGAGAAACACAGCATTTCTAGAGTTTCTCAACTGAAAAAAAAAAAGCCTAATTTTTTCATCAATAAATTTTGCTGGATTTTTTTTACTTATGTTGCTGGCTCCAGAATCTTACTTTAACCATAATGAAAAATAATTATGCTAAGAAATGAAAGGCCTCAGTGAATTTTTAAAAATAATTTAATTGTCTTTTCATTAAAATTATTCTGGTCCTTGTCAACTTTACCTGTGATATTTTTTCTCTAAATTCTTTGTTGGACCATAACTGTCAAGGCAAAATTGGACATATCTGAACAATATAAATATTTGTTGATTGAAAAAAATGAATTCTCATTTCTAAGGAGTATTACCTTGTAAGGTGGACAATGTGCACTTACATGGAAACCCAGAGACATTTTCATTATGGCTAATGACAGTGTACCTAGATGGAGGGGAATTACAGGCCTTCAACCACCAGTTCATCTTCATGAGAGTAATGTTTATTCAGAATAATAAATCTAAAGTCTGTGAAACCTTTAAAGTTATGCTTAAATGTGACTCTGTGACCACTGATGAATGACTACAGTTGTTTCATGCCTTGCTAAACATATTTGACTTTCCACAAGCAATAGATTCTGAAAGGAGAGGTATTCAACATGGATTCTAGGAAGGTACACATATTAATTCTGTTGATTCTAGCTAAAACTTGTGTTCAGTTGAAGGGTGACATTAACAGAGTTTTGTGATCCTGTCTTGCATCTCATGAGTGCTGATCAGCTGGTAGGTACCGGTGGCATTTTCTCTACATCAGCATCTGCAGTATGCTTTCGCTTTGTTCCTGATAACGAGAATTAGGGCTTTCTAGCCCTTTCAGAGATTCTGTGAGATTATATACTTTAAAAAAATTTTTGTCTAAATTAATCACACCAGATTCTGTTATTTGCAAATAAGAACCCAGACGCTTCGTTAAAAAGCTTAGAGAAAAAATAAGATTCATTCATTCATTGGATTATTTATTTATTTCCATTTATTCATGTTCTCTTTCTTGAATAAATAATTAATTCATTTAAAGTGTTTATTGAGCACCAGTTACATGCAGGCTATTTTATTAGTTTTGTAGGAGGTGAAAAAAATAAATAAATTAAGCTCGGTATGGTGGCTCATGCCTGTAATCCCAGCACTTTGGGAGGCTGAGGCAGGCAGATCAGGAGGTCAGGAGATCGAGACCATCCTGGCCAACATGGTGAAACCCCCTCTCTACTAAAAATACAAAAATTAGCCAGGCATGGTGGTGCATGCCTGTAATCCCAGCTACTCGGGAGGCTGAGGCGGGAGAATCTCTTGAGCCAGGGAGTCGGAGGTTGCAGTGAGCCAAGATAACGCCACTGACCGAGATCGCCCCACTGCACTCCAGCCTGGCGACAGAGTGAGACTCCGTCTCAAAAATAAAATAAATACATAAATAAATCAGATAGAAATCCCACTCTCAAGGAATTTTTGTAATGTTGACTCAACCATGCTAGAAAACAGAAAGTGAACAGTGATATGAGAGAGGTACGGAGGTAGAGTGTTATGAAGTTTCAGAGGTGAGAGAGGTTGGGTACAGCAGAAGAGAATCATTTCTTTCAGAGAAGAGATGGCATTGGGGATGAGGACTAAAAGTTAGAAAAGATTTACACGGAAATATGGAGAGATAGGTATCTCTTGAGTAGAGAAGGCAGGACAAAGAGAAAATATAGAGACAATATGAGCAATAGGTATAATTAGTTGTAATGCATCATTAATGGAGTGAGAAAGGAACAAAATGGTAAAGGCCAGATCACGAGAGCTTTTAGTTTATGCACAGGCATTTTGTCTCCAATTTGTAGACTAGAGAGAGCACTTGAAGGATTCTGAGAAGGGAGTACTTCAAAAAAGTTATCTATCTATATATCTATCTATAAAGTTTATGGAGATATAACTCAGATTCCATATTATTCAACAATTTGATGTATAAAATTCATTTTTTTGTACACACAATGTTTTGTGGTTTCCAGGTGATAGGTTTACCATTTCTTTTGTTAAAATTGTCCTATGTATTATATATTTTTGATAGTATTGCCAATGGAATTATTGTCTGATTGTCGTGTTTAGATAATTCATTGTAAGTATATAGAAATGAAATTTTTGTGTATTGATCTTGTATCTTGAAACCTTGCTGAACTCATTTATTAGCTAATAGTTTTTTTAGTGCTTTTCTCAGGATTTTATGTAAATATTATGTCATCTGCAAATAGAGATATTTTTCTTTATTTTTTTCCAATATGGAAATCTTTTATTTAATTTTCTTGCCTAATTGTCCTGGCTAAATTTTTAGTAAAGAATTGAACAAAAGTGGCAATGGAGAACATCATAGTCATGTCTTTCACCATTAATTATGATGCTAGTTATTGTTTTTGTAAATGTCATTTATCAGGCTGGGAAAGTTTTCTTTGATTCCTAGTTTGAGTGTTTCTATTACTAAGGGATGCCAGAATGTTTATTTTGATGTATGTTTATAAATGGGATTGGAAGTGGAAGACAATGAAGATGTTATGAAAAAAAAAAAGGCAAAATGAGATGACAGCACAATTTAGAACACAAAATACAGCATAGCTATTAATGAGAGAAATATTGAAGAAGTGTAAATGACAAGTACTGGCAGCTGAGTTGGCATAGTTTGTAAAAATATAGAGGGAGGTTTCTGAGTGTCTGGAGGTACTTAAATGTAATAGAACACCAACCGAGACTATACGGATTAGTGGTTAAATGCTTGGATTAAAAATCTCAGTTAGACTCTTTTGTAATTATGTACCTTGACCAAGCAATTCAGACTCTTTGTGTCCAAATTTCCTTAGCTATAAAATGTAGATAATAATAACTGTCTTGTAGATTTTCTATGACTATTAAATGAATTACTGCGTTTGAAGCTCTTAAAACAATGTTTGGCTCTGAGCATTACCTGCAATTATTACTTCAAAAGAATTTACTCTTTTCTTAATTAAAAACAAATGCAAATATATAGTCTTCACATTGGTATTTTTCAGCCAAAAAGTGAACATAGAAATTTTTTTTCTACTCACAGTGAAACGGGCAATGCATTGACTCTATTGGTACAAAATATCATAGATGAGGTAGAAAACACCTTTTGGAAATATATTAACATTTTCAGGAAAATAGCTTGTTTCTTTGTTCAAAACCATGGCAGACATGAGCAGACAGCATGAAATAAAGAAAAGCTCAAAGATTTTAGAAATAGTTGTCCAACTAATATACATAAAATTTGTCTTTACAGAGCAAAATGCATATTTAATCAATCTAATCAAATACAACCTCAGCTAAATTGTCTTATTCTTGCCTAAGACATGCACACACCTGCTGAACAGAAGGAATAAGACATCTTGTCTCTAGGAAACTACTGAAGTTAATTAGCTTCAAAAATACTTTATTTTTGAGCTTTTAAAAAAATTCAAATCCACAATAGAACCTAATTAGAACATAGAATATGGTGATGCATTGGACTATTTTATTAAAAATGACTATATTCGGTTCTTATCCCAACCTTTGTGTTCACATATATAGCTGTTTAATAATGTAGAGTAGTTAGTTCATTAATACATATATTTTGATAGTATTCTGAAATCATAGTGTATGAAATGGACTAAATAAAGCCTATCATGCCCAGAAGAAAAATTGCATACTGTAAAGATTATATAAAGTTTATTTTTTATCTATAGTTTTAAGTTTTATACATATAGATGATAGACGCCCACACACATATGAATTTTTACAAGTTACTGATGTTACAAATCTAAAACTCATATTTTTATCTCAAACTAATAAAGATTAAAACATTAACAATGTTTCATCAATAGGTCCAGTTTTTTACATCCTAGTTTTGAACTCCTTCTTAAATTTGTTAATTTTAATCCAGATTAAAATGCTTAAATAAATGAAAATAATATATTAAATGAATTTGTTTATGCACTGCACTTCTTATCTAATGGTATCATATCTTATTGGAATACATGATACCGTATAATTTATGATACTGCTCTACTGTTTCAATGTCCAAACTGAATTTAATAAAATTTTAAAACAGAAATACTGAAACTGAAGAATGATGATGAAGTGCGCACTGTTATGAAAAGGACTAAAAATGTTTCAAGGTTTTTACAAGCAAGTTAGATATAGGTTTTAAGAACTTTATATGATGGCTTAAATTGATTTGCATCATCCTCAGATGTATTAAAAAAAGGTAACTTCTTTATTATGTGTTTAAGTTACGTGACCTTCCTCTTGAGCCTCTTGAACCTCAAGATAGGGAAAAAATACAGCTATTACATACTCACAAAAATTAAAAATTAAAAAAAGAAAATAAAGTAGTCTTAGCTTAATGCAATGAGAATAGTCACTTGAGCAAAATGCTCAATTCTTCAATTTTCTCTTTTCACTTTCCTCCTTTTCTTATCCAAGGTGGTATCTGATGTATGAGAGGGACTTTGTACTAGTGAAAAGAAAAGGCTTTGCTTGTGTTGCTGTTAATCACTGCAGTCTTTTCTGACTGCTTTAGCCTTCTCCCCACTAGTATGTGTCCAGTTGGACTGCCAATTCAGTGCTCACCTGGTTGCTTATTTTGGCTTCTGTGTAGCATGTGATCTGAGCTCTGCAGGCTTGGTCAGAGCCTGGTCTGCATCTTCAGGTTCCGAACTTCTCTCAGCATGCATAGGTGAAAAAGCCCTTTCCAATGCTTCACCATACCTTTCATCTAGACCCTGACAAGGTGTCCACTCCTCAGTCTCCCCAGTGCCCTTGGAAAGCTCCAACTCCATACTGTGCACCCAATCCCAAGGAGACTGAAAACCTCTGAGTCACATCCTTACAACATAGGAAGGACAGTTTAAGACAGTTAAACATTAGTTATTTAATTTCTTAACCACTGAGGTGCCAAGTTCACTTGCCATGGAGTTGCTCTCCAAATTCATTCAGGGACAGGATTTGGGAGTAAGAATTAGAGGTAACAAGAAGCTAACATTAAAGGACATGTTTTTAAATCTTAAAACTTACATTGGGCAAAACTCTTCAACTTTTTTTGTTTCTCTCAACTTTTTAATACACTTTCCTTTCTCTGGGCTAAACACAGAAAGAAAAGTTCAGGATCTACCTGTCCCACCCTCTTTCTATTCTTATGTCTCTTATTCTTCCTACTCTTAAGATTTTTCAGTACAAAAGGAGCAAGAATCTCTTTTATTTGTTCTGTGTAACATCCTCCTACCTCTTTACACCGTAAAGCTAATACTTAATGGTAGACAGAATATGAGAGCAAGAGATTGGCTTATTGATGAGAGATTAAATTGAGCCGTATTTTACAACGTATTTTCCAGTTATACATGTACTAATAATATAAATCTGGAAGGGGCTGTATTGTTCGCAGAACAACATAAGTAGTCCTTTATAATTCTTATAGCTCCTAATAGGTTTCTCTGTCTACAGACTTGTACTATGTTTAAATTATTTTGTAGTATTCTATCCTCTGGGAAAAATGTACATTATTGTCATATTTGACATCCTAACTCAAGTCTCTTCATAGATCAACAATTTTCAGGTGATTCTGTTTAATATTCTCTGGAAACTATGATGTGTCTTTATTTTATTTTTTCATTTATATTTTATTTATATTTTATTCCCTTTAATTTTACTCCCAATATTCACAACAAATTACTTTGAGAAACCCTTGTTTTCCATCTATTAAGGTCCTCATAGTGATTACCACTCAAATTCATGATTTCAATTACTATCTTTGAATTATTGGTGTTAAAAATTAAAAAATTAAGCCCCTATTTCACTTACAATCATTGTGTCTCTATACTTGTTTCCTTGGCATTTCTACTTCTATGTCTCAAAAGAACTTTAAACTCAGTTTACTCAGAGCTGGAATAGATTTTCTCCTGCCTTTTCTGAGTCCTACTCTACATTGCTGTATCTCGATGAATGGTAGCACTACCCATCTAATTATGCATCCCAGAAATCTAGAAATCATCCTTGATATCTCTTTTTTCCTCATTCCCTACATCCAACTCTACTAAGTCATTCTGATTCTTTCTTTTAAGTATCTCTCAATTTTATCCTCTTCTGCATTTCCGCTGCCCTATCTTACTCCAAGTCATTGTCGCCTCTGCCTGGACTGTAGCAGTGGTGTCTTAAGTGTTCTTATTGTGTGTACTTTTGTCTCCCACTAATTTATTCTGTCCACAGCAGCTAGAGTGCTCTTTAAAAAAACCTCCTACTCTATAAGGTTCTTCTTACCTAACTTCTTCCTCATCTCATACTATTCTCCTCTTCACTCTCTGTGCTGACCAGTATTGACTTTTCCCTCCCTTGTCCTCAGGGATTTGGGACCTGGAATGAGTCAATTCCCTGCTCCTGATTCATTTTAACTCATTCCTCAGATGGGCTCAAATAGTATTTCTTCATGGATAACTGTTTGAATTTTTCAGAGAGTTAAGGTCCCTTCACTATAGATTATTTTAACTTTCTTCATTGCACATAACACAGGTTGTAATTAGATTTATGTATTTTTCTGCTTTGATGCCTGTGCCCTCTATAAGTCCTATGAGGGAAGAAGTTATAACTTTTGGTTTTTTATTATTGTAGTCTTAGCATCTATAGAGTGTCTGTAATATAGTGGATGTTCAATAAACATTTGTTAAATAAATCAGATGATATTTGCATGATTTGGAAGTTGTTTAGATGTGAAGTATAGAGAATATACAGAAGTCAAAGGTGGTTTTCAGGAATATAGAAGGTTTGTATGTATGATGCACCTGTCAGATATTGAATTAAATATTTTCATTTCCAAGATGGAAATATCAGAGGAAAACATGAATTTCTTAACACATCTGCATGTTGATTTTCACTGAGTTATTATTGTCATTATATAAGATATTTTGAGGTCTCTTTTAAACTTTAAAATATTTTAAAAATCAAGCACTTTTGTGTGTGTGTTATTATATGTACACAAATACACATATAGTAGCTGGGTCATGAATATTTAAGTATCTATATATACACAAATACACATATAGTAACTGGGTCATGAATATTTCAGTATCTATAGATATAGATTAAGTATCTATATCTATAGGTACTTCAAATGTTATGACATAAATAAATCCAGCATTGAGTCCAAATTCCATGTAATGTTAAAATAAATGATCTAAAATTTTCTGTATTTTCTAATTTTTTAATAATATCAGTGACTTATAGATAAGGAAAAACATTATATTTAGTATTTAAATTGATTTATTATTACTAGTTGGTTCAGTGATAGCTTCAAATACTTGAAGAGTTATCCAAATTATTACATCAGATCTCAATTACAATAGATTTTACAGTTGATAATAAATCCCTCTTTATGTGTTTATCACAAATTGTACGATAAATTAACATTTCCTCAAATGGTGAGACTGGGAAAAGACTGAATGTATTAAAACAGTTTTTGTAAATGACTCTATGATTTTATTACCGTACCATTTTTAGTTTCATAAGAGTATGTTAGTCTTAATTTTGCCTGAGATTAAGGTATATAGCAAATTATTTTTTGAAGTCTTTTCCAAGTAACTGCAATGCAAAAGCATTTGCATTTATATTTATATTAAAGTATTAATATGCTAATTTTAAAAAATTAGGTGGCTATATTTTGTAAGCTCCAAGAAGGCAAAGATCATGTCACAAAGGACACATTTCAGTTTTAGTTTTACTTATCACTACTTAAAATGTAAGATTTGAACACTTTCCAAATTTTGTTAAATTTTATATTTAAAATACTAAAGTCAGCCTGAACCAACTTGGTAGTATTTTTATTTTACACACACACATACACATATATGTAAATAAATAATAAAATGACCTGGGTACATTCCTCTAGTTTCAGAATTAGATTCAGATGAACCTTTTTTTCCAGAGGTACATCCATTTACATATCTTAAAAGGGTTACACATAACTCTTGCATAAGTAAGGACATGAAGTTTGCCTTCTTAGAAAGTGTTTTTCCCATTAAAAAACAAACCAAAAAACAGATGTACCATTGCCTGTTTCACAGTCAGAGCCAATCTGAAATGGCTGCTGCTAGCTTAGGGAAGTCATAAAGAGATCAAATGACTTCTGGGCCAACGGAAAGCCCTACTGTCTAAATGCTTTTCAGGCCAATTTGAAGAAGTAATTAGACTTACTGGAAGCTTCTGTGAATAATTCTGCAAGTACAATTATGGACTTCCCAGAAATATTGCCTTCAATATAGAAAAGCTTGTCAGTTGATTCTGATGAGATATATGTAAAATTTGAGATTTTGATATTAGAATGAGTAAAATGATGACATCACGATGTATTAAAGTTGGGGTTTATTTTTTGGAATTAATTGTCATCAGGTAAAAAGCCAGCTATAAGTCAAATAAAATATAATCATGTTCTTCCGTCTTTAGCACTCATCTTTTCTTGTTCTAAATGTTGACAAATGACTGTAAATTTAACAAGCTTATAGATAATAATTGAAAAGTCTTCTAAGAACTGAAAATTGATAAACACATGGCAATGGCAGGCTATTGCAGTGCAATTATAAGATGTTGTGTGGATGCCCCTGAAGTGCCTATAAATGAATGTGACTTCAGTACTACTGCCAAATGAGTCCAATATCCCACAAATGAACTGAAAATAAAGTGCCTGGAATACTGTGTCTACAGTGTCACTGTAAAGTTACTGTCATGCTGTATTACTGAAATGATTTGCTGAAAGTAACATGGCACATATATGCACCAAGAGAGTTAAATCTCATCTTATTCTATGAAAATCATGTTAACCATTCATGAGAATGGGTATGTCACCACAGTTGATATATTTCATGATGGAAAAAGTTTGAAAAGATGTTTTATTCAGAGTATGACTGGAAACTGAGTCTAATAACATTAAACATATTTATTATAACCTTATAATGAAGAAGAAAGCAAAAACAATGTGGAATGCACTTTGGTTTCTATTATCTTCCAATCAGGAAAAATAGTTTGTGTTACATTTAGGGTTCGGATAATTTCTAGGAAGTTTTTGTTTGTCTTTTAATAGAAAATATGGTATTTTTAACTATGATCTTGCAACTCCAATAGACATTTGTATTTTTTATTTCATTTTTAAATTTTTTAAATTATAGGTTTGAGGATGGATGTGCAGGTTTGTTACATGGACATATTGTGTAATGGTGAGGTTTGGGCTTCTAGTGTACCCATCACCCACATAGCAAAAATTATAGTTAATATGTAATTTTTCAGCCCTCACCCTATTTCCATTCTTCTTCTTTTAAAAATCCTCCGTTTCCATTCTTCCCATCATTATGACCATGTGCACCCATTGTTTATGTCTCACTTATAAGTGAGAACACGTGGTATTATTATTTTCTGTTTCTGGGTTATTTCACTTAGGATATTGCTCCAGCTCCATAGGTAGATGGTGCTGCAAAAGACATGACTTCATCTTTTTTTATGGCTGAATAATACTTTATGGTGTATATTACCATGTTTACCTTCTCCAATCATTTATTAATGGAAACAGGTTGATCCTATGACTTTGCTTTTATGAATAGTGCTGCGATAAACATGTAAGTTCAGGTGTCTTTTCAATATGGTGGTTTCTTGTCCTTTGGGTAGATTCACAGTAGTGGGATTGCTGGATTGAATGGTAGGTCTATTTTTAGTTTCTTTAGAAATCTCCATACTGTTTTCCATAAAGGTTGTACAGTTTACATTCCCACCAACAGCATAAAAGTATTCCCTTTTCTCCATATCCTCGTCAACATCTGTTGGTTTTTGACTTTTCAATAGTGGCCATTCTGACTAATGTGAGGTGGTATTTCATTGTGGTTTCAATGTGCACTTCTCTGATGATTAGTGATATTGAGGATTTCTTCATATGTTTGTTGGCTTCTTGTATGTCTTCTTTTGAGAAATGTCTGTCCTTCGCCGACTTTTTAATGGGGTTGATTTTTTTCTTGTTGTTCTGTTTGAATTCCTTGTAGATTCTGGATATTAGTCCTTTGTCAGATACATAATTTGAAAATATCTTCTCTCATTCTCTAGATTGTCTTTTTCCCCTGTTGGGTATTTATTTTGGTGTGTGTCAATGTTTTTAGTTTAATTAAGTCCTATTTATCTATTGTTGTTTTTGTTGCATTTACTTTTGAGGTCTTAGTCATAAATTTTTTCCTTTGGCCAATGTTCAGAAAAGTTTTTCCTGTGTTTTTTCTAGGATTTTTATAGTTTCATTTCTTTCATTTAAGTCTTGAATCCATCTTGAGTCTTTTGTGTATGGTGAGAGACAGGAGTCTAGTCTCATTCTTCTGCATATGGCTATCCAATTTTATTAGCACCATTTATTGAACAGGGTGTCCTTTTCCCATTGTTTATTTTTGTTGACTTTGTTGAATATGAGTTTGTTGTAGGCAAGTGGCTTTATTTCTAGGTTTTCTATTCTTTTCACTTGTTCCATGTGTCTATTTTTCTACCAGTATCATAACCTTTGGGTTACTATAGCCTTGTAGTATAATTTGAAGTCAGGTAATGTGATGTCTCCAGATTTGTTCTTTTTGCTTAGGAGTGCTTTGGCTATTCTGATTCTTTGTTGGTTTCTTATGAATTTTTGAAGTGTTTTTCTCTAATTCTGTGAAAAATGGTGGTTATTTGATAGAAAGTGATTTGAATCTGTGAATTGCTTTAGGCAATATGGTCATTTTAATATCGATTTGTCCAATCCATAGTCATGGGATGTTTTACAATTTGTGTCATCTACAGTTTATTTCCTTAATGCCTTGTGGTTTTCTTTGTAGAGATCTTTCATCTCCTTTGCTAAGGAGACATTTTATTTACTCCTATATTATTAGTGTTTACATGTACTAGGTACTAGTTGCTTTATAAACATTAACTCAATCCTCATAATTATTCTGTGATGTAGGTATGTTAGCCTCATTTAGAGTTGAAAGAACTCAGATATGGAGAGGATAAGTAATGAGCCCAGGGCCACAGAACTGGTAAGTAAAGAAGCCCAATTTAAACCCAAGAAGTCTGCTTTAGATATTGAATTTGAATTTTGGCCTGCCATATATATATAAATATCAGGATGTGCATAATAAATATCACTACAGGGGATCTTTTTAATATTTTCATACCTAGGTTTTAGCCCCATAGATTTTTGGATTTAGTGAATCTGGGATAAGTCCCAGGCATCTCTATTATTAACAACATTTTAGAAGTAATTTAGATGCTAGTGTTTTGTTGGCTACCCTTTGAGACAAAATGATTTTAAAATATAGGTTATATTTTTGACATTGAATTTCTTATTCTTGTTCCAGTCTATGTTCATCCACAGTAATTTCTGTAACTAACTGATTAATGCTACACCAGCACTCACTCTGCTTCTAAATAGCACAAGTTCAGAAACAAAAATGCTCATATGGCTCGTGTTGTCATTTTCAATTATCGCTGAGGTCTGACCTTTTATAGATCCAACTCATTTAGGGATGTTATTCATTGTTCTTGAGTAATTAGTGAGCTAATACTATATAAATTTTTGTTAGCTGAAATACTCGTGAATAGCTTGCCTTGTTATGACTAAGATGTGTGCCTTCTTGAGTCTTTGTATTCTTATATTAAAGTTTTTAAAAAACTTCATCCATGATGAACTAGGCTGAAAATTTCTTTTTGTTTTTCAAATGAACACTCCCTACTAGCACTATAATAGTTAATTGTGTATTCCCATTTTATAAAATATCTTTGAGTGTAATGACTGCTAGTATTTTGTTGAATATTCATTAACTATCTTTTCCTCATAGGGTATATAAATCCTCTGAAATGCAATACATACACACCTTAAACTTTGACATAAAATACTCATATTTCTAAGAAAAAGGAGTGTTTCTTCTTTAAGCACTCTCTCAAATCATATATAATCAGGAACATTGGCAACATTGCTGCTATGAGAAGGACAGAGAGAACATCAAGAAATCCAAATGAATTCAAACCCATTAAATGTAATGGTGTGGTAAATCTCAGCGTACCATCTGCTGTAGAACACTGATACACTATTGGAATTCCACATCTTATTTACATAACAGATAAGAATGTGCTAGTAGATTTATATGGCGAATAAATACCCAGAGACAAAACTAAGTTTTTCCTACATTCACATCTGGGGATAACCACATCTGTATAAAATTTAATCTATTTCTGTTTAGCTATTCTATGGTAAAACTTAACATGCCACCTTATCCAAATGTTATCATCAGCATTGTAATAAAAACGAATCAGTTAAAGAAACAAAGAGTTCATATACAATGCTGTGTAAAATGTGAACATTTACCCAAAGAACTTTATCTCATTTATATTTACATGCATATTAAAGGAATAGGATTGTAAGCCTATGGTAGATGCCTAATATATTTGTGCTTATACTTAAAAAATAACTTGGTAGGTATTCTTTTAGAGAGGAGTTTGACTCATATTTACTCAAAAACACCTTAGGAATTAGTATTGTGACTAAAATTACATTAAATTTATTGAACTAATTAATCCCAAGCACTTTTAAATCTATAATGTTTAAATGATGCCATGAAAACTAAAACAAGTTTTGAAAGAAAGAAAAAATCAAAGTTTAAAGTGTAATTGTTTCTTGTCCCCAAATTCTATCTTCCCTTCCTCTTTTGCTTTTGCTTAAAGATGCCCCTTAAATATACATGAATCACAAAGCCTGTAGATGTTTTCATGAAACATAGCCTACACATAATTTTGAGACCACATAATCCATTTCTATATGTATCTTTTTCAGCGGCTAGAATTATTCAGCGAGGTATTTTATGAGTTATATATGTGTTCATCTGCTTTCCTTTAAAAACTTTTTTTTTCATTTAAAGGAGGTAAAGGGGAAATTGATACTTTTCAGGATTGTATCTAAAAGATCATGATATACCAAACTTCTTCTGGAGCCTTTTTTCTGACTTTCATCACTAGCAATGTTGAATAATTAAGCACTTTTGCATTTACATTTGACAACCAGGATTTAATTAAACACAGTTCTCATCTCTTCAACTGCTCTTACCAAGCCTGCAGAAGTTGAAGAGTGTTACTGTTGACAATGGCAGTCCACCAAGTGGAAAATTATGCAAAGAAAATTGAGAAAGTAGGAAAAATGCCAGGCCTGGTGCCTTAGGGAAGGTGGAGAATATGAAAGTAAATACAGTACAGAGTGTTTTGGTTATTGCTGTTGGCACTCTTCTTGTTTATGTAATTGACTTTATAAATTGATATATTATATGTTTATTACTTATTATCAAATCACAGGAATAGGAAACAATTTTGTTCTTGAAAGAATGATGGCCCATTACACAAGTCCCATCAAGAATGTATTTGGCTATGTAATTGACCACGGTGGTAAATTGAGCCAATTTCAATGTAGACTTGAAAAGCAATATTTATCTATGATTACCAATAGTTAGAGCCAAATTTTTTATATTGTATTCACATATTTAACCTCATACACAAGGCCATTTTTTTTCATACAATTAGAATTTTGCTAAATGGGACAGTGGCCTATTTTGTAATCAGAATCTGGACTCTTAGTTTAAATACTATGAAACCATGGTCTTCTACTGATACAAAATGTGTTAATTTTTAAAAATTAGTTTAACTTATTTAGCAGACTTCTAGAAAACTTTGATTATTGTTTTGAAATACACTTTTGATTCTTACAATAATTATTCATTGAGTGCAGAGCTGCTGCAAAAGACACAGAGACATAAAATTGAAAAGGAAATATAGTCTTTGCCCTCAACGTGACTTCGAAATTAAATGTGTTTAATTGAAAAACGTGTAGTGGTTTAAAAGGTGGCCTCTCTGCTTATTAAACAAACAAACATGTTTATGCCTCGGTCCCTGTGAATGTGACAATTTTTGGAAAAAGGGACTTTGCAGATAAAATATTTTAAGATGAGATCATCATGGATTAAGGTGGGGCCTAAGTTCAATGACTTGTCCTTTTAAAAGAAAACATGAGGGATACAGGGAAGAAGGGCATGCGAAGATGGAAGCAAAGTTTGGAGTTTTGCAGTCCCAAGCCAAGGAACTCCTGGAGCCACCAGGAGCTGGAAGAGAGGCAAGGAAGGAAAGTCCCCTAGAGTATTCAGAGGAAGTGTGGCTCTGTCAACACCTTGATTTCAGACTTCTGGTCTCCAGAATTGTGATAAACTAAATATATGTTATTTTAAACCATGAAGCATGTGGTAATTTGTTATGGCAGCCCTGGGAAACTAACACAGATTTAGTTACCAGAAAGTAGCATGCTACTGTAACAAATATCTGAAAGTATGGAAGTGCTTTGGAATTGGCTAATGGGTAGAAACTGGTAGAATTTTGAGGCATATGATAGAAAAAGCCTAGATCACTTTGAACAGACTGTTGGTAGTAATATAAAATTTACAGGTATTGCTGGAGAGGTCTTAGAAAGAAATGAGAAAAACATATTTGGAAATTAGAGGTAAGGTGATCCTTGCTATTAAGTGGAAGAAAGCAGATCAATTGCCCTCTGCTGCTGAGTGGAATGCAGAACTTGTAAGCAACAGAATTGAATATTTTGCCAAGTAGCTTTCAGGCAGTGTTGAAAATGAAAATGAAGCCTGGTTTCTCCTTACTGCCTATAGCAAAATGCAAGATGAAAGGAAGAAATTGAGGGAGAAATGTTAAGAAAAGAGGGAGCAGGACTGGATGATCTGGGATATTCTTGATCTATCCAGATTGCAAAAGATGCTAAAATTAAGCTATTGACTATTGAAAAAGTGTGCTCTATAGAGAGGGCCAAAGAAATCATTTGCTGAAGAGATTCGATATGTGATTCCTGTCGTCTCAGGTAGACTCCTGGAATAGGATAGGCGATTCAGAAAAGATCTGTGAAGGACCCTCTTTTTCAGTGGCATGTATCTCTGTGACATATAAAGGAAATTCGTTAGGTTTGCAAGAATGTTGTATCAGCAGAAATACTGCCAGCTTGAGCTGAAGGAGACAGAGAAGAGATGAAATACAGAAGGCTGTCAGATTTCTAGGATTGTACAAACAGGAGTGAACTAACAGAATTACTTGGCTACAAACCTAAGCTGTCCTTCAAGAAACAGAAAGAATAACTCCAATGACAGAACTGCTGTGAACAGAGGCCACCTGGGTTTGTGGGTCTGATGTAGCCAGTGCAGAGGCCGAGTCTGACATGGAAGGAGCAGAAGCCAGTGGGGCTGAGGAAGAGACAGCAGGCACAGAGGCAGAGGACAGAGCTGCTGTGAGCCCAGAGGGTAGAGCCTTGAGCCACAGAGGATTATTCTCATGTCTTGTAACCTAGTGGAACATTCCTTGCTGGATTTCAAACTTGCTTGGGACCAGTAACCTCTTTATCCCTTCCCTTTTTTTTTTCCTTTTGGAATTAGAATGCCTATTCAATGTTTGTTCCACCATGGCATTTTTGAAGAAGATAACTTGTTTTTTAGTTTCACAGATTCACAAATGAATAATGACTTTGCTCCAAGATGGATTATACCCCAAGTCTCACTCATACCTGATTTAGATGGCTTTAAAATACAAGATATGAGACTTTTAAAACTGATAATATTTAGATGAAATTTTGGACTTGGAGCTGATGCTTTAATGGGTTGCAATATTGGGGACGTTGGGATGGTGTGAATGTATTCTGCACTTGGGACAGATGTGAATTTTGGGGGCCAGAGGGCACCTATAGCAAGTTGAGTTGTGGTATCCTTCCCACTTTACCGAAATTGTTCTTGTTGAGATCATTAAAAACTCCATAATGCCAAATTCAAGAAACGTTTTTTTCTTTAATGTTTGTCAGGTTTTTAAGAATAGTAGACCCAACTGATGACTCCTGTTTTTTCAATACTTTATTTTATATTTATATGTATTTTTCTGATGAATAGAGTTGAAGAGAACTTAATGTGCCATGAATAGAAGATACTCTTTTATTCATGGTACATGGTTATCCTTAATATTTGCAAAGCTGTTCTTTATTTCAATTCATTTTCATCTACATAGCTGAGCAAATCTCCATTCCTATTGTTAAAACAGGCACTTACTCAAATATATCTTTTAAATGTTTGTAATTTTGAGAAATATATGGTGTCTTTGTGTATATTCTTTAAATGTACAAAAATTTTTATCGTGCTATGGATTTATTCTATAGCATTCATTTTGTTTTTTACTTTTCTCTCCAACATTTTAAGATTTATCTATGTTGTTGAATATATTTCTAATTCATTATCTTAAAATTATGTACTTTTTTCTAAATAATTTATCCATCTGTTTTCACTTATTCTTTTCGTAATGAGCACCTAGGTTATCTCCAAATTCTTACTACCCCAAATACTGCTGAGATAAGCATCTTCACACTCCTTTTCTTATTACCTGTACACAAGTGTTTCTGGAGTATATATCCAAAAGTGAGTTGACTAACAATTAAGGTAAATGAAGAGATTTTGATTAAGAGTATAATGAATCTATAGATACATGTAGAAAAAATTTAAATCTTAAAAATATTAAGTGTTTAATCTGTGAACATGTTATATATCTACCCCATTTTTAAATATTTTTAAATTTATCTCAATAATAACAGTTTTTGGTAAATTGTCTTACAAATATTTATTCAATTTATCTCTAGATATTAAATAATTTGTATGATAATATAAATTCTATATTTTTAGAAATTTGTTTTTGAAATTTTCTTTACTGTTATGGAGAAATAAAATGGGAGATGGCCTCCACTGTTCCCATTTTACTGTAAGTCTCTTGGGAGAAGGACTGACTCTTTAATCCCTGTTGTATCCACAACACTAAACAGGATATGTATACTAAATAAAATTTTGTTGAATAAATGAATAAAAATTTTATAGGAGCACATATACCTATACATTTAGAAAGCTTAATTCTAGGTTTTGTTTTTGTTCTTTCTTGTGGCTTTTTTTTTTTTTTTTTTTTTTTTGAGACGGATTCTCCCACTGTCACCCACCCAAGCTGGAGTGCAGTGGTGAGATATCGGCTCACGGCAAACTCCTCCTCCCGGGTACAAGCGATTCTCCCACCTCAGCCTCCCGAGTAGCTGGGATTACAGGTGCCCGCCACCACGCCTGGCTAATTTTTTGGGTTTTTTCCAGTAGAGACAAGGTTTCACTATGTTGGCCAGGCTGGTCTTGAACTCCTGACCTCAGGTAATCTGCCTGCTTCGGTTTCCCAAAGTGCTGGGATTACCGGCATGAGCCACTGCGCCCTGTCAGCCTCCTCTCATTCTAAAATGGATATGATATGGCCCAAATGCATAATGCTGAATTATTTGACCACAAATCCTAAGTCTCCACTCTCAATACAAAAGACAATTATCTCCAATACTAAACACATGCAAAAAAAAAAAATGTAATGACATTACATTTATAGGTTGTTCAAAAGACAGAAGCACAAATAAGGTAACAACTCTCAAAGTCTAATTTTCTTGACAAGGTACTTTTTTCTTCAACTAAAAGAAATGTAGTGTTATAGTTTACACCTGTGAGAAAGTTCAACAAAAGAAGGAATCTAATAACTTATCCAAATTTCCAGTTTATTTTAATAAGCATTTTCACATAATCTAAGAAATAGAAAATGCAAACAAATTTGTCATGGACATTAAAGTGAGGCAATTTCCATGTGCTGATTCAAATCAAAGATTTGGCCCCATTTCTTGGGATGAAATATCTGCCAACTGTCAAATGTCAGGCTAGATGAGGTTGGAGGAGAGGAAAGGAAGAGCAGACTGAGAAAGAGAGACTCCTTCTGCTTACATTGTCATGTTTCAGCACTATCCATGCACTGTTGTCAGGAACCATTAGTGCATTTGGTCTAATATTCAGTCCAATCCTACCATCTGGACAGTTCAGTACACTTCTGCTGATTTAAAACTCAATGTAATAAGGAGATTTTTGTTTGATGAAAAGGTGAATCATTGTCACTCTTATTTCTACTATTCTTCCACAGCAAATGAGTAAGCAGTAGCCACCTTTCTTTCTAAGTTACCTTTCGACATTTCATTAGATCAGATATTTTTCTAATGAGAAGAGTTTACCTGTTTCTTAATGCTATTATATCATTTGACTTAAGATTTTGGAGAATATTACCATTTATGGTTTCATATGCTGTATTTTCTTTGAAAACTTCTAACCTGCAAAAATTTTAATCTGTCAAGACTTCATTTTATTAACAAATGTGATGGATATATGGCAAGCATTTCTGAAGTCAAACACATTGATTAATATTTCCCAAGATTTAGATATTTAATAAAATAATACCTAAACACAAATTAAACTTTAGATATATATCTTACATGACTGGCAAAATTAATTCTCATTACCAAGATTGCATCTAAAAATTCTAAATAGGCTCTTCTCATTACATTTGATAATATGATACTGTATAAACCCAAATGATTATTTCCATTTTAATAAGAGATTTGCCAGTGAAGAAAGAGTGAAATACCACTTTAAAGTTCAACATTAGTCTTTTTTTAGCACTACATATGGGACACATAGGAAATATTCAAAATCAATTAGTTTGGTTAGACAAAAATTTAGAACAGGAAAATGGACTTGCTATTTGAAATGGTTCTGAACTTTTCAAATGTATGAAAATATAGTGAGATGTAAGGTAATATAACACTAACTTATTAAAATCTAGTGGCAATTTCTTGAGAAATTGATTATTGGCATTTAATATTACAAAATATTTCTTAGAAAACATTTTGTTGTGATGCAAACAACTGTACCAATATAATTTCACCAAATAATATTAATTAATGATTTCCTAAAGACACAACCTAATACACTGTAGATGTTGAATAATAAAATTATATGATATATAGAGTATTATATATTTTTATTACATATTTATATTAAGGATTGAATATTTATTGAAAGTAAAATGCTAATTGGTACATGGTAACTTTTTGCTATGTTTTACTCTATTATAAAATACCATTTACTCTGCTATATGTTGTCTATTTACATACAGACATGCAAAAATTTTTTTTTGGTTTTATATTATGAAAACCCCATAAAATTGCATTCATTTCAAATGTGAAGAGGTCATTGACTCTATTCTCAAATGCATTTGCAGATCATTTGGTAGGGTCTGAGGGAGAGCAGGAAGGCAATATAAATTCAAGTTCCTGGACAGAGTGCCTAGAACAGAGAGCCCTGGCATCTAAAGGGTCTAGAAAATGGGAGACAGGAGTTTGGTAAATTAGGTAAAGTAAGCTAAGTAATATTCTACATTTGGAATAGGAAGTATCAACTTTAAAGGTGTTCCAGCAATTGGCTAAACATAGACACTGCATCAATTACAAGAGCAAAAATATAAGTAGTCAAGAAGGAAGTTAAAAAGAATAAAATTATAGGAGACAGGTAAATAAAGTGGTGAGTATGGTGGAAGGAGGCTTAGATGACAGGATTCCTATTACTCCTGGGCCTTATGGACACTGGGCAAGATTTCTAATGTGTATTTTTGTTTATTAAATATCCACAGTTGTGTTTTATCGTTTCTAAGATGCCATGCTACTTCAGTAATTACATATTGTCTTAAATATTCTCATTTCCCCTCATGTAGATAGCTTTTAGGGAACCACATAGGAAGCTGAAGGAAGAGAATGTCCACTCAGTCAGCCAGATATGCTCAGTGTCTCATACAAAGATAGTGATATATGACAGCTAACCTATTCTCACTTTTGAAATAAACCCTTATATTTCATCCTTTGAAATATTTTTTCATTTATATTTCTTCAGCTTTTCTCTATATTACACATTATGGGGATATGCTGTAATTAAAATTGGATACCATTATAATCTATATACTTTATATTACATAGATTTACTATTAAATAAAATGTTTTATAGGTCATTCATTTAATTTTTCTCTGGGTTCAGAAGTGACAAAGTTTAAAGTCATGTGCATATGTCTTTGAACTCAGTAATGGATCAGACATTTCAGAGTTAGAAAAATTGGCAGAAGCAGTTTAGGAAAAGAGCATTCAAGATTTAGGAGTATATTGAATGATGAGAAAAAACTAAGAGAGAAAAAATAATAAAGGTACCAGATTAAAGAGAATTTTTGTTGTGGTGGTATTGTTTGAAATTTCTCTATTTTTCTCTTTGCCTTCAGGCAAGATTCCTGTCTTCTAACCTAACCATATAAATATGTCTTCTATCTGAAAAGTATTTCAGAGCTTTTCTTGGAAATGTTTCAGTATTATCCAAGTCTCACCACCTAAACGTTTTTGACAATTTTACTTTATTTCTGTGACTTAGTTTGATTTTGTTATGTTTCACTTTTATGGATAGGTAAAACTTCTAGAGATTCCTCAATAGATACTTCCCCACATTTGCTCCTTACCAATTATCAGGGATGTAGAGTTGATAAAAGGTACTTTCTTCTCCAACTATCTGTGTTGTAATTATTCTACCATCACTATTAGAAAAAGAGCTTTTCATAAGACTGTAAAGTTGATATTTCTTCTGAAGTGAGCCATCCAATATAGTGCTACTCAGCCATTTCATAGCATGAAAATAAATGAGGATATCTGATCTCTTCTTTCCCAAAACATGAAATATGCGCTTCCTTGACCACAAACATGCCTAACCAGTCATTCTAGTTAAATGTACCTTGTGATATTCTTATATGAAGAAAAGAATAATCCATGTATCTCACACAGTAGTCTTATCAAATAAGCAGTTAATAAACTACAACTGTGATTAATTTTATTCTGACTAGTGTCTTCAAGTCAGTTCTACCTTTCCTTTCAAAAGTTTATGTTTCTGGGTTTGTACTTATTTCCTGGAGCACTCTGAGGCACAACATGCTTTTCTTTTACTGTTTAGTTTCCTTTTGGTTTGGTTCAATCAAATGAGAATTTAAGCATCCAAGTTTCCAGTTTTTTAGTACAAATATTTCCAGAAAAACTGATATTCATACAACAGAGTCCAAATGAAATAAAAAGTGTTTTTGAAATAATTAAAATTATCATAAAGTACATAAAAGAATAGAAAGGTGAACATTTCTAAGAAGGTTTTGATAACAAACATAAGCTAAGACTTGGACTAGCAAATATTAAAACACAGTAAAAAGCTAGGATAATCATGACATCACAGGGCTGGCACAGAAATAGACATATTTATCAATGGAACAGAACGAAATCTGGAAACATTAAACCCTATACAGGAACTAAAAAAATTCATGGGGTATGGATCCATTGTTCAATAATTTGTGCTAAGTACCAGTTACATTGACAAAAAATTAGATCAGACCTTACTATACATTATGTGCATATAATCTCTTGATGAGATAAAGATGTGAAAAAAGCAAAGAAGACTGGAAGAAAATAGAAAAATTAAAATTTGAGGAGACTTCATATTTTGGTTCACCCTAAGATCCTAGAAACCTTAGAGTGAAAAATATATACATTTAATTACATAAATATAAAAAACTTACATTGGCAAAAAGTTATAATGAAATCAAAACAAAACTTACAGATCAAGAAAAAATGATGACAAACAAGTATTAAATAAGTAATTGATCCGTAAGTTAATAAGAAATGTAGGTAGTCCATCTTTCATTTAAAAAGTCCAAGAAAAAAAGCATGTATTTCACTGAAATAAGTACAGGCAAAAACGTAAGAGCAGATTATTATTAGTTATCAAAAAATAAAGTTGATAACAGATACTACATTCATTAGTTTAGCAAAAATAAAAATTAATAGCATCCACTGTTGGTGAAATTCTAGGTATGAGAATAATGTGATTATTACAAGCTTTTGGAAAGTAATTTGGTATTTAAATAGTTATAATTTAGTTTAATATTATGTAAATTTAATATTTAAATAATTTAAATAAATAGTACTTATAGCACTTGGACTAGTTCTCCCATTTCAACCACTTATTAAATACAAATAAAATTAGAGGATTAAAAGATAAATATTCCAGGATAGTTATTATAGCATTGTTATTAATATTAAAGACTTGGAATAATCTGAATTTTCCTCAAAATTGGAATGATTAAATGGTACACCTATTGATACCTTGGTATAAATGTAACATTGATTATTATGTGGTTATTAACACAAACCAGGTTGATATATGTGTTACTTTGAGAGAAAATCTAAAATATATATTTTAGCAAAAGCAAATTATAGAATGTATATAGTGTGTGTACATGCACATGTGTAATCTTTGCAAATGTTTAAGATGCAAAATTAACTGCATGAAAATTCTTGTCAAACTGCTAATAGTGTTTATATTTGAGATTGGAAGAAGAAAAGAAAATTATTAATTTTATTTTACACACATCTTTTTATTTTCAAATGTTACAATGATTGTAATTTTTGTAAGTTGGACCACTGAAGACCAACAAGTATTTCTAGTTTTTAATTTCACAGTCAAATGTAACTTGCTTAGTTACAATGCTCTGAGAGTTAATATTTGCTTTTTACTTATGAAAAAATTGAGTTTCAGAAAGGTTAAATGACATATACAGTGACACATATCAGAAAGCGCTCGTGCCAAGACTCAAAAACAAGCATATTTGTGACTCCAAGTTCACGTGCTTTCCAATTTATCCCATTATTTCTTGACTGTGTGTATGTAAATGTGCATGTGAATGTTGAATTTTTCAGACTGACACAACTGGGTAATTTAAATTGGATATACATTGATTCAGTTCATGTTTCTTGATGTGTAGACCAAGAAATTGAGTAGAAGTCTTAGATATCTCAGAGAATCACAAATGTGAGAGAAGTCATATTGGCTTAACCACTTTCTCACTTTTTTTTCTTTTTCTTTCTTTCTTTTCTTTTTTTTTTTTTTTTTTTTTTCTGTTTGTTTAGTCAAGAAAACCTGGGACCAAGAAGGGACAATTTTTCAGCTTAGCACAGTAGTAAAGAACAAGAGCTTTGGATTCAGGCAGATCTAGCATCAATTTCCAACTGAGTCATTTATTAATAGTGGCATTCACTGTTATATATCTCTAAACCTCTATCAACCGTTTAAGCCAAAACACCAAAGGTTTATCCTCAATTTCTTTCTGCCTTAAAACTTTATATAAAATCCACAATTAAGTCCTGCTAAAATGAGTTCCAGAATATCTCTAATTAGACTATGCTGTCAATATCCACTGTAAATCCAAGCCACAATTATATTTTGCTTCACCTATTGCAATATCTTCCCTAAAGTTTAACCCCTTTTCACTCTTGCCTTCTCAAATTCATTCTTTGTAATACTGCCCTCTCTTTAAAATATGCATTATATTAAGTCACTCTACTTAAAAGACTTTTGTGGAGGATAGGTTTTAGAAGAAACCTACCTGCTTTACCATGATCCAAAAGGCCCTCATTATCTGGCTCCTGCCTAAGGCTCTGGCCTCATATCTCAAACCCATCCCCTATTCCAGAGTTAATATGATTTTATTTAAGTTGCTCAGGTTTTCAAGTTCTCTCTTGGTTCAGAGCCTTTCCCCTTTGCTTTTTCTCATACCTGGAAATCTTTTTCTTTTACTCTTCATATAGCTGACATGTTCTTATTATTCAGGTCTTAGATAAAACTTCGTGTTCTCATAGTTCTGGAGGTCTGAAATCTGAAATGGGTTCACTAAGCTAAAATCAAGGTGTAGGCAAGGCTGAATTTCTTCTGGAGGCTCTAGCAGAAAATCCATTCCCTTTTCTTTTCTAGCATCTAGAAGCTATTTTGCCCACCACGTTCTTGATCACTGACTTTGTTTTCTTCTCCAAATCTTGCTAAAACCATCCACTTTTAAAATTTTTCAGATATTGAGTCCTCTCTGCTAATATACTCTTTTTATTTTTTCTTTTAAGACTTTGAACACATTTTTAAGAACTGTTTTAAAGTTCTTGTCTGCTAATTCCAATATCTGGGTCATCGTGGAGTCTGACTGCTTATTTATCTTTCCTGTGAGAATATTCTCGGTTTTTATACACATGTAGTAAAATTCTACATGAACTTTAGTAGCATGTTTAGAGACTGGATTCATTTGTCTTTCTCTGAAAAATGTTGGCATTCGTTCTAGCAGAAAGTGTTGGCTAGCAACACTGACCCTGTAGAACCCTGGTCTTATACTTTTTGGGATGAGACTATTTGGGTTTTATCCTTATTCTCATTATGAATTCCTTATTCCTGGCATATAGATTTCCTTCCTAAAGTGCATCCTTTCTGAAATTTCAACAGAAAGCTCGAGGTTTTTATCTAATCTCTCTAACTTAGTGGGACTCAAATTCAACTACCCTGAGTTGAACTACCAGTAGTTTTAGTTCAGCTAACTTGAGACTGTCATACTGTGTTATATCCAACCTTGCCAGTTGAGAGGTGACATGGAGGAGATCCTGGGCCAGCAGCTCTAGCTGAGCTCTCAGCTGAGAATGAGTATCAATTTGACAGCTATGTAAGTGAGGCTATTTTGGTAGTAGATCTTCCAGTCCCATTAAAGCTGCCCCAGGTGACATTACATGGAGCAAAGAAAATCTATTCTCACTGAGCCTTGCCCAACTTGTAGAATTTTGTTTTACCCTAAGTATTTTCATTAAAAGCTAAATAATATGTCAATATATATTCACATATATATTATTCACACTTTTGACAAAACAAATACTGAACCACATAAATTTTTAAAAATAAAATTATTCATATGCTGAACACACACAACTAGCCCCCCAAAATTAATTCCATTAACAGTACATGGATCACTGTATGTATATTTTCACATATCATACATACATAAGCATGTATTTACATAAACTCATATGTATTCATTTATAAGTAAAGTTACATAAGAAGTTTTAAAAATATTTTCTACTACATATCTGATAATTTCTATACACCTATCAAAATGAATATGTTTACTTTATCTTATTCAACTGTTGTGTTATTTATGCTATACTTTGTATTATGTATATGCCAGAAGTTAAGAATGAGTATTTAGGTTATTTTTAACTCCGGAGGTCATCAATACTGCTCTAATAAACTTTCTTGTGTAGATGTGTACACACACAGAAATATTTCTGTATAATAAATTTTTACAAATAGAACTCACGTTAAGAAATTTACACCTTTTAATGTTTAATTAGAGACTATCAGTTGCTGTTCACAAAATCAATCATGTGTAACAGTCTTTTGTATACTAAACTCTTACTAACACTAGACATTGCAAATCTGAAAAATATTTTTGCCAGTATCATAAGCCAAAGTGACACCTCACTGCCATTTCAATTTTCATCTTCATATTTTTGTATTTCATTTTTTGATTTTTTTTTGTATTTCATATTTTTTGTATTCCATTGCCCATATGTATTTCTTCTGTAACATGATCATTCTTGAATTTTTCCATTTTTGAAATTATGGTTGTAATTTTTCTACTAATTTTTAAGGTATTTCAGAAATGTTATTCATGGTAATTTTTTGTCTCATGTATGTTTGAAGTATTTTCTACAAATTTGTTGCTTTTTTGTTGATGGTTTCTTTTATCATCCAGCATTTTAAAAGTTTTGTATAATAAATGTGAACAAGTGTTGCCTCTGTCCACTCTGTTTATCACGGCAGTCAAAAAGTCTCTCTATGTTTAAAGACATGGGGAATAGACATCCATCTCTTGATAGGGAGTGCTGATGTTCTGCAGACAATGTGGTACCAGAAATATTGCTCTGGACTTTTTATGAAAATACAGTCTGCCACAGGTTGCATTTCAAAAACTACTTTAATTGACACACACACATACATATATATATATATGTCACACACATACATATACATAGACACATATATGTGTATAGCTACAAAGTGTGTGTAGATTCAAAGAGATACAAAGTTTGTGTGTGTGTGTAGACATCAAGAGAGGGAGAGAAATATATAGATATAGATAATATAAACATAGATAGATATGGAAAGAAAAGTTAAAATCATTTTCTTTCAGAACTTTGAAGGTATTGCTTCATTGTTTTCTAAAATCTGTTTTGCTAAGGGAAAATCTGTTGCCACTTTGATTCTTGCTTGTTTGTAGATAATCTGAGGGGTGTGATTGTGTGTGTGTCTCTCTCTGTGTGTGTGTGAATGAGTGTTTAATTGCTTGCTTGTTTTTCTCTGCTAGCATTTTTTATTATAATTGTATCATTATCTTCTTTGTTTTGAGATTTCACCACACTAAGTCTACTTGTCTGGTTTTTTATCGTGTCTTGATAGACGTTTCAGTGTGAAGATATGTCTTCAACTCTGAAGCATTTCCTCGTCTCATTTGCGTGTTCTTGTCTTTTGGAATGCACTTTCAATGGATAGTAGGTCTTCTCAATGTACCACCCATGTCTTCATTTATCTCTTTGTCATTTTGTGCTGCCTGTTGAGCTATATCTTCCATTTTAATATCAAGATTCTATTGCCTTAAGGAATGTTCTACATAAAAATGTGAACCTGGTAAAGAAAATCAACTTTTAGTAACTTTTCTAATCGTCCAAAATTACCAATATACTCATTCTCTTTGTTGACAGTTTGTGTGCTTTAAAAATCTCTATAGGAGTCTCAGGAACTACTGAATTGTAACTCAAAATCTTTCCGCAAATTACTTTGTTAAAAATGTTTTGGATAGGTGAAATACATTTTTACTACATAAACACAAGCCAAAATGGTAAGTTCTATGAAATTTGAATATCACAGAAACATTCTGTGGGGTAATGGCTCTTAATTCCTTAGCACAGTCTTTCAGCTCACTAATTGTATCTTCATCTTTGATATTAATAATTTGGTTATTTTTACATAAATTTTATATTTTAATGATCAGTTTCTTCTTATCACAGTTTATTCTTGTTATTGTTAATGAATACTTTATCATACCGCCTCTATCTGCAGTCATTGCTTGTATTTATTTTAGTTTTCTATTTTCCCTTTTAAGTCTGTTCTTTGGTAGCTATTTCTTATATTTACTTGTTGGGTCCCTTTATTTCATGGCATTATTTTCCCTCAAATGGTGGGTGATTTTAGATTACCTGTTCTTATTTTCTAATGAGTTTCTAATTTAAATAGCAAATTCCTTCAACTAAAATAAAAAAATGCATTTTGCCTTCTTATAAGCTTTTTCTTGCTTATGTTCATTATATAATTTGTTCAGTTCTGGTTTTTCTATTAACCCAATTCCAACTATTTGCTATCTTATAAAATTACTCATAATTTCTGGTTTATATCTTTGGTGTTATAATGTTTACAGTTTTTTTTTAATTGGAAGATTTCTATGCAATCTACCATTTTGGCCTAATCTCCACCAATTTTATAGCCTGTTGGTAAAATCTTTCATATAAATTTTATCTCTTTTCATTATTTTTAAAATTCTACATTTCTATTGAAAATATGGTGACTCCAGTGTAGCACTATTGATGTATTATTTGCATTAGAGGATGATTTTTAATCCAGACATGCTCATTTTTCTAGCTGTAAGAATTGGACTAATTATTTGTTTTTTTATTTTCTGTGCTTCCAGATTTAAAATATAGATATAATCTATTATAAAAGCCCAGACCTATTTTCCTCACTGGATAATCTGCATGTTGAATCAAATGACAGAAGTCAGATTCTACTACAGCATAAGATAGTATATAGGAAAGGTACTCTTATTTGGTTCTTTTTGATAAATTTAAATCTCTTTGAGGGCAAGGATCATGTTTCAATTTTCACATGTATCTCATGCCTATGCCATGAAAGAATTACAAACATTTTCTTGTGTTTTATACCTTTGCACAGGTTGATCCTCCTGCTTATAGTTCTCATATTCCTCCTCCCATGGCTGACTCCTATTCTTCTTGAAGACCCAGTTAAAGGTATGCCCTTCATGGAATTGCTTCTCTATTGCCCAACCTCCTGCAGATGTGCAGCCTGTAGGCTAGACTGAGTTGAGTGTCTTCTTCCACCTGCTCTATTCTAGCCAAAGCACAGCTTAATCACTTAATTTACTACATTGCCTTATAAGTGTCTGTGTGATGAAACAGAGAGATTATGTACACTCCCCAAGGTCACACAGTTACTCATTTTCAGGACCAATATTCAAATCCAGAAATTTCAGCTCCAAAGTGTGAGCATTTAATACTATGCTTAAGTACAGGCTTAATAACACTAAATGAATATGCATCAGAAGAGTATAAAGCATACTGTGAGTGCTAAAACAGATATCATAGATGCTAAGCTATCCTATTTTGTGCATTCGTTTGTAACATTTAATATAAAAAGCTATATTTATACAGGTAAACTGGATAAAGCCACATAATTTCTTCAGAGGTCTGTAGTAAATTTCCTATGACAGTTATGGATGAGAAAATGGGTGCTTTAAATAATTTTTACCATTAAATTTAACACAGTATTTGCAGCACGCCCTGCTTATTGAGAATAAATTTTACCATATCGCTATTTTTTAAATTAAGGAAAATAATCAGTTACATTTGGATATACAGCATCTCAATATAAAGAAATGAAGTTACGTATTTGCAAAGGTTTTCTTACATTTTATGTAAAAACAGCTTATTTTTTTGAATGCATAGATATAATTAACCAAACTAGGATTGAGACTAGAGCATCAGTCAATTTTGTAATTCATTGGAAGAACTGCTTTTGTTTTGACCCTGCATACAAATGCAAAATATCTAAATTTTAAATATTTAATTGATTATATTTTTCTTTTAAAACTCTGTAGGTATAAATATTTGAGGTTCGCTTATATACATATGTATATTTCCACTAGGTTATGTTGGGGAACGGCAAGTGTAAAAAACCATGCAAATGTATTCTTTATTCTCATAAAAATTCAATAAAATAAACTTTTAAAAATACTGTCAAATAGTTAAATAGATGTTAAATCAAATTTTTGCATCAGAAATGTTCAGTAACTGAATAAACCAAAGCCTGAAAAAATGGCATCCTACAACACACACACACACACACAGTTAAATATGCCCTTTTCTGCATACTAAGGCATTTCATTCCAGCCTTTCTAACTCCCTGTGCCTGGAAGTAATAATACTACATATCTCTAAGTTTATTTCACTTCCTTTTTTTCTCTTCTCGAGCATTGTCGTAAAAATAAATGAATATTGTTCCACTGTGCATGCTTTTTACACTCTTCATGATGAGAATGGATTCATGATAACCCATTTATTTTCTTTTCTTCTAACAATCTTTGCGGCAGGAATGAGATGCCTGAATTTTAATGCCTAATATGATCTTTGGAAGACTATAAACTTTTAATAGACTTTAAACATAAAGTGAGGGAAAAGATAAATAGCAGAAAAGTCTGTGGTTTGATCCCAGGAAATCCTGATTAATCGCCCTCAGATTGTGTCAGACCATCCTGAATATTTTCTGAAAACAATTGGTTCGTTTTATTGCCAAATAAATTGTAATTGATGTTACCAACTTCTAACCAAATAAAATTCTAAATGAGTGAGAAGAGACATAAGAACATATATTTCCTTATGTGAGATAGCATTTAGGACATATCTCATTTTATTTGTTCTCTGTGCTATTTATTCCTGTTAGTTTTGTGTGATAAACACAACAGGTTTAAGATGACAAAGATTTTCTTTCAGACTGTACCTCCCTGTGAATCGTTCGTGAGTAACCATAAATTAACATAAGATCAGAAATATTCAATATTGTCTTTCATATCTCAGGGGCAAAATACTGACTACTTTCAGTGGTGTACAAGCACAGAATTTAAGGCCTCCTGAGAAGGAACACTCTCTTCTGCAATATCATCGTTAGCAACATTTCCTGTGTGATTTCATATTTTTGTTCTCTATTCAAATTGTTTCAATAAAATTAGACATTATAATATTTACAGCTCTTTATATAAATCAGCCTTTAAACCCGGAACAAAATGCACATGGGCTTTACAATCAGAAGAAAACAAAAAGAAGACTTAGGCATTAATACTGTGCAAAGGTTTAAATCATATATAATTTGTTAATATCCCTTTATTGACTTATTTTTAAAAATAAAAAAATGAAAATTTTTATTACATAAAAGAAAAGCAAAAACATCTCTTGCTGTGACAAAATACTATGCATTATTTTTCTAAAATTGCATCTCCCTTTAAATAGAGCAGAGAAGAAAACAAAACAGTTAAAAAAAAATTAGTTGGTATTGCCACAATATATGCAACCCCCTGAGCTTTGCCTTTTAAATCAGCATTCTGCTGTTAAATAATAAAAGAAAAGTCCCATTATTTTCCCAGCTTCACTTTGCTTAAAGTGATTGATGTAGAATTTTACTGCCATCCAATGGCAGCCGCCTAATATAGCTCAAGTAAATGTCTAAAGCCTTTTGATCAAATTACAGTCTAGGGAATTTAACTTATGTAGTACACTCAGAACTTACATCAATACATCTGTTTGTTACACAGTAAGAAAGAAATATCACTGCAGTTTCAATTTATTGTTCGTTCTCCAAATTCAATTTAACAGTGAATTACTAATATTGCTGAACACAATTACCTAAATGAATAAATCAACCTAGGCTACTCACTAGAGAGAACATCAGAGCATAATATTAATTTTTACATGTACCTCATCATATTAGTTTAAAAGGTTTCTTTTTACAACTAACAATCTTTTCCTACCAGGCAAAATAGCCTTTATTAAAAGACTGTTCTCAGTTTTACTTCTGTTATTTGGAAGACATTTGAATATTTTTACCTGATACTGTACATCATATAATTTCTGATTAACATTAAATTGCATACTGTTTTAATTATAATCTTCTTTCCTAAATGATTATTTAGATCATTTCTCAAAAAGGCAAAATAAAAATTATGTCTGATTGATATGAATGAGTTTGTGCTTAAAATATTCAAGCTTAGTTATTTAAAATTCCTGATTTGAGTTAAAAGAGTTGATGGGTAACAACCTAATTTTACTTTTCATTAACATTAACTAAAATATAATATATTTGAAATTATAGGTAATTGCTATGACAGAATTATTTTATTTCAATAAAACTTCATGAAAAGTATATTTTATGATTTATTTATATATAAATGACATTTTGCTAAAATATGAAGTTTAATTCAGTAATTAATTATTTTAAATAGAGGAAAATTTAGATAAGCTATCTGGCCTATAATATGAAAAGTCTTTTCAATGTTATTTTATTCAACTGAATGTTTTAAGTGTGTGTGTGTGTGTGTGTGTGTGTGTGTGTGTGTGTGTGTGTGTAAAAATAGCCTCAGGCCTGAAATACGTTTTGTACTCTGGAACATCTGAGACCAATAATTCAATGGAATTGAAACACAATAACATATTTATTTTAACTTACTTTAAATTAGAATATTTAATTCAAACTTCTCCTTCAGTTAAAACCTCACGTTATTGTTTTTCTAAAAGATCCCCAAATTAAATCCAAAACTTTTTTTAAAAAAAATCCAGACAAGACTTCATACTGAGAGAGATTTTGTAAAAGAGCTGAAAACAATTTAGGAATTTTGAATGGAAAGAGATAAACTGACCATTTGCTGATATAGATGGAATTTGAAGACTCGATGTTTACAGAATAAAGGACGAGGCAGCCATGCCTCTGTGCCTATAGTAAATTTGATTTTTGTTTCACATATTTAAAAATTATACCATCCATTTAAATCCTCCTTTATAACCAGATGATTTTGGTGTGAACCTCAGTTTTAATAATGTTTATGAAAGAAGTCTAAATTTTACTCTGCCTCAGCTCCATTATTGATAAGATTAGAAACTAGACCTGAAATAATGTCAATAGAAAACTCAGTTGCTTAGTGTACTTAGACATTGTTACGAGTTTGAGATAAACTAAATCTTATCAAAAGTCAATTCTACCTATACTATATTTTTGTGGTATATATTTAAATAGTATGAACTTATATACTATATATCCATATACATACTATAAAATGATGCTTTTAGAAAGTTTTATATTTGACCTCTTATTATTAAATTTAAAAAAATCAGTTTCCAGTTATGAATTATGTTTTAAAAGCCTCAATCATATTGTCCTCATTTAACTGATATTATGCTACAAATTGTCTTTACAAGTAAAGGACATTTTGCTTTTCTACCAAACAATCATCCAGTCTAACATGCACAATTAGTATTTTCTCCACCTACATGTATATTCAAGCAATTAAACTAAAATGTAAACAGAATCTGAAATTTTACTGCTTAAAACTCACTATGAATAAGAACATTTTCATTGATATATTTCTTTATCAATTCCTCTCTTTTTCTTATCCAATGTAACAAGAAAGGTAAGTTAATTTATTCTATGTAAAATACGGAGCGATTTTAGATGGATCAATTACCTGAAACATCTTGTTCTATAATGATTTTTGTTCCCTTTTCATTAGCAATAATACTAAGGAAAATTTAATTATTATTTGCAATGTTGTCATTCACTATGACTTAGAGAAGTATCTCATTTTTAAATCTCAAATATTAAGAAATACAATAATTTCAACTCACTTTTGCATAATGTGATAGAAGACTGATATGAGAATTAGTATAGAAAAATATCTAATGACGTTATGACTGTTGTCAGTATTAAAGGTATATGCATCTATATTTCAAATTAAGTCTTAAATCTAACTTTAGGCAACACATATTTTAATATGAAACTAACAATAGGTTGATGTATGATAATTTTCTTGTTTTAATTTTAATGTCCACCATTATGAAGTATACTTTGCGGTGCCTTTTTCAAAATAGAGAATGAAGTAGAAAAAAACAATGCCACATATGCCAGGAGATAGAAATGGGTGAGTTTCTAAGCTGCACATCTTTGATAATGTATATCATCAAAGACATATTTAGATATTTGCTTTTTGATTGAATAAGCACCTTGCTGCCAAATGTATACTCTTATATTTGCATTAAATTAAAAAAATATATATTTGGAATGAAGTCTGTTTACATTAAGGTTGTGATTAGTTACATCCTTCTGTTTGATTCCTTCCCTGAAAAGAAAAAATCTTACACCATGGGTAACACAATTCCTATGCCATGACACAGAAGTTCCCACAGCTTTCCTATTTCATCAGAAATGGAGAAGCCCATTGTTTTTGCAAGACAGCCATTGCTGAAGGCTTCTGCCAGCCATCTAATAAAATGATAGCTATTTTGAGTTGAGCCTGCTAATATCAGATCCTATCAAACTAAAGAATTTCAGAAGTACAGACCATGGTCTTTCTTCCCCCAAAGACAGCATCAAAATCTGATCAAGATAAAAGTAAAAACTTCTGATGAATATACACTACATGATTAAAAACCTAAGTCCCTATGGTTTAAACCTTGAAGACATTTTAATTATCTATTTAACATCTTGCTATTTCTGGAATTCTGACTGAGAATGTTTCTGACATAGTATTTCATGGAATGTCCTTCTCTCATACTGAGGCGCTTTTATACTCCAGATGTAAACACAAAAGCTTGCCTTTCATCTTTTTTAAACTCCATCACATAAAAGGAAAGGTAAAAACCCTAAAGACCACTTTTTCAGTGAGTCTCCTATATTGATTATATAGTCTCCTATACAGATTATAAAACTAATACATTTCTCTGAAATATGGAAATCTAACCATTTTCCTTAATTATTTTTGTACTTGCTTAAGAGTATATTTAACAATTCTTCATCATGATTGAAATTTATTTCTTTTAGAGGGAGAAGAAAGCTAATAGCACTTTGGATATAATATATACTAAGCTGTTTGCTTCTTTCACAGGAATTGTCATTATTCAAAATTTCCACTAATTTTTAAATGTGATCAAAGTAACCATATTATAATTTAAAAAAAACCTTTCCTAAAATTCCAAAGTAGTATTTGATAAATAAATTTTCACTTAAAACTATTTGCCTCAGCTAAGGTTACTTTTGGCTAAACTAAATGCTATGGAAACCTTGGAAGAAAATTTTTAGTACCATGTAATTAAGGGAATTAGTATCAAATTTTCAGGTACTTGACAATTAAATTATTCAGTTTTTACAAAGACAAAAGAAAAGGAAAACAACTATGACCCTTATTATATTGCTACAGTCTGATTTTTCTTCACATTTTTGTCATTTCTTTATATTTTTCACAGGCTTAGTTGCATGTCTCTATTTCTCTGTATATCTCTGAAAGATTAACTTATGGTTATGTAATTATATATTCATTTTACCTTTGAAAAGATGAATAGCATATCATGATGCATTTTACATTAGTATACATATCTCAGAACACACATAACTTTTGAACCTATAAAACTTTTTGTATTTGGTTAAAAAGTAGGAGTAATATTAAGCAACATTTGTTTACAAAATGTGATTTATAATGGCATTTGGATAACAAAAGATGCTTTCGTTTGGGTTTGTCAACCTTATGGCCCTGATGGTTACTCATAGGAGACAGATTTTATCTTAGAAGGGGGTATTTGCTAACTAGGATTGAAAGCATCATGGTGGTGGCATGCTCCCATATTACCACTTGAGATTCATTGCTGGCTGATCTACAGAGCAGCTTTGATTGCAGTTTTACCAAGCCAGATTCCTGCTGTCCTGGCTGCAAGGTTTGTTTTCTTTTGTTTGTAGCAAGAGGGGAAGTTATGCTTGATTTTCTACTTGCCTCTAAACTTTAGAGCTTAATTTTGGCCTAAGAAAGAGGAGAATTTCTTAAAGTTGATGTGTTTCACTTAGCTTTATGAAAGTGGGAAAAAAGAAAAAACAGTCCTTGCTGTTTTCTTGTTCATTTTTTAATCTATGAACTGCTGGATTGAAACTTTTTTAAATTTCCTGATAACCTCTGAATCAAAGTAAGTGAAGTCTCCACACTTGGAAACTAAGAAAAGACTTTCACAAAAGAAAGTAAGACAAAAAGAGAATATGGAGGTTATGAGGTGACCATCAGATCAGCTCTAAGTTCCTTTGCCTGACAGTCAAGACCCTTCCACAACTGGTTGGAGTTCCATTCTCTTTTCAGGGCTCAGCTCATGTTCCACTTCCTCTGTGATCTTCTGCACCTTTTCCTTAAGTAACTTTACTTCCTCTGGCATGAAGAAAATAATGTCGAGGAATATAAAATATTGAGTAGATTTTGGAATGAAATATTTAATTGCACAGCAATGTAGAAAACAATGGAAACTAGGATAAAAATTATGTGTTAGATTATTAAAAAATTTGAATGAATGACAATTTAAAGAGAGTTTAGACTTTAAAGAGCAATTAAAACTATGCTTTCATAACATGCTTGTCTCAGCCTCCCAAAGTGCTGGGATAACAGGCATGTACCACAGCTAAAAATACAAAAATTAACCGGGCGTGGTGGCACGTGCCTATGGTCCCAGCTACTCCAGAGGCTGAGGCAGGAGAAACGCTTGAACCCGGGAGATGGAGGTTGCAGTGAACCAAGATGGTACCACTGCACTTCAGCCTGGGGTACAGAGCAAGACTTTGTCTCCAAAATAATAATAATAATAATAATAATAATAATAATAATAGTAAATAAATAGAATGCGTGTATTTCACCCTTCAGTGTGGCTTATTTTTAGAAACAGATTACATTCTTTATGTCAGATAAGATAATTTTCATATATTGTACATCAACTTGTTGATCTCTAATTTCCAAATGTGCAATACATGCTCAAAAAAACTGTTGAACAGACTGAGGAATGAATAAGACTAACTGTAATATTTAGAAAATTGGTAGAACTCAGTATAGCATACATCATTCTAGCAACCCTTAATAATTCATACTAAAATATTAATGGATTTTGTTTATTCAAAAAGTTCATTGCAACTAACCTCATTCATTTCAGATATGACACTTAATTAGTTCAATAATAAAATTGTTAGCAGTATAGCATATTATTTTACTACGTATAAGCTTTAGAAAGTAAAAATAGTTTCTGTCCGAGTTTATCTTTATAAAAGACTTAGTAGTAAAGGCATTCCTACTTTCAGTTTCCTCTGTAAGGTGTTCCAAAGAGGGGACACATTAATAGCACACATTATAAACATTAGCTAACTGAATTTTTAAAAGATTAAATAAACAAGCACTAAGACATGCATTAAAATTTTATAAATAATTATTACTTATTCTTCATTAATCAGCAACAGCATTGATAAGTTAACAGGCATAGTTTTCAACAGGTCAGAGGGTGCTTGAGTACTCATCGGGATTGATTATGTGAAACCACGCCCAACTAAACCTTGAGAAAATGTACACATTTTATACACGTAAAAGAGAGTGAATGGCCCACTTAGAGATTATTTGACATCTCTACTTGGCCATGCCCCTTTATCCCTGTAAGAATGTAAGGCAGGCCGAGTTCTCCTGGGATGTTGAGGAGATAGTCTTTTTGTCCAGATTGGTTCATGTTTTTAGAAATTTTAATTTCTCACGTCACTCATATAACTCAGTATTTGTGTCTTATCTGGAGTGGTTGTTCTGGGGCAGCAGTTCCCAAACTTTTTGACACCAGGGACTGGTTTTGTGGAAGAAAAATTTTCCACCAATCAGGGGTGGTGTGGGGATGGTTTCAAGATGATTCGAGTACATTACATTTATTGTGTACTGTGTTTCTATTATTGTTACATTGTAATATATAATGAAATAATTATATAACTCACCATAATGGAAAATCAGTGGGAGCCCTTAGCTTGTTTTCCTGCAACTAGATGGTCCCATCTAGGGGTGACAGGAGACAGTGACAGATCATCGGGTATTAGATTCTCATAAGGAGTGCACAACCTAGATCCCTTGCATGTGCAGTTCACAATGGGGTTTGAGAATCTGACAGGAGGCGGAGCTCAGGTGGTAATACGAGCTATGAGGGGTGACTGGTTCCTAACAGGACATGGACTGGTACCCTGGTCTGGATTAGCTGACCGAGTGTCTAGAATCATCAAAGTATTTAAGGTGGTTAGTGTATCTAGAACAGTGTGTCCAGACAAGAAGGGATTATATATTGGGAATAGTTAGTCTCTGCTATAGAGTCAGTCGATTATGCCTGGTTGACATATCTTATGCTTCTTATCCAGATGGCACTTGGTGAATAAATATGGAATGATAACCATGTATACAAAATTAATCTTTCCCCAGTGTTTCAGCTGGGTTTGGTTTCGTGTGATCACATTATTCCCTCACAGAGTAGTCATGGAATACTATGCTCAGTTGAACCTTGGAGGAAACATGCATCACTGCTTTATATAACAAGAAAAATTGAAGTAAATTGTTTGTTTAATGTCTCCTAACTCTGCTAAAGCCACCAGAATACTTGCAGCTTGAAAGTTTATCATAGAGTATATATTTGAATCTCTATATATTTATACACTATGAAAATGACTGCCATAATAATAACAGTAATATAAAAGATTTTATTGAGCACTCACTGGAAATCAGGCGTCAAACGTAGAGTCAGAGATGAAATCACTTAGAAAAAAAATAAATCCATTTGCAGAAAAATTTTCATTGGAATACAGGTTTTAACATAACTTGCTCCTAAAATTAAATAAGTGAGGCTGGGTGCGGTGGCTCACGCCTGTAATCCCAGGACTTTGGGAGGCCAAGATGGGAGGAACACAAGGTCAGGAGGTTGAGACCATCCTGGCTAACACGGTGAAACCCTGTCTCTACTAGTAATACAAAAAAAAATTGGCTGGGCATGGTGGCGGGCGCCTGGAGTCCCAGCTACTCAGGAGGCTGAGGCAGGAGAATGGCGTGAACCCAGGAGGTGGAGCTTGCAGTGAGCCAAGATCGTGCCTCTGTACTCCAGCCTGGGTGACAGAGCGAGACTCCATCTCAAGAAAAAAAAAAATAAATAAATGAAAATAGACTAGAAATAAATTTAATTTATCAAATTTGTAATGTTTATGGTGGAAAATTAATAACTGCTTTGAATTATTATCAAATTAGAAGATATTCTCCAATTTCTACACATCAAAATTTCAGAGGTCAGGATAAACTTATTTTTGTTAGGGAGTCAGTGACTTACCACAAAGTCTCAAGGTTTGACTTAATTTGTGGACTTGAACTAGACAGAATGAGTCTGTTATTCTTTCTGTCATTGTTGTTTACCTTAGGGTACAAAGCATTTTAAAAATTTAAAAATATGATGTAAACTCTTATTCTTTTAATGCAGCAGGGTAAGGTGTTACATTATTTCCTTACAGACATTGTGAGAGGCACTTCATTCACTTATCTCTAATGATAAGCCCATGATGTTCACAGGGCACTATTTACTCATTGAATTTACAATTACATGGGAGGTGGAGTTTAATTTGAATTAGTAATACATTAGGCTTAGTAAATAATTTAGTGAGCCCGTTGAGAATGATCCAAAATACCAGCACCCACTTGTACCATATGTATGGTCAATATTATTTTCTGTTAGAGTCTCATGAGGAGATTACAGAGAAATTAGAAACTAATTAAGCATATAGAACCGAAGTTTTCACTCCCCAGTCCATTATATGCAGCCTATTACTCCTCCAGGAGCTTCTTAAACTTCACTTTAACAAGCTGAAAAGACATTATGAAGATGAATGTATCAACAATTCCAATACATATTTGCATCTGATTAACAATGCAAGAAGAAAGCACTCTCTGAACTATACTTGGTAGGATGTAGTACTTTTCTTTCTGAGATATAGCTTCCATTCCTTTTAACTGGTGAATGATAATGTAACTTTACATATTGCATTATTTTCAATATTAAAAAATTAGGTTAAGAAGCAGTCTGAATTAAAATAGAAAACAGGCTGCATTAAGTCAGTTTTACATATTCTAAATATGCAATTAATTTTCTTAAACATACTCAATAATGAATCAACTAAGTATTTTCAAGTAGATCTCCTTTCGCGCTTATGCTAATGAAAGGATCGAATTCACTTGTAATTGGCATCTGTTTGCTGATCAATGATTAGAATGTCAACCCTCTTAAAAATAATTTGTCAATTAAATAAGGTATAGTGGAACCAGGACTACATTGGCATTGTTCATAAAATAAAAAATTAACTTTAGTTCCTGTCAGATTCGATTACCACATTTTTCTTCTTTTATTCATGTGGTGAAGGATCACATACACAGGGCAGGAATCTGGGTCTGGAAATTAAAGTTGGAGTGGAGGCCAAAGAAAAGGGAGCAGGCTAAGCCTTGAAGCTATAAAGTATTGGAATTTCCATTGCCTTTTGAGATGTCTCAGATTTATCCCTCTTTTTCATCCTCACAGCCTCTGCTTGAGTTCAAAAGTGCATGTATCACCTGAAATAATATAACATCTCTTGTTTTCTTAACAGGTGTCTCTCTCCACTCCTAACTGGTCTTTGAGTTCTTCGCACTACTATCTTTTTTTTCACACTAACACATGAGTTTTGCTTTTAAAAACAGAAAAAAACAAATTTTACTTTCCTTCCTAAAAACTACAAATTCATTGAATAACAAATGTCTAACTTCAAGGTAATTATTCTGCATTTCAACCCAAATTTTTAATGACCAGTGACCTTCACACTCCTTTCCTTGGTCCACCTATGCTTGAATTTATTCTCAAATCTTACCACCTTTTTATCTGTTTTCCAGTGGGCCACAATATCTCATAGTTCTGAACATTCTCTTTTCTCTGCTTAGAATTGACGTAGAACTCTTCCCTCAAGCTCACCGGTAAATTTTACTGTCTTTTAAGATGCAGAAATAGTCTCTTATTTTTGAAAACTCTCTCTCTCCGTTTTTCTCTCTCTCTGTCTCTCCTGCTTCAGGTTATATGCTAGCAAAAGGACGAGGCAAGGATAGATGTTCTTTAAGGATAAATATTTGCCTGTTTAAAAAGCTAAGGACTGCCCAACCAAAATAATAAAGGCACTAACTTTGATAAGAAAGTCATAAATAGCATCAGTGACAAGGAGATCTATATTTGTTGTTACTGCTATTTCATTCAGGAAACCAAATTTTATCATACTAGGACAAGAGATGGCTAAACTGATTTGAGTGGAAAATATAAGACCCAATTTATATAGAAATACGTTTTTTTAATTAGTAAAGCTAAAATTGTAAGCATTCCAATTTACAATGTGAATTGTGTCTTTTATATAAAATGAGATAATGCAAGTAAAACACTTCTGTTTTAATTATAATTGCTACCAAGGTTATCTTTACTGTTCTTGTTAATATTACATTTAATTTTCCTGTATAGGCTTAGTCTAACACTTTCTGTACTAAATGTTTCTTTGGCAAAACTAATTGTTTCCTTTAAAGAGTATATCAGTTAGTGTATCAATACTGCTGCATAATCACTCATACCAAAACTTGGTGGCATTTTAGAGTAAGCATGTATTTTTTTTTTTTGCCTTCGTAGTTCCAGATAAACTGTTTTGTTTTGTTTTGTTTTGTTTTTTAACTCTTCTAAGCTTAGTTAGGCTTAGTTTTGTCTCAGTCTTCTTCAATGTGTTCTCCTAAATCCTACAGCTAACTTATTTTCTTCTGGTAAAGAAAAGCAGGAAGGCAAGAGGGTAAGTTCAATTGCCAAACACGTTTCAAGACCTTCCTTGTTTCCCATGTGTGAACATCCCATTGCCCCCTACCCAGAAGCAAGGAGCAGAAAAGCACAATTCTGCTATGGAAAGTGTGGATATTTGCTAAACAACAGGACTTTTAATTTTAAATAATGAGCTGTTAGGCGGTTTTTATTCTGTGGACAATGAGATTACAAGTGACTTGTACATGTTTCCTTTCTTCTAGAAATCCACACCCGGGTATCTACTAAAAATATACAAAAATTAGCCGGGTGTGGTGGCCTGCGCCTATAGTCCCAGCTACCCCGGAGGCTGAGGCAGGAGAATGGCGAGAACCTGGGAGGCGGAGCTTGCAGTGAGCTGAGATGGCGCCACTGCACTCCAGCCTGGGCGACAGAGCGAGACTCCGTCTCAAAAAAAAAAAAAAAAAAAGGAAATCCACACCCGGACAGCTTTTCCATTACTTTTGATTTTAGAGGTGTTTAGTTGCCAGGTCTTTTTCTCACTTTCATTGACCGTTTTCCTCCACTCTTCTAACCATCTTCCTACTTATTTTAAAGTCAAAGTGAATTATGTTTTGGCTGTCAAGGTTTGTTAATCTTGGACCTTACAATTATAAAGATTGTTATGTATCTTTCTAGTACGTGTGATATTATTATTATGGGAAAATATAGAAGGTTTTTATAAATAACTGATTTGAAATTATTTTGTAACATAACCCATTTTATGAGAAGAAATACCCTCTCGCAAACACATACACACTTAAACACACACCGCATGGCTAATTTGTTTTCTAATATTATAATTCAAATAAATATTAAATGTTAAAGTTGATTTACATAATCAGTAGAGATTATTTTTGGTTAAGTACAAGGTAATTTGATATGTTAAGTTTTTCCTTTTGTCACAATTAATTTATTGTTTATTTGTGGGGAATTTTATATTCCAGTTACCAAAAACAGTTATAAAAGCATTAATATACAATATCATACACATTCCATATGACAAATTTTGACATTAATTCATCTTCTGATTCAAAAATTTCTTCCTATTTTAATAAAGGTATGCATTGGAACTTAATCTGTTTTGAACCTTTTTAGGGCTCCTTTTAATAATGAACTAGAAAATTAAAATGTTATATTTAATAGTATTGCTGTTATAGCCTCATTTTAATAAATAGACTTAGTGTTCTTGAAATGGTAATATATGATATACAGGCAAGAGAACATTTTGGAGATTTTACTAATTTTGTTTAGATGGTATGCATAGTTCATTGTAGTGAAAGAGCCAGGAATTAATCAACACATCATAGATTTACAGAACTAAATATCGCAAATAAGAGGAATATGTTTCCCACATCAAGTAAGTCACCACGGAAAATTATTAACAAAGGCCTCATTCAAGAGGATTTCAGACACTAAACTACACTTAGCAGGATTAGTAGCATAGTATGGTACAAGGACACTGAATAAGATTATATGATTAATGTTTTATTGTGGTTGCAGTTAGGCTTTCATTGGTTATGGCAAGAAACGCGCCCCACTCAAACTTGAATTGCAGTTAGGCAGTTAGGATTTGAAGGAAGGCCCAGAAGGTACAATCAGGGCACAAGGGCAGAGTCCTGGATTTGCCTATGATCTTTCACAAGGTAACTTTATATGATAAGACAGCATATCTTCTGTCTTAAATTAGATATTTCAACCAAAATTATTACCTTAAATATATCTGTTCTTACTCTAAATTCTTAAATTCACTGTATTCAAGATTTAAAATTTAACCCGAAGACCCTTTAATGTTATAAATAAATATGAAATTACCTTAAGTTAAAATTCATTAATGGATATTGAAATAAATACAAATATTTTCCAAAATTCCTTTTTATTTTTTTTTTAAGACCGAGTCTTGCTGTGTCGCCAGGCTGGAGTGCAGTGGTGCGATCTCGGCTCACTGAAAACTCCACCTCCCGTGTTCAAGCGATTCTCCTGCCTCAGCCTCCCGAGTAGCTGGGACTACAGGCATGCACCACCACACCCAGCTAATTTTTGTATTTTTAGTAGAGATAGGGTTTGACCATGTTTGCCAGGATGGTCTGGATCTCTTGACCTCGTGATCTGCTCGCCTCGGCCTCCCAAAGTGCTGGGATTACAGGCATGAACCACTGCGGCCACAAAATTCTTCTTAATGTTGACATAAATAAAGTTCTCAGGATTATATTTCAACCTGTGCTTCAATAATGATCCCTCCGCTAGAAGCCTCTGGGAGTAAATGAATCAATGAGTTCCAATCACACCAAAATATTTCCAGAGACAGATTTACGTTTGCTTTAAAAAGTGGGCTCTTTAACACTTTTCATTAGAAGTAATGAATATCTGACAGAAGAGAACAAATTTTGTAATTCCTAAATAACTGACTAGTAGTGTCATTTTTCTATGTGAGACATTTTAATTCATCATGAATTATTCATGCACCTACCTTAATTTTAATTACCAACCCAACAAAGTTAAAAATCACACTGTACCTAAAAATATAAACTCTATCACACTGAAGTTGAGACTGCATTATTCTTTATACATAATTGCTATCATGCTGAGGTTGGGTTGCCACCTTTTCCTGTGAAACCATAAAGAGATTCTGTATGTTATTGGCTTCAACATATGTACATGCTAGTTTCTATTACCATTGTTAAAAACAGACTCTTTTGACAATCTTTTTTTTCTAATACTTTTCATCTTAGAAGGTTTATTAGTTTTACTTTACACAACCATTCAGCACACATTGCCAGTAAATAGATGACTTCTTACCAAATAATTGAATCTGTAATTTGTAGGAAGAACAGAAATCTAGGCTCCAAGAATCCCAAATTAGAAGCCCTCCTAGGAGTCATAGTAATTTAAAGCTCTGCCATAGTTTACTAGTGATGAAGAGATTCATAAAATTTTGTTGGCGTTACTGCATCTTTGACATTGCTTCTAGCAAGAGTAAGAGCTACTCAAGATAGATATTAGTTTCACCTATTTCACTTAAATACCCATGGATCAATGACACAACTCTTCAAAATGTTGTGGATTGCCTTTCTACAAGACAGGGAAAATAAACTATGACTGTATATTGTGTTCCAGACATTATGTATTTAATTCTCAAACACATCCAGATGAATACAGTTGGAATAATGGGTATCCATTTCTTGGTAAAATAAACTGCATTTTAAACTTTAAATTTTTAGTTAACATGCAAGTATAGTATTAACCATTATTCTTAATAACACTATCTTTTAACCTCATTGCAATGAAGAAATTTGTGGATGATATACAGACCATCACTCTCATGCCACTTGAGTAAAATTATAAAGGATGATTTATGGCAGGTTCTTGGGGAAGAAAATTAATTTTCACAAGTTTTCTAGGTTTCTCACTGCCAACTGGTCACTACTTGTAAAAAAATAGAAGACAGTTCTGCTGATTTAAAAATCGTGTATCAGTTGGTCTCAAATTTCTCTCTTCTGTTTTAGCTGAGGCCTTATTTGAGGATATTCAAAAAATTGCATTGTCTGTGTTTGTTTTTTGCTTTGTTTTGTTTTTAAGTGGGCACTATGGAGCCAGAACAAGGTACCTTGCTGCTCAGTTAAAGTTAACAGAGGCCATGACTGGTCTTACACAAGATCTAGGGAGCAGATGGGCCAGGAAAGCAGGGCCATGGTGACCAGCCATAAAAGTGTTCCCCCTGGGGTGTCTTAACAACAGCTGAAGCATTAGAGGCATTTCCTCTAGAGCCATCTGGCTTTGATTTTTTTAAGCTATTTTTTTTCCGTCGACAGACAGCCACAAAGTTAAGGAAGCAGTAATTCTTCTCTAGTTACTGTAACTGCTAGTGAAAAATCACCAGTCTCTAAAGCCAATTGTAGAATACATAACCCATCTGACTAAAGGGTGTTCTTCTTTAGAAAAAAAAAAACTGTATTATTAAAGAGGAATTTTGTGAAGTGATACTATAGTTTAAACTCAGTGTACATGTTTTTCAGGAGATCTTATAGGTTAAAGTAATGTTGGCTTGCTTTATTCCAGCTCACTGAAGTTTCAGTTATTCCCTTCTGCCACCCTCAAAAATGCTTTTTAAAAACTGAAACAAACTAATGGTACTCTTTGGAAAAGCACCCCTTTTCCCATCCCCACCCCAAGATTTATTTTGACAATAATTGAAATAATTTCGATGGTACCTCAGTAATGCATTAAGTTGGAATTTATTAAAGATTTATGAAGTTCTGATTAGATCAATGACTGCAGTTAGAAAAGCAATCTCGTCTATATTGTTGAAAAAGAACATTTTCCTAGAAAGGGGTTGTGGCTGGCAATGTTCAATTGCAAAAGCATTTAGAAGACAAGAAAGTGAATTAGCAGAGTGGGAAGAGATGGTGAATGAAGATATATGCAAATGTTTGCAAATTTTTGATGACAACCTCGTTCTAAATCATAGGTTATATATGATTCTAAAGACAGGCGATTGATGTCCCAACATCAACCTTATTGCCAGAATAAAACAAAAGGAGATGCCAGCCACAGGTGTCTTTCCTAAAATATATAGTTTCAAAACAAAAAAAGAGTGGATTCTAGAAATAATAAACTGAGAGGCTGAGAGTGAATAGGGGCTGGCAGTCAATAAGACTATCTAGAAATCACTAAAGAAATAAAGCCATACAAAGAAAAAATGAACCATATTTAAGAAGCTACAGGAACATGATCAGGTTATGCCACAGGGTGCAAGGTGGGTCTGGTTGGTTCAGTTGAACCCAGAAACTGCAAACAACATATGGATAATAGAGATCCACTTCTATTTGCACTTCCTGTGTAGCATAAGTTTGGCTTTCTGGTTTAATGGAATAATACAGTAACAGAGTTGATGATGATGACAAGCTTTCAGTTATCTTTAGCTTTCTGTGGCTCCTTGGTTTTTTTTTGTTGTTGTTGTTGTTTGTTTTTTAACCTAAAATACTGACTTTGAAGTGTTACTGATTGGATCATAATGTCAGGTGGTCAAGGGAAAGCAGTGGATAGTTCAATTTGGCTTAGTTTCTCTTTGATTTAAAACTTAAGACCATGAAAAGCTATCATCTCCAGCACCGTAACTGAGTAGGAGTAGTTCTACCAGAGAACAAGGTGATAATTAACTTACTAAACCACTCTGTTTTGAAATTTTAAAGAACTTAGTTGAAATAAAGGCAGTAAAGTCTACCAATAAAATGAGCTAAGATTTTCAGATCAAACAAAGGTAACAAATTGAAAAGTTTGAATTGGTGAAGCTGATATTGTGTTACTAATTTTCTCTGAGAAAATGACAACAAGCAATATATAGGACTATTAAGAAACAAAAAGTTACTTAATTGAATTTAAAAGCAGTTAGATGACTTTACATTGAATTAAAGATATTCAAAAAGTATCTCTAATTTCACAAAATTAAATTGATAATCTTATGACAAAAGTAGCTTGTTTTGATTTTTAACTGTCACACACCCCATACTCACGCATTATTTTTGTTAATTAATGAAAAAGAACTCAAGTGTTACTTATTGACTTAGTGGCAAAATAATAAAAAGAAACTAACAAATCAAAAATTTATACACACACACATCTTAAGTGACTTAGAGGGTTACTTCTATGTAAACATTTTATAAATATATTTCAATCTTGTATCTTGTTCTTCTCTTTAAAAAATAAAGAATAAACACAGGCAGAATAAGAATTAACAAAAAAGAAATAAAATAATTTTTCAACAGAAGTAGAGAATAAGTCTGGACAGTGTCATTGGAAAATCTGTAAGGGTTAAACTTAAATGAACATACATAAGATGCTAAGGAGTATGTCTTAGAGCAGTATTTGCAGAGTAAGTACACTGTTTTCACTTATTTTATATGTGATACATTAGATAGGGAGTGCTAGGAAAGCCACTGCTTGCCCCTGCACTGATCCTTAGTCACAGGCTATGAGATAAGGCTGCCAGCAGTGGTGAAAATTAGATAATAGGTGTGATAGAGAACATTCGAATTGAGTGCATGGTAATACACATTTGCAGACATCAGGCAGAGTGCAAACGTTCCACATTTGCAGGAACTAGCTATTGATTTTTTGAAAAAAAATTTAAATGCTGGGAGTGGTAAGCTATACAATCACTGATCTAAGACATCTGGAAAAGCAAATTTATAATATACTGCAAGACTTGACACCTGAAACTTCACTGGTAGCCCATGCAAACATTCCCCTATGGTGACTATGGTTACCAATACTGTACTGTCTTATTTGAAACTTGTTAAGAGAGTGGATCTCTATTGTTCTCATCAAAAACAAACAATCAAAAACCCTAAATAGATACTAAACATAAATAAATTATCTTAAAAGCAACTAGAACTAAATGACAAATGTCCTATAATAAATGACATTTACACTGACAAGAAATTTCTCAGAAGTAACAATCAGATATAAGGAGTCAAATATTTTTAAAGTGATGAGGTAAAACAATGAAATTAAAAAAAATTATTCAAGAGTGAGTGTGAAATAAAGATGTTTTATGATATACCATACTTTAAAGGACATAGTACATACAGTTTTTTTGCTGAAATAATTTCTTAAAAATATGTTTTAAGAAGGAAGCTATTTCACACAAAAGGAAAAATGCAAGAAGTAAGGTGAGTGAAGAAATTGATAAAGAAGTAGATAAACCTAAGCTAGTAACCTAACCAAGTAAGTAATAACACTAACAATGAATAATTCAGCAATATATATTTATAAGGTGCAGCTAAAATTCTAAACAATTTGATTAGAAGGCATAATCACAATTAAATGATTCTGAGGCCTTGTGTCATTTGGAGCTATTTTACAAATTAGGTGAAGTCACTAAATATATGGACATAGAATAAACATTATTTAAATAAGCAGAGAAAATAAAGGATTAAGAAAGCTTTATTAGCTTGGTGCAAAAGTTATTGCGGTTCTTACCATCACTTTCAATGGCAAAAACCGCAATTACTTTTGCACCAAACTAGTAAACAGAAAGCAAGGAGGGAGAGGAAAAAGAAGCCTAAAGTTACAGACAGAAATAACTACAAAATATAGCTAAACCATAATGAAACACAAATATTAAAAAATCAATATACATGTATATATATAAATGTGTATACATTGTAGAAAAGGAGGTAGTCTCCACTACCTTGAATAATAATATTAGACAAAATATTTTTAATGCAAAATGCTTCTTTCAAGAATAGAGTCTTTATTACTTAAGAAAAGTCATATAATAATAGACTCAAAATATATTTAAGTGAATTTACAGTACTATTCAGAAAAGTTATAAATATAGCTTCAAAGTGGAAAGTTTAACAAATCTCTCCTAGTGATTGATAGATGCATAAGGAAAATATTTGTAAAAACACAGTTTTAAACCATATAATTGAAAATAAACCATTAGAAAACCCATAATCTTGTAAGGAAACATGAAATATTTAAAAAACAGTCCTACTCTAGACGTACAGTATAATCTAAATTTAAAAAAGATATTTTAAAAATATATAACATATATGCAATTTGAATGTCTTAAGGAAACTGGAAAATAGAGATAAAGACAAAATAAGCACTTTATTTAAACTTATGCTATCCTAATAAGGTGTAATACAAATCAATTTTAAGGCTTTAAGTGAATATTTTTAAAAGAAAAATGGACTGAAAATTCACTACCTATTTCCCCATTCTTAAAAAAAAATTATGAAAATAAAAAGAGAGTAAACTCAAAGAAAGCAGGAGAAAGAAGATACTGCATAGTGGAACTGAAATTACCAGAATGGAAACAGAACAGAAAGGGCCAAGAGAACCAAAAGATGCTTCTTCGAAAAGATGAATAAAATAGATGCTTCTCAAGCAAACCCACAGAAGAAAAAGAAAGATAAAAGACAAAAGAAATTAAGGAATGACAAAAAATACAAGTTTTTTTTTTTTTACATCTAAACATATACTATGGCCAAGTAATGCTGATAAATTGTAATTTTGTTGAAATGAACAGCTTTCAGAAAAACTACTTACCAAAACTAACTCAGTGAGAAATAGGAAAATCACACATAGAACCTTTCGTGAATCAGAATCAGTATCTAAAACATATCAGCGTCAAACTAAATGCAGCAATACATAAAATAAACAAAATACTCATTGTACTATTAGAAGGTGCCTCCCTGCACACACAATGATGGAGTATGGTTTTAGGATTAGCAAACTTTAGAAAAATCTGTATTTTATTACATTAAATAGAATAAAGAAAAAGTTATGTTGTCCTCTCACCCCATGCAGGAAAAAAGCTCTTGAAAAAATTTAATATCTATTTGAGTTTAAATCAAGTCAAACAAAAATCCTTAGCAATCTAGGACTAGATGAGACCTTCTTTAACCAAATAACAAATTTATCAAAAATTCACTTTAAATACCACACCTTAATGATAAATCTTTAAGACCATTTTATTGAAAATCTGGAATAAAACAAAGACTCCCAATATCAACACTTCTATTTAACATTATTTGGGAGATCCTAATAAATATAATGTGACATAAAATATAATATTGTAACATAGGAAAGATAAAATACATTATTTGCAGAAAATATGACATAATTGGTTACATAGACAAATCAAAAGAAAACATAGTTTATCAGTACAAATAAGAGTTTAGTGAAGTGGAACATTAAGAAATATTGATTATAATTTTATTTGTATGATCAAGAATTAATTTGAAAATGCCCCTTTTAATTTATACAGTTTACAAGAACAAAATTACCAGCCATATAAAAATGAATGTAGCAACAAATAAATAACACTTTCAAGTAAAATTATTAAATTTTATTAACAGACATAATAAATGAAAGCCTATATACATAAAGAGGTATACCAGGCAACTGTTAAAAATATGTACATAATAAAACATCTCTCTCTAAATTATTATATAAATTTAGGCAGTAATAATAAACATTACAGCAAGATGCTTCAGGAACACTGACAAGCTGATCCTAAATCAGAAATTGAAAAGAGCTAAGGCTAATTCAGCCACATTTAGAGAAAGAAGGGGACCAAGATGGTGTTGAAGAGAATGAACGAAAAGGGGGCACAATCTGCCTAACAGTGAACACTTCTATAGAGCTATTTCTAAACAACATAGTATAGAATAAACTATTGCAACTAGAACATAATAAACAATCCAGAAATAAATACACATATAATGGCAAAAGTTACAGTCTAAACAATACTGAAATAATGGACTATTAAATAATATCCTGAGAAAAAAATTGAAGGCACAGTGGACTAAACACATTTTTTTAATGACAGATAAAAATAAATCCTTATATCACAGTATTCACAAGAGTAAATTGCAGATGATTTAAAAAAATACATGTAAAAGGCAAAGCTGCTAAATTGCTGGAAGAAAATATTAGAGAATAATTTATAATATCAAAAAAATATTGTTAATAAGGTTTAAAAGGCCTTAAAAATAAAAATTTTTTTAAAGTATACGTACTAAAATTAAAATCTTCTTGACAAAAGACACCATGAAAAAATAAGTTAATCATATCACTAACTGAAAAGAGATGTCTATAGCACAAAGAGTTAGTATGAAATAAAATAATACATGTAAATCTATAAGATAAAGGCTAAAATATAGAACAAGAGTGAAGGATATAAACAGGCACTTCACAGAGGAAAAAAGCTGCATGGTCAATAAATACATGGAAAGAAAATTAAAACTACAATAAAAATGCCATTTTTTAGCTATGATATTGACTAAAATTTAAAAATCTAACATAGTCAAGTGTTGACACAAGGGTATGGGGAAAGCACGAGCCTTCAGGCATTGTTGCTGTGAACTGACATGGTCACTTCGGAGAGTAGTTTGGCCATGCTTGGTAAATCTGGAAACAGGAAAATTACCAGGAGATTTTATTTCTTGATATACACTTTAAAAAAAAACTCTCATATGTTTGTAAGAAAACACAGGACAAAAAGTTTTGGGGCTAAGAAAAAATTAGTGGAAAAATTTAACTCTCTTTCAATGGAGAGAATGTATGAAAAAATAGCTTTTCTTTCATATAATGGAATGTAATACAGTAGTTAAAATGAATGACATACTGTAAATATAAGCATCTGCAATTTCAAAAGTATAATAATAAGTTTAAAAAGTAAATTTCAAAGGGATACCTATGGTATGAAATGTTTATGTATTCTTTAAATACCTCCAAAGCAATACTATATATTTTCTCTGGGTAAATATTTACTGTATAAAAATATATGTGGGAGAAATACACACTAACTTCAGGATAATGATTACCTCCGGAGAGAAAAAAGGAAAAAAGGATGGAGGTAGTGTACAGCTTTCACTACTCCCATAATATTTATTTACTTTTTTGATTTCTAAGAGAAATGAACTGATACGGAAAATGTTAACATTTAATTACTATATTACATGTAATAAACATATCTTATTTAGTATGTAGCAGTCATGGCTGTACGTGCTTTACAAATATTACTTGATTTAATTCTAACAATAAAATCTAGGAGATAGCATTATTACAAGGCTGATTTTGAGGATCAGGAGACTTGGGCAAAGAAAGTTTAAATGGCTTGCCCAGTTTCACATAAAGCTAGATTTTGAAGCCAGGTAGTGTGTTTACTGATATCATGCCCTTTCTTGTGTGGCTCATTTCTTCAACATCTGTAGTACCTGTACATGAGTATTTATAATATAATTTTTCATACTTTGGAATATTCTGAAAAGTATCATAATTGAAAGGAAACAATTAAAAATGAAAATGGAGGAAAGTCTGCTTGCCGCTATTAAGAGATAAATGGAGCGTATATATCAAAAAAGCCAGTTGATAGAAATAAGTCCCAAAATATCAGTAATCTTAATAAATGTAAATGGTCTGTACTCATTCATTAAATTTCAGCTAAATAATATTTACAAGAGAGCAGTCTAATGCATCAAGACATGGGGACTGGAAGTAAAAGGATAGAAAGAAATAAACTAGGTAAATATTAACCAAAAGATGGTATGTTTATATTAATTTTATAAAAAGTAGGCTTTAATACAAAAAAATAATAATTTTTAAAGATAGAGAAGGCAGCTCCATCACGGAAGTCTTTCTTCAGCAAGAAGATAGTTACTTAAAATTTGTGTGCACCTAATAAAATAACCACATATATACACTCAAAAATGATAAAACTTCAGGGATAATTTTTTTTTAATCCACCCTTCTGGTAATTTTATGTGTCAGTTTGACTGGGCCGTTGGATGCCCAGACATTTGGTCAAACATTATCCTTTTGTATCTGTGAGGGTATTTCTGGGTGAGATTAACATTTTACTTGATAGACAGAGTAAAGCAGATTGCTCTCACCATGTGGGTGAGGCTTATGCAATCAGTTTAAGTCTTAGGTAGAACAACAAGGATGAAATAAAGGGGAATTCCCACTGCCTGTCTTTGAGTTGGAACTTTCTGGTTTTTTTGTTTGTTTTGTTTTTTCTTTATACTTTAAGTTCTGGGGTACATGTGCACAACGTGCAGGTTTGTTACATATGCACATATGAGCCATGTTGGTGTGCTGCACCCATTAACAAGTCATTTACATTAGGTATATCACCTAATGCTATCCCTCCCCCACCACCCCCCGCCACCCCATGACAGGCCCCGGTGTGTGATGTTCCCCTTCCTGTGTCCAAGTGTTTTCATTTTTGAATTCCCACCTATGTTTTTATGCCTTTAGATTCAAACTAAAACCTTGGCTCTTCTTGGATCATGAGGTTCCCAGCCTTCAAACTGGAACCACACCATTGGCCATCCTGGTTCTCAGGCCTTTGAACTCAGACTAGAACTATGCTACCAGTTCCCTTAGGTCTCCAATTTGCCAACTGTAGATCTGAGAACTTGTCAGCCTTCATAACTGCATGAACCAATTTTTTATAATCTCTCTCTCTCTTTCTCAATATATATATATATATGTACACACACATATACACGAGTGAAGCCTTGTGTATATGTGTCCACATATGCAGTTACACATGCATATACACATGCACATACATACTATAGTTATTGCTACTCTGGAGAAGCCAGACAATACAACCAAAAAAGGATTAATTCTATAAAAATTTCTTGAAGATTGATGTCAAGGTTATAAAAATCATTAAAAAACAAGTTTTGAAAAAGTAAATAAACAAATTTATTCTGATAGTTATATATCAATTTCCAAATACAATAATTTGAGAGAGAATATTTTTCTCAAGCACAAATAAAACTTTACTACTACTATTTTACATTTAGTCGCATACTAGCATGTAAGCAAGTCTTAACAAATGTCAACTTAAACACCACCAGTTCTTTGACCTCATGCAATTAGGTTGGAAGTCAGTTGCAAATGATTTAAGTCCCCATTTATTTGAAAAAGTAAAAAGCATAATAAAGCAGTTCTCAGGAATTTTATGAATCCATACATCAAAGAAAATAAAAATTAAAGCATTCAAACGTACTCACCCATGCATACAAAGATACCTGTACAAGATCTTACTGTGTTATTGTTTGTTATAGCAGAAGCCTTGAAATGACATAATTGTTCATTATGAAAGAAGGAAATTTTAAGTAAAGTATTGTACATCCAGAAAACGGTATGCTATAGTCCATTAGGGCTATTAAGGAGAACATAGTTGCTCTTTGTTGATTAAAGTATTATTAGGAGAAATAAGTTAGGTACACGATAGCATATAGAGTATACAATCATTTTTAACCTAAAAGCATGTATTTTAATATAACATATATTTCTAAGAAATTAAACAAACTTGTATTAGGGACAATTTCAGAAGGGAGAATTAGACATCTGGGCTGAAGTACTCTTTGTTATTCTCTAGTTTTTTTCTTTCATTTCCTCCATACATTTACAGTTTAAAAATACTAGTTAAAATGAAGAATGAATCTAAGAATGCCAGCCTAAAAATATCTCTTCTGTTTGGGATTCTTCCACAGTGATTTTTTTCTTTGGTTTTAGTGCTGGCACGTGCATTGGAATACCCTTCAATAAAATCCATCCTCATGAAAGTGTACCATATAATGTCATCAGTAAATTAATATTTAAAAAATTAGTTCAGTTGTCTAAACTAAAGACACTAAGTGCAGGGAAAGGAAAGAAGACATCTGGAATGCAGAAAGTGAGTAAAAGACATTAATGCTTGACTATGTCACAATTTTGCTCTGACAAATTTCATGTAGAGACTTCAGCGAATGATTTTAACTATTGAAAGTTTTCCTGCAGTCCCTATTTCTTCAGATAAGAGTCTCAATATTACAATATTCTTAGGTGTAATATCTGATCTGAAAGGAAAAAAGATTGAGGTTCTGAGAAAAGTGAATAGAAAACTCAGATGAAAGTGTGTTTAAAATAGGCCTCAAATTTAAAAGCTTCAAATTTACTTATACATAATTTTCTTGAAGGCGTGCATAATTTTAATTTTATTGTAGTCATCACCTTCAGACACTGGTTATTTTGGAGAAGCAATCACAGAAATCTGAAAAATAAACGCCTGACGAGAATACTAAAATTAACCACATTCCAGAAGCCCAACTCTGAAAAGCAAAGGTGTTTCAAATATAACAGGCCAAATTCTACATTTCTCCTCTATTGAGAAATATGATATCACACTTATTAAAAACAAATGAAGTGTTAAATAAAAAATAATTGGATTAAGAGGAGTCATTATATGGTGAGTTAAAATGACACATGAATAAATTGAGAAGAAAAGCAAGACGGTGACAGAAAACATATTTATTAATTTAGAGTAATTATTTTTTGTCTATATAATATTGGCATTAAAAATAATTTACTTTTATATATTTACTTCTAGCATGTGAGTGGTTTTTACTTTTTACGTTTGGATATCTGATCGAGGATTCTTTATAAATTTTATTTTTTCCCAAATTAGCTAGCTAATAGCTAGTTGTCTGAAACCCTCTCACTAAGTAGTTTGTCTTTTCCCATTAACTTTAATATGAACTTGGCATGTATTTTGTTGGCTCTTTTACTATATCTCCAGGTGTTTACATTGTTCAGATCTCAGTCATGGATCCTCTTTGCTGTTTGTTTGTTTGTTTGTTTGTTTGTTTGTTTGTTTTTTAGGGCTTAAACACCCTTTTTATGCTGACCATTAACAAATTTCTATCTCCAGGCCAGATCTTTATTCTGACCTTCAGACTTGGCATATCCATCTGATTGCTTTACTTCCCCTCATATCAAAACCAGACCTTTATTTCATCCACAAAACATGTTTCCTCCTGAAGTATTTCACTATTTCAGAAGTTCACAGCAGCAAATACTCTATATTTCAAGCTAGAAATGTAAAGGATAATTCTTGAGGCAGCATTTTCTCAGTGACTATTTTTCACATCCAACTCTTCACAGGCTGTGTGTCCTGCCCAAACATTATATAGACTTAGGCCGGGCATGGTGGCTTACGCCTGTAATCCCAGCACTTTGGGAGGCCGAGGCGGGAAGATCACTTGAGGTCAGGAGTTCCTAGACCAGCCTGGCCAACATGGTGAAACCCCGTCTCTACTAAAAATACAAAATTAGTTGGGCGTGGTGGGCAGCTGTAGTCCCAACTACTGGGGGCTGAGGCAGGAGAATTACTTGAACCTGGGAGGCAGAGGTTGCAGTGAGCCAAGATCATGCGACTGCACTCCAGCCTGGGCAACAGAGCAAGATTCCGTCTCAAAAAAAAAAAAAAAAGAAAGAAAAAAGAAAGAAAGAAAAGAAAAGAATTATAAAGAACCCCAGCACTTTGGGAGGCCGAGGCGGGCAGATCACGAGGTCAGGAGATTGAGACCATCCCGGCTAAAACGGTGAAACCCCGTCTCTACTAAAAATACAAAAAATTAGCCGGGCATAGTGGCGGGCGCCTGTAGTCCCAGCTACTTGGGAGGCTGAGGCAGGAGAATGGTGTGAACCCGGGAGGCGGAGCTTGCAGTGAGCCGAGATCCCGCCACTGCACTCCAGCCTGGGCGACGGAGCGAGACTTCTCAAAAAAAAAAAAAAAAAAAAAAAAGAATTATATACACTTAGAAAACAACTAACCTGCACCTGCAATTGTCCACCTTTTTTTTTTTTCTTTTAGCAATCCATCTCAGTTTAGTTTCTTTACAGAACAGCCGGAGCTCTGCAACGTCAATGCTGGAGTAAGCACCATACTCTGCCAAAATTACTATTCTTTTCTTTGTCACCAGAAAAATGTTTCTTAGAAATGCTCACATGAGGCCAGGCATGGTGGCTCAGGCCTGTAATCCCAGAACTTTGGAAGGACGAAGCAGGTGGATCACTTGAGGTCAGAAGTTCGAGACTAGCCTGGCCAACATGGCAAAACCCCGTCTCTTCTACTAAAAATACCAAAAAAAAAAAAAAAAAAAAAAAAAGAATGAGCCGTGCGTGGTGGCCCGCACCTGTAATCCCAGTTAGTCAGGAGGTTGAGGCGGGAGAATCGCTTGAATCCAGGAAGTGGAGGTTTCGATGAGCTGAGATAGTACCACTGCACTCCAGTGTGGGCGACGGAGTGAGACTCCGTCTCAAAAAGTAAACAAGCAACAACAAACAAACAAAAAACAGAAACACCAAAAGAAACCACATGAAGCTATACTAAATAAGTTAAATGATGTCTTTGTTTTAGGGAAAAGTACAAGGCAAATAGGATCAATTGTCATTATATGATCTTTATAACTGCACCCTCAGGTAGTAGATATTTTAGACCCCACTTCATACACTTGAAATTTGGGTCTTTTTTTTTTTTTTTTTTTTTTGAGACGGAGTCTCACTCTGTCGCCCAGGCTGGAGTGCAGTGGCGCGATCTCGGCTCACTGCAAGCTCCGCCTCCCGGGTTCACGCCATTCTCCTGCCTCAGCCTCCCGAGTAGCTGGGACTACAGGCGCCCGCCACCATGCGGGGTTAATTTTTTGTATTTTCAGCTGAGATGGGGTTTCAACCGTGTTAGCCAGGATGGTCTCGATCTCCCGACCTCGTGATCCGCCCGTCTCGGCCTCCCAAAGGGCCTGGATTACTGGCGTGAGCCACTGCGCCCGGCCTCGAAATAGTTCTCTTCAAGTCTGATGTCAGATTATAAAACTGTCTCCTCCCACAATATTGTGCTATCTCCCTTTGAGAACCTGCTAGCGAATCAATGAGAATCAGAAATATCCTTTTGTAGAACATCTCCCAGCTGAGCCAAGGTCTAAATTTCCTGGAGAGATGTTACCATGTGCAATTTCACCAAATCTTTTACAACTTTAACCACAGTTATGCTTCAGTGGCCTACCTCTGTATCCAGTACCCACGCATCTGCTTTAACACAAAACAATTTGGAAGTTAATAAGCGTAATAACTCTTATTATAGCCTCTGACATCTGAAGATGCTTTCCAATCTTCCATGAATATGTGAAATTCAAAATGTCAGTCTCCAAATTTTCAATATAATCTTAGTTGCGGTGGAACATTTACAGGAGGTAATTTGCCACAGTGGTAAAATATTTTTGTTAAATACTGCTATTTTATAGCAAGACATAGCATTAACTGAAACACAAATGTGTCTCTAGAAATGTTATGTTCCTAAAGAAAATATTCAGAAATAGGTTTCTTACTTTTTGCTAAATTGCAAACTAGCAGGTTTCTTATGCCTGTGAAATGCTAGATTGTTGGAATAGTATTTATTAAGAATGGAAAAGAAAATAAAGGCAGATGATTTGAGAAGGAGGGGGTGAGCAAAAGATAAGGTATTTCTTCCTGATTCCTGATTTGCTTTTCATTGTTTTTTTTGTGTGTGTTTTTGTTTTTTACTTTCTCCTATGCGTCAAAGCAGAGTTTTCCAAACATCCCCAAATAAAAACGTGGGTCTTAAAAAAATTCAGATATTTCTTTTTTTTTTTTTCTTTTTTTTTTTTTTCAAGACGGAGTCTCTCTCTGTTGCCCAGGCTGGAGTGCAGTGACGCGATCTCGGCTCGCTGCAAGCTCCACCTCCCAGGTTCACGCCATTCTCCTGCCTCAGCCTTCAGAGCAGCTGGGACTACAGGCGCCTGCCACCACGCCCGGCTAATTTTGTTTTTGTGTTTTTTGTAGAGATGGGGTTTCACCGTGTTAGCCAGGATGGTCTCGACCTCCTGACCTCGTGATCGGCCCGCCTCGGCCTCCCAAAGTGCTGGGATTACAGGCGTGAGCCACCGCGCCCGGCCAAAAAATTCAGATATTTCTAGGTATTTTCCTTCAAAATCCTGGTTCTGTAATCTGAAATGAGACTTGGAGAACCAGTAGTTTAACAAGTATGCTAAGTGATTACTACCAAAATGACAATTACAAAATATTAGTAAACCATCCAGGAGCTAGGTAATTTAAAACATTTAATAATTGTTTCTTACTGTAAGGGTAAATGATTTTGTTAAAATGACTATTTAAGTGCAATATTTATTAAATGGATAGAGTTGAGCACTTTAGCACTTTCTAATGAATGTCTTTTAAGTATGTTTTCTAAAGTGGCAAAATTCTTTAGTTCATTTGAAGTTAGCATTATAGCCACAAAATAATTTCTAAGTTGGCTTGTTGAAAATCTTCAGATCATAAGTTCTAAAAATTATCTTGGGTATTTTTAAAGCTCCAGAAAAGCACTATTAAAAATATACGTAAAATACCAATATCCAAAAAAAATGACAAAAAACTCTCAGAAATATACAAGAAAAAATATAGACAATCTAACCCAGTAGAAGAAAGCAGGACAAGTGACTAGTTAGATCCATTTCAGAAAAGAGGAAAGTCAAATGACCAATAAAACATGACTAGATGCTGGAGCTCATTAGTAATCAGGGGATATAAGTCAAAACCACATGAAGTTCCAACTTTCATTCATTAGCTTGGCAACTGTTCAACTAATAATACCAAGTGCAGTCAAGGATGTAAGGAAAAGTAAGTTTGTTCCCTCAATCCACAGAACTATTTGAAGATATTTAGTAAAGTTAGGGTGACTAAAAACTTTATTGTTCAAACTGAAACTTTTTTAGAATATAAAAGTACTAAAATATAAAAAATTATTTCACATTTAATATATTATTTACTCACAAATTGTTTTTACTATACTGATGGGCCTATAAAAGAGTTCTCTTCAAACTATTTATGAAAAGAAAATCCTTCAAAAATTCAAAACCATAATTACTTATCTTAAAGCAAAACAGAAAAATTATTTTTATTTGTTACCTAAATATTAAAAAATAGCAGGCAGAATAATTATTCTGGAACATATTTATATGCATTAATCAGTTTTGTAGCCATAATTATCCATGGTTCTTTTCTACAAAATGTGTTTCTTTTCATTTTTCATTGATTTTTTAATAAAATTACTTTCAAGCTTTTCCAAAGTTGCTTCTCGTCACCAATAAAAAGGCTATCAACAATGTTTAGCTTTTTAACTGAACTTTAGAAAACATTTATCATATTGTTCAGTCTTTTACTCCTGGCAGAATAAACTTTCAACAGCTTTATTTTGGTTCCAATGATTGATTGAAAGATGGAAAATGTTTTAATCTAATTTTCCGTTAGATGGAAAACAGCATTATTCAACACTTTTGAAATTTCTTCTGTTGCTAATGAAGCTAACATAGTAACAATTATTGATGCATACTTCATAAAATCAGAAAAATTAGATTAAAATTGGATTAATTAATTTAAAATGCACACAATTTATTTAAAAACAGTAATTTAATCTAAAAAAGCCATGCTTCTCAGAATTATATGTTTACTTTTTCTAAGTTCACATATTAAACCTATGAAAATATCATCTTCAGGCATAGTTTTCTTGGCGTAACTAAGTATTCACTTCTGAAATAGCAGCATTTTTTTCCCCTCAGCTTTCTATCTTCTGGATTCCAGGATATCATTGTTAGCCTTGCGGTCCCAATCGTGGATCGAACTGAAAATGCCAACAAACACATTGTGCAAGTTTTGTGACTGTACAATGTGTTTGTTGGCTTTTTTCAATAACAATTGGATTGAAAGGGAAATTCAGTAATTTTAAACTAAATATGTACTTGCATTTTTTAGGTCATTGCTGCTGAAACAGATTATTTTTTAAAAAGTCGCCATTACCAAGCAATTTACAAATAAATAGTTGTAGGTATACGAGAGATGACAAAACCACTGTAGCCAGACCAATTAACTCATCTCTGTGTGCTCAGCGTCTATTTACAGCACATAATTTACATATATCTAGCCTATTACTTCCTTCATTTTTCCCAAACCCACCATATGATGGTCTGGCAGTTTCATGTAAGCAGACCGCATAAAAAACTACTGTCAAGTACTTCCTCCATCACCATGCAAGATTGGAAGAAGTTAGCCATCCCTAGCCACCACTCACTCAGTGGATACTGGTTTATTATCAAGCATTCTGCATGCTGTCCTTGAAAGAGAAGCATTATCTATGTTTTGTGTGAAATGGGTCAGGAAAACAAAGTTGATTTTCAGACTTAACCCCCTATTGAAGTCATAACTCTGTTAACATTTTATTTTCATCACATAATGGTAGAACCATGACAATAGCTGTAAGTATTAAGCAAAATCAACATTTAACAAACCCATGCTGGCTTTAATCAATGTAACTTATAATAATAGTTCATTAAAAATGAAAAATCCAGGACATATGTTAATCCAATTAGGATGGAGGAACAATAGTAATGAAGTGGTACTTCTGGGAGCAAATGAGGATATTTGGTCTCCTCAAAGTTAAAACTGTACATACACTGCAATCCAGCTATCCTTCCAGTATATTCATTAGAAACTCTCACACACGTGCACCTGGAGACGTAGAGAAGGGTTTCTATTGTACCATTTCAATAAACTCATTAGGAACATGATGGAATTCAGTAGAATAATAATGGTAGCTCTCAACAAGAATGTTAAGAGGAAAAATATGTGAAATAATACCCATCTGTGATATTCACATAAACATTGAAAATTCACAAAACACTAGTATTATTTAGAAAGACGTATTTTGATACATTTATAAAAATATAAAGGTAATACCAGGTTCATGATAATGGCACCTCTGGAAATGGAGAAAGGGAAATGAACTTGAGGGGGTGTATTTCAATTATAACCAAATGTAATGTAAATAGGACAAGATATGCATTAATTATTTCTAGGTGAGGTTAAATCGCTTTTTATTACATTGTTTTGTATTTATAATGTTTAAAAATTTTATTCAAAAACAGATAACTTTATAATGAACAATAGTTAACTTTGAATCACCTTGTGCAGTAATTGCTTCAAAATTTGTCTGTCCCCATTGTCACTTCCAAGAAATTTTAAAAAAATGGAAAACGTTTTTTTCAAAGAAAAACATTTTACAAATATAAGTGTGAAATAAAATATATAACTAGTACATCATTTTATTGACTCATTATCCATATAAAATGATGCAGTAGGAGGAAACAGAAGGGTATATTCAGAATTTGACTTATGAATAGAGGAAGTAATTCTATGTTTATTTAAAATATCTTCTTAAGACATACAAGTGGCCAACAAACATAAGAAAAGGTGTTCAAAATCACTAATCATCAGAAAAATGCATATCAAAACCACAATAAGATACCATCTCATATCAGTAAGAATTATTATTACTAAAAAGCCAAACAAACAAACAAATATGTGTTGGCAAAGACGCAGGGAAAACGGAACAATTCTACACTGTTGGCGAGAATTTAAATTAGTTCTGCACTATGGAAAGCAGTTTGCAGTTTCTCAAAGAACTAAAAATAGAACTACCATTCCACCCAGCAATCCCATTACTGGGTATACGCTCAAAGGAAAATAATTCATTCTACCAAAAAGACACATGCACTCTCATGCTCATCACCATAGCGAAGACATGGAATCGACGTAGGAGCCCATCCGTGGTGAATTAGATAAAAAATATGTCCATATGCACCCTGGAATACTACACAGTCATAACAAGAACGAAATTATGTCCTTTGCAGCAACATGGATGCGGCTGGAGGCCATTTTAAGCAAATTAACGCAGAAACAAAAAAACAAATATTGAGTGTTCGCAATTATAAGTGAGACCTAATTCATGAGTGCACACAGATATAAAGATGGGAGCCATAGACACTGGGGACCCCAAAAGAGGGACAGAGGGATGGGGCAAGGGCTAAAAACCTTCCTGTTGGGTACTATGTTCACGATCTGTGTGATGGGATTAATAGTAGACTAAACGTCAGTGTCACACAATATACCCTTGTAACTAACCTGCACATATACTCCCTGAATCTAAAGTAAAAACAGAAATAAAAAATAAAGTAAAAAACATTACTTAAAGAAATCCTGAGCAGATTACATCTTAGAATTGACATTATTATAGTGAGGAATGATTGGAACATGCTAATAAAATCTATATAAGCTTTATGGAAACAGTGACTAGTCTCCAGACTGTCTTTTAAAGTATAAAAGATGGGAATAGCTACCTTTATGCAAATTAACTAGACTTCAGTTGCGCTAATTAAGAGAGCTACAGCTTAGTCAATCAAATGCTAATAGATGAGTTATAATTGATGTCAAAATTCTACTTTATTAAATTACCTTTCAAATCATATCCCAAGTTTTCTTCTATTTTGAGAAACATCACTTTACTAATATATAGAAAAAAGATTGATTGTGCAGATTAGTATGATTTCAATAGAACACATTTCATCTTCAAATCTGATAAGAACTTTCCAATCCATAAAACACTGTAAGAGAAAACTGTGAATCAGGCTAGACACACATTTCAAAGAGCTGATGGGGTTGCAAATCACTTATGCCTCACTCTCGTGTTACCATGATAATGCTTAGCACTTCCATAGTGTTTCCCAGCTTCAAAGAGCCTACAAACTTTAACTAATTAATCCCTACACTACCCAGGGAGATAGTGATAAGAAGCCTCTTGAAGAGAGCATGTAACTATATAATTCACATTTGCTTATATATAGAATTCAGCATATACACCATATTGTGTTTTCCTATCTTTCTATTTCAATCCTCAGAGAAATGATATCCATATGTGAATATATGATGCATGGCCATCTATTGTGAATAAAATTTTGTACACTGCATTCTGTCTGTAACTAAAAGCTAACAGAGAAAGATATATGTACAACCAACACATAAAAACATCTGGTACATTCTGCTGTATTTTCTTTTCTTATTCATTTTACACCTTTTTCTCAGGTATTTCAGAGCAGACTTGCTAGATTTGAATAGGCTAAAACTTTTCAATGAGGAATATACAATTATCTTGTTAATTTTTATAATTATTTTAGTTATTTTGAAAGTGCATTAAAACTAAAGGTTTATAATTATGCTGAATAGAAAAGAATATCATATGTGAAACTTCACCCAAATGAAAGAATATTTAACTACTGTATTAAGAATTCTCTTTAGCAGGATTCCTTTCTCTCTGCAGGTAGCTGGCTACAGGGGTCTACCAAAACAAATCTATTTCTGCAGTAAAGGCCAACACTGGGTCACTCAGGAAAGAACAGTTTTGGTCTGAAAAGCACAGTACATCTTTTCCCTGAATAGGGTAAATTCTTATCCAGTTTTACTGTTCAACTAAAAATTCAATTAAAATTAATCATTTTCTTTTTTATGACAAACAAAATCTGGTTACTTTCTAATTACTTGTCCAATATCTAATCTCTATAACTACCTAAAATTACATAGACATACACATACACACATACATAAGAAACAGTACAATTGGAAGACCATCCAATGTGTACATGTGTTCTTTTTTTAAAAAAATGCTCTAATGTACCATTTGCATTAAGGTTATAGTTATAATTCAATCAATGAGGTATTTTACAGGAGTCCCTAGGACATCACTCGAGAAAATATGCATAATGTAAGAAACATTTCCCTATTCATACATTTTCCTAGAAACTAAAATTATACTATATGGCTAAAATGGTTAACTTTGTTGTCAAAGACTGATATTGGTTAAAGTTTATTTTTTTAAATATTCTTCTTATTTTTCCAGAATGTTTTGAAATATCCTTCATATATTTAATTTCGTGTGGGTATAGACAGCCAAAGAAAATGAAGAATACTGTTTATTCTCATAAGGTTATTATCTCCTGAGTGTCAAATTTGTTATGAAAGAAGAAATGCATCCACTGCTCCTACTTTAGGACCAGACTTTCCAGCAATAGACACTAAATGTGAAAATATCTGTGTACTTAAAGCCATTGTTCTGTAGAAAACACTATTACAGTCTGAGATTAAGCCCTAATGATTGGTCTTGAGATCTCTGAAACTTTGGTCAAACTAATTTCTAAGCTTATTTCTAAGGTTTTCTCTGTTGCAAAAATTATTGACTCTTTAGTCACACTCTATCCTGGAAAATCTAACCTAGTGGACCATTTGGTTATGAGATGGTTAAAAAAAAAAAAATCTTCAATGCAGACGGCCAGAACTATAGGGTTTCAAGGAAAAGTACTCTGTATAACAATATCAAAGTTTGTCTGAATTATGACCATTTCCACATTGGATTTATCTCTGCAGGTTAATATTCTTTCTTAGGGCCATTTGTATAAATTTTGCAACATTTAATGGGAGCTCATACATGGAGATCTTATACAAGGTAAATAATGAGATAGGTGTTTGAGATGGTTTAGCCTGGATGAAGAGGGGGCACTATTTCTTCTCTCTGAGTCTAATTTCTGATAAGACAAATTACAAAATGATTACGAATAAGAGTTAAAAAAAAACTTAATATTTTGTGTCCAAATTGTTGTTTTCTATCCTATAAACCCTTTTATGCTATATCTAAGACTTAAAATGTTTTAAACATTCGATTTTGGTCTTTAGTGCACCATGCATGGGGAACCCATGCAGTTGTGCCCTGTAAGAACTTATCTAAAGAAAGAAATCAATAACATGCATCTGAGAAGGCAGTGTTCCAGTGCCAGGATTTTAGCTGAGACATGTATAAGCCTCTCAGGAATTCTCAGAAGTATTTGGGAAAATGAAACTGGTTTACCAATGCTCTTTAAAAAGTTAAGCAAAAGAACATCCTAGAGTATGGTTTCCTGAGCAGAACAGTGAGAAAGGCGCATATGAATTTGAGACAGGAAAAATACATTGTGATTGCAGAATAGAAAATCCCAGGCAGCAGTTTCACATGACTAGCAAAAAAACCTTTGTCCAAAGAGCTGCATAAAGTAGATGCTGACAAGACTCCGAAAAACCAGGGTGAGGGCCAAGCTGGGTAAGAACAACTGTACCCAACATGGTGCTGGATTTGAGCTAGGTTTCACCTAGGACCTCATTATATGCTCGTTCACATACTAAATTACACATCCACCAACACCATGAAAGTTCCAGGAACATTCATATCTGGTGTAAAAATGGATGGCACCACAGTTCTGAGAAATCTCTACCATTTCCCAAAAATCATGAATATTCCACACCTTGGTTAAAGAAATCCATAAAGGGAGCAGCCCCAAACTCCCTTGTGCAACTCTCGGGGGTAGGCATACACTCCCCTTTCTTGAGTGTGTATTTCATTTTGCAATAAATCTCTGTACTTTCACTATTTTCTGACTCATCCTTCACACTATGGTGCAAGAGCCTGGATACTGGCTGGGGTTGAAGTCCCACCATGTTTGGGGATTTCCCCTAGCCCACCTGTATCAAATTCAGCCTGAGGTTTTTTTTGGCGTAAATCCTCCAATATTCCAAATCAAAGTTACATTATAAAGCATGTCAGAAATGGGTTAACTAAAACTGAATGGGTTAACTAATTTAATGGGTTAACCATTCAATTTCCAGTTATTTTCCATCATTAATGAAAAGGAAGAACTCATGATATCTAACCTAAAACTGTAAGGCTATTTTAATTTTTATAAAATGTTCTTAGTTTGGGGAAAACAAATGTTAACGGTGTTTTCTTTTGCAGGGGGGTTAAGACCCTTCTTAGAATTTTTACTTTGCCTCGTGTCATGGTCATCATGTTAATGATAAACACTGGACAAAACTAACAAGAGAAGGTTGCACTAGGAATTCTCTGCTTCAAAACAAAAGTTGTTTTGAACTAGGACCTTGAAAATGGTATCTTCAAACATAAGGAGCTGAACAATACCATTAAAAAATAACAAGACCTTTGCAAAGTTAATATTATCAAAGTACACTACATTTTCACTGAAATCTAAAAAGAGTAGTAGAAACTTCTCACTTCAGTAATATTCGAGGAATCTTAATTATATTTTTTATACTTGTCAAGATGTGTCTTGGGCACCAATTGCAGCTTTTAAAGTCCTTTTTTTAACCTTCTTGTTTTTCTTTACATACAAGTTGGATCAAACAAAGCCCCAGATAACTTCAATTACCTGTCTGACACTGTGCCGTTTCCCTTGTGCAAAAACACAAAAGCTAAATGGCTCCGTAGGTTAACAAATTAATAATAATAACAGTACATGGATAGATGACTATATAATATTTTTATTCTCCATTTGTACAATCTTTTTCTTCAATATTTATGTTTTACCTTGAATATTGACATTACCCTCTTGTAAGTTATATTTTTTAAACTAGGATACCCATGATAATATTTCCCCTTCTGTTCATAAAAAATTTTAAGGCTTTCTCTGTTTTTTAAAAGCTCAATATATAATTATCTTAGTAAATAGAAATTATATTCATCCAAGCATACATTTGCTGCCCATTTTATCTTATTTTTTTAGCTTGCAGCACATTCACTTTATGGGCAAGTACCCTTGGCACTCTCAGTTTATTCTCTTGAATAAACAGGCTTTCAGTGACTTCATAGTTCTTTTGGAAAGAGATCTCAGAACTAAGTTCCTTCATTCTATTTTTAAATAAGTCATGAGCAATCCAATTATATGACTAAAGATGACCCAAAAGTAACTGGAATTGTTCATAATTTATTTTTTTTGGAGATAAGAGTCTTAAAAAATCTTAACTAAAACTTCTCTCGATTATGCTATCGTTAATAAAGATTATTATTGTTTCTTAGAGTTGAGAAGGGTTTCTAATTACACAGAAATAATGAAAATATAAAGATTGAAAAAGATGATAATGGAAGAAACCTTAACGGCTGGATTAGCGAAATACACACAGTAACTTTTCATTCAAATTACATACATTTTTAAAAAGGAACAACTTCTAATGTCCTTTTTTTGGAGCTTTCTCTACAATTATGCTAACAAGTTTCATGCTGAGAAAGGATTAGTCCTGATGGACAATCAAAGACAATGCTTCCTTCCTGGTGAAAAGGTGAGAAAGGATGTAGGTAACTGAGCTGCAGTTATTAGGCATAGCGGCAGGAGGTCCATATGACCAGTTAGAGAGCGAGATCCGAGTTTGCCAAAGCAGAGAAACTGCCTAGTCACTATTGCTGATTACTCAGTGCCATCATATATGTAACACCTCTGACTTGGAGGATGAAAACCATGTTGTACACATCTCCCTGTCTGTTCAATTTAGTGTTCATCCTTCAGCTTGGCAGCCATGACACCTGGCCAGGTAAAAACTCCTAGGAGGATGAAGCATTTGGCATAGCAGCAGGACATGGGCATCTGCAAAATCTGAAGGAACAGAACACATCCCTAAGGGGAAGAATCAGAAATAACCTACTGTTCTGCATTCAAAAGAGCGAGAGAGAGGGAGTGAGGGATAACAAGATTTTAAAGACAAAATTAAACTGTGTTTTATTGCATCCTCCTTAATGGTTCTTCTAGTAGCCAATATAGCAAAATGATGGAAAAGAGAAAACAAAATATCCTGTTAACTTTTAATGATATTACCATTAATGATTGTGATATATTTCCACATATTTTTATATTTCAGTTAGTGTTTTATTCAATGTTACCATCTGAAAATATTTTTCTTAATATCAAAGTCTGAAGCCTAAAATCAGGTAAGATATATTTTCTCTTTACTGCTAATTGCTGACATTATGTGTCAAAATTCAGTTCCACCATTTTTGAAATATTAAAGTAGCATAATAGGTGTGCAGTTAGCTTACCCCACATACATTGTATAAACTACTGATATTAAAATGAGAAAACTACAGGTCTCCAAATGGACTAATCATATAATACTAAGTAAACATCCCTGTGTCTTAAGAATATGGGGTTAGGTTACATTCCAAAAGGAGAACGTGGAATAAAAACATGGTGTCTTAGAAATGGGTGTCTAATACAATCATTTTTAATGTACCTCCCAGAGATTGCTTAAAGGCAAAGGTGACCACAAGGCCAGTGGTAGATGGTTACAAGCCGTCTTCCCCAACATCTGTGTAAATAGATTCAAAGAACCAAAGGCTGCAGTTTCAAAAATTAAACTACAAAAGGCTATATCTATAACTGTACACAAAATTGCTTTGCCTACCCCTTCTTCTTACCCCCTACTACTTGTGGTGCTATTAAAGAAAAAGAATATCTGAAGACCACCAAGAAGAAAAAGGGCAGAAGGAGGACATGGGAATAATTATTTTCAAGGGTGCCTTGAAACTGTAGTTAGTCCTTCTTTCTGTACTCTATAGAAGTAGTATCTCTGCATATAAATCAGGTTGATGTGTTCAGATCACATTTGTTCATAAAAATGTGCAATTTCCATTGATATGAATTCTACATTTCTTTCTATTTTCCTATTGTTTTAATTTGCAATTAGATAGTTAAATATGATGCATGGGAATGGTATGCTATATTGCTGTTATTTGTGAGCATTAACACAAAAATTGTGGGTACCCCCAATCTCAGCAAAAGATACAAATAACATTTTTAGTTGTGTATCTTTAACCTATTACTCTAAAATGTGCCTTGTACAATCAAACCTAAATTTAGGAACCTAAGCTTTCCTAAATTCCTTAAGGAAAAAGGATACAGATTTTGATCAAAACAGAAAAACTGCAAGTCGGTGTGTCATAGGAGAGAGGGGTGGGAAGATGATGGTGATGATAGTGTATTTCAGCCTTGAAAATGTAGTCAGCCTTTACTGAAATCTGTGTGTCAGATACACAACATACAATTAAACCCCTACAAGATAAAGATGAAAAATTAAGACAGAGTTCTGAGGGCATGTGGCCCAGTGTGAAAATCATATTTATCTTACTCAAAAATCATTTTTTGTTGAGGCATAGTGGCTCCTTTAATCCCAGCACTTTGGGAGGCCAAGGCGGTTGGATCATGAGGTCAGGAGTTCAAGACCAGCCTGGCCAAGATGGTGAAACCCCGTCTCTACTAAAAATACAAAAAAACAGCCAGGTGCCATGGCAGCCGCCTGTAATCCCAGGTACTCAGGAGGCTGAGGCAGGACAATCACTTAAACTTGGAGGGTGGAGGTTGTAGTGGGCCGAGATCGCGCCACTGCACTCCAGCCTGGGCGACAGAGTGAGACTCTGTCTCAAAAAAAAAAAAAAAAAAAATCATTTTTTTCCCCTACAAACCTACTGTATTTCTTCTGAAATTATTGATTCACAGGTAAGAAATTTGCTGACATCTGAAACATTTTAAGTCAATAAAAAGTTTAAAATATAACTCCTCTAAGTAACCAGCAGGCTATGCTCTTTCTGATTAGGAAAGCTATGAAATTCACTGTGCCTTCTTTTGCTTACTAACTACTCAGAGCTCAATCTATTCTCTACCAGTATATTACCACAGTGAATGGCACATTTATTTGTCCATTTCATGGTCTTTAATTTCTTTCTCTGAAGGTTTTTTTATATATCAGCATTTTTTGAAGCAGCTAAGACAGTTTTTATAATCCGATAGGAAATAAGAAAAAATATGCTGCATAATCTCTTACATCTCTGTGATCTGAGACTATATTTTCACATTCCCATTTTATTTTTCATTACTTTTTTTTCTTTTGTTCATTTAATGAAATTGTAAATAGATCCTTTTTCAAAATGGTCAGCTTTTGTTTTTCAAATTTAAGATGATGTCTGTAGACCTACATGTAAAACATCAGTCCCTGGAACTGACAGGCAACCCCGCATGATCCTACTTTTCTCCGACTTCTCTACCTTTGTGCTTTAAATAGGAGCAAACACAACCGCTTTTTTTTTTTAACTGCCCTTCATTTGCCATTGCTTGAGATGGCCCTGTAAAGAACCTAATGCCCCTCCCTGCCTATTAGAGACTGAAGTGAACATAGCTGATGGTTTGGGAGTATGGCCTTTTAAAATGGCAGCTCAACAGTGACATAAAAACTAGAAAACTCTTCTATATCAGAAAAATTTCATGAAAATTGTCAATATGAGTGACAAACCTACCACATATTTTTTCTACCCTCTCCTCTGAGACCTACATTAAATTCATAAATGATAGTAAATAGAAAAAAAAAGAGGAAAAAAGTATACACTGCTAATGACAAAAAACCTTTAATGTCATGAGAGATAGAGAAAGTCACCTGCATGGCAGCAGAGCAGCTAAAGCCACAGTCAGCAGAATGTCTGAAGGGAATTCAGCCAAGAAGTACTCTGCAGAATCCCCAAGAGCCTCTAGACTAGAAAACAGAAGCTTTGCCTGAGGACAGAAATAAGGTATAGGTCTGTATGACACATGCATTGAACTACTGAGCCCTCTGTCTTCTCCCCTACTCTGATATAAGAACTTCTGCAATTGGGTAAGTGTCCTCCCCACCTTCTGTTAAGGCACATAGAATGGTTCTATTCTATTACCAGGTTTTCACTTGCGTCCAAGAAGAGCGAGACATTTGAAGAAAGTTTCCAACATGCCAGTGTGAAACTACAGTCAATAAACAGAAAATTTCTGTCCTCATGGAGCATATATTTTAGAAGAATCAGAAGTAACTGCCTAATGTTTTCAAATCATTGATGTAAAAACTGAACTTGGACAATGGAAGAGTGATGCAGGAGACAGCTGCATTCAACTTTAATTATTCTGTAGAATTTCATTTTAACGTTATGTACATGTATTACTCAGGAAAAATAAATATGTATGTAAATATGTTTGTGTACATTATCTCACATGATAATCTATAAATTTGCCTAGTTATGGGCTCAACTCTGTCTCATGGCTGTTTTACCACTACTCTGGGAAGTTATATCACTTTAGTTCCAAAAGTTGGTGTACCACAAAGTTAAAACACAAGGGTTCAAAAATCAATAAAATAAACAAATAAACAAAAAACTGTTTTGTTTTGTTTCTGTTTTATTGATTATGATATATTGCCTCTAGTTTTAGTGACAAACATTTTGCTACTGTTTCTTTGGTTTTGGTAAACCCAAAACTAGAGAAATTAATCTGTGTTGGATGAATGGTGAAAGTAATCTTATATTACTATTGCCATCATTTAATGCCTGAAGATATTTAATAGGCTTATTTTAAATCTGCATTCTACCTGTTCTGTAACTCAGTGGCAGGTAAGGTACATTGTTCAGTTTGAGGTCCTCTTTTGAGGAGGTTTTCTTACTTAGGTGTTTAGTTATTTTCGACTGTGATCTCATTTTTTCTTGGGATGTCAGCCACTCTCCTTACAGTATGGGATAAATGTCCAGGGGCAGGTCTCAGTGTTGATTGTATCTGTTTGAAGCTATTCTACCAGGCAATAGCTATGAGCAGGGCTGTACATTTAACTCATTATTGTGAAACAACATTAGTATCAGTCCTTACACCTAGGTAAAAATCTACACCCTAAAGGATTTGGAGGAATGATTATAGAAGTTGATCAGTTAATGTCTCTTTGAATAAATTGTTTACCCACTTAAGGCCCTGAAAGTAACTCAAGGACTCTAGCACTGGCATGCATATGGGTAGAGTTTAAAAGGATTTCCTCTGGCCTGTCTTCTGGTTGATTTCTCCTGCAATTCTGCTCCTCAGGTTACAGTGATATATCCAGATAAAAACATCCTTTATTCTTTCTAGGGGTTTTACAAAGGGATTATTTTGTGGTGGTGGTTGTTAGCTCCTGGAATCCTTACTTATGTTTCATATTTGTAGTTTCACTAGAGTTGATTTTGGAGAACAAACTGCCAGCCTTGGCTAATTCTTTATCTTGTTACTGACCAGAAATCACGTTTGTGTAAACATGAAGTTCCATAATTTGTCCTGGTTCCTTTTTGTAAGACTATGATCATGCAGAACATAATGATTAGGCAAAGAGTAAATGGTGAATTTTAGAAATTTAGCATTGACCAATAATTGACATGCTTTGTGGGAAGGCTTCTCAGGGGAAAATGGGGAACTGGTCACAACACTGGAAACCTCAGAGAATGTGTGACTATTCCAACACATGATGGAAGTCACATATATCACTGATTTTATTTCTGATCAGAATATCTTCTCCTTTAATGTTGTTATCACTTCAGAAAAATTAAATTAAGGAGAACAACCATGGAACAACCCCTCCCTACTGTGTTATAATGTGAATTCAGAACTTTGAAATGATGATTATTAAGCTTCCTGAATAATAACTTAATTTTAAACCAAGAGTAAACCTAAAGTTAATGTAAGAAGTTAGTATTATTAATCTAACAAAATTGCCAATTCAATCTCAGTCTTCTACCTTCTGGAGAAATCTCATGTTTTATCTTATTACAAAAGTAAATCAGGTGATTTATGCAATGTGTGTAACTTTTCAAATAAATTAACTCTACAAAAATATGTCTCTTTCCCCTGCATGTAGGTGACAAATGTTCTGAGCATTGTAAGTAGACGGAATAAACATTTACTTTCACAGATGTGGGAATGTATATTTGCTTCATTTAATTCTGAGAGTATGATAAAAATATGACAATATTAAGATATTGGATAAATGTTGAAAGCCTAACATTGAATCCAACAAAGGTGCTCAGTGTTTGGAAAAACTGTGCTTAATATAGCCCTATCATGTTAATATATCCTATTAAAATGGAAGTTATCTGCAAACTTTTTGTCTTAAGAGTTTTAGATGGAACTATTGACCAATATATTTTATTTTCAGAAATTAGGTTTTGAGTTAGTAACATGAGGAACTTTCATTGGAATTTAACTTTAATAGTTAAATTTTTAAGTTACCTTGACCATCCAAGGCAAGTTTTAAAATCTTGTTTAAATAAATATTTGGGCATTATAGGAGAACGAAGCCATTAATACAGTGGGAGCAAGTTTATGTTAACAATTTTTTAAATGGAACTATATGGGAAAGGTAATAAAAACTAATACATATAAAAGAGGATTCATTGATCTTGAGCTTTGGAAAGTTCATGGAAAATTCAAGATTTCCAAGAGCCAGTTTCTCATCATTAAATGAAGCAGTAAGAGAATTACTGCGGGACAGTTCTCTGAGAACTTGGACAAACCCAGTTCTCCTCACTTTCTCACTTGTAGTTCTAAAGAGTAATTATACTACATGGTAGGAATGCAACATCCTGAGATAAAGGGGAAGCTGGCTTGAAAAGCTAGGCTCTCTTCCAGGCCCCCCAGAACAGAATGCCCTTCAATGCTTTGCCCAGGTGAGTTATGGAATATCGAGGTATGTAACCTGGAGCAGGCTGCCTTTTGCCCCATTTGTACCCTCAGCTGTGGAACAAGTTGGGCACATGCAGCGAAGGCTCCATCCACCCCCCAGAGTTGCCTGAGCATTGGGTGACCAGCTCACACTGAATCCTAGACTTCTGTTGTCCCTTGCCGCCTATCAAGTAATCAATCCACTTCATGTAATTTGCTGTGTATGAATGTGTTCAGTCTCATGCAACTCAAGACATGTTGGTAACCAGAGCACAGCAAACTGCTTCACACTTAGTTCAAGGAAGTGTTGTGAAGATTAAATGAAATAATGCACACAAAATTCTTACAACATTGTCTGGCACTTTAAATTATTAAATAGTAGCTATTATTGTCTGCATAATGTATTATTGTAGTTGCTGATTCTGACTTACATTTTAATATGATTTACTTAATTGAAGCACACTTTGTTAAAGAATAACCATGTTAAAGGATCTGGAGACTAATCATGGTAGACACAGTTCAAAGAGGTAGCTAATGGCAAACAAAAAATCACATAAATACCAAATATTAGAACTTCATTCGCCTCAGAGAATATATAACCCAACCTTTCCATTTACTATTAAAAATGTAAAGAAATAGACTCAGTGTGTCTTTAAGTCACATGTCATATAGATTAAAATTTATTCAGATACAGAATTAATTCCATCAGGAGGAAGTTCAAAGAGGAGGTTTCTAAATAGAGATGTCCAAAATGGAAAACCTGCTGATATAGATGCCAATGTACTTCCCAGCTCTGGCATTTAAGCAGACATGAGAGGGTCAAATTTTCCACAATACATGTAGTAGAAGATACTAATCAAAGAGTGGGAAATTAATATAGACTAATAATCCTTACAATTTAAACCTTCAGTGCTTTTTAAAATAAAGTGAATTTAGGTTCCCATTAAACCCATTAGGATTAATGGGAAGTAAATACAAGGGAAGAGCATGGTGGTGGTCATGACGCAGGGGTATAGGAGGCAAAATAACAGATGGGGCTAGGAAAGAACCAATTAAAAGAATTGTAAGAGAACATCTATTCTATGTTAGATACCAGACTGTAACTATAAAGTTGAATGGAATATTTATGTAACACTCTAATAGACAGAATAAGAAAAATATTAGTTACATTTAGTGTGATGTTTCATTGCAGAAATTGTTAGAAATCATCAGAATTAATTATCTGTACTGCACTTAGAAGACATAAACAGCACCAATTTAGTGCAAAAATATCCCGAGGGTAACAGTGAGCCAAAATGTGAATACAGACTATAGTATTAAGTTGTTTCAAGATTTTCCTCTATTATTTTAATGCTAGGTACAACTCAGATCATTTCTAAAAGATTTGGTCTTAGGGAAAACATTATTTTTCTGTTAAAATTTCATAGCAATGAAAACATGTTTTCTTTAACGTAAGGAGCAGCTTTGAAGTACAAAAGTCACTATAAGGATTGTGGGGGTGGGGAAATAATTTGTTTAGTGTTATGGATAGGTTGTATGCATATATAAGATTCAAGAATTCTTTGCTAGCAAATGACAAACCATATCATGGCCATACATTATAGAAGAAAGTTTAAAGAGTTTGGAATTGTGTCTGGAATTGGTCGGGTTCTTGGTCTCACTGACTTCAAGAAGGAAGCCGCGGACCCTCGCAGTGTTACAGTTCTCAAAGGCGGCGTGTCCGGAGTTTGTTCCTTCTGATGTTCGCATGTGTTCGGAGTTTCTTCCTTCTGGTGGGTTTGTGGTCTCGCTGGCTCAGGAGTCAAGCTGCAGACCTTCGCGGTGAGCGTTACAACTCATTAAGGCAGTGCAGACACAAAAAGCGAGCAGCAGCAAGACTTATTGCAAAGACCAAAATAACAAACCTCCCACGCTGCAGAAGACGACCCCAGTGGGTTGCCACTGCTGTCTTGGGCAGCCTGCTTTTATTCCCTTATCTGACCCCACCCACATCCTGCTGATTGGTCCATTTTACAGAGAGCTGATTGGTCTGTTTTACAGAGAGCTGATTGGTCCGTTTTGACAGGGTGCTGATTGGTGTGTTTACAATCCCTGAGCTAGACACAAAAGTTCTCCAAGTCCCCACAGATTAGCTGGACACAGGGTGCTGAATGGTGCATTTACAAACAAGCTGATTGATGTATTTCCAATCCCTTAGATAGACAGAAAGATTCTCCAAGTCCCCACCAGATTAGCTAGACACAGGGTGCTGATTGGTGCATTTACAAACCTTGAACTAGACTCAGAGTGCTGATTGGTGTATGTACAATCCCTTAGCTAGACATAAAGGTTCTCCAAGTCCCCACTAGAGTCAGGAGCCCAGCTGGCTTCACCTAGTGGATCCAGCACCGGACCGCAGGCGGAGCTGCCCGCCAGTCTTCTGCCGTGTGCCCACACTCCTCAGCCCTTGGGCAGTCAATGGTACCGGGTGCCACGGAGCAGGGGGCGGCACTTGTCGGGGAGGCTCGGCAGGAGCCCACAGAGGCGGGGGGAGGCTTGGGCATAGCAGACTGCAGGTCGCAAGCCCTGCCCGGCGGGGAGGCAGCTGAGGCCCAGTGAGAATTCGAGCGCAGCGCCGGTGTAATGGCACTGCTGGGAGACCCGGCGCACCCTCTGCAGCTGCTGGCCAGGGTGCTAAGCCCCTCACTGCCCAGGGCGGTGGCCCCAGCCGGCCACTCTGAGTGTGGGGCCCACCGAGCCCGTGGCCACCTGGAACTCGTGCTGGCCCGTAAGAGCAGCGGGCAGCCCCAGTTCCCGCCCCCGCCTCTCCCTCCACACCTCCCCGCAAGCCGAGGGAGCCAGCTCCGGCCTCGGCCAGCCCAGAGAGGGGCTCCCACAGTGCAGCGGGAGGCTGAAGGGCCCCTCAAGTGCGGCCAGAGTGGGTGCGGAGGCCGAGGAGGCGCTGAGAGCAAGCAAGGGCTGTGAGGGCTGCCAGCATGCTGTCACCTCCCAGAATTACAATAAAGTTAGTCCTGAAAACTGGCATTGCCATGAATCAGGTGCATTAATGTGCAGAATTTACTCATCTTCCCTGAGCCTCAGTTTCCACATATTAAAATGTCTTTGCTGAATTATGATTTGTCAAACATTTCTTAACTTCATTTGTCCCAAACTTGGACATTAACCAAGTAATCTTATTAGCAAAAGATTTTTCTTTAACACCACTTACTTTCCTTGAAACTGGCATTTATTTATTATCTGTCATTAAAATAGCTCCGTTTTACATGCCTCTGTTGGCTGCCTAACCCATCACTCAATCTCAGTCTCAGTTTCCAGCCTGTACTAAGGAGGCTAAAAAATGTAAATATTTACTTTGTTACCCTCTGCTGTAATTGTTTGGTCATATGACACACTTCTGGCCAATAAGACTTACGTAAATTTGGCTGAAAACTCTGGGGAAGCTTTTGCTTTCAAGATAAAAAGTGATACTTTTGACTTGTGGGGCCCTTATCCTCTTCTTCCTTCATTGATTAGGGACGTAATGCCTGAAATTGCATGTTCCATGGAGAAAATAGCAAAAGAATCACTGCTACTACCACGTAGCAGAGCAACTGATCAATGGCAGCAACTGCCTAACTATGACTGGTTCACATCTGAAAAATAGAAATCCCTGTCTGTTTAATCCATGCTTAATTTATCTGTTATATGAAGTCAAAAACATTCCTTACTGGCAAAATGCCTTTTTTCTTCCTTATTCTCCATCATTTATTTTCCTCTTACATTAGTTATAGTTTGTAATTTCTTTGTCAAATATATTCAATGATGTAACACTGTAGTATTATAGAAAGCACACTGCATTGGAAACATAGACTCATATTTTATATTTAAATCTCCAAAAATAATCCCCAAATCCTTTAGAGAAGACAATTGGAGGAAATGGTGTTAGAAGAGTCTGGGATTAGGGTCACTATGTAGAAAATAGAAACATGGTGAACTATCTGGCAGGCCATGGAATCACTGTGGATACTTATCCCCTGCTAAGGAGGAGGGGAAAACACACTCTGGCATTTCTCATCTTCTTGTTCTCTAATCTCCCCATTATCACCCCTTGTCTGAAGTCAAACAGGAAATAATTTTATGGGAGCCTAGGAGCCATGCCTCCCAGGAGCCAGGCCTCTGTATTACAGAGCAGTGCCAGAGGTGAGTTATGTATCAGTGGGCATACAAATCCAGGACCACACACAAAGGAGTATCAGAGATAAATATAATATCCAGGATCAAGAGAGGAGTCGTCTCAGGAAACTTGGATGATATTTGTGAAAGGACCAAAAAAGTAAAACAGAGCTTATGAGTTAGAAAAACATCACAATAACGTAGAGAAAAACAGGAAAAATTATAGTCAAGGGTGTTTACCTTTCATTTACAGGATTTTTAAAATCCCTTCTGGAACACTTTTCCCAATATATTTCATTCATTGATTCATTCATTGATTAAACAAATATTTATTGTGCTCCTAGTATGTTCTAAGAACGGGACAGATGGGACCATATGCACTCTTAGTACTTCACTCATTGAAACAAACAATGTTTCTTTTTCCTACAATATTGTTCCCCCAAACACTTTTCTTGCAAATTCTTATCCTTCAAGATCCACTCAACTGTCCCCGCCCTGGGAAGGCTTCCAAAACCCCTCTAAACCCAGTTAAGAACTTCCTTTCCACTTAAGTTACTTAATTGTATATATTGTAACACTTGTCACAGTACATTGTAATTATTGCTCCTCCTCATTCTCCTATTGAACTATGAATATTTTGAGGGAAAAGGCTATAGAGACAACTTCTTGAATTTTGTCAGCATTTATTTTACAAAAGGTATTAGACATTTGTATATGAAACTGTAACAAATTTATCCTGATTTTTGGAAAACAACATGAACAATTTTCTCTACCAATTCCTCATGAAGTACTCAAATTTAAACACTGTCTATGTTTTGGGAGCAATTATACAAACTTCCAAAAAATACCTTAAAATGCTTTTATTTTATTTTATTATTTTTTAGAGACAAAGTCTTGCTCTGTGGCCCAGGCTGAAGTGCAGCGTGTGATCACAGGTAACTGCAACATTAACTTTTGAGTAACTAGGACTACAGATGTGTGCCACCATGCCCAGTTTATGTAATTAATTTATTTATTTTGTTTAGGTAGGTCTTGCTATGTTGTCTGGGCTGGTCTCGGCCTCCTGGCCTGGAGCAATCCTCCCTTCTTAGTCTCCCAAAGAGGTGGGATTACATGCATGAGCCACCTGACTTCAAAATATAAATTTTAGATGTTACAATATTGCAATATTTCAGATTTAATTTTTCTTTCAAGTTTGCAGTTGCAGTGGGACTTGGGAATAATTATTATTTATGATAAAAGTGTGGTTTCTCTTATCTAGTCATCTATTTTTGAAATTTTTATTCTGTTTAATTAAACCCTAAAAATTGATAGTCAACTCAGCTGAAAACCAAATACATGGGTGTTTTTGTGTTTAGCTTATGAAGACTAATGCAGAGAGACATTAAGAACCAAAAGACATTTATTTTCAGGTATAAAACATTTATCTTTTCATTATTGCCTTACATTTGAAAAAATTGTGATAGACATTATAATGAGAAGGATGATTTATTGCTCAGTACATCCCATATGTTATCTAGGCAAATTTACATTTCTTGAGTTATATTATCCCATAGTACAGCGTTATGAAATAAGCACAGTTACCTTCTCAATTTACTGATAAAGAAACTGAAAGTTATCTGAGAATTCACAGTTAAGATGAAGATTCAAACAAGTCGATAAAAACATAAATTACACAAGTAAGACTAAGAACTCATTGTTTTCTTGTAAGTATGGAAACTTTTGTTTGTTTTAAATGAAAGAGTTACTGGGTTAGATACAAATGGTAATGTTATAGAGCATTTAAGTTGCCTGCCTAGAGCCACAGATGTGCGCTTGAGCACACAGTTGAGATGCCATGTTGCCAGTATTGTTTAGATTCCTTCGCTTTGACACATTTATACTAAAGTTTCATCCTTGCAGCTGAGGCATCATACATGGCACAAATAGTTTTATTAAACACCATGAGATAAATATCTTAGTGATCAATTCAGCACTTGCAATTTGCCAACTTTGTTTTAATCAGGAGTTAATGACGTACGGCACTTCTAGTAAGTAAATGAATGTTTCAATTGCTGTGAGTTATTTTAATAATTGCTCAGCTAACCATTTAAATTATCAAAGATCTTTACTTGTGCAATGTCATATAAATGCTGGAAATTAAAAATTAATCAACACAATTTATGTAACTAAAAGCTGCCATCTAATGGGATATTTTTCAGTAAGACGACAGCAGTAATTATGCTGAAAAATATTCATTCCTGTAGTTTGAACGATTATAGCAATTTCCACCAGGGGATTTCGCAGTTAGATTCTAGTTCTGGGCAACAGTGATTAATATAATGGTTATTAATGAGAAGTCATTTTGATACTTCTAGCAGTGTTTAGGTGTCAATGCCTTGAAAGAAACATGTTTAGCATATTAATAATAAAGACTGTGTTGGACTGGATACTAAGAAACCTATTGGTTTGCTTTTCTTGTCTTGCATAACATGAAAGGTCAATTAGACATATAGAAACAATGGAACATTTCGCAGCAGGGCCTAACATTTCACTGCACTTTTAACCTTTTAGCCATGTATAAAGTTCATTAAATACCCGAAGATAGGACTGTTACAGGAAGACAGTGGTGGGGTCAGAGGTCACAGTGAAAAGCAAGACGACAATCTCTCCTGGATGGCATCCTGACAGCTAAGTTAGAGGGAGAATTACCTTTCTGGTTGCCAACAGGGAACAAGGAGAATGAAGCTATCAGCAATTAACATTATTGGATTAATTAAAATGAATGTTGACAGAGATTTTATTGGCTTTACATCAAATTGAATATAGGTAAGATAATCCCTTATCAAATTTCATAAATGTAAAAGCGTAGATTAAATGATTACACAATCCATATATTTTGGGTAACACATATAAATATATATACACATGTGCACACTTGCAGTGTGCAAATATGTGTGTCCATCTAAATGTACCCAAATCCACTGACCCAGAGTTAAAAAGTTAGAAATTATTCTCCCACTTTACCATTCCCTTTTCTAGAATTTTGTCACAAATATAATTTTTTCATTTATTTGAAGCCTACTGTTTGGAGCCATGTAATGTATCGATACAGTATATGGATACTGTGTGATATCACAGGGTTTGTGTCAGAGAAAAGAATAACACTGTTGTTATAAAAGATCTACATTGTGAGGAGAAAGTTTAACTTCACATTACTATGGGTACAGAAGTATGATTACATCAAAAGCTCAAATCAGCACCTAGAATTTATTTTGAATGTTTTATTTGAAATACTTATGTCAAAAAGATTATTGTAATAGAATAATAAAATTGAAAAAATAACGTTTAAATGTTTCCTTTAATTTGTTGATGATGTAAAATGTAAGTAGAATGCTAAAAATTAGTGTATAATATAATTTCATGAAGAATTCTTTATAGTTTTCATAAAATTAATAGTCTCAATTGAATTTTTTTAGACTGAGACAATTCTATACATCATTTTATTGTGCTTTTATTTTACTACTTGCTTATATGTCATAATGGATAGAAATAAAAATATTTTTATTTAAGCATATACAAAACTTGGATTCTTGTTTATGTTTTCTAGTGCGATGAAGGCAGCAATAATGTTAACTATGTTGGAAAATTTTGATTAGCCTAAAGTTCTTAACTTTCTTTTCTTTTTGAAGTTTGATATTTCAGTCTAGGTCTGAGATGGAGTTGAGTGTGATCATTCTTTGATTTCACTATGAGTGCTGAGTTCCTAATGCGGTGTTAGGAATGTGTAGACTTTAAAGCTTGTTTTCTTTTTCATCATCTCCCTTTGGACTTGCATATATGATTTCTACAGTAATATGCATCATTTTCTGACATAAGGTTGCTGAAAAATACAAGCATAAATACAATTCTTTACTTCTGTGATTCTTTAGGAACAGAGAAATAAAACTAAAAAATAATTATGGTATGAATGTAAGTCAGCAGTTTATCATACAGGTACAATAACAGTGTGGAAATACATTAAAAAATACATGCCTCATCTAAAACATGAGGTAGTAAAAATGAAAAATTTAATTTAACATAAATAACAGTTTAAAGGTTATGATTATTTCTGGTGAGAGCAAGTAGCACTAAAAATCCTATTTTCCCTATTTTATTATATGAAAATATAACTGTATTTTCAGGCTTAAAAAAAAGTTAACTCTAACCTAAGCAGCAGTTGTACAGCCATTTCAAATGGTGGTGCAGCATTTTTTAATTTCTCGGAAAATCTTTTGGGAGCAATATAATATAGTTCTATGAAAAATTAATCAATGAAATTATTATGACTGTAATCTCATAATTTCATTGTCCTTCTCCTTTCAGTTTTTACTTATTCTCTTTAAAATTCAAATGCCCCTAAAAAGCATATCATACATAATAATGACTGAAAATAGTTGCAAAATAAAAATTGAGTAGGAGAGACATTTCAAGGTTTCTTTTATGAGAATGCTACGTTAACCATGTGACATACACATGCTAAAAACAATTGTGGAAAAAAATGACTAATATTTGTGTAGCACTTGACAGTTTACACAATAATATCAAATATTCTCATTTGACCTTCAAAAGGATTTTTAAACTCGTGTTTCACAAATGAGGAAAATGAGATTCAGTAATACAAATCAGAGCTGTTACATCTCCTTATGATCATGTCACCCAATAAAGCAGAGGCATTTGTTTTCTTGAGAAGAGATGAAGAAGGCAAAATTTATTAAAATTATGAGTCTTTTTTGTAGTTTCAATTGTTTATTAATGTTTTGTTTGTCAAAATTGTTGCCCTTATTTTCAGTATACTTTCTGTATTTGCCTATTACAGCAGTTATCACATTTATTATTTCTCATTTATCTCTGTGCCTGCTAGAACTGCACACTCAGAAGAGAAAGGACTACGCTTCTCTGAGCTTCTTGCAGAGTGACAGGCTTATTTTGACATTTAGAAACTATCTGTTGACTGTTTGTGACATTTTCATTTAAGTTACATTTTAGGTCACTTGATACTAATTTTCTATTTAGTATTAGGTTTTGGAGAGCTATTTTTCTTATTACAGTGTTTTGAAGTATATTTAAGGATATACTTATCCTGAAGTGAAGAAGAAAACCAGTGAGGCACTTTTCAATGTTACATCATTTTAGTTATGATTGCTCCTTTTTCACGTTACTTGCATTTTCCGTAAGATCACCTTGCTGTTTTTAAAACAGATAAATATCTATTGTAATTTAGGAAATATACTGCTTTAGTTTCAGAAAGTGGGTAATAGTGTCATTGATGTGGGTAATAATATCATAATGAATCATATCTAATTTTGGAAATACCCCACAAATCACTTCAATATCTGCATATTTTAAAATAATATGCATTATACTCTTTGTTCACTTTCCTTTCTGTATTACTGTTTCTTTCCTTCTTTCTCTTATTTTTTTCTTTCAGTAAATACTGAGCCTCTACAATGTACTCATTCTTCTAGAAATCTAAAATCTGGCCAAGAGTAAGCGTTGTCCTCATGAGCTTACATTCTAATGCAAATATCCAGTAAGAACACACTTTTATGGAAGTGTTGTAAATACACAAATCTAAAAACAAAGAGCCAAGAATTCCAAACAGCTGTTTTTCTTGATAAGACTCTAGAATTAATAATATGTATAATTGTAACTGAACTCATCTGTGATAGTGTCCATTTAATTCATCAATTGCCACAGAAGACCAATTGTTCAAGCAAAATAAATAAAAGTTCCTTATATTGTTCTCCAATTGAAAATATATATGACATTAATATGTATTTATTTGAGGTTTTCTTTTAAATTTTTGTACACCTAACACTTTAGCACGTGCAAATTTCATAAGAAAAACCCACCTGTAAAATGCTGGTTATTGGAATAATTCTCAACACAATATTGCCAATGTCAAAGTTGAGTGTGTATTATAACAGTAAGTAGATGATGAATCAGAAAGATTCTGACTGGGGATTTCAAAACATTCTATATGGTAACATGGCGATTACATACAGATTCATGGATCTATTTCTATCTTCTTTAAATCCATATTTCAATTAATTGTCCCAATGCCCTCAGAGAAGGGAAAGTTATGTACAAATAACCCCAGTCTAAAAAAGGCTGTGACCTGAATGATAGTGGAAAGTGCACAAGATTCCAATGGAGTGAACATGGCAGTTGTTTCTCCTTTATATGTTATAAAGAGAACTAGGGGTCAAATTGCATAAATGATAAATGGAAGGTGCTTGAATTGGGTTGGTTCTTTTATGAACATTATACATTGACCCTGGCAGCTTTGACAATTACATCCATCATTTCTAGGAATCTGTTCCAACACTCAGCCTGCTCTCTAATGTGACCAAATAACCAGTTTGTGAATATAGGAATCAAAGATTGATCTTCTGTGCCACTGCACTGATTAAGTTTGTTACTTACTGGAGCTTTTCCATTACATGGAATTAGGTAAGGATCATAATTCATTATGGCACACCTATAGATAGATGTTAGAATGCTTTAATCTTCACTTACTAGGCTTCAAAAGGATTAATATTAGACTTGTAACTTTGATAAGCAAAATGAAACAAAACTTTTAAGAAACCCATTGCGTACTTTTAATGTTGTTTTATTACTTCCATGTTTCTTGAATAGAAAGAGCTGGTTGAAGATGGAAATAGACCAGACCATTTTAATTTTTACACTATTGTGACCTGACAATAACTTAGGCACCAAATTTCAGGTTTAAAAGAATTTTTCTGTCCCAAATATCTTTTGTGTGAATAGAAATATATGTAGATTGAGGAGCAGGTCTTCTAATCACCAAAATCATTACATGCAACATTGTTTGCTGTCATAATATTCTTCCCAGAAAGTCTATCAACTGCATGAAAGTACCTCAAAGGCTGGAGAGATAGTCAGAATGTATTTGAAGTCCTGAAAAGCAACTTAAGATTTTTGACTTTAGGTGATGTTGTATATTAAATGGCAGAGGGTCTAGTCTCAGAATTCAGAGACCTGAATTTGAACTCTGGCTTCACCATTTACCTTGGCATTATTATGTATTCTTTCCACCATTTTTGTTTTTTCTACCAATGGATATACAAACTATGATATTTATCTTTTAAGAAAAAACCACAAATGTACTTGAATCCTTGGCACTGAAATACTTTAAGTACCACCCCAATAAATATTACATTTATCTATGATTTATATAACACATTGCTTTATGTATATCACACAATATTCACACAGAAATTAAGGTAAACCAAATGAAACAAATCAATGTCAATTATTTTATTTCTATTTACTAATGAACAACATACAATTTTTTTAATGAAACTTGCATTAGCCCTAATTATATATTTTCTTAGGAGCAGGTTAGTTAGACATGGTTCATGATTTCAAAAATATTTTAATATTTGTGAATAAACAAATTTTAATGCCGGGGTCTAAATTTAGTTTATTTCTATGTTTGGTATTAAAGACAGTAATATATGAAAATGTTATATTTACCATTGTATAATACATGTAGCATAAAATATATACATACTAGATAAAGTTCAGTATTTATTATAGTGGTTGTAAATCTGTATTTCAAAAAATCCTGATACTTTCAACTTATTTTTTGCACTACTTATCATTGTCATTTTTTCAGCTCACATTGTGGCTGAAATAACTTGTAGTGAAAGAACTATTACTCTGCTGTTTTTGGTAATGTGCTTATTTTATTTGTATTATCTTTAAAAGAGTCATTTTAGGCCACTTGTCAATTTTGTGACGGCTAGTTTAGTTCCAACTAAATAAAATTATCAATAAATATCCTTATTGTGTTAGACACAGTAGGTGTTGCAATGAAATTGTATGAAGCCAAACAATCATATTATCAGCATATTGACAATAAAAGACACACTGAATTCAAATAATTAATATTTAAAATAAAAAAGTTTGATTCACATTGATTATATCTTATTTGATGTAATGCCTACCTTTCCATTTATGGTTTCTGCTTTGCTTCTATAAATTGAGAGTATCTTCATACTTTAAGATTATAAAATATTAAAACAAGAATAATTTTTCTTCCACTTCTCTTTTAGGGTGTATATTATTAAAATAACAAATATAATTGCCTACTGTAGCTAAGAAAAATGAAATAATTTACTCAGGTGATATTAGGCAAACATTCCCTGAATATGAATTAAAGTTAAGTGGAAGGAAAGAGGATAAGTTCTCCTTAAAGGTGGATCATATTATACACAAGATTATTATTAAATGTCATCAGTGCTTTTCTTTGAAGTAGCAGGTTTATTTCTTTTTCAAAAAATTGAATTTCATTGATTAACTTAATATAAACTATTATGATTTTTAGATAGCAAAATTATACTTATTAAAAATAAGTACAGTGATGGACACTTGTAGTCTCAGCTACTTGGGTGGCTGAGACAGGAATATTTCTTGAATCCAAGAGTTCAAGGCTACAATGAACCATGCCTGTGAATAGCCTGGGTTGATTTCAGCCAGGCCCTCTCTCCACAAAAAATTAAGTAAATAATTACTCTTTTTAAAATTCCAAAATGATATTATTGAGCTGTAGTTCACTGATTGGTTCTTGAATTGCATTGAATGACATACTCCCTTTCCTGCTCCCTCATTATCAAAATTTTTTGAAACAACAGGTTTTTTGTTAAGAAGACGAATGCATTTTACAAAGGCTTTAAGTCATGGCCTTCACCATATCAGCAAAGAGATTACAGTATGTACACAAATTTAAAAATTATTAAATTTTATAGAGAGAGTGATATAAAATACCTGTTTTACTTACAGCAAGAGAGAATATGAATTTAACAGTTCATATTCAATAGCAATTTAAATAGTAAAGGAAATTTAGCCCATTCTATTCCATGAAGATTTGTGCTATTGTGAGTGCAAAATTGAAGCATAAATCAGTTCTTCCTTCGCTTCGTACTAATTGTAATGTTGCTGTTTGTTATCAGTATAACTTTTTATTGGAAAAAATGATCCCTAATTGCGGATCCAATTCTTCATCTGATGCTCCAGTTAAGAAACACCAGTATATGCTAATATGGGCATATTTGTGCTATGGTTTGAATGTGTCCCCCAAAAAGCACATATTAGAAACTTCATCCACAATGTAACTGTGGTGGGAGGTGGGGCTTAATGGGAAGTGGCTTAGCATGTGAAAGTTCCACTTTAATAAATGGATTAATGCCAATTATAAATTGCTTGTGGCAGCAACTTCAACCTCTTGCACACTCTCTCCCTCTTCCTCTCTATCTCTCTCTCTCTCTGGCATGCTCTCTTTTCCTTTCAACTTCTGCCATGGAATGACACAGCAAGAAAGCCCTTGCTAGATGTGGACTCTTTGACTTTGGACTTCCTAGCGTCCTGAACTGTAAGAAGGAAATCTCTGTTCATTATAAACTATTCAGTCTCAGGTATTGTATTATAGCAGCACAAAATAAGCTAGGATAATTAGCTAGGTTGGAAACACACACAGATTGTATATTGAGCTCCAAGGTATTATAGTACCTTTATAAAGAATTTTTAAGAGGTAGTTTTTATTATAATGATCCTCAATACCCTGACAACCAAACATTTAAGTCCTCCAGAAATACCCTACCACTATAGTTGAAACCATCTAAATATGCATTTCATTGTTCCTGACAATTGGTTCTACCTCAGATGAACTTAAGCATTGCCATATATTCAAGGAGCTATCATTACAGACAGTCCCTAACTGACTGAAGAATTTTCAACTTTACAATTGATTTATTTGGATGTAACCTTAACATTAGCGGAAGACCTTGTTACCACTTACAATGATGTTATTATTTCTACTGAATGCCTATTGCTTTTGCACCACTGTGAATTCAAAAAAATCCTGAGTCAAACTATCATAAATCAGGCACCGTCTGCTGTGTTGCCAGCATTACATGCACTTTTAACTCATGATATATTTTACTTAGATGGTTCTATAGTTTAGATTTTTGACCCATTAGACCTCAGGTTGAAATTGATCCCCAATGTTGGAGGTGGGCCTACTGAAAGTTTTTTTTGGGTCATGAGGGCAGATCCTTAAAGAATGGCTTGGTGCTGACCTCACCATAATGAGTGAGTTCTCACTCTGTTAGTTCCCAACATAACGATTGATGATTGTTTTAAAAAACCTGTCACCCCCCCTTCTCTGTTTCTTACTTCCTCTCTCACCATATGACCTCCGAGCACACTGGCTCCCCTTCCTCTTCCATCATGAGTAGAAGACTTCTGAGGCCTTTACCAGAAGTGGATGCCAGTGCTTCTGGTATAGCCTGCAGAACTGTGAGATAAACCTCTTTTCTTTATAAATTGTCCAGCCTTTGAATTTCTTTAAAGCAAAACACATAAATTAAGACAGATGAGTTTATCAGAAAGTAATCCTATTATAAGTTGAGGAGCATCTGCATTTTATGCCCTGTTTCAGATTAACTAGCATAGGAAATCATGGCTGCTTGGTACTTCTAGTATTTTCCCGGCCAGAATCCCGTCATGCCATCTATATCACTTAAATTATTGTCAGAAATTTTATGGCATCAGGGTTTCCTCTACCTGCCTAAAAAGCTAGTATCAAAATGCATCTTTGCAGAAAAAAAAAAGTTCTTACAGAAAATACATGGCTGAGCCCCAAATTTCACATGGCTTCTGAATTACTGGAAATTATCTGAACTGTGTCCAACCAGTAAATATTGCATAATTTGAATAGATTTTTATAATCTTAATCATATTAAATTCGAATAGATTTTTTCAGAATGCTTTCTACCAAAATTTCTAGTCAAAATTCACGAAAGTACATATTCAATAAAGTGAAACCCTGCTCTCCAAAATGGGATTTCCAGTTGTCAGTCTTCCTTTATAGTAACCAGCAATAATTTCTTATTAAAATTATATGTAAAAGAATATACTACTTTATTTATTTTTGAAGGCTTTTCATTGATTGGTTCTCAGGATATGGGAATGAATTATACGGTATCCTTACTCTCCAGAAGTCATAATAGAAAGGGTAAAGAATATTCTAAAAAAAAATTTAAATTTTTGTCACATAATCAGAAGCATGGGAAATGTACCCTGGAAGTATAAACAAGGAAAGAACCTGCAGTGTATGAAGAAATTAGTAATAACAATAGAGAGAATGGCAGTAAGAAGGATAGTGAAGGAAGATGATGTCTTTTGCCAAACAAGGAGTAAATAGCATCTATGCAGAGGACATATGGAAACATACAGAGGCGTGAAAAGGCAGGAGGTTAGTACAAAATTAGGTGGGACTAAAACCCTGGTATGAGAGGAAAAAGTGATGAAAATCAATGATGACCACATAAATTACAAAGGTTCTTTTACATTATCCAAAGACTGTAGAGTTTTTGTCCAAAAGGCAAAGATTGTTATCTATGGGCACACTGTTGTACAGCAGATCTTTAGAACTTGTTCATATTGCAAAACTGAAATTTTATACCTGTTGATAAGCAACACTTTCTTTCTCCCTACCCCCAGCTTTTGGCAACCACCATGGTATTCTGCCCTTCTACGAGTGACTATTTTAGATACCTCACATACAAGGAATCATGCAGTAATTATCCTTCTGGCTATAGTGGAAATGATCTCATATGGCTATTTTCCACATTCTATAATTTTAAAAAAATCATTGATTTGAGCTTTAAAAGCTCACTGTCTTAATCCAGTTGTGTTTCTATAAAGGAATACCTGAGACTGGGTAGCCTCTAAAGAAAAGAGTTTTATTTGCCAGCATCCGTTTCTGGTGAGGGCTTCAGGCTGCTTCCACTCATAGAGCCGATGTGTCACATGGAGAGAGAAAGCAAGAAAGAGTGAACAGGAGGTGTTACGCTCTTTTCAACAATCAGTTCTCAAGGGAACTAATAGAGGGAGAATTCTTCATTACCAAGGGCTCTGTCTCCATGCCTAAACATCTTCCACCAGGCCCCACCTCCAACATCGGAGATCAAATTTCAACATGGAAGTTGAAGGGGACAAACATCTAAACTATATCATTCACTTATAGATATTTTACATAAAAATACCCTGTATAAATCAGCATGTATAAGTTGTTCATGTAAAACTATAGTTGAATAATTTCAAACAGAAAACTATCTGCAAAGTTTACATTTAAAGAGTTGTTCTTCCCTTAAACAGCATTGTATTTTCTGAAGTCCTCTTTCTCAATTAGTGGAAACTTTATAAGTATTCAGGGCAATCAATTAAGAAGAAAATAATTAGTCAGGTGAAGGCCAAGAAACTTTGATCAGTTTTCCCTAAATGTAAGAAAAATAGGATAGGCCTGGCGCGGTGGCTCACGCCTGTAATCCCAGCACTTTGGGAGGCCGAGGCGGGCCGATCACGAGGTCAGGAGATCGAGACCATCCTGGCTAACACAGTGAAACCCTGTCTCTACTAAAAATACAAAAAATTAGCCGGGCGAGGCGGCGGGTGCCTGTAGTCCCAGCTACGCGGGAGGCTGAGGCAGGAGAATGGTGTGAACCCAGGGGGCGGAGCCTGCAGTGAGCCGAGATCGCGCCACTGCACTCCAGCCTGGGCGACAGCGAGACTCCGTCTCAAAAAAAAAATAAAATAAAAATAAAAATAGGATAACATAAAATCATTAACATATTCAATGCTGATATAGCTATCTGCATATTATGTCTTGTAAATTCACCTCAATTTTTTGAAGAAACTTATGATAGAAAAGCCACAATATAGAGGTTATATTAGTCAGGATTAACTAAGTTACATTGTAATAACAAATGTATTCTTAACTCTCAGTTGCTTAGCACAACTAAACTTAATTTCTCATTCATACAAAGTATATTGGGGTATATAGAGATTGTCCTCCATCTAAGGACCTAGAGATCAAGCAAATTTCATAGTAATCTAAAATTTGCCTTTGTGACATGTGTCCTCCTGTGTCTCCTTAGCAAAGAAAAGAAAGAGGTAAAGGAGAAACAAGGACTCTAACAGGCACAGAACCAGAGTGATTCATCACTTCTACTTATATTTATTTACCAAAACACAGTCATATTGTCATAATACAACTGTAATAAATCCTGGAAAATAGAGAGGAACATATTGATTTAATGAACTTTATTTGTCTCTGCCGTGAAGGCAAAAATAGATAAGTGAATATGATGATGGGTGTTTTGGTAATCAGTTGCCTCTTATGGAAAGCAGATGATAACAGAAATCCGTACTTTTTAGTTACCTGAGAGTCTCTTTTTGTAGGGAGACTTATTGAAGATCATTAAGTGATGAGTTTTTCAAGGAGGAGAGTGAAAAGTCCAAGATATTAACATTTTTTCTAATTAGTAAATCCATTGAATTTTAGAACTAGAAGGATATGCATTAACTTGCTTCTTTAATTACTGAGGAAATTTAAATACAAACAAAATAAGGAACTCCCCTTATGTTACAAAGCAATTTATTGTAAAGATGATATGATAACTCAGCTCTTCATTTCCAATCCAGTGATCTTTTTCACTGCAGAGAATGCTCATAGAAGAGTTACTCTTTCTCTATCTGGAAATATACAAGATTCCAAAATGTAAAAATGCTCCCAGGAGTCATCTTAGGAATATGACAAGCATGAACATTATACAAAGATTTCTATGAGAGACTTCCCTGGCCTTAAAATAACAATTTTTTAAAAAATTACATGGACTAATAATACTGGTAATAGAATAGCCTTTAATTTTTCAAAACTGTATTTCTAGCTAACCTGTAATCTCTTTACCGATTTGGATTTATGGCTTTTTAGCATAGATACAAGGTCTGCAAATAGTGTTCATAATATATACTTTTATGATCCATAAACATTTGGGATAGTGAGAAAATGAGTGAATGAATTAAGAAATGAATGTATTCTTAATTATTATGGCTACTAATTCTGCTCATATATAAATTCTACCATCAAACTAATCTCTTTGTTTTCAAAGATCTCAGAAACAGGTCAAACATGTTCTCAGTCTTTATTCCTTGGAATCTACAATATCAGAGGTGACTTCACTTCTCCTAGTCCTTTCACTGAGGGCCACAGCAAACGACTTCAGAGTATCTGAGATGACCTGATTTCAGTAGCATTATCCCGACACTAAACTCAGAAGACTCTAAATGTGGATGCCAGTTTAAAGTGGTTAACTCTTAAAGCCCATATAGGGCAAAGAAGGAACTATTTTAAAAATCTACCCCATTTGTAGGTCATGCCATCAAACAGGTTTTAACAACCCTCCGTAGACATATTTTCTACACATTTCTTAGCAGACTCTGTGATACCTTATTTTAATGTATAAAACATAATGAACATGCAAGCAGTGATTTTTTTTTAAGGAAAAGAAGTAACCGTTTTATATCCTGGACAAAACTCTTTGCTATGTGCCTAACTAGAACACTGAATGCCGATAATGTGTTCACAGAGCATTCTTTCACATAGAATGAATGAATGGAATGAATGAGGAATGGAATGAAGAAGTGAGATTGTGAAAAAAAGTAATATTCCAGGACTTTTGCTGACGTTGATTATTTATAGTAAATCTAATTAGAATAATTCCAATCACAATTGGCTTTCTTTCAGTCCTTATTATGCGTCAGTGGTATAAGTGGTATAAGTAAATATTTGGCCTTGCGATACTTTTTTAAATGTTTACAAACTTTAATTTGTTCAAAAAAGATACAATGTGTTTCTAAATGTTGTTTAGTTAATGCCTTGTATCTTAGTATTTGATTGTTTATATCCATTTTCATTTAAATATCTAATGTTAGTAATCATTGTTTTTATTCAAAATATTTCATGCTTCCAGTCATCACCACTTACAGTAGCATTTCATTCTTATAATAATTGATATATAGTAGTGATTTAAATGAATAATATTTTCAATATTTTAAATATTTCAAGTTACATTTAGATGACTATTTCTCTTTGAAGGTGAATAGTTCGCTATTTAAAATAAATCTTAATAGCATGTTAGTTTATATAAATGTTTAATTGATTAGAGTAAATGGTGAATTATGCTATCACAAGGTTAAAGTTCATGTGCAAGTTTAGGTAAGCCAGAAATAACCTTGAATAAACTAATTGCTGATTGAGATATCCAAAGTTTGAGGCCAAAGCAGCCAGAATAAAGCTTTGCTAAATACCAAGGCTAGAACCAAACATAAGGAATCTCTGATTCCCCATTTATTTACAATATTTGCTAACAGATTTATATTCTCAATCACATTTTACTCATACTAACAATTTCTTTTAATTCCTATGTAACTATAAAATTTTAGAACTAGATGTTGAATCAAATACTTTCTTTGCACAGAGAGATGTGACAAACTGATAGATTTCTTGATATTGAACCAAATTTGCATTTGTAGAATAAACTCTGCTTGGTCATATTATTTTAATACTATTCTAATCTGGTTTAACATTATTTATTTCATTTAACATAATTAATTATATTGAAGTGTACATGATTCTTTCCCATACGTTACCTTCTCTAGCATGGAACATAGTTTCGTTTTTCAAAATCATATCAATTTACTAGTTACATATTCACTTTTTGAACTTAGATATCCAAGAAATGAATTCACAATGAATGTTTTGCTCTGCATATATATATCTGATTTAATGATCAAATATCTTACATCTATTGTATTCAAGTATTGTTATAGGTGTGTGTAAAATATATGCACATGGGACAGTTGTGAAACACTAAAGCACTTTTAAAAAGAGGCATGAAAGCAAAAGTTAATTATTAACTGATTTTTATAAATCATAGTATAAAATATAAACGGGGTAGCAATTTCAATAAAATTTAGCTTCCTAAGACAATGACTTTTCAATGCTGTAGCCAATGAGCAAACTCAAAGGCTTAGACCACCTAACTCACAGAATGATTATTGCAACGTTGGCACCAGTTGCCACTTTTAGCTAAAAATTTATGAATGACTAAGTAACCATTTTAGGACCTAAAGTGTGTGTCAATCCCATAAGCCCATAGGCATTTATAGAGAGTTTAAATCTTTAAAAAGAAGAGATAGAGAGAGAGAAAGGGAGAGAGAGAGAGAGAGACAGAGACAGAGAGAGGAGAGAGAGAGAGAGGAGAGAGAGAGAGAGAAAAGGAAGGAAGGAAGGGAAAGAAGGGAGGGAGGGAAGGAAGGAAGGAAGGAAAGAAGGGAGGAAGAAAGGAAGAGAGAGAGAAAGAAAGAAAAAGAAAGAAAGGAAGGAAGAAAGAAAAGAAAGAAAGGAGGGACGGAGGGAGGGAGAAAGGAAAGGAAGAAAGAAAGAAAGAAAGAGAAAGAAAGAAAGAAAGAAAGAAAGAAAGAAAGAAAGAGAAAGAAAGAAAGAAAGAGAAAGAAAAAGAAAGAAAGAAAGAAAGAGGAGGGACGGAGAAAGGAAAGAAAGAAAGAAAGAAACAAAGAAAGAAAGGATAAAAGTTGCAATCACAACTCAAATATTAATTGAACACCTCACCTGTGTCATGGGATGTGAAAAGCACTGATATAGTTTGGCTGTGTCTCCACCCAAATCTCAGCTTGAATTGTGTCTCCCATAATTCCCACGTGTTGTGGGAGGGACCCAGGAGGAGGTAATTGAATCATGGGGGCTGGTCTTTCTCATACTATTCTCATGATAGTGAATAAGTCTCATGAGATCTGATGGCTTTATCAGGGGTTTCTGCTTTTGCTTCTCGTCATTTTCCTCTTGCTACCATCATGTAAGAAGTGCCGTTCACTTCCCACCATGATTCTCAGGCCTCCCCAGCCATGTGGAACTATAAATACAATTAAACTTCTTTTTCTTCCCAGTCTCAGATATGTCTTTATCAGCAGCATGAACACGGACTAATACTAATGATCAAGAAAATTTGAAAATGTTTTAGTATCTGGCCAATGTCCTTTAGAAGGTTGTGAGTTGAGAAACAGATGCAGAAAAGCAGAAAAATATGAGACAACAAGTGACAACAATAAATATAATGTATCTAATAATTAGTGTTGTGGGGTTTCAGAGGCTGGAGCTGGGTAGTGCATCACAAAAGATTTCCCCAACAGCACAGGGTTTGAAAAGGAGACTGGTATATATAAACAGCATACATGTAGCATACAGTATGCAAAAAGAGAAGGAAATGATTTCAGAATGGTAGTGGTGGTTCTGGAGGGTAGTATGAATGAGAATAATATAAAAGTGAGAAAGATAAAGGTGTACTTACAGAAGAGTGTTGGTAGAATCTAGACGTCCTATTGAGAATGAGTGGGAATTGTGACTAAGACAATCTGGAATAATAATGCATAAAAAGGTGCCTTTTTCTGTCATTATTGTTAGAGTTAGTATTTGTGCCCATTTCCTAAAACAACTGTCTAGGAAAAAGAATCAAAGAATTAAGTAACACAATTACTCTTACATGGAGTGATTTAATTTGATAGCTGTGTCATTGATGAGCTGGACTTGCATAATCTCTAAATGCGGCTTCTTATGCTTTTATAATTAATTCACCTACTTATTTATGCATGTATTTGTTTATGCATAAAGAATTTGTGCATATGTTTTCAATGTCTTAATCTCTCAAAGTTAAGAATAAATAAGGCAGATGGTGGCTGCTCAGCAAGAGTTTTACCTCATGATAATGAGTAAAAGTACCAGTAGCATACTGGGAGAGAAACCAGCATCATGAACTAGCTCATTCTAAGCTCTTGTCATTGACCTTTTTTCAAATTCCTCATCTCCTTTGAGTTTAGATTCCTGCAGGGAAGAAAAGATAGGTGAATTTGGAGATCCTGAGGCTGCACAATAGCCTCAGCATCCTAGTCTCCAGTTCCTATCTTCATTTCTTAGCCATAGTATCCATGATAGTGTTTCACATCTTTAAACACCATTCTCCCTTCCCTTGCAATAAATTAAATGTTTATAAAAAGATTGAAATGAAAAATTATGAACACAAGTAAATCACTATAACCATAAAATTACATGGAAAATAAACAGTCTGCCTCTGAATCACTTTCAGGAAAACAATAACATTAAGACAGAAATAAAAAAATTGAAATAAATGAAAACAAGGTTAAAACCTATTGAAAGCCCTGAGATATACCTTAGCAGAGTTACGATGAAAGTTTATAGTGCTAAACACCCACATAAAAAAGTTACAAAGATCTCAAATTAACAAACTAACATCATACCTAGAGGAACTAGAAAAAAAAGAACAAACCAACCCCAGAACTAGCAGAAGACAAGAAATCAGTGCTGAACTGAATAAAGTGGAGATGAGAAGAAAACATACAAAACATCAATAAAACCAAAAGTTGGTTTTTGAAAGAATAAATAAGATATATAGACCACTAGCTAGGCTAATAAAGAAAAAAAGAGAGAAGATCCAAATAAACACAATGGGATATGACAAAGAAGACACTACCATTGACCCCACAGAAATACAAAAAACTCTTGGAGACTATTATGAACACTTATTAGCACATAAACTGGAATACCTCGAAAAAATGGGTAAATTCCTGGAAACATCCAATCTCCCAAGATTAAACCAGGAAGAAATTGAAACCCAGAACAGACCAAACTGAATCAGTAATTTAAGAAGAAAAAAAAAAAACCTATCAACCAGAAAAACCCCAGGACAAGATGGATTCAAAGCTGAATTCTAGCAGATGTTTGAAGAAGAACTGTTACAAATCCTACTGAAACTATTGAAAAAAATTACGAGAAGGGGTTTCTCTCTAACTCATTCTTTCAGGCCAGCATCACTCTGATATCAAAAATGGCAGAGACACAATGACAAAAAAAGAAAACTTCAGGCCAATATCCATAAGGAACATGGATGCAAAAATCTTCAACAAAATACTAGCAAGCTGAATCTTAACTGCACATCAAAAACGCTAATCCAACATGATCAAGTAGGCTTTATTCCTGGGATACAAAGTTGGTTCCACATACACAATTCCATAAACAAGACTCACCACATAAATAGAACTAAAAACAAAAATAGCATAATCATCTCAATAGAAGCAGAAAAGGCTTTCTATAAAGTTCAACATCCCTTCATGTTAAAAACCCTCCACAAACTAAGCATCAAAGGAATATACCTCAAAATAATAACAGTTATCTGTGACACACAGCCAACATCATGTTGAGTGAGCAAAAGCTAGAAATATTCTCTTTGAGCACGGAAAAAGACAAGGATGCCCACTCTCACCACTCCTATTCAAGAGAATACTGGAAGTCCTAGACAAAGGAATCGGGCAAGACAAAAAAATAAAAGACGTCCAAGTAGGAAGAAAGGAAGCCAAACTACCTCTTCCACAGATGATATGATTCTCTACCTAGAAAACCCCATAGACTCTGCCCAAAGTTTCCTAGTTCTGATAAACAACTTCAGCAGGGTTTCAGAATACAAAATCAATGTACAAAAATATGTAGCATTTTTTTACACCAATAACATTCTAGCTGAGAACCAAATCCAGAACATAATTCCATTTAAAATAGCCACAGACAAAATAACCTACCTAGGAATACAGCTAACAAAGGAAGTAAAAGATCTCTGCGAGAAGTACTATAAAACCCTGCTGAAAGAAATCAGAGACAACACAAACAAATGGAAAAACATTCCATACTCATGGATAAGAAGACTCAATATTGTTAAAAAGGCCATACTGTTCAAAGCAATTTACAGATTCAATGCTATTCATATCAAATTACCAACAACATTCTTCACAAAATTAATAAAACTATTCTAAAATTAATTTGGCACCAAAAAAAGAGCCCAAATAGCCAAAACAAACCTAAGCCAAAAGAACAAAGCAGAGATATTGTATTACCTGACTTCAAACTATACTGCAAGGATACTGTACATAAAACAGCATGATACTGGTACAAAAAGATACACATGGACCAATGAAATAGGTTAGAGAACCCAGAAATAAAGCCACACACCTACAACCATCTGATCTATGACAAAGCTGATGAAAATAGGCAATGGGGAATGGACTTCCTGTTCAATAAACTGCTGCTGGTATAACTGGTAGCAATATGCAGATGATTGAAACTGGACCACCTATCTTTCAACATATACAAAAATCAACTCAAGATGGATTAAAGACTTGAATGTAAAACCTAAAGCTATAAAATCCCTAGAAGAAAATCTGTGGGAAGGAACCACTGTACTGAGCATTAGCCCCAGCAAATATATCATGAGGAAGGCTCCAAAAGCAATTGCAACAATAACCAAAAAATTAACAAGTGATACCTAATTAAACTTAAAACTTCTGCACAGCAAAAGAAATGACCAACAAGGTAAACAGACAACCTATGTGATAGAAGAAAATTTGCAACTGTGCATCTGACAGAGCTCTAATACCCACGAACTGTAAGGAACTCAAAGAAATCACCAAGCAAAAAATAAACGACTCAATTAAAACATGGGCAAAAGACATGACTGGACACTTCTCAAAAGAAGACACAAGTGCATCCAACAAGCACATGAAAAAATACTAAATATCACTAAGCATTAGAGAAATGCAGATAAAAACCACAATGAAATACCATTCATACCAGTCAGTATGGCTATTATTAGAAAGTCAAAAAATAGCAGATGCTGGCAAGGTTGCCAAGAAAAAAGGAACAATTATACAGTGCTGATGGGAATTTAAATTAGTACAGCCACTGTAGAAAACAGTCTGAAGATTTCTCAAAGAACTTAAAATAGAGCTACTATTCAACCCAGCAATTGCATCACATAGTATATACCTAATGGAATATAAATCATTCTACCATAAAGACACATGCACACATATTTTCATCAAAGCACTATTTACCTTAGCAAAGACATGAACTCAAACTAGATGCCCATCAGCAGGGGAGTGGACTAAGAAAATGTGATACATATACACCATGAAATACTATACAGCTATAAAAATGTGGTTATGTCCTTTGCAGCAAAATGGATGGAGCTGAAGGTCATTATCCTAAGTGAGTTAAAGCAGGGACAGAAAACCAAATATTACATGTTATCATTTACTGTAAGTGAGATCTAAACATTGAGTTCACATGGACACAAAGAAGAGCATAGCAGACACTGGGGCCTAATTGACGGTGGAGGTTGGGAGAAGGATGAGGATTAAAAAACTACTTATCAGGTACTAAGCTGATTATCTGGATGACAAAATTAGCCTGTACCCCAAACCTCCATGACATGAAATTTGCCCATGTAACAAACCTGCACATACACCTCCTGATCCTAAAATAAAATTTGGAAATAAAAATAGTTCCTAAAATTTAATTTGTATAGAAGCCCATGAGAAAACAAAGTGATTTAGAATCGCCATTAATGCCTTTAATGTCAGCATGATCACTAAAATAATATTTTAGGAGCAGAAATTATAATTTTAATAAAATAAGACTCAAAGATATTACTGAGAAGATGCAGGGAATTTAAAAATCATAATACATTTAAAACAACTGTTTTAGCATGAATTGAACTGCAAAAACTGGATTCTCAAATGACAATACATTTACTATGAGCTCTTAGGTACCTTATCTTGTTTTGTGGTTGCCCTCCTTTAATGCATATTCTCTTTATGACTTCTTCTTGCTATCCCCTTTATTTTAGCATTCTTTGTACAGGCATTGATAGTGAAGAATTGGTAAGTGAGTAAAGATAGTTCCACATGCAAAAAAGCAGAAAAAAATTGGTCATTATATCCTCTTTCATGTTGGCTCTCTATAAATAGCAGTCTTGTTCTCGGCCATTCCACATTTGACACTATTGCTGTTTCTACTCTGCCTTCAGAGTGAATGGGAATATGACTGGAAACTTGAGAGAAGTAAAGCTTTGCTTGATCCCCATCTATCCCAGTCTCCTGAAAAAGAAGTTCACAGCTTGATGCCAATGCATCTGTTTTTATATACCTTACTTATATCTTAAATGTTACCATGAACAATCTCTTGTTTTACTTCAGACAGTAGGCTTTGCCATATCAAAATATTTTTTAATGTGAGGTCAAAAGCAAAAATTTTTAATTTACTAATTTTCTCAGTTTTCTTTATCAAGTAAATATATATTTTACTTATGAAATGAGTACATTTTTATTTATGAAGAGGTCTTATTTATGAAGAAGTTTTTTTAAAAAAAAACAAGAAACAATGTTGATACAATAAGGATATTATAATCTTTATGCATAAGTTCTATCACCTCACTCAATCTTTTTTCTCACATTAAGGTATATTTTTGTCAGCCCTATAAAATAAAATTTCTGGTTCTTATAAACGTGTTTTATGACATATCAACCTGTGGTTTTATGAAAATATATTTTCAAATAAAATATTCCTAAGTAAAACTATACCTGTAGTTACTGGAATTTGGATTTCAATGAAGAATCATTTGAGATTGCTTTGAATTATGTAAAATCAATTTAAAATATAATCCTAGAGAAGTTCTGAGACATGAGCTGAATTCAAAGAACTAAAGAGCAAACTGCTTATGTTCTTCTTGACTTGACTTTGCCATCTTAGTTTGAGTGATAAAAAGATAGCAAATAAATATCTATATTTCCATTATATCTCATTAATTGCATATTAACTTTATGTTACATAGTCTTTAGAAACACACTGTATCAAAAAGGGTGCCAGACAATCAATACATAGACTGATAAACAAAAAAAGGAAAGATATGCAATTTTTTTCAGTGAAATTTGGCATGTATTTATAGCAAACTGTAAACAAGGATGTTCAACCATTTCTTTCCCAACGATTTCCTGCTTTGGTTTCACAAAATCAGCTGAATGAAATGGAGACATTATCATCATTCAGCAATCATGAGTTTATTGTAGGCAGAGAGCACCCTCTACTTTCTCCTGATTAAACAGCACTCCTAGTCCGGAAGAAACGAGATGGCTGGTTCTATGCTGATATTTTGCTCAGAAAATCAGAAGAAGGGATTTGTCTATAAGGTTCATTAACTCTTGGCCTCTATTGGCAGTAACCCATGTTCAGGAGGCCACCATTGTAACACCCTCAAAAGAACTCCCCGAAGGAGGCAAAGTCTAGAAGGAGAATACCTGCTCTGAAGTTTCCCACCTTCCCTGAACTGAATCTGCAGAGCCACCCCAGGAGGGGAGAATGCAGCTTTGAAAAATAACACCTTTGTTATTCCAAGTGTTAGAGATGAAGCTGAGTTTTCAGATGGCCTCAAGGTTTGTGCATCCTTCACCAAACACAGATGGAAACTGGACTCTTTGAACTGCTTTGAAAATCTGTTACTAAGTATTGCTGTGGGTCTGTGAAGCAGCCATTGCTAACTTCTGACTGCCTGCAATTTTTATGGCTGTGTGATGACAAGGGATAAAATAGCTTTATTTTAGAAGTAAACGGTTCATATGCCAGAGAGGAAAAAACCCACCATCTAAGCAAGATTTAATCTTAAATATTATGGTAATTCTAAAAGTTAGTCTTTTTAAAAGGTTGGTTTAAATATTAGAATTATAAACAAGTCATAGAACATATACATAACATTAATTCATTCACTTCATTCTGATAAACTTGACTTTTTATAATTTTAATACTTTTAAGACATTAAAATCTACAAAGATTAATACTTCCTATTTTTTTAGATCAACTATTGGCATTATAGTTCTTTAGAGCTTTGTAGTTGTGTTAAAACCTACTGACTCTTGAATCTAGAATCAGAAACATCTGCCATGGTAAATCAAAGTCATGCTCTGTGGTTCCATTTTAAAATATTTTAGATTTAATACCACAGCTTTCACTTGCCTATATTAAGAACAAGCATTCAATAAAACCACTGTAAATAGACATTCTTCAAGTCAGATTTATACCAACAGAATTTACAATGCACACTTTGAGCCTGGTTATATGTATAGCATATAACCAGTTGGGTTGTTTTTGTTATTTTCCTTTCAAAGACAACTGAATCTGTGTATAGGAATCAAGACCTTTCCACAAACTGGCAGAAAGCTGTGAGAACTTCAGTTATATTGTTAATAGGGAAACCAAGCTTTGCCCAACACAAATGACACCATAAAGATGTATGTTCTCAGCGTAGTTTGTTATGATTTTACAAACATTTAAAATTACACATGTATTCATGGTATGTGTTTTTGTCTGTGCCAAAGCAAAACAAACAAACAAACAAACAAAATCCTAGATTAATGTCATATTAAGCAAGTTTTAACACTAAGGTTCTTACGGAAACATTAACTTAGCTGCGTTCACTATATGCAACTTTTTAATGGTAGGAATTTAACAGTATCAACAGAGGTACTTTACAATATATATTTAATAAGAACACATACTTTAGCCACAGCAGGCTTCCTCCTTGGAGCATGGTGAGGATAACTGTGTGACCTTCTACCCTGTCTCAGCAGGTATGCACCAGCAGGACCTAGCAGACTCAGTAATCTCTTCATGGACCTATTGAACTTCTGTTTTTTCAACAAAAAAAATAGATGTATATATAAAGAGGGCAGGAATATGAGCTTTCTTGCAACTTCCACCCCCCAGGGTACACTGAGTGACTATAAAATTCTGGCATGTACAATATTCTTTATTCCATCCTTCCTGCCAAAAGTATTAATCATGGTGAAAGGAAGTACCTCACATCCTGGGAATTTACAATCTCTATATCATCCTTGAGTTTAAAATGCTTGTATAATACAAAAGTGGCACTAAAATGTAAATGATGTTTCAAGAAAGGGTTAGTGGTACTACCAGTATGTGATAATAACTACCTCATGTAAGAAAAAGAAAATCATCCACTACCAAAAGGTAGTAAGGAGAGGAAAGCAAGTATGCTGTGTCACCTATTTATTCCCTATCTATTATTTCACTGACATAGATGTATTAAAAACCTCATTCACAATTCTTTAGAAAAAAATCTTGAATAAAAAAATTATACAAGGCTTTGCAAATATAAGCATTTCCTTGTTTAAAATATTCCCATAAAAAGTAAGGACAACAATGATGGTACCTTGTTGATGGAATGTTCAAATGACTAGACTTGCATAATAATTTGAGACATCTATAAATATGTTCCATGTTCATGATTTTAGAACTGCAGATTATATTCAGAGCTCGAAATAAAATGAGTAATGCTAGTCTTTCAGGGCCACCATATGTGATTATGCTGATTTGCACTACCCAGAGTTACCTAGGCCACGGATAGAAGTGGAGCCATGGTCATGGTCTGTGCACCAAGTCATGGGCTCAGTGTGGGGCCTGCCCAGTGGAGAGGGGACAGGGCGATATACTTCTACAAATTCATATACAGAAAAGGGATCCCTTCTTTTTTTTTGAGATGGAGTCTCACACTGTCGCCCAGGCTAGTGTGCAGTGGCACAATCTCGGCTCACTGCAACCTCCGCCTCCCAGGTTCAAGTGGTTCTCCTGCCTCAGCCTCCCGAGTAGCTGGGTCTACAGGTGCATGCCACCACACCCGGCTAATTTTTGTATTTTTAGTAGAGATGGGGTTTCACTATGTTGGCCAGGCTGGTCTCAAACTCCTGACCTCATGATCTGCCCGCCTCGGCCTCCCAAAGTGCTGGGATTACAGGCGTGAGCCACCACACCCAGCCAAGAGACCCCTTCTTTAATTCAGACACTACTAGACTGCAAGTTCTCTGGCCTCCAAGTAGCTCAAAGAATATTGGCATACAAACTGTATAGAACCTTTACTTTTCTATGTTAGAAGCAAGCTATTTGCCAGACACTTTATATATCATTTGTATCTTATCTAGTCCTCAAAAGAATCAAAGTTCCTTATTAGGACCAACATAGTATGGACCCCAAGCTTGGTCTCCCACCTATTCTCTCCCACTCACCCTCACACCTTCACACCTCCTTTGCTTGTCAGTCTCCCTAGAAGCCCTTACCCTTGATAACCTCTCCACGTGAAACCCTTCACCTGAGTGCTCTGGGTTATTTCCTCACTTTGTTCAGGTACTTGGGCATCCCCTTATTAGAAAAGCCTTACTGATAAGTCTATCTAAGAAGATGCCACCTCTCTGCCAACCCTCAGACACTTAGAACTGGCAGCCCCCTTATTTTGCCTATTTTTTCTTTATTTAACTTACCTTTCCCTATATTACCTATTTATTCAGCGGTGTATTTATAGTCTGTCTCCCCAAACTGGAACCTAAGCTTCACAGAAGCAAACATTTTTACCTGTTGTGTTTTCTGTGAAGTCCCCATCTCTGATAACCCTGGGGTGTTACTTGTCACTGAATCTATCATCAGTTTACCTGAGTAAAGATTTTGAGGTTGACACCTCAGGACCAGTGCAGCCACTCCACAATGCCTTCAATACTCCAGTCTCCTTGCATTTTCTTCACCTTCAGCCTCAGGGTGTGGCTTTCACTCTCATGGTCACCATATCTGATCATTGAGGCCATGTTCCAAGCAGAAAAGGTAAGAAGGAAGACGGAGGGTCAAATACACATTCCAGTTAAGTCTGACTCTACTTAAGGAGTCTTTCCATAATTTCTAAACAGCAACTCATACTTGTATTCTATTGGGCAGCCTTGTGTAACATGATCTCCCATACAAAGACAGCCAAGAAGTACAGCCTCCATTTAAATCAGGTTCTGTTGGTAAGAAAGAGAGAATGAATAATGAGGAGACAATAGATAATCTGTCACTGTCTCTACAGGCAGTGGATATGAGGTTTTCAACTAACAAAATCTGCTACTGTGAAAAAGAAGAATGATTTTCTCAAACATTTTCCCAATCTTCAATGGTCTCTTAACTCAGTTAATGTAATTTTTATAGAAGTTTAATTCATAGAAAATTATCCAAAATCAATAAGAAAACGACAGATATCCTAATTAAAAATTAGCAAGGGATATGGGACATGTCCAAAAGATGTTCAGCCTGATGTGTAATCAGGAAATGCAAACACAACAGTTCAATACCATTTTACATTCATCAGATTGACAAGAGTTGAAAAGTCAGATATTGAACTTTTGCAAAGATATAGGAAAATGACAACTCCTATATTGCTGGTGAGAGTGTAAATTGGTACAATTTTTGAAAGCAATTGGGTGATACCTGGCAGAACTGAACATGCTCATACGCTTCATACTAGCAATTCTGCTAGTGTCTATACATTCTGTAGAACTTGCACAGTGAGCCTAAGGAGATAGGTATACATATACAGACTTCATTGTTTGTGGTATCAATTGGCTGGCTTGGGCAGGCATATTTTTACTATATTAATAATTAACTATTAAACTCTCTCTTGTTGATTTCCTGTATCACCCAATTTATGGTTAGGGCTTGGTTGTAGTGAGCAGAGAAAGAAAGGGTGCTTATATACTACACAGTTTGATTTGGACTGGAACAAACATTTTAATACATTCAGAACTTTTCCACATATGAACCAATGACGGCATAGGGGACAATTATAGATATTCCTTTTGAAGTCTCCATATTCTTCTTACAATGGAGTTGAGAATAAATATTCTCTCTTTTTATTATGACTTGGGAAATTGCAGCCCCAATATGACTTAAGTCTACTTAATTCCTACCTTTTCACAGAATGTCAACCTTGTGGAGATAATGTAAACATTCAGAGTAATGTATATACAGCTAACTTAAAACTGGCTTCTAAGTAGGAAGGGAAACGTAGTCCTAAATATCTGGACTATTAAAAAATCATTATTAATTAGCAAATATGCAAGAATGTGTCATTATGCAATAAAAACCTACTATGCATATTCATGCTTTTGTCAGTAAAAAGTCATATTTTGAAAACTATTTTAAAAGCATTTTATATGATTTCAAGCAATAATTAAATTGTTGAAGTCATTTTTAAGGAAACTGATTCTCTTATTTTAGAAAAATTAAAAATAAATTTAGGAGTACCCTGTGGTAACTCCTGACTGTGACCGGAGAGGGTTCATAGGAATTTCTTACTCTCCTTGTAAGAGCCCTACTTTCTGGCTTTATGATTCCCAAAAGTTGGGGTAAAAAACTTGATATTCCCAAATGAACTTGTCATCATGCAAATTGTTATGCATTCCTTAAATTTTGAGGGCTACTTTTCTTATATTTTTAATTTCTCTTGATTTTAGAAACTGAATATACGTCAACCATAACATGAGAAATCTAGTCATGTATCACTTAGTGATGGGAATTCATTCTGAGAAATGTGTCGTTTGGCAATTTTATCGTTGTGTGAACATCATAGAGTGTAATTGCACTCTATGTCCCTGCTCTATTACTGAATTTCAATCATTTCCCTTATTTGATCTGCAATGACAATATCATGTGTCGTATATTAAGTTTCTATATATGCTTCATTATAATATTATGGGACTACTGTCATATGCAATCTGCTTTTGGCTGAAACGTTATGCCATGCAAAACTATATGTGTGTGTATATATATATTTGTGTGTATATGTATTTGTGTGTGTATTGTATGTCTGTGTGTATATATGTGTGTATATAGAGTTTTATATATATATATGCGGGCGTGTATATAATTAAGCAATAAAGATTTCTTTTCAAAGAAACTGAAGTATTTACTATATAAAGTGTTCACATATCATTTCTTCTGGCATTTATATTTGATGCAGCAAGAAATATAAAATTATTGCTAGGAAATTCATGGAAAACAATTTTGTCATATTGTGGTCACATGAATTATTTATTCAATTTTAATGAGAGGTAATATTTTTAAAAATAAATCACTGTTTATGTTTTGAGTTCATTGCAATATTTAGTTCACTTACTTTTTAAGGGGATGTTTTATTTTCTCTTCCTTTCTCCACAAACCTCTACTAAAAAATTAAGGTTTACCAGCATATCTTTCTATGGTAAGAATGGTTTATCAAAGTATCACTTTGCTCTTAATATTTATGAATAAGGCTCTTCAATGTAAAGTGAACAGAATATACACTACCCAAGTTATAAATCTTCAATGTACCACATAATATGGGAATAAATTATTTTAAAGTTATACATATTTATGTGTATGCATATGTATATATCTACAAAAAATATATGAAAACTAGACTTGTGATATTTTTATGCCATATGGCTTTCATCCTAAAGTCAGTTTAAAATCGTATATTTCTAGATACTACATAAAGATTCAGAGGCTGGTTTAAAATTACTACTTTCCCTATTCCACTCTTTCCTCTCAAAAAAGGCAATTGAAAAAATTGCTTAACACTCATCACTAGTGTCAAGTAGTCATAATAAGATAAATAACTAGAGTGAAGAAAATGGTTGAATTAAAATGTGACATATTGATTAGAATCTCTTGAGATTCAGTAAAATACAATATGGCTACAGTTTCATAATTGGGTAACAAAAATTTTGGTCCCCAAAGAACTTGATAGAAGATTTTCATCCAATAATTAAACATTAAGAACAACACATACTAAATCTTCTCAAAGAGGTAGAAGTGTTCTTGGGGCAACAATAAAATTTTATAGTAATCTAATTGAGAGTTGTAGCATCACATGAGGGAGAACATGTCAAAGCCAGGTTGGTTAATCTAGAAGCAAAGAGAAAATAAAAAGATTAGGTTATAAAAGACTATGGTTTCTGTCTTGGCTACTCCTTCTTACTCCGGCCCTTGGGTCTGGGGGAAGTCATACCTTAATGGACCCTATGAGGTGGAGGGTAGGTATTATCATGAGCACACAACTTTATGACTACTTTGCTTTACCTGCAATGTCTATAGGACAACTTGGGAAAAATTAACTATTGAGCTTTCCAATTTATTAACAATATGCATATCCCTCTATTTAAAAAGAAAAGATGTCTTTAATTTCTCTGAAAAATCTTAAATTTATCCCCATGCGTATTTCTATTGTAAATGTATCAGTTTTTTACATTTTAATTTGGTTTAAACTATTTCATTTCCTTGCTAAACTTACTCATTAAATTTTACAGTTTATGTGTTTTAGGATCTATGTATAGTGCACATTAGGTTTATGTGAATAACAATTTTATTGCTTCTATTGTAAGCTTTATACCTTTCTTCTTGTCTTATTGCATAGGCCGTGCTATCCAAGGCAATGACAAATAGACACAGAAGGAGTTAGTGCCTCTGCCCAATTCCCAGTCTCCAAGGGAAAACTTTCCATATTTATAACCAATTAGTATGCTATGTACTCTATTTGTGTAGAAGACTTTAATTTAGAGTAATTTAAAGCTTACTCAGAAATAGTTTTTTGTATCATAAATAGGTGTTGAATTTTACCAAACACTATTTCTGGATCTACTTAAACTATTACATAATTCTGTACCTTATTTTGATATTATGGGGAGGTATACTGGAAGGTTTTTAAATTTTAATCGAATCTTGCCTGGTGTGATGGTTCAAGTTATAATCCCAGTTACTCAGGAGGCTAAGGCAGGCATATTGCTTGAGGCCAGGAGTTTAAGATTAGCCTGGATTAACATAGCAATGCCCTATTTCTAAAACAAATTCCTAGAATAACTCAACTTATTTCTGTAGTCTTATCTTTTTATACATTGCTTCATAATTTTGATAATATTTTGCTTTGAATCATTACATTCCTTTTCAGGAAAGTCATTGGCTTATATTTTATCCATTTTTGTTGCTGTTGTTTGTTTTTAGACTGAATCTTGCTCTGTCACCCAGGCTGGAGTGTAGTGACACCATTTCAGTTCACTGCAAATTTTTTCTCCTGGGTTCAAGTGACCCACCCACCTCAGCCTCCCAAGCAGCTGGGATTACAGGTGGACACCACCACACCAGGCTATTTTGTAGAGATGGGGTTTTTACCATGTTGCCCAGACTGTTCTCAAACTCCTGACCCCAATTGATGCACCCACCTCAGCCTCCCAAAGTGTTGGAATTACAGGCATGAACCACCAGGCCTGGCCATATTTTATTTATTTAAATTTATTTCCAGATTTTCTTATCAATATTATGCATAAACGAAGATAGGAAAGAGAATATTAGTCCCATAAGAACAGAAAAATCCAGGTAATCTCCAAAATTAAAACTGCTCCTTAGCCAAAAAGAGAGCCCAGGTCAAAAGGCATCCAGATAAACTGAATGCCAGAGGGTAATAAACTCTTCTGAGGAGATACAGGACGCAAACTGTTTTCCCATATGTAGAGCATTGGAGAAAGGGATGGCCACCATATGCCAGTAAAAAGAAAGGGTAATGATATAACACATACGTATTGCTAAAGTTGGAATAGTATGACACTTTAAAATCTGTGGGAGCCCCAGACCAAAGTGTAGTTTGCACTCATTGAAATCACTTTTTTGTGGCTCTCAACCATGTGTTCATGGGGTCACGACAGGAGGCTTTAGAAAGTCCTCCTTTTTAGGGCAAAGGCGTGAAACACCATCTACTTCCTAGAACCTGCTCTCTTAGAAAGCCAAAGCCCTCAGCTGTATAGAGAGGAAGGAAACACTCTTCCAACCAGGGTTCAATAAATGATCCACTACCTCTGAGGGAGGGGTAAAAACAAAAGCTGTCTGCCTCTTGGGGAAGTAAAAAAAAACACTCTCACCTCCGTTTTAGGTAAGGGTAAACTGCTGCTGAGGGAGTCTTAAAACCAAAAGCTAACCGCATTTATGTGAGAAACAGGAATACTCATCTGCCAAAAGCGTTGACCACAGAAACAAACAACATCCCACCTGCCACCAGGCCCAGGCAAAGGCATACTGCCACTGAAAGAGCAGTAAATCAGAAGCCGCCTGCCCCAGAGGTGGGCACAGAATCCTGCACTGCACAGACATAAAGCTGATGTGTAGTGCTATCACTGGGGAAGGGCAGGAAACTCTCACGAAGTAGGCTTAGAGGAAAATTCAGAGAAATCATGTTAGAACATAAAAAAAGGTCTTAAATCAGTTAATACAGCAGCTAAAGAAGGACAAATTAAGCTCCAAAAGCAGCTAAAGAAGGACAAATTAAGCTCAAAGCAAGAGAAGAGGAAATCATGAAGATACCAGCAAAAAATCAGTGAAATAGAAAACAGGAGAAAAACTGAGAAAACTCAATAAAATCTGAAGTTGGCTCTCTGAAGTGATCAATAAAATTGATTAATATCTAGCCAGACAGAACAAGGGAAAAGGAAGACAAAACTGTCATTGTCAGGGGTTAAAAAAGGGAAACACATTAAATCCTATAGATATTAGAGGATAATATCAGAATATTATTCATAGCTTTATACAAACAAATTAGTTAAAAGACACAAAGTAGCAAAGCTCAGACAAGAAGAAATAGATAAGCTGAATAACTCTGTATCAGTTAATGAAATTGAGAGCCTAGTTAAATAATTTTCCCACAATGACAACATGCCCTGAAGGCTGCATTTTGAATTCTACCAAGCATTAATGAAATAAATAATATCAATTCTACACAAAAATTTTCAGAAAACAGAAGAGGAGGTAATATTTCCCAATTCATTTTAACAGACTATTATTAACCTGTTAGTAAAATGAAAGACATTGCAAGGAAACAATAAACCAATATTGCTTATGAACATAGATTCAAATATTCTTAACAAAACATTAGCAAAATAAGTTCAGCAATTATAAAAGGGATTATAAATATGATCAAAAATGGTTTATCCCAGTTTTACAATATTTAGATGAAAATTTATCACACTAAAAAATCTCAAATCGATGACCTCAGAATCTACCTTAACAAATTAAAAAAAGAAGAGGAAATAAAATGCAAAGTCAACAGAGGGAAATAATAATTATAAGACCATAAATGATTTAAAAGAAAATAAAAACTGATGGAGAAAATTTAGTAAAATTAAAATCTGGTTCTTAGAGAATGTGAATAAAATCAGTTAGCCTCTAGCCAAATTTATTGGGAAAAGGAATGAAGACAAAATTTTCCAATATCAGGAATTCTACAGATATTTAAAAGATAATATGAAAATATTACAAAAAAAATTATGTCAATAAATTTGACAGTAGAAATGAAATTGGTACATTCTCAGAAAGACACAAAGCACCAATGTTTAATCAAAAAGAAATAGATAATGACAATTGTCTATATATATTAATTATGGCCTTGTTGTTAAAAAAAATATTCTCACAAAAGAAACTCTATGCCTAGATGGCTTCACTGGTAAATTCTACCAAGCATTTAAGGAAAAATAATAACAATATTAGAGATAATCTTCCAGGAATTTGAATAAGATAGAATACTTTCCAAGTTATTATATGAAGTCAGTGAAACCGATACCATGGGCAAAAGACATGAATAGACACCTCACCAGAGATGATATACTGAGGGAGAATAAGCATATGAAAAGGTACCCAACATCATTAATCCTTAAGGAAATCTAAATTTGAACTACAATCAGATACCTTTACATAGCCATTGGAATTAAAATATAGCATTTGTGCAAATATTTAACACCAGAACTTCCCATGCACTGCTGGTAGGAATGTAAAATGATACAATCACTTTAGAGATAAGTTTGGCAGTTTCTTAAAAAGTTAATTGTACACCAAGCATATGATCCAATCATTTCACTCCTAGATATTTCAAGATAAATGAAAGCTTGAGTGCACTCAAAGATTTGTACACGTATGTTCATAGCAATCTTATGTATTAATAGCCATAAAGTAGAAACAATCCAAATGCCTATCAACAATAAATGGATATAAATAATTTGATATGCCAAATCAATAAACTTCTGCTCAACAATAAAAATAGATTACTGATAAATACAATATGAAAAAAATTCAAAATAATTATGCTAAATGAAATTCCAACAATGAATGAGTACAAACTATATAATTTCATTCATGTAACAGTCTTTTCTAGAGAATGCAAACTAATCTTTAATAACCAAAAGTAGATTAATTAGTGGTTGTCTGGAGATAAGGAAGGCAAGGAGAAGTGAGGAAGAGGGATTAAGCTGGGACATGACTAAACCTGGGGTAGTTAACTGCTGGATATGTTTATTGTCTTCTTTGTGCTTATAGTTTAATGGCTGTATACATGTTTTAAAATTTATCAAATTGTATAATTTAAATATAAGTTCTTTGCAACATCAATTGTATTTTGGTTACTCTATAAAACTTAAAAAAATCTTCAACTATGATTGTGACTTTACCCATATCCTCAGAGATTTTAGTCAACTTTTTCCATATATTTCAAAGGTATTCAGGTTGACTCAACTCTAGGATTGTTTATCATCCAGTTGAAATCAACTCTCTTGTCATTATAAAATATCTCTGTCTCTCATGATGCTTCTTGCCTTAAAAATCTACTTTGTTCGATATTTATATAACCACACCAGTTATCTTTTGGGTAATGTTTGAGTGGTATGTATATATATGTAGAAAGTATGGAAAATACACACACACTCAAACACACACACACACAAACACACACACACACACACGTATTTTCCATCTTTTCACTTAAACCAATGTAGCATCCTAAAATTGAAAATGCTCTGTATAATCAACATTTAGTTGTGCATTTGTAATTGTGCTGGCATCTTTGTTTTTAAATTGAAGTGTGATATGGGTTGGATCTGTGTCGACATTCACATCTCATTTTCAATTGTAAACCTCAATGTTGGAGGTTGGGCCTGGTGAGAGGTGATTCAATCCTTTAACACCCCACTGTCAATATTAGACAGATCAACGAGATAGAAAGTTAAAAAGGATATCCAGGAATTGAACTCAGCTCTGCACCAAGTGGACCTAATAGACATCTACACAACTCTCCACCCCAAATCAACAGAATATACATTTTTTTCAGCACCACACCACACCTATTCCAAAACTGACCACATACTTGGAAGTAAAGCTCTCCTCAGCAAATGTAAAACAACAGAAATTATAACAAACTGTCTCTCAGACCACAGTGCAATCAAACTAGAACTCAGGATTAAGAAACTCACTCAAAACCGCTCAACTACATGGAAACTGAACAACCTGCTCCTGAATGACTACTGGGTACATAACGAAATGAAGGTAGAAATAAAGATGTTCTTTGAAACCAACGAGAACAAAGACACAACATACCAGAATCTCTGGGACACATTCAAAGTAGTGTGTAGAGGGAAATTTATAGCACTAAATGCCCACAAGAGAAAGCAGGAAAGATCCAAATTGACACCCTAACATCACAATTAAAAGAACTAGAAAAGCAAGAGCAAACACGTTCAAAAGCTAACAGAAGGCAAGAAATAACTAAAATCAGAGCAGAGCTGAAGGAAATAGAGACACGAAAAACCCTTCGAAAAATTAATGAATCCAGGAGCTGGTTTTTTTGAAAGGATCAACAAAATGGATAGACCACTACCAAGACTAATAAAGAAGAAAAGAGCGAAGAATCAAATAGACGCAATAAAAAATGATAAACGGGATATCACCACCGATCCCACAGAAAGATAAACTACCATCAAAGAATACTACAAACACCTCTATGCAAATAAACTAGAAAATCTAGAAGAAATGGATAAATTCCTCGACACATACACCCTCCCAAGACTAAACCAGGAAGAAGTTGAATCTCTGAATAGACCAATAACAGGCTCTGAAATTGTGGCAATAATCAATTGCTTACCAACCAAAAAGAGTCCAGGACCAGATGGATTCACAGCCGAATTCTACCAGAGGTACAAGGAGGAACTGGTACCATTCCTTCTGAAACTATTCCAATCCATAGAAAAAGAGGGAATCCTCCCTAACTCATTTTATGAGGCCAGCTTCATCCTGATACCAAAGCCGGGCAGAGACACAACCAAAAAAGAGAATTTTAGACCAATATCCTTGATGAACATTGATGCAAAAATCCTCAATAAAATACTGGCAAACCGAATCCAGCAGCACATCAAAAAGCTTATCCACCATGATCAAGTGGGCTTCATCCCTGGGATGCAAGGCTGGTTCAATATACGCAAATCAATAAATGTAATCCAGCATATAAACAGAGCCAAAGACAAAAACCACATGATTATCTCAATAGATGCAGAAAAAGCCTTTGACAAAATTCAACAACCCTTCATGCTAAAAACTCTCATTAAATTAGGTATTGATGGGACGTATTTCAAAATAATAAGAGCTATCTATGACAAACCCACAGCCAATATCATACTGAATGGGCAAAAACTGGAAGCATTCCCTTTGAAAACTGGCACAAGACAGGGATGCCCTCTCTCACCGCTCCTATTCAACATAGTGTTGGAAGTTCTGGCCAGGGCAATCAGGCAGGAGAAGGAAATAAAGGGTATTCAATTAGGAAAAGAGGAAGTCAAATTGTCCCTGTTTGCAGATGACATGATTGTTTATCTAGAAAACCCCATCGTCTCAGCCCAAAATCTCCTTAAGCTGATAAGCAACTTCAGCAAAGTCTCAGGATACAAAATCAATGTACAAAAATCACAAGCATTCTTATACACCAACAACAGACAAACAGAGAGCCAAATCATGAGTGAACTCCCATTCACAATTGCTTCAAAGGGAATAAAATACCTAGGAATCCAACTTACAAGGGATGTGAAGGACCTCTTCAAGGAGAACTACAAACCACTGCTCAAGGAAATAAAAGAGGACACAAACAAATGGAAGAACATTCCATGCTCATGGGTAGGAAGAATCAATATCGTGAAAATGGCCATACCGCCCAAGGTAATTTACAGATTCAATGCCATCCCCGTCAAGCTACCAATGACTTTCTTCACAGAATTGGAAAAAACTACTTTAAAGTTCATATGGAACCAAAAAAGAGCCTGCATCGCCAAGTCAATCCTAAGCCAAAAGAACAAAGCTGGAGGCATCACACTACCTGACTTCAAACTATACTACAAGGCTACAGTAACCAAAACAGCATGGTACTGGTACCAAAACAGAGATATAGATCAATGGAACAGAACAGAGCCCTCAGAAATAACGCCGCATATCTACAACTATCTGATCTTTGACAAACCTGAGAAAAACAAGCAATGGGGAAAGGATTCCCTATTTAATAAATGGTGCTGGGAAAACTGGCTAGCCATATGTAGAAAGCTGAAACTGGATCCCTTCCTTACACCTTATACAAAAATCAATTCAAGATGGATTAAAGATTTAAACGTTAGACCTAAAACCATAAAAACCCTAGAAGAAAACCTAGGCATTACCATTCAGGACATAGGCGTGGGCAAGGACTTCATGTCCAAAACACCAAAAGCAATGGCAACAAAAGCCAAAATTGACAAATGGGATCTAATTAAACTAAAGAGCTTCTGCACAGCAAAAGAAACTACCATCAGAGTGAACAGGCAACCTACAACATGGGAGAAAATTTTCGCAACCTACTCATCTGACAAAGGGCTAATATCCAGAATCTACAATGAACTCAAACAAATTTACAAGAAAAAAACAAACAACCCCATCAAAAAGTGGGCGAAGGACATGAACAGACACTTCTCAAAAGAAGACATTTATGCAGCCAAAAAACACATGAAAAAATGCTCATCATCACTGGCCATCAGAGAAATGCAAATCAAAACCACTATGAGATATCATCTCACACCAGTTAGAATGGCAATCATTAAAAAGTCAGGAAGCAACAGGTGCTGGAGAGGATGTGGAGAAATAGGAACACTTTTACACTGTTGGTGGGACTGTAAACTAGTTCAACCATTGTGGAAGTAAGTGTGGCGATTCCTCAGGGATCTAGAACTAGAAATACCATTTGACCCAGCCATCCCATTACTGGGTATATACCCAAATGACTTTAAATCATGCTGCTATAAAGACACATGCACACGTATGTTTATTGCGGCATTATTCACAATAGCAAAGACTTGGAACCAACCCAAATGTCCAACAATGATAGACTGGATTAAGAAAATGTGGCACATATACACCATGGAATACTATGCAGCCATAAAAAATGATGAGTTCATGTCCTTTGTAGGGACATGGATGAAATTGGAAACCATCATTCTCAGTAAACTATCGCAAGAACAAAAAACCAAACACCGCATATTCTCACTCATAGGTGGGAATTGAACAATGAGATCACATGGACACAGGAAGGGGAATATCACACTCTGGAGACTGTGGTGGGGTCGGGGGAGGGGGGAGGGACAGCATTGGGAGATATACCTAATGCTAGATGACACGTTAGTGGGTGCAGCGCACCAGCATGGCACATGTATACATATGTAACTAACCTGCACAATGTGCACATGTACCCTAAAACTTTAAGTATAATAATAATAATAATTAAAAAAGAAAAAAAGAAAAAAAGAAAAAAAACAATCAGGATTACTATAGCCCAGAACTCTCAATTGGCCCTTGCTGGTTTCGTTGTAGATCTTGGGCCTAATGCAGGCTGCTGCTACCGTTGGCTCTTTGCTAAGGCATTCACACACTAATATAATCACGCTGTGGCTATAAAAGGCAAGTACAGGCAAACCCACAGAAGAGCACGTCACAGAAAAGGATAAGGGATATTTGCCCGAGGACAGATTTATTTCTATTGCTACACCTTTAAAAACACAGACTCATTTGTTTTCCTGTCCTGTGTGAAAACTAAATGCTTCCGTGAAGGTAGAGCACAAGGTTGACTCAGAGAGAACCTGGATGGATATCCAATAAGACAGAGGACAGAATGGAATTTAGAATTTCCCTTGTAAACTTTCAGTTTAGGCATTATTCCTCTCTTTAGTGAAGGAAGAATATTAGTTAGCATCAGAACTTATCGAAACTTTAAATTCAGGTTTCCCTTAGATAAAAATCAAAATCTCATTCCCTTAATCAATGTTATCTGGACTTCTCACAAATTAGTACCAAAGATAATTTTCAATAATAACAAGATACACATTTATCTTTAATTTTGATTGTGGAGAGTGAAACTGGCTGATTTGCTTGACAGAAGCATATAAATTCTATAAACTCCAAAAAAAAATAGAATGCAGCCTTACCTTAAGTGACTTTATAATCAAGCTTATTGTCCTGCCAATTAGTAAATGATCTCAATGTAAACTGCATGCTAGCAAACATAGCCCGATAATTTGAATATGCTTTTTTAAAACTAAATATGCAGTCAATGTTGACTTAGAGCCCCTGGAAGGGAACGAGAGTGGGCAGGAGAAAGACAAAGTCTTCTTCCTCATCTTACTTGGGAACCACAGCACTATATTTGTTCATGCAATACACATATCATATTTAAATTATATTTTTAGCAAATGATACGTTTATTCTATATTGTGTTTGGAGTTAGTTATCCTAAAATATAATATTTAATAAGCAAGTGATTCAGATCGGATGTATCCATATATTTTTAGCAGTTACAGATGGCTGGCATCTTCTCCAATTGGTCAATGCAATCCAGAATAGACGGTACCTGTTTCATATTATTAAATCTTTTTTTAATTATACTTTAAGTTCTGGGATACATGTGCAGAACATGCAGGTTTGTTACATAGGTATACATGTGCGACAGTGGTTTGCTTCACCCATCAACCTGTCATATACATTAGGTATTTCTCCTAATGCTATGCCTCCCCTAGCCCCCCCACCCCCTGACAGGCCCCAGTGTGTGACGTTCCCCTCCATGTGTCCATGTTTTCTCATTGTTCAACTCCCACTTATGAGTGAGAACATGTGGTGTTTGATTTCCTGTTCCTGTGTTAGTTTGCTGAGGATGATGGCTTCCAGCTTCATCTGTGTCCCTGCAAAGGACATGAACTCATCCTTTTTTATGGCTGCATAGTGTTTCATGGTGTATACATGCCACATTTTCTTTATCCAGTCTATCATTGATGGGCATTTGGGTTGGTTCCAAGTCTTTGCTATTGTGAACAGTGCTGCAATAAACATACGTGTGCATGTGTCTTTATAGTAGAATAATTTATAATCCTTTGGGTATATACCCAGTAATGGGATTGCTGGGTTAAATGGTATTTCTGGTTCTAGATCCTTGAGGAATTGCCACACTGTCTTCCACAATCATTGAACTAATTTACACTCCCACCAAGTGTAAAAGCGTTCCTATTTCTCCACATCCTCTCCAGCATCTATTGTTTCTTGACTTTTTAATGATCACCATTCTAACTGGTGTGAGGTAGTATCTCAATGTGGTTTCAATTTGCATTTCTCTAATGACCAGTGATGATTAGCTTTTTTTCATGTTTGTTGGCTGCATAAATGCATTCTTTTCAGAAGTGTCTGTTCAGATCCTTTGCCCATTTTGATGAGGTTGTTTTTTTTTCCTTGTAAATTTGTTTGAGTTCTTTGTAGATTCTGGATATTAGCCTTGTCAGGTGGATAAATTACAAAAATTTTCTCTCACTCTGATGATAGTTTCTTTTGCTGTGCAGAAGCTCTTTAGAATAATCAGATCCCATTTGTCAATTTTTGCTTTTGTTGCAATTGCTTTTGGTATTTTAAGCAGGAAGTCTTTGCCCATGCCTATGTCCTGAATGGTATTGGCTAGGATTTCTTCTAGAGTTTTTACAGTTTTAGGTCTTATGTTTAAGTCTTTAATCCATCTTAAGTTAATTTCTGTATAAGTGTAAGGAAGGGGTCCAGTTTTAGTTTTCTGCATATGGAGAGTCAGTTTTCCCAACACCATATATTAAAAAGAGAGTCCTTTCTCCATTGCTTGATTTTATCAGTTTTGTCAAAGATCAGAGGGTTGTAGATAAGTGGCAAAATTCTGAGGCCTCATTTCTGTTCCATTGGTCTATACAACTGTTTTGGTACCAGTAGCATGCTGTTTTTGTTACTGTAGCCTTGTAGTATAGTTTGAAGTCAGACAGCGTGATGCCTCCAGCTTTGTTCTTTTTTTTTCTTAGGATTGTGGTGGCTATACAAGCTTTTTTTTTTGGTTCCATATGAAATTTTAAGTAGTTTGTTTCTAATTCTGTGAAGAAAGTCAATGGTAGCTTTATGGAGATAGCATTGAATCTATAAGTTACTTTGGGCATTATAGCCATTTTCACAATATTGATTCTTCCTATCCATGAGCATGGGAAGTTTTTTCATTTGTTTGTGTCCTCTCTTATTTCCTTGAACAGTGGTTTGTAGTTCTTGAAGAAGTCCTTCACATCTCTTGTAAGTTGTATTCCTAAGTATTTTATTCTCCTTGTAGCAATTGTGAATGGGAGTTCACTCATGATTTGGCTCTCTGTCTATTATTGGTGTATAGGAATGCTTGTGATTTTTGCACATTGATTTTGTATCCTGAGACTTTGCTGAAGTTGCTTATTAGCTTAAGGAGATTTTGGGCTGAGACGATGGGGTTTTCTAAATATATAATCATGTCATCTGCAAGCAGAGACAATTTGACTTCCTCTCTTTCTATTTGAATACCTTTCTTTCCTTCCTTCTCTTGCCTGATTGCCCTGGCCAGAACTTCCAACACTATGCTAAATAGGAGTCATGAGAGAGGGCATTCTTGTCTTATGCCAGTTTTCAAAAGGAATGCTTCCAGCTTTTGCCCATTCAGTATGATATTGGCTGTGGGTTTGTCTTAAATAGCTCTTATTATTTTGAAATACGTTCCATCAATACCTAGTTTATTGAGAGGTTTTAGCATGAAGGGGTGTTGAAATTTATCAAAGGCCTTTTCTGCATCTATTGAGATAATCATGTGGTTTTTGTCATTGGTTCTGTTTATGTAATGGATTACATTTATTGATTTGTTTATGTTGAACCAGCCCTGCATCTCAGGGATGAAGCTGACTTGATCGTGGTGGATAAGCTTTTTGATGTGCTGCTGGATTTCGTTTGCCAGTATTTTATTGAGGATTATCGCATTGATGTTCTTCAGGGATATTGGCCTGAAATTTTCTTTTATTGTTGTGTCTCTGCCAGGTTTTGGTATCAGGATGATGCTGGCCTCATAAAATGAGTTAGAGAGGAGTCCCTCTTTTTCTATCGTTTGGAGTATTTTCAGAAGGAATGATACCAGCTCCTCTTTGTACCTCTGATAGAATTCAGCTGTGAATCCGTCTGGTCCTGGGCTTTCTTGGTTGGTAGGCTATTAATTAATGCCTCAATTTCAGAATTTGTTATTGGTCTATTCAGGGATTCAACTTCTTCCTGGTTTAGTCTTGGGAGGGTGTATGTGTCCAGGAATTTATCCATTTCTTCTAGATTTTCTAGTTTATTTGCATAGCCGTGTTTATAGTATTCTCTGATGGGAGTTCATATTTCTGTAGGATCAGTGGTGATATCCCCTTTATCATTTTTTATTGTGTCTATTTGATTCTTCTTTATTTTTTTCTTAATTAGTCTGGTGAGAGGTCTATCTGTATTGTTAATCTTTAAAAAAAAAAAGCTACTGGATTCATTAATTTTTGAAGGGTTTTCCATGTCTCCATCTCCTTCATTTCTACTCTGATCTTAGTTATTTCTTGTCTTCTGCTAGCTTTTGAATGTGTTTGCTCTTGCTTCTCTAGTTCTTTTAATTGTAATGTTAGGGTGTTGATTTTATATCTTTCCTGCTTTCTCCTGTGGGCATTTAGTGCTAGAAATCTCCCTCTAAACACTGCTTTAGCTGTGTCCCGGAGATCCAGGTACATTGTATCTTTGTTCTCATTGGTTTGAAAGAACTTCATTATTTCTGACTTAATTTCGTTATTTACCCAGTAGTCATTCAGGAGGGCTTGTTTAGTTTCCATGTAACTGTGCGGTTTTGAGTGAATTTCTTAATACTGAGTTCTAATTTGTTTGCACTGTGGTCTGAAAGACTGTTATGATTTCCATTCTTTTGCATTTGCTGAGGAGTGTTTTACTTCCAACTATGTGGTCAATTTTGGAATAAGTGTGATGTGGTGCTGAGAAGAATGTATATTCTGTTGATTTGGGGTACAGAGTTCTGTAGATGTCTATTAGGTCTACTTGGTCCAGAACCGAGTTCAATTCCTGAATATCCTTGTTAATTTTCTGTCTTGTTGATCTGTCTAACATTGACAGCAGGGTATTAAAGTCTCCCACTATTATTGTGTGGGAGTCTAAGTCTTTTTGTAGGTCTCTAAGAACTTGCTTTATGAATCTGTGTGCTCCTGTATTGGGTGCATATATATTTAAGATAGTTAGCTCTTCTTATTGCATTGATCCCTTTACCATTATGCAATGCCCTTCTGTGTCTTTTTTGATCTTTGTTGGTTTAAAGTATGTTTTATCAGACTAGGATTGCAACCTCTGCATTTTTTTTTTTTTTTTTGCTTTCCATTTGCTTGGTAAATCTTCCTCTATCCCATTATTTCGAGCCTATGTGTATCTTTGCACATGAGATAGGTCTCCTGAATATAGCACAGCGATGAGTCTTGACTCTATCCAATTTGCCAGTCTGTGTCTTTTAATTGGGGCATTTAGCCCATTTACATTTAAGGTTAATATTGTTACCTGTGAATTTGATCCTGTCATTATAATGCTAGCTGGTTTTTTGCCCGCTAGTTCATGCAGTTGCTTCATTGTATCAATGGTCTTTACAATTTGGTGTGTTTTTGAAGTGGCAGGTACCGTTTTTTCCTTTCCATATTTAGTGCTTCCTTCAGGAGCTCCTGTAAGGCAGGCCTGGTGGTGACAAAATCTCTCTGCATTTGCTTGTCTGTAAAGGATTTTATATCTCCTTCATTTGTGAAGCTTAGCTTGGCTGGATGTGAAATTCTGGGCTGAAAATCCTTTTCTTTAAGAATGTTGAATATTGGCCCCCACTCTCTTCTGGCTTGTTGGGTTTCTGCAGAGAGATCTGCTGTTAGTCTGATGGGCTTCCCTTTGTTGGTAACCTGACCTTTCTCTTGGGCTGCCCTTAACATTTTTTCCTTCTTTTCCACTTTGCTAAATCTGAGGATTATGTATGTGTCTTGGGGTTGCTCTTCTAGAGGAGTATCTTTGTGGCATTCTCTGTATTTCCTGAATTTGAATATTGGCCTGTCCTGCTAGGTTGGGGAAGTTCTCTTGGAAAATATCCTGAAGAATGTTTTCCAACTTAGTTCCATTTTCCCCATCACTTTCAGGTACACCAGTCAAACGTAGGTTTGGTCTTTTCACATAGTCCCATATTTCTTGGAGGCTTTGTTCATTCCTTTTCATTCTTGTTTCTCTAATCTTGTCTTCACACTTTATTTGATTAAGTTGATCTTCAAACTCTGATATCCTTTCTTCTGCTTGATCGATTCAGCTATTGATACCAGTGTATGCTTCATGAAGTTCTTGTGCTGTGTTTTTCAGCTCCATCAGGTCATTTATGTTCTGCTCTAAACTGGTCATTATAGTTAGCAATTTGTCTAACCTTTTTTCAAGGTTCTTAGCTTCCTTGCATTGGGTTAGAACATGCTCCTTTAGCTCAGAGGAGTTTGTTATTACCCATCTTCTGAAGCCTACTTCTGTCAATTCTTCAAACTCATTCTCCGTCCAGTTTTGTTTACTTACTGGTGAGGAGTTGCGATCCTTTGGAGTAGAAGAGGCGTTCTGGTTTGGGGAATTTTCAGTCTTTCTGTGCTGGTTTTTCCTCGTCTTCATGGATTTATCTATTTTTGGTCTTTGATGTTGGTGACCTACGGATGGGGTTCCTGTGTGGATGACAAAATAAACAGCTCCAATTACTGAATAATTTCTTAGCTAAGCTTATTTATTTCTAATGAGTTTTCTCTGTATTTTCGACAATTTATGGGAGAGTTTATAAAATCATTTTTTAAATGTATAATAACTGACCATTATCTGAGAATTGAGATTATGCAGGTAAGTAAATTTAATAATGCTTAGTGTAAATGTTTTTACTTCCCAACCTCCTGAAATTGTCTAAATTTCCTATAGAGAAATACAATTCACTAGAAAATGGCCAATTCTGTTTTATTTTTGAATCAATCAATCTAGCAGTGTCTACTAGCTATATGAACACACAAAACAACAAATCAAGATTCCCTTTCAGCGTCTGCATCTAAAATACTGCTCCATGCTAAAATTACTTAAGATAATTCCTAAGAAAAACTTTTTACATTTTACTACACTTGATTTTCGTGTTTCTTGCTCTCATTTACTGCAGGAAAAATCTTTTCAGAAAATTGGTCAATCTTATAATGCAAATATACCTTAACCAGGATTTTTTAGAAACTATAATTCTCAAAACTCTTCAACTTTGGACTTTGAAATTTAAGACAAGGGAGTTTGGAAAAATATATCGCCTTAATTTTAAACATTGCCTCCCTGTTAGAAGAGACAGTCTTTTTAATCAGTCTGTATCCCTCTATGCTGTTAAAATACCTGTGAATTTCAAGTGCAATATAATTGGCATTATAAAAGAAGATCTAGCAAAGTGTTGTTGAGCAGTAAAGGACACAGAGATATTATGTCCCCTTGTTACTATGAATAAAACTACCCAGACACCAATTAACATCTCATTGCTATGATTACTTGTTATTGTTCTTGTTCCTCTAATCAAACTTACACCTTGCTAGTTCATATTTTGATTTCAAAAAGTTATGCTAAGAAAATAAAAAATTTGTCATAAATGCAAGTAAATGTGAAGCATACAAAGATAATTAAGTTTATAACCACTGAGAATACTATGACAGAAAAAATTAAATTGCTTTGCTTCAAGGAAAATCTTTTAGGAAACATTTGTTGAATAAGCATGAAAGAATTTTTTTAAATGTTTTTTACACAGTTGACATTTTTACATATGATATATTTTCATTATATCATAGTATTTTTATATACAATGTATGTAATGTCTAGTATTTTTACACATGGTAATAATGTGCATTTGCTTTAATTTTTATAAATCTGACTACTCTCTCCGTAATGGTTTAGTGCTATTTGTTGTGGTAGGTGAGAAGGTAAAAGTGTATTTACCAAGCATGTAAACAGAGACCTCACATTTATTAAGGCTTATAATGTAAAGATAAGATATATATATATATGTATATAACAGTGACAAATTTGAAATTAAGCAAAGTAAAACTGTATGGGAAACAAAGATACACTTAAAGCTTTTGTGACAAGTTCAGGCTAATTAAATAATTTTTTGACATTTGTGACACTATCATAATTTAATCCAAGGAATTATGTCTTTTTCATTATGACTCTCTTAGACCTTAGGTTCTTAGACATTCAGTACACAATATTTTGTACACAAGTGCTTCAATTATTATGAAAATAGGATTTCAATTTTGAAAATATCTATGACAATTTATTAATTAGTTTTAAGTCCTTTACAAGGAAGAAGAGTGTTGAGCTGGGTTTGGAACCAGGAATAATTTTTTTTTGTTTACCAGCTTACAGGTTTACAAAATTGATCTTAGAGTCTTTGCTGGCATCCCCATGATACCTTTCTACAGTGGAACAGAGTTTACATCGACTCCGGGGTATTAGCACATGATGAAGGTAATCTGTTTCCTTAGCAGAAGCTCACAAACAAAGCAGTTAAATCCCCATTACAAATGGCTATATTGGGACTCATTACACTTTTCATAGGCCTGGATATTTTTGTTTCCTAGTCACTAAAACATTTATATAGGGCAATGAAATGTTCACAGAACCTGAGCAAATTCCTTTAACGAAGAATGAGATACATTGCTTTGAAAGATAATTTTTTTTCCAAAAGTAAGAATATAATTTAAGGACCAAGGAAGTAATGGAGCAATAAAAAATAAACACTGCCTTCACCCAGCCTCTTGTTGAAAACAGGGTAGGAACTTTGTCTTGAAATGACGCTTATTTTGCCAAATGTTTCATTTACTTATTTAACAAACCTTGATTGAATTTCTACCATGTGCCCGGCTCTGTGTGAGAAGCCACAATAAGAAAGTGAATACATGATACCAGCCTCTGAATTTAGTCCAGCAAAAGAGAAGGATCTGTAAATACTTTCAAAAAATAATGTGATACATTCTATAAAAAATAAGTAACTAGGGTAAGTTGATATTAATATCTCATTGTGGTTTTGATTTGCATTTCCCTAATGGTTAATAATTTTAAGCATTAATTTTTCATGTTGTTGGCTATATGTGTGTCTTCTTTTGAGAAATGTCTGATGAAGTCCTTGGCAACATTTTAAAGGGATGATGATCATGATGAGGATGATGATCATTATTATTATTGCTGTTGGGTTGTTTGAGTTCCTTGTATATTCTCAACATTACAAGACATTCAATTCTGAATAGTTTGTGAAAATTTTCTCCAATTCTACAGGTTGTCTGTTCACTCTGTTGATTATTTTATTTGTTCTGCAGAGGCCTTTTAGTTTAATATAATCTCATTCATCTACTTTTGTTTTTGTTGCTTGTGCTTTGGAAGTCTCAGTCATAAAATTGTAGCCTAGACCAATGTCCTAAAGCTTTTCCCTTATGTTTTCTTCAGGTAGTTTTATAGTTTGGGGACTTACATTTAAATTGCTTATATGTTTTGAGTTGATTTATGAACATGGTGCTAGATAGGAGTCTAGTTTCATTTTTCTGCATACAGATATCCAATTTTCCTAGCACCATTTATTGAAGAAAGTGTCCTTTCCCCAATGTATGTTCTTTGTCAAAGATCAAATGGCTGTAAATACATGGATTTATTTCTGGGTTTTTAAAATAATGTTCCATTGGTCTAGTTGCCTGCTTTTATACCAATTTTATAATTTTTTGTTATATATTTTGAAGACAAAAAGTAGTGTGATGTCTCCAGCTTTGTTCTTTTTACTCAATATTGCTTTGACTATGAAGGGTCTTTTGTAGTTCCTTATGAATTTTAAGAAACATTACAAATAGCAAATGCTGGAAAGGATATAGAAAAAAGGGAATTTTTATACATTGTTGATGGGAATATAAATTAGTACAGCCACTATGGAAAAGAGTATGAAAGTTTCTCAGAAAGCTAAAAGTAAAACTATATATGAGCCAGCAATCCCACTACTGGCCTTTTATCCAAAGGAAAGACAATTAGTATATCAAAGAAATATCGGCATCCCCATGTTTATTGCAGCACTATTCACAATAGCTAGGATATGGAATCAATCTAAGTATTCATCAATAGATAATAGATAAAGAAACCATGGTATGTATACACAACAGAATACTATTCAACCATGAAAAAAAAAATCTGTCATTCACAACAACATGGATGAGCCTGAGCCTGGAGGACACTATGTTAAGCAAAATGGGTCAGGCACAGAGGGTAAATATTGCATGTTCTCACAGATATGTGGAAGATAAAAAGAAATATTGAGCTCACAGAAGTAGAAAGTATAATTGTGGGTATTAGAAACACGGAAAATAGGGAGGATGAGGGGCTAGGAAGAGGTTGGTTAACAAACACAAAATTGCAACTCGATAGAAGGAATGAGTTCTGGTGATCCGCAGCACTGTTGGGTAAATAGGATTAGCTGTAATTTATTGTATACTCTCCAAAAGCTAGAAAAAAGAATTTTGAATGTTTACAACACAAAAAATGATAACTAAATAGACGCAATAAAAAATGGCAAAGAAGATATCACCACTGACCCCACAGAAATGCAAACTACCATCACAGAATACCATAAACATCTCTATGCAAATAAACTAGAAAATCCAGAAGAAATTAATAAATTCCTGGAAACATACACTCTCCCAAGACTAAACTAGGAAAAAGTCGAATCCCTGGATAGACCAATAACAAGTTCTGAAATTGAGGCAGTAATTAATGGCAGCCAACAAACATATGAAAAAAAGCTCAACATCACTGATCGCTAGAGAAATGCAAATCAAAACCACAATGAGATATCAGCCCGCACCAGTCATAATGGTGATTATTAAAAAGTCAAGAAACAAGAGATGCTGGCGAGGCTGTAGAGAAATAGGAACTCTTTTACACTGTTGGTGGGGATGTAAATTGGTTCAACCGTTGTGGAAGACAATGTGGTGATTCCTCAAGGATCTAGAACCAGAAATATCATTTGACCCAGCAATCCCATTACTGGGTATACACCCAAAGGAATAAAAATTATTCTACTATAAAGACACATGAACATGTATGTTTACTGCAGCACTATTCACAATAACAAAGACATGCAACCAACTCAAATGCTCATTAGTGATAGACTGGATAAAGAAAATGTGGTTCATTCACACCATGGAATACTATGCAGCCATAAAAAAGAATGAGATCATGTCCTTTGCAGGGACATGGATGAAGCTGGAAGACACAATCCTTAGCAAACTAACATAGGAACAGAAAACCAAACACTGCATGTTTTCACTTATAAGTGGGAGTTGAAGAATGAGAACACGTGGGTAAAGGGAGGGGAACAATCCACACTGGGGCCTGTCGAGGGGTGGGGGATAAGGGGAGGGGGAGCATCCAGACAAATAGCTAATGCATGTGGGGCTTAAAGCCTAGGTGACATGTTGATTGGTGCAGCAAACCACCATGGCACACGTATACCTATGTAAAAAATCTGCATGTTCTGCACAAGTATCCCAGAATTTAAAGAATAAATAAATAAATAAAATTAAAGAAAAATTAAAAAAAAATTCTAGATAGATAAAAAAAGACGTACACGCAGCCAATGATCATATTAAGGAAGGCTTAACATCGCTGATCATGTGAGAATTGCAAATCAAAACCACAATGACATGCCATCTCACAACCAATCAGAATGGCTATTATTAAAAAGTCAAAAATTAACAGATGCTGGTGAGGTTGCAGAGAAAAGGGAATGCTTATACACTGCTGGTGGGAATGTATAGTCGTTCAGCCATTGTGGAAAGCAGTTTGGCAATTTCTCAAGGAACTTAAAACAGAATTACCATTCGAACTCAACAATCCCATTATTGGGTATATACTCAAAGGAATATAAATCATTCTACCCTAAAGACACATGCATGCATATGTTTATCACAATCCTATTCACAATAGCAAAGACCTGGAATAAAGCTAAGTGCACATCAACAATAGACTGGATAAAGAAAATGTGACATAAATACACCATAAAATATCACACAGCCATAAAAAAAGAATGAAATCATGTCTTTTGTAGCAGCATGGATGGAAGTGGAGGCCATTATCCTAAGCAAATTAATGCAAGAACAAAAGCCAAATACCGTATATTCTAATGTCTAAGTGGAAGCTAAGCGCTGAGGACACATGGACACAAAGAAGGAAACAACAGATACCAGGGCCTACTTATGGGTGAAGGATGGGAAAAGGGTGAGGATCAAAAAACTACCTATGAGGTACTATGCTTATTACCTTGGTGATGAAATAATCTGTACACCAAGCCCCTATGACATTCAATTTGCCTACATAACAAACCTGCACATGTACCCCCGAACCTAAAATAAAAGTTAAAAAAAAAGATAACTATTTAAGGTGATGAATATGCTAATTACCCTGGTTTGATCAATACACATTGTATACACATATCACTCTGTATATGTACAATTTTTATGGCTCAACCAAAGTAAAAGGAAAAAAAAAGATAGGTAAAAAATGCCTAATGTGGAAAAAGAGAGAAATGGATTTTTCAGAGAGTAGTTAGAATGTGGTAAATGGCAAAGTCTTGGGTAGAAGAAGAAAGCCTTATAAATATATAGATTTATGTTTGCGAAGTATAATGAAAGAAGAGTTTCTGTTCGAAATTTCACTTTAAAACTTCAGAATATAGACTTTCTGATAGCAATAAACATAGCTTCTAAGTGGTGTCTAATGTGATGACCTTTCATATCTCATTTTCTCCTTACTAGGCCAAAAGTTTACCTTTAAAATGGTAAAGAAAACACTTATGGAAACATCAAAATAATATTGATATTATACTTTTAATAATGAAATTGCATACATATTCATTATATATAATCATTACAGATAGATATACATATAGATACAGATATTCATCTATAAATCATTATTGGGCACTCTATTATGATAGCTGAAAATGTATTTAGACAATGATCCATCTCTGCAGTAGAGTATCCATATTTAGTTAACAGTGCTCTAGGATCAGAAGCAGTATTGACTTTTATAAATTTAAGTCAGATGATTAAAGTATAGCTAACAACTGTCACTTATTGAACACTTATATGATGGGTTTCTTCTAAAAATATTATACACATGCTGTCTTTTTTCAGGCCTCAATAATCTTTATAAAGGAAATTGTATTATTTCGTAAATAAAAACATGGAGAAACCGTGTCACTTGACCGAGGTTAAAATGATAAAATTTGGTAGACATGAGCCTCAGACTGTAGTAGGCTAATTCCAAGGTCCTCTCAATTAAACCTACTCAATTCTTTTCTAAATAATAATTATTATGGATTTTATTGAAAAACTGGGTTTATCAGCAACTTGATTGCCCAAAATTTTTTATTTACAGCAATGAATATTTCCTACCACTTGCCCATGATGTTACTCTTTCATTTGTCTGAATTGTGGATTATGTTGCATTATCTTTAGGGAATTTGAAATTTATTCACTTTGCTATTATCTTTATTGGACATTTGCTTTCTTTGACATACAACATAAGAATTTCTTGTGAATCCAGGGTGTAGCAAATATCTGTAGTAAGAGAATAAGTAATTATTAGATGTTAGTTGACTGCCCAAAGTAATATGGGTGAGTGAATGGGTGAACTCAATAGTAAAGCCATCTTTTTCCTTAAGAAACCAAATTAATGGGGTCCATTATCAGGACAGAGAGGTTCTCTGTTTCACTGAAAGTTTGTTACAAAACACCCATTGTTCCCTAAAGAGCAAAAAGAACAAAGCTAGAGGTATCACACTACCTGACTTCAAAATATACCACAAGTTATAGTAATCAAAATAGCATGGTACTATCATAAAAACAGACAGATGGTACAATGAAACAGAATAGAGAACCCAGAAATAAATCCACACAGCTACAGTCAATTGATTTTTGATGAAGTTGTCAAGAACACACAGTGGGGAAAGAACAGTCTCTTCAATAGTGTGTTGAGGCAACTGGATATCTACATACAGAGGAATTAAATTATATCCTTATCTCCACCATATATAAAAATGATCTCAAAATAAATTAAACACTTAAATGTAAAACCTGAAACTGTAAAAACTAGAAGAAAAAATAGGGGAAAACTTCCACGACATTGGCCTAAGCAATTCTTTTTTGGGTATGATCCCTAAAATGCAGGCAATAAAAGCAAAAATAGATGAATGGGATTGCATCATATGAAATAGCTTCTGCATAGCCAAAGAAACAAAGAGACAACCTACAAAATGAGAGAAAATATTTGCAAACTGTATATCTGATAAAGGACATTCAAAATATAAGGAACTCAAACAACTCAATAGTAAGAAAAGAAATTTAAAATGCGCCCAAAACATGAATAGGTATATCTCAAAAGAAGACATACAAACAGCCAACAAGTATATTAAAAATGCTCCAAATCACGAATTATCAAAGAAATGCAAATTAAAACCACAAAGAACTAAAACTTCACACCTGATAGAATGACTACTATCAAAAAGACAAAAGACAAATGTTGGAGATGATGTGGAGAAAAGACAACACTTGTGCTGTTAGTGAGAATGTAAATTAGTGCAGCCATTTTAGAAAACAGTATGGAGGTTCCTCAGAAAATTAATGATAAAGTTCCTTTATGAACCAGTAATTCCACTTCTGGATGTATATCCAGATAAAATAAAAGCACTACGTCAAAGAGATATCTGCAGTTGTATGTTCATTACAGCATTATTCGTAATAGCCAAGATATGGAATCAACCTAAATATACATTACTTAATGAATGGATAAAGAAAACATGGCATATGGAAGCAATGGAATACTATAAAACCTTTTAAAAAGAAGAAAATCCTGTCATTTGCAACAGCATGGTTAAGCCTGGAAGACGTTATGCTAAGTGAAATAGCCAGGCTCAGAAAGACAAATACTGTGTGATCTCGCTTACATGCGAAATTTTTAAAAAGTGAGCTTATAGAAGTAAAGAGTAAAATGTAAAATGGTGGATACCAGAGGCTGAGGGGAAGGAGGTTGAGAAGATGTTGGTCAAAGGATACAAAATTTCAGCTACATAGGAGGAATAATACAGGAGTCTGGTGTACAACATAGTGAGTATAATTAATAACAATGTATTGTATTCTTGAAAATTGCTAAGAAAGATTTTTAAGTGTCACACACACAAAAAATAGGTATGTGAAGTAATTTATCTGTTATAGCTCAATTTAGCCATTCCACAAAGCATACATATGTTGTACATGATTAAATATATATAATTTTGTCAATTTTAAATAAATAAATAAGTAGGCATATCTCATCTCAGCCAGCTTAAAAAAATACTATATCATTAATGTAATTATCATCAGTCTGTTTGTGCCTGGCCAACATCCATATCCTTTGGTGGGATAATAGCACTGCAAGTTTTCCTCTGTGGAATGACCAGTATCTTCTTTCAAGCATGATTATTGGGGATATCAGTCAAATAAATCTTATCCTCCTATGAGCATGTGGCCCGAGCTAGGCCAATAAGTTGCTTCCTTTCAGAAATATGAATATTGAGCAAAGTTACTCCAGGATGGGAAATGGAGATGATTTAATTCCAGTGACAATTCACTTAGGAGCCTTTTTTTTTTTTTTTCTCCTCCTGGAGTCCTCATGATTATTAACCTTTCAGGAACATTTTTTCTTTAGTTTATCTTTTATCTATGAGAAATCATGAAGCTTATAATAAAACTAATTTTGCTTAAATGACTAGAGTTGTATCCTGTGGATTTCAACCAAGGGACCCTTACTAATCCAATAACCAATAAATATTTGTAAATGGATGCTGTAAATTATCTCTCAGCCAATGTCTAAAGTCAGTTTTTTGTTTGTTAATATTTAGAGAATTAATTTACTTGTGTTGGCAGAATAAACCACGTGAATAATGTTTCAAACCTAGTGGATTTGAAACTAATTTTAAGATTTGTTCTTTTACAAAAATCTAATTGTAGCAACAAAATAAACTCACTACTTTTCATGAGTAGCATGCTGCAAAGTATACCAATGAGAAATTTTTAAGGGGATTATTGTACCACTTAATCTCCATAAAGATTAGTAGTATAATGAATAGAGAGGTGTTTTCTGAAAACTGAGGCCATAAGTATAAAAATAGGTAAATTCAGAGAAGTTGCTTTATGTTTACCAATGCCCTTACCGTTCTTTGCTTGTCTTGGAATGGTCCCAGAGATCCAAAGTGTCCTTAGGGACATGCTACTCTTCTGGAAATATCCAAGAACCTGACAGCATAAAAGAAGGCCTTTATTTTTATTTTTATTTTTGAGATGGAGTTTCCCTCTGTCGCTCAGGCTGGAGTGCAGTGGCTCAAACTCGGCTCACTGCCACCTCTGCCTCCCAGGTTCAAGCGATTCTCAGCCTCTCGAGTAGCTGGGATTACAGGCGCCCGCTACCACTCCTGGCTAATTTCTGTATTTTCAGTAGAGATGGGATTTCACCATGTTGGCCAGCTGGTCTCAAACTCCCAACCTCAGGTGATCCACCCGCCTCAGTCTCCCGAAGTTCTAGGATTACAGGCATGAGCCACTGTGCCCGGCGAGAAGGCCTTAAATAGGTTGCTGACTACAGGGGAGGAGGCGGCATAACAAGTTTTATGATGTGCTAGTATGAGAACTAAACTAAACATCACTAAAAATCAGGAGAACTTAGTTTGTGTCCTAGTCTTACCATAAATTAACTGCCTGAGCTAAAGGGTATCATTTCATCTGTTCTGCTTGACCTCTCCATTTGTCAATGGAAGATATTAAATTAAGATGAAATACTCTGTCCTGCCTTAAATTATTTGAGATTGTGCTTTCTACATCCATTTATTCATAATTCATCTATTTATTCACTTGGTTAAGAAACAACTTTATTGAGTGGCTCTTTTATGTGATGCATGAGGGATAGTTGCCAGAAAATAGGTAAATTAGGAGACCATTTACTAACAGGAGTGGAGCAAAAAGTAGTTATAAATAAACCTTATAAGACATTAAAATTTAAAAAATTAAAAATAAGGTAAGAATGATAGGGTGCTTGGAAGTGAGAGCTACTAACCTTCATTGCATAAGAGTGGGGGATCAAAGATGATTTTAAAATAAAATAAACCATGAGAAGCATGGTATATGGAAGGGACTGCTTAAGAAGTCTATACAACTGCAACACAGAAGGAGTCTAGAAGTGAAGGCAAATAGGAAACCGTTCGAGGGAGCATTTTATCAATGGTCTTGCATTCTATGCCAAGGAGTTTACACTTAAGCACCTACTTAAAGACTTGCAATCTTCTAGCTAGAGCAGAAATATTTCCCCAAATGAATTTTTCCTATTTATTTAATATTATCAAAACTCATTCACATGATCATCACATTTTACCTCATCTAGCTCCTCCGATATCATTAATCATCCCCTCTTCTATGTTCCAGTCTAACTTCTGTAGTTTTGTCATTTTTTAACCTGCATCCTACAATTATTTCAGAGGGAAAATATACCATAGTATTTCAGGCAAGATTGAGAACTATTGCTCTACATGAATCCAATTTCTCTTTATCTATTTACTATAGAAAGAAGTTTCTTGTCCTAAAGGCAATTTCTCCATTTCTTTGTTTATTCCATCCTCTTTTGTCTTTTGTTAGGAAACATACACTATTGATGACTCATGTCTCTCAAATGTACAAAGAACTTTCCTCCCATGTAAATACTGCTCATTATCATGTACTTGCTTTTCAGTCCCTCAAGTTCTGCTTCTACTCCTATCAATCCACTGCAACAACTTTAGCTGAGGCTACCATTTTATACCCAATGGATATAGTTTATTATTTATATAATTTGAACTCTCAGCAGCATTGTAGACTTTTGACCACTCTCTCCTCTTAATTTTTTTGTCACCATACACTCTTAGTTTTCTTTCTACCTCTACAGTGGCTTTTAATGTCCCTTACATCTTCTTTCTCTATCATATTCTTCAGTGGTGGAATTCTTCAATGGTCACCAAAGGCTCTGTTTTCTTTTTCCTCTAACGCTCCTTCGGCAATTTCAGTTAAGCCCATATGACTTCAATTATATGCAGCCAAACTGTGATCTTCAACACAAATCTCTCCTCTGTGTTTCAAACACGTGTTTAGTTGTCTCCTTGACATTTCATGGAAGTCTCAAATACACTGCAAGTACTACATGTCCAAAAATTTGCTTAGCACAATTTTTTTCAAGCTTTGTCATCTTACTTTCTCATTTCAGTAATCAAGAGCACCATGCATCCAGTTATTTAAGCTAGAAGCCTAATTCCAAGCAAAGGATTCATTTGTTTGTCAATTTCTTATATGGAGACCATTTCTGGAGGACTCTGAATTCTGAGATCCAGAGATTCAGCTTACGACTATAGTATCCGCTAAAGTTACTATTTGTTCATGTATGTTGTATCCTTAAGTATAGGAGTGGTACCTTATTCCACCCTATACCCAAAAGTATGCCTAGCCTAAAAAAGAGATAGGATTAGTCGTCAATAAAAATTGTTGAATGGCTGCTTAATATAAAAGTAGTGTGAGAGTCCTCATTATGTGGGAATAACCCTTAGAATATATCAGTGCCATTGACTGGGCTCAATTCCCTGGCTTTAGCAAGGAGCTTCATAAAGTAGCAGGATTCTGTTAGTCAGACGGTCACTATAGGCTTCATGAATTTCCACAGGGAGGGAAACATAAATGGATACTTCTATTGTATCAGAGTATATCATTTACTATTTCTTACACAGTTATTTGATAAACTCAGTCATTCCCCAAATTTTATCTTCACACATTATATAAATAAATATATTATTTTTATTCCATAATTTCAAAATTTTCTCAGTAAGCATGATCCAAAGAGCAAAAGAAGATATTTTGTGGCCAGCATAGGCCAGATAAAGATTTCTACAAGGAGAAAGATATGTTTGGCCCCTTATTAAGAAAAAAAATGAAGATCACAGAAGGGTTAAACTATCATTTATGTAGAGTTTGTTATTATAGATGTTGATTGTGAAGATATTTATTTTAAAATTGAGATAAATACCTCCATAGAATCTTCATAAACAAAAATTATATGAAGGATGAAATGTGAGATATATTTAGCTTTATCGTTATGTGCATTTTTCCCATAGCTAACAGCTAAAACATTTTGGAAAAAATCAGTTGACTATTAATTTTTCCACATGGGACTAAAATTTAGACTTACATTAATATATTGTCTTCTGCATGAGGTCTAAATCTCTAAGCTGCAAAAGATTGGGAAATGTATTTTGGAGTTTAATTAAATTGTTGTTGTAAGTTTATGTGGTACCAGGACCACTTTTTCATAGTACATAAAAAAGATACAACAGATAATGCTAGCCTATTTCTCTGACTTTGTCTTCGAATTCTCATTAGCATTAAACTGTAAGTATGAATATAATTTCCACTCAGCCAACCTAGAAGGTGAAGGTGTATTTCATTCTCTTTACTAAAGCCATGTCTATATTCTTCATTATTGTGTATATCCATCAATAAAATGCTAGAAAATCTTTCAAGTCTGACAGTTGTATGCTACACAAATACACAGCGATTTCAACCTTTTAACTGCACGCATTGAGGTTTTTAAAGTTATCAACTAATAGTATATTTTCTTTCCTGAAATGGTTATTTTCAACAATTCTCGGTTCAATCTGTTACATGGATGCATAAATATTGATCTTACTGATTTGTGTTCAAATGCCTAATACCTTATGGTTGCTACATGTCTCCCCATTACAATATATATAATAATAATTGTAAAAGCAAACTCTTAGCAGTTGTTACTTTCACAATTTGTACATTTGACTTCATGATTATTCTCTAGAGAAAAGGGATATGGCTCATGGTGGGTAAGGGATGTAATGGTTACTTTTTACCAACAAGAATTTAATTACTCACATTAGGGCCTCCTATATGCCAGGAATTACAGCAGGCAGTTATTAGCAATGTGTTTGTAATTAAATATTATTTGCACAAAGTATTCTATAAAGATCGTTTTTAAACACATGTTTTCAAGTTAAATTCCTTAAGCACAGAAGATACTCATATGAGTGTTGAAAAGTTTGCATCTATTAATCTTCGCAAAGCTGAAATTTCATGCTTGTAGGTCATAAAATGTATGTGTGTGTGTGTGTATGTCTTTGTGTCTGTGTGTGTATTTACAACTGGAAAAGCACGTACAAATATCAAATTCAGTTCTCTGATTGCTCATGTCACAAAAATGTAAGAAACTTCTCTAATGTCATATTATTGTTAACTTATATCCTCATTTATTCATTTGACAAATATTTATTGAGCATGTATCAGGTATTATAAATTCTTCGGGACATTGGGCATAGAGCAGTTAGCAAAATAGTTTTGTTCCCTGTTCTCTCAGTTTGTATTCTATGAAGTGATAGTAAAAGTTAATAATCAAATAACAACTAAATGTCAAAATGAGTAAACGATAAAATGTCAAAGAATAATTTTAAGACACTAAGCTAGTTACAGCCAAAGTTTACTCATATCTGAAGGAGACAAGTGATGTAAAGATGATTTCTTCAAACAAAAACAGAGTTTATAAAAGCTAAATTCGCCGATAATTTTAGTTTTCTTTTCCTTGGTTAAGCTGATTTACTGAAAGTTATTGAGAAGAACAGTTCTCCCTTGAAGAAGCTAAGCTGTCAGAAAAGTCACTTGTAGTTATTTGTGGGTTAAAACTATATATATACTTGAAATGTTACCTGTAGAATGTAAGTGATGTGCTCTTGTCAGTGTGATCGCTGCTACTGCCTTCCTTTCATGCTTTGACTTTATTTAGCCCAGATCTGGACCTTTACCCACATTAGGACTGTTTAGACATTCCTTTAGTCAACTCAACTCTAATATTTTACTAAATATTAGAAAAATGGATCCATGACTAATAAATAGGATAATATATCACAGTTTAGTAGGGATTATAGCAAAAATGTATAATTCAAAACTCAATAAATTTCATCACAAGATTAGCAGAAAATAAATAATATGATCATCTCTGTAAATGCAGAAAAAGACAACATTCAAGATTCATTTGGATAAAAAAATTCTCGGTAAACTACAAAAATAAACAAAGACTATATGCAAAAAAATTTTACAGAAACCACTATACTTTTCTCATGATACTGGGAATGCCTCTATCACTAATGTACTCGACGTTCAAGCCAGAGGAAGAAATGTTGGAAGGAGAGGAGAGAGGAGAAGAAAAAGGAGACAGAAGAGGAAGGGGAATGAGAGAGGAAAGGAAGGGAAGCAACAAAGAAAGGAGATTAAATACTAGGAAAAAAATAAAGCTTTCATTACTTGGAAATTATAGGATTATATACTTAGAAAATTAAAAGAATCTACAAAGTATTAGACTACAAATAGTTTAAGCATTGTTACTGCTCACGAGATCAAAATACAAAATACGTTATATACATTTTGTATGTATTTGTGTATGTTTACATGTATATATGTAAATACATACATACTAGCATTAAGCAAAAATAAATTTAAAACATGATGTCATTTAAAATTGCACAAAAATGTTGACTGGGAATATAGCAAACAAAAGATGTGTAAGATTTCCATTTTGAAATTATGAAACATTACTGGGAGAAATAAAAAAGGCATAAATTAATGGAACAAGACACATGTTTCTGTGTTAGAAGACAATATTATAAAGATATAATTTCCCAGTGTCAATTAATCTATTCATTCAACATAAAGGCAATAAAAATTCTAACAAGTTTGGGAAATTTTTTTAGAAATTGACAAACTGATTCTAAATTTTATGTGAAAATACAACTGGCTTTGAAAAGCCCTGGAATAACTATTGTGAGATCAAAGAAGATTTTAAAAAGCTGAATGGCATACATATTAGATATCTAGACCCATAATAAACCTATTATAAATTGATAAACAAGGGACATTGGCCCAAAAAGTTACAAACTGATCAATAGAAAAATAAAAAATATAGAGTTCATAAACAAATCCACACACATCACATAATATGTGACAAAAACTCCATTGCAAAATGGTGTGAATAAATGGATAGTTTTTTAAATAAAATTGGTAATAGGTCAAGTTAATACCCATAGAGAAAAATATGTATCTTGAGCCCTACCTCCCACTGTAACACAAAAATTAATTCCATAGGAATTTCTGACCTAAGTATTAAAGTAAACTAATACAGTTTGAGAGAGTAAGACAGTTAATTGACAGGACCCCGAAATTATAAACCACACATTTAACAATGATAAATTGAACAATATTAATATTAAGAAATTCTGTTCGTCAAAAGAAATGATAAAAACTATGAAAAGGCAACCTACACAGATGAAAGTTATTCCCAATTCATATATCCAACAAAGAATCCTAACAAAGATATAAAAAGAACTCATACAGATCAGTAAGAAAAAAAAAAAAACGCTAAAAACTTCCAAAAGAGTTGCAAGTGAATTCTCAAAAATAAGGTATTCAAATGGCCAAAAATACATGAAAAATATTTAACTTCATTAGTCATCAGGGAAATGAAATTCTTAAGAGGTTAATGAACATTACACATTATATGCATGTATCAAAATATTACATGTAACCCACAAATATGTACAATTATTGTTTACCAATAAAAAATTTTTAAGAAAAAAAAGAAAGAAATATCACCACACACCCTCCATAATATTTTTTGTGTCGTTAAGGATGTGGATTAAATGGAATTTTCATACATTGCTGATAAGAGTGTAAATTGGTTCCACTACTTCATAAAACGATTTAATATTACAAGTGAGAGTGAAATATGAATCTTTTCTATGACTCAGAAAGTCCATTCTTAACCACATGAACAAATAGTACCATATCAGCATTGTCTAGGGACGTATCAGTCAAGTCAGGATGGGAAATATTAATACTTAGATTTTGAACATCTGTTAAGCAGTCAAGATGTTACTTTTCATTAGAAAAAAATAGCATAACTCTTTATTTTTATTACTTATTTTGGAAGTCAACAATAACAGAATTCCACAGGCAGTAACCTAGTGGATTGAGAATTTTTGGGAGTTGTTTTGAAGTTTTAAGGCTTCTATTGCATTAGGGACCCACAGAAAAGATAAAGTTAGGACAATATATGCCAAGGCATAAATTAGTGTGGCTACTGCTGCAATGGGGGCATGGTGGTCATGAAAGAGCACCACCCAAATCACCTGGTGCAGAGAACATAGCTGACTTACAATACCATGTAAGTGCCCCCTTTGGATCTACTGCAGCATTTATAGAAGCCATATGTCCCACAGGCTACTTCTAGCTTGTCTGAGCACAGCAAGGCTATTAGTGCTGGTCCATTACTACTAGATGCACTATTCTAGTAACTGGTGACTTTAGTCAACAGCATGACTAAAGCTTTCTGAGAATTTCACTGCAGTCTGACATTCTTCCCATCAAACCCCACTTCCTTGCTTCTATAATAGGTGCCAATCAAAAGAAAATACAGACAACAGCAAGTTGTCTCAATAGAGACCAGATTCCCTGTCACTGTATACTTTAATGACAGTGACCTGATGGTCAAAAGACACACATTAAGTTTCCCAATGTTACTTCTACTAACAGAAAGAATGGAATGTCTGTATGGGAAGGGAGGGAGGAAGGAAGGAAGGAAGGAATGGTAAGGGGAGGAAGGAAAGAAGGAGGGAGGGAAGGAGGGAGGGGAAAGAAAGAAAGATTGTCTCTGGTAACAAATGCAAAGATGGTGTTTATAGAAAGAAGAAAACCACAGACAGTGTGTAGAACAGAGAGTCTTGTTGAGTTTTGTTTGTTTTCCTAAAACTAGAACAAGCTGATTTGTTAAAAGCTATCAAGATGTCTGTCTGTTCTTAAACATTTTAGGAAGGTAGGAATAGAATGTTAGGCCCTGTCTTAGTCTGTTTGACTGCTATAACACAGTATCATAGACTGGATGGCTTATAAGGAGCAGAAATTTATTTTTCACAGTTCTAGAGGATAAAAAGTACAAGATCGAGAAACAGACAGTTTTGGTGTCTGGTGAGGGCCTGCTTCCTCATTGACAGCAGCTTTCTCACTCTAACATCACATGGCAAAATGGTGAAGGGGGCATCCTTTGTAAGGGCATGAATCTCATTCATGAGGGCTATGCTCCTAATACCATTACTTTGAGAGTGAAGATTTCCGCATATGAATTTTTAGGCAACATAAACATTCAGACCATAGAAAATTCAAAAAAGAAGATGTTTAGAATAATTGAGAGAAATGATGTATCCGAAGTGGTATATAAAAGGCATATTTGAATTTTCAAATATTTATAAAATTTAAACACTGAGATCTATGATAGGCTCCTTTTAAATGTTCAATAATCACTTAATCAGGTTTTTAAAAAATAATAATATATTAATATATGGCCAGATTTTTGCATGATTTTTAAAATGTAATATCTACTCCAGTTGGGTAAAAAGCAAGAGATTGATAACTACTAAATACAAATATACATTTACACTCATGCTTCTATGCACATAGACACACAGAATAAAGGAAATTCAAAATGACAACAGATAGGCACAGATCTGTAGATTCCTAATAGTCCATGAGAACGAGGTTGTAGAAACATATGGGAAAACTGCTGCAATCAATGTAGCACTCGTTCATGATCCCCACAAATAAAATGGCCTTTGTTTTCAATAATAGATATAACAATTAATAAGTCATTTCTCATTATATGCCTGATTTTTTAAATACAGGAATGACTCACCTTTTGTGCTTTGCTTTCTTGCACTTTATAGGTTTTTTTTCTTTCTTTTTTTTCCTACAAATTGAAGGTTTGTGGCAATACTACAGGTGTCATATTTCCAACAGCATGAGCTCACTTTGTGTCTCTGTATCACATTTTTGTAATTCTCACAATATTTCAAACTTTTTCATTGTTATTATATTTGCAGTGGTGATCTGAGATTAGTGATTTTTGATGTTACTCTTGTATTTATTTAGGGTAGCCATGAACTGTGCCTATATAAGATGTCAAACATAACTGATGAATGTGTGTGTTCTAACTATGCTACCAACTGGCCATTCCACCATCTTGTTCCTTCTCCTCAGACCTCGTTATTCCCTGACACAACATTATTGAAAATATGTCAGTTAATAACCCTAAAATGCCCTCTAAGTGTCCAAATGAAAGGAAGAGTTGCATGTCTCTCACTTTAAAGCAAAAGCCAGAAATAATTAAGCTTAGTGAGGAAGTCTTGTTGAAAGTCGAGAGAGGCTGAAAGAAAGGCCTCTTGCACCAGTCAGCCATGTTGTGAAGGCAAAGGAAAAGTTCTAAAAGGAAATTAAAAATGCTACTTCAGTGAACACACAAATGATGAGAACGTAAAGCAGCTTTATTCTGGATGTCATTAAGACCACTCCATTCATTGGAGGAGATCAAAATGTCACCATTAATGAAAGTTTGGAGGAGGCTGACTCTAACACTCATAAATGAATTTGAGGGATTCAAAACTTCAGTGGAGGAAGTAACTGCAGATGTGGTGGATAACAAGATAGTTAGAAGTGGAGCCTGAAAATGTGACTGAATTGCTGCAATCTCATGATAAAACTTAAACAGTACCCTAAAACTTAAAGTATAATTAAAAAAAAAAATCAGCATCAAAAAAAAAAAAAAAAACTTAAACAGATGAGGAGTTGCTTCTTACAAACGCGCAAATAAAATGTATTCCATGAGATGGAATCTAATCCTAGTGAAGATGCTGTGAACGTTATTGAAATGACAACAAAGCATTCAAAATATTACATAAACATAGTTGAAAAAGCAGCAATAGGGTTTGAAAGAATTGACTCCAATTTTGAAAGAATTCCTCTAGGCAAAATGCTATCAAACAACATTGCATGCTACAGAGATAAGTTTCTTGAAAGGAAAAGACAATCTATGCAGCAACATTCATTGCTGTCTTGTCTTAAGAAATTGCCATAGCCACCTAAATCTTCAGCAACTACCACCCTGATCAGGTAGGAATTATCAACATTGAGGCAAAATCCTCCACAAGCGAAGTGATTATGACTCACTAAAGGCTAAGATAATTGATAGTATTTTTTTTAGCACTAAACTACTTTAAATACATACATTGTTTTCAGACATAATGTTATTATACACTTACAGACTATAGTATAGTGTAAACAAAACTTTTATATGCACCGGGAAACCTAACTATTTGTGTGACTATCTTTATTGTGACATTCACTTTATCGTGGTGGTCTGGAATAGAAACCACAGTATTTTCTGCATGTGCCTGCATATATAACCACTAAGATATATACGGCTTAAGAGAAGTACCACTAATTACCATTATATAGAGAGGCAAATTTGACTTGGGGAGCTAAATGACAAATCTAAATTCACACAGCTATGAAGTTGTGTGTCTTGAGTCTACGTCTAGATTGTGCTTTGTTCACTGTGCCACATTACCTCCAAAAAACAAAAAACAAAAAAACCAAAAAAACCTGACATAATTTGAGTGTTATATTGGCCCCTGTGTGTACAAAATTGTTTCCCAAGAGGGCACGCGTGTATATATTAAGAGAAAAACTAGATGCAGGGCATGTTGTAAGATACTCTGATAACTGCCAGGACAGGAACAAGGCAACATGAATGACTTAGATGATACCTAAATCATGAATATCTTTTATACTCTATGACATTTTACTGAAAAAGATATGATGCTATCTTACATGGATTCCACAATGCTCATATTCCCTAACTCCCAACCCCTGATCACAACACACTCACACAACACACACACACACACACACACACAAACACACCTTTGTAGCTACCATGGGTTGGGGGTAGCCAAACTTATTGCAATCACGGACATGCATCTAAGAAGCAAGAAAAGAGATGGCTGGCCACTGACAACCTACACTTCCACTGAAATGGAACATTTTCCAATGAGTCCAGTTATGTATCTACCTTCAAGTTTGATAATGTTTAGTCACATGCCAGAAGAAAAGGTAATTCATAAATAGTGATTTTAAGGAAAGGTAAAGTCTTACTATTCAAATGAATATATGAAATACTGAAACAGTCTGTCATTCTATATCATGTCATATGCAGTTCATTTCCTAGACTTTCTACACCAGTTCACTCTACCATATTTCATGGCTTTTATCTAAAGAGTGAATGATGAAAAATAATTATCAACTTCTCTCTAAAACCAGAAAACCTTGGATAAAAATGGATATTGAAAAATTATTACTACAAGTTTTGTTTGTCATTTTGAGGTGGAGTTGCACTTAGAAGCCCCAATTTATACAGTCCAACCGGCCAGAACTTTATAACATCTGGTGCCATTTTTAAAATTATGTTGTCTTCTAACTGATTTTTATTTGAAATGCATTGATTCAGGTATCACAAATAAAAAATATTTATATTTAGGAGCCAGTAAATTCTAGTTATTTTAGATATAGGCAATGTCTAATCAAAGAAAGAGAAAGTAAGTGAAAAGGAGGCAATGTCAAGATAAAATCACAACAACTGCTTTTTAGGAAGATAAGAATGTCACACCCGTCTTAGCATTTCACAATCTAGTCAATAGTTTCCCATAAAGGAAATGACAACTGAAAGAGCTATGACTAAAAACAGAAATACTGTGATTGAGTACCGTTATCTATCTGTGCCCTTGACAGACAGTAAGGCCTTTGTGATTTCATTATGTGTGTCTCTTTATTTTTAAACATAAATATAATTTCCACTTGCATGCTATTTTAATTTCTTACACTCTCAGAGTTACTTTAAAATCCATCAGAATACTACTAGAAACGGTGCTGTGGCTCAGGCTTGTAATCCCAGCACGATGGGAGGCCAAGGTGAGAGGACCACTTAAAGCCAGGGGTTTGAGACCAGACTGGGCACCAAAGCAAGACCCTGTCTCTAAAAAAATAACAAAAAAATTAGCCAGGCATGGTGGCACATGACTTTTGTCCCAGCTACTCAGAAGGCTGAGGCTGGAGGATTGCTTGAGCTCAGGAGTTTGGGGCTGCAGTGAACTATGGTGGTACCACTATACTCCATCCTGGGTGACAGTAAGACTCTGACTCTAAAACATAATAATAATTTAAAAATACTACATAACAATAATAACTTCCTCTGTATTTATTGCTTCTGTCACAAAATTCAGGAAACTGAAGAAAAACTCAAAAAGAATTCTGTGTGTTCTTAATACGAAAACCAATATTATACAAATATTTGTAATTTTGTGGTAAGTAATGCAATCTAGTAGCTATACAACCAATCAAGAAACAGCTGGTGAATCTAGAATGGTAATAGAGCAACAAAATTGTGCTTTTAGATTTTCGTAAAGCTGAAGTTATAGAGGATTCATGCTCATTACTATTTTCTTAAAATTTTAAATTATAAACACATGGTGAATCTAGAAAGAGAAAAACTAATACTAGTCTCTTTTCCTGATCTCTAATGTCAATTTACATGATAAAGAAGCACATATTTGACAGGCTGCTAAATATTACTTTTAGAATCTATTACTCGAAAATAGAGATTTCTGAAATTTAATTCCCTAAGCTTAATGAACCTAGTAAATTTGATCTGATGTTCTCCCAAGTTAATTTGTTAAGTCTAAATTGACTTTTTTTAATAGGGACAAATGTGTTCACATTTAAATAATCTTGAAAAAATACGCATTGCTGTAGTAATATGTTATTTATAGTCCTCATATATGAGAGTCCTTACTTGATTTCATTCATTTGATTATTTGAAGAGGTAAAAAAATAACTGGCTCAAAATGTAGTGCTTGTATACTAAATGCTAATTTCTTGCAAAAGTTATTTGAGATAAGACATTCAATTAATTGCATAGGACTGACTCTCCACTAAGTGGAAATCCTTATCCTAGATGTTGTGGAATATATATAGACATTTGCATTTATATATAAATGCAAAATTTCCCCCAGGAACTTCTATGAAACTGCCTTATATTCATTTGCATATCTTTCTTCAATATAATTTTCTATTTATTTTTTTCATTCCTATATATTTATATAGGTGCAAACATAATTGTGGTTTTTGCATGTAATGGCAAAAACGGCAATTATGTTTGCACCAACCTAATATTATATCACATTTGCTTAACTTTTGTATCTATTTCAAGATTTAGGCTATTTATAATCTGCATTTATAGAAAACGTAAATATAACTGACATTTATAGGAAAAAAGAGACTTGGATTTAGAATCTTCAAATGTAATATTACAAAATCATCAAATTAAAAGAAGGGGATAAGATGGCCAACTAGACATAGCCAGGAAGTGCTGCTTCCACTGAGAGAGACCAAAATATCCAATAAACCAACGTAATTTAAGCATATCTTCAGAGAGAAATTACCTGGAGCGGATGGAGAAGCAATGCAGACTCAGAGGCTGAAGAGGGAGGAAGCTGGGAACATTGGGGTACCTGAATGCTAGGGCTAGTTCCTGGCCTTCAACAGCTCCCAGGCAAGGAGTGAATGAAGGGACTGATATACAGCTCACTCTCACTACAGACCTCTGGGATCCTAGCTACAGAGCCCCCACTTCTTCCATGGGTGTTTGAGCTGGCAGGAGGATGTGCCTGGAGAGTAGGTAGAGGTAGGGCTTCAGCCCACTTGGAGCCCAGGGGCTTTTAAGCACGGAGCAGCTCTGGCAGAGGGTGGCCATAGGCACACATCCACCAGGACTCCCCATCTCCCTCTGAGAAGTTCTGGCTCCAGTTGACTGCAGGCAAAGAGAGAGCAGGATTGACTTCCCCATCAGACAAGGGCATGCTTATTCTGAAGGCCCTCCTCCTAGTCAGCCCCTCCCAGGTCCCCTGACTGGCCATCCTGCAGGGATATGTGCACAGTGCAGCCTCCATTGTCCAGTCTGGGTGCTTTGGGGCAACTGAATACTTTCCTGGTGACCTGAGAGCATTTTAAATTCCATAGGGCATCTGGAACTCAACCCCAAGCTGCAGGCCAGTCCCGGAGCCTCCAGGCTGGGGACATAGGTTGGGAGTGTTGAGCTAGGATCTGTGGTCTGCACTTATGTAGGAGAGGAGCCCCCACTCTCAGAGCACTGAGAGGAGTGAGAAGGGCAGGTTTGTGGAATGGTGTGGAAGTGGAGCCTACTTCCCTTCTCAGGGCCAATCTGGGAAGGATGGGGCGTATCTCCCTGCTGAGGCCACTACCCAGGGGAAACCACTGCCCAGAACACCTGACAAATGAATTGCAAGTGCCACACCATTGACCTTGGTGAATATGATGGCTGTGTCCTTTGGGGAAAGTCGTCTTGTATAGCATTGGTCCCCAACCTTTTTGGCACTAGGGACTGGTTCCGTGGAAGACAATTTTTCCACAGACCAAAGGATGGGGATGGTCTTGGAAAAATTCAAGCACATTACATTTATCATTAGATTCTCATAAGGAGCATGCAACCTAGATCCCTCACATGCGCATACAATAGGGTTGGCCCTCCTATGAGAATCTAATGCCTCTGCTGATCTGACAGGGGGCGGAGCTAAGGCAGTAAAGCTAGCTTGCCACCACTCGCCTCCTGCTCTGTGGCCTCCTTCCCAACGGGCGGCAGACCAGTGCTGGGGGTTGGAGACCCCCCAGAGTATAGTATCACAGGGGTTCCCTGTATTTATTGAATTTGCACATCTGCCTCTCTAGCTTGATGAGGGAAATTTTAATGGCCTGTATTCTCACATGTATTTCCCACCTTGCTTACTCTCTCCTCTATCAGGAATGCCAATGAGCTGTAGGTTTGATCTCTTTACATAATCCCATATTTCTTGAAGGTTTTGTTTATTTTTTAATTCTTTTTCTTTATTTTTATCTAACTGAACTGATTCATACAGTCTTCAAGGCTTCAAGCTCTGCGATTCTTTCCTCAGCTTGCTCTATTCTGCTGTTAGTATTTCCAATTGTATTATAAACTTCTTGTAGTGAATTTTTTCAGTTCCAGCAGTTCAGTTTTGTTCATATATAATATATATACACATATCATATATTATATATTAATATATTATATATTATATAGCTATATATTATATATATTTTATAACATGCAACTTCAAGGCTATGTTCTTTCTTAAAATGGCTGTTTTGTCTTTCAGTTCTTGGGTTGTTTTACTAGATCCCTTGTATTCCTTGGATTGGGTTTCAACTTTCTCCTGAATCTCAATGAGCTTCTTTGCCATCCAGATTCTAAATTTTATGTCTGCCATTTTAGTCATTTCAGTCTGGCTAAGAACCATCGCTGGGGAACAAGTGGGCTTGTTTGGAGGTGAGAGGGCACTCTGATTTTTTGAATTGCCAGAATTCTTACACTGACTCTTTCTCATCTTGGAGGGCTGGTGTTCCTTTAATTGTGAAAGCGTAAGTTGAATAAGTTGAGTATAGTCAATTGGCTTCATTTCTGGATACTTTCAGAAGGTCAAGAGTCTGTACAGCATCTTTGTTTGTGGCTAGATTCTTACCCTTGGTTTCACAGGGGTGTATAGTAGCAGAGTATTTTTTTGGTGGTGTAGTTTGGGCTGTGATCCAGTAGATGGTGGTTAAGAGTAATGGCCCATAGGTAGGCTGTCGGTCTCATGGCTCTTTTGTCTTTTCTCTCCTTTCCAGGCATGCTCTGCCACTGGGCCAGAAGAAAGATGACTCCCTGACCTTTCCACTCCTGGAGCATGCCTTAATATGCAGACCAACGAATCCAAGGCCATATCTTCTCTATCTGGCCAATACACCTCAGGAGGCAATATTTCTCTGCCTTAATCCTGCCAGGCCAGGTACCAGGCAACTAGGGATCCTCCCAATAGCTTAGAGTCAGTTGAAATTCAAACTAGCCCATCCTAAACTATCCTGTTGTGACACCTTTCCCTGAGAAAGCCCAATAAATGTTCGGCCTAGGCTTTCTCCTTGCTCCTATTTTCTGCCTCTTAACTACACTGAGGCCTCCCCATGTGGCCTTGCATAGTGTGCTGTGCCTCCTGTTTCTAGAATCTGTAAGTATAATAAACTTCTGTTTTCCTGCACATCTTCTGTGTTTCCTTTTTGTCCACACCTGACTGACCATCACACAAAAGAACAGAGAATATTCAAGTGAGAGATGGTGATAATGTGGACTAATATGCCGTGTTAGCAGTACAGATGAAGTAGAAACAGATTAATTTGAGAGATGTTTTGGTTAAGAAATCAAAACAACAGTCAGGGGATTGAATGTGAGAAGAGATGACAACCACTATATACAAAAATAACTCCTAGTTTTCTACCTTGTTCACCTGATGATACCTTTCACTGAATCTGGAAATTCTGGAGAACAATATTTGAGAGCTGGTAATAAGATGAGAGATCAGTGTTTGTTTGTTTGTTTGTTTTATTGTTCCTGGTTTTTTTGTTTGTTTTTGATGTATAGGATTTTGAAGCATCCAAGAACAGACATTGATATGGTTTGGCTGTGTCCCCACCCAAATCTCATCTTGAATTGTAATTCCCATAGTCCCCATGTGTCATGGGAGGCACCCAGTGGGAGGTAATTGAATAATAGGGGTGGTTACCCACAGGCTGAGGTTCTTAAGATAATAAGTGAGTTCTCATGAGATTTGATGGTTTTATAAGGAGCTTGTCCCTCTTTGCTCATTCTTCTCCTTCCTGCCACCACATGAAGAAGGAAGTGTTTGTTTCCCCTTCTGCCATGACTGTAAGTTTCCTAAGGTCTCCCCAGCCCTGTGGAACAGTGAGTCAATTTGTGATGGTTAATATTGAGTGTCACCTTGATTGGATTGAAGGATGCAAAGTATTGTTCCTGGGTGTGTCTGTGAGGGTGTTGCCAAAGGAGATTAACATTTGAGTCAGAGGACTGTGAGAGGCAGACCCACCCTCAATCTGGGTGGGCACCATCTAATCAGCAGCCAGCACAGCTAGAATAAAGCAGGCAGGAGAAGATGGAAGAGTACACTTGCTGAGTCTTTTGGCCTTTGTCTTTCTACCATGCTGGATACTTCCTTCCCTTGAACAGACTCCAGGTTCTTCAGCTTTTGGATTCTTAGATTTACAAAAGTGGTTTCCCAGGGATTCTCCAGCCTTTGGACACAGACTGAAGGTTTCACTGTCAGCTTCCCTACTTTTCAGGTTTTGGAACTCGGACTGATCCACCACTGGCTTTCTTGCTCTTCAACTTGCAGACAGCCTATTGTGGGACTTTACCTTGTTATTGTGTGAGTCAATTCTCCTTAATAAACTTTCTTTCATATATACATATATTCTATTAATTCTGTCGTTCTAGAGAACCCTGACTAATACACAATTAAACCTCTTTCCTTTATATATTATCCAGTCTTGGGCAGTTCTTTATAACAGTGTGAGAATGGACTAATATAGATATCGAGTAAAACTTTTGAATAAAAGAGTTCTGGAACTCAGGAGAGTGGTCTGGACTATAGATTTAATTAAAGAGACTCATTAGCTTTATCTCAAGTTTAATTGGAGAATGGTCAAAGAAAGGATGAAGGAAGTAATGGGTGTGTTAGGGTGCAAAAGAAAATGCAGATAAAGGAAAAAATGTTATTAGAAGATGCTGAATGGCTGACAACCTCAGAATATGCTATTTATCTTTACAATTTTATTGTATCAAGATAGGAACTTTGGCTCTATAACCTAAGAAACAGGATTTTTTTTTCAGTTTCTTACTCACAAGGCATTTAATTGCTACTACACTGCCAGAGAGAAATACAGGAGAAGGACAACTCCCACTGAATGGCAGCCTTATGTAAACATAAGCAGCTGATTCTTCCTCTGCAGAATGACATACAGGGGAAGGTTAGTTATAAGTGATGTTTAATGATATTAGGGTCTTTGTTATGTGATGTTAAAGTACAATGGTATCAAGAGTTCTAAGACACGATTTTTTGCTGAGGCTTGTACTTCTCCTCCCATCAGGAAAAGAGCTGCAAGTGTTCCTGATTATGAAAAACATATACACATTATAAAAAGTCAAAAACTGTTTGAAGATATAAAAAGGAAAGTAAAAATCAGTTAAATACCTGCCATCTTAAAATAATCGCCAGTAAGATTTTAATTATTCATGCTCCCTAATCACTATATATAAAGCTATCTTTAAGGCTGGGCGCTGTGGCTAACGCATGTAATCTCAGCACTTTGGGGGCCAACGTGGGTGGATCACGAGGTCAGGAGTTGGAAACCAGCCTGACCAACATAGTGAAACCCCGCCTCTACTAAAAATACAAAAAAAAAAATTTTTAGCCAGGCATGGTGGTGGGCGCCTGTAATCCCAGCTACTTGGGAGGCTGAGGCAGGAGAATCACTGGAACCCGAGAGGCAGAAGTTGCAGTGAGCCGAGATCGCACCACCGCACTCCAGCCTGGGCGACAGTGTGAAACTCTGTCCCCCGCCCCCAAAAAAAATAATAATAAAGGTATCTTTTAAAATTATTAATTATTATTATATAGTTTGGGTATTTGCTTCCACCTAAATGTCATATACAATTGTAATCCTCAATGTTGGAGGTGGAGGTGATTGGATCATGGGGTCAGATACCTCATGGCTTGGTGTTGTCTTCTTGATAGTGAGTGAGTTCTCAAAAGAGCTGGTCTTTTAAAAAAGTGTGTGGTACCTCCCCCTCCACTTTATCTCTCTCTTGCTCCTGCTTCTGCCATGTGATGTGCCTGCTCCCCCTTTGCCTTCTGCCATAACTGAAAGCTTCTTGAGGCTTCCCCAGGAGCAGATGCTGGCACCATGCTTCCTGAACAGCCTGCAGAACCGTGAACCAATTAAATCTTTTTCTTATAAATTACCCAGTCTCAAGCATTCCTTTATAGCAATGTAAGAATGGCTTAACACATATTATTTTTATCTCCCTTTACTCTCTCTTCTCGTGATGGTTAATTTTATGTGTCAACTTGACAGAGCAGAGGGATGCCCAGATAGCTGGTAAAACATTATTTATGAGTATGTCTATGAGGGTTCCTAAAGAGTTTAGCTTTGAGTAGGTAAACTGAGTAAAGGATATTCATCCTCATTTATGTGACCGGACATCTTCCTATCTGTGGAGGAATGGTGAATTCTCTCTCTGTGTTTGAATTGAAATATCCATCTTACACTGCCCTTGGAAATCAGAGCTCTTGATTCTTGAGTCTTCAGACTCCAGGACTTAACACTTATACCAGTGGCCTCCTTGTTCATGGAATTTCACACTCAGACCCAGTTACACCACTGACTTTCCTAGTTCTCTTAAAGATGGCATATCTTGGGACTTCTTCACCCTCATAATCATGTCACCCAATTTCCATAATTAATTTCTCTCTCTCTCTCTGTGTGTATATATATATATATATTACTGGTTCTGTTTGTCTGGAGAACCCTGACTAATGCAGACTTTGGTAATGAGAGCAATTCTAGAAAAACAGATGACCTTTTCTGAATTGGTTTTGGGCTTCTGAAAATGGCTTTCTAATCTGATTAGATTTAAAGATTCTAATGACTCTGTTTCCAATAGTAAAGAGAGCACTGATAGTTCTTGGCATGAACTATTTATAGAAGCACACAAAATATCTGCATTAAATACTTATAATTAACCACTTACAAGAAGCAGGGAGATAAGTAACTTTGAATATACTTTCAAACATTTGTGGAAAACTAAATAATTTAATGACATTGATTGGTTGCCACTAATGTCACTAGACAAAGTGCTAATAGACAAGGATGAGCTCAGGGATTTGCATTCCAGTTCAAGTACCCATAAATGATCTAAGAGTTTGTATGTATGCCCTGAGGGAGAGTCACAGGGCTGAAATGGCTGAAAATAAAAGTCAGGACATCATCCTGTGATTGGCTGAATTACAATTCAAGTTGAACTCCCAGCATTACAAGGTATTTATTGCTAAAGTGAGGGCATTGATTGGGAAGGAATGGGATCCTATAAGTTGGGATGAGAATGTGTGAGGAGATTGTGATGATGATGGGGACATTAAGCCCCTAAATTCTGATGAGTCTTTTTTGCCAGAAGAGGCCTCCCCAACCCCGGCAAAGATGGCCTATCTATCCCCAATGAAAGTGGTTTATCCTCCCCTAGCAAAAGTGGCTTTCCAACACCAGCAGACAAACAGGATGTCCCTTTCCCTAGAAGCAGTGACCTCTCCACCCATAGTGATGTTGCCTTCGCACTGCCATCTGAAGGAGTTAACCCTGCATAGCCTAAGGAAAAGGCAATGGCCTTCCCTGAGGCAGCTAGTATGAAGATAATGCTGACTCTCCTCAGGACTCACCCACTATCTTTCTTTACTTCTAAACCTATAATGGGACTCAAGCCTCAGCTTGTTCCTAAAGGTGAGACACAAAGTGTGACCCTTGAAGAGGTATACTACACCCCAAAAGAACAACTTGAATTTTCTACTTTATAGAAGCAGAAACACAAGGAACTTCTATAGGGAAAAATATTAATGGTGTGGGATAATGGTGGAAGAAACAAAGTTGGAACAGGTAAAATTTATTAATATAGGCCCATTAAGCAGAGATTTCTGCACACAGGGAGTTAGAAAGGACTCTAACCAGTTCGTTTGGTTGTTTGGTTGAAGTGTGGATGAAAAAAAATGTGAAAAAATTAGAAATGCCCAGGATTCATTGGTTTAATGAAAAAGAAGGGATTCAAAGCCTTAGGGATATTGTAATGTTAGAGTGAATTTGTCATTTAAGACATACTTACCCATACTGGAGTGTTCAGAAGACTCATCTTTTTACCAATACTTCAAACAATAAATTTGTGAAAGGAGCCCCAGAATCTTTCAAGAGCTTTGTGATCACTTTCCTTGGTAGGCTAGACCTTAGAGCAGGAACTGCAGCCATTCAATTGGAAAACCTATATGCACTGTGGGTAGATGGATCTCAGAGTGGCAACACTCAACCAACGAAGACAAGATGGGCATAGGTACTGTAATAAACAGCAGAGTCAAAGCAGCAATCAGGATAGTCTGGCTCATGCTTACTTATGGAATTGGCTAGCTAATCATAATGTTTCTAGATGTAAAATAAACAGGAAGCCTAGATCTGTATAAGCAGAAAAGTTCCAGATCTGCTTAACAAAAGTCTTAAGTCTAATTATAAAAGAAGAGAGTCATGGCACATTATTCAATTACCAGATTTAAGCCAGTTTACAGACTTAGAAGGTCTTGATGAAGAGGATGCTGGGTCACATTGAGTAAGACCCATGTTAAACTACCAAAAATTTATATTAATCTTACAGCTTTTTACCAGGGTAAGTGGGTTAGAGGGAGAGAAATAATCAGACCTTCTGAGTACTACTAGACACTGAACTATTGGCATTGATTCCAGGAGACTCAAACCATCACTCTGGTCCTATATTCAGAGTAGGGGCTTATGGAGGTCAGATGATCAATGTAGTTTTAGCTCAGATCTGTCATATAGTGGGGCTAGAGGGTCCCCAAGCCCACCCTATAGTTATTTCCCTAGTTCCAGATGCATAGTTGGAATAGACATACTTAGCAGCTGACAGAATCCCCACACTGATTTGCTGATCTGTAGACTGAGGGCTGCTATGGTGGGAAAGACCAAATGGAAATCATTAGAACTGCCTCTGCCTAGGAAAACAGTAAGCCAAAAGCAGTACACATATCTCTTGAGGGACTACAGAAATTAGTGCCACCATCAAAGACTTGAAAGATCCAGGAGTGGGTTTTCACCCCAACCTCATTCAACTCTTCTATTTACCTTGTGCAGAGAAAGATGGATCTTGGACAATGGCAGTGAAATATCATGAGTTTAACTAACTGTTGACTCCAGTTGCAGCTTCTGTACCCGATGTGGTTTTATTGCTTGAGCAAATGAGCACATACCCTGGTACCTGATATGCAGCTATTAATTTGGCAAATAAACCTTTTTCTCCACCCTTGTCCATAAGACCCACCAGAAATAGTTGGCTTTCAGCTGGTAAGACCAGAAATTCCGCTTTATTTTCCCACCTCAAGGATATATTAACTATCCTATCCTATGTCAACATCTACTCTGCATAGACCTGGATCGCTTTTCCCTTGCACAAGATATCACACTAGTCCATTACATTGATGACATTAAGCTGACCAGACCTAGTGAATGAGGGGTAGAAACTACACTAGAATTACTGGTAAGACATTTGTATATCATAGGGTGGGAAATAAATCATACTAAAATACAGGGGCTTTCTATCTCAGTAAAATATATAGGAGTTCACTGAGGTTATGCATGTTGAGATATTCCTTCTTAGGTGAAAGAAAAGTTGTTGCATCTGGAACCCCCTATGACCAAGAAAGAAGCACAATGGTGGGCCTAATTGAGCTTTAGAGGCAACATATTCCTCATTTGGTTGGATCACTCTGACCCATTTACCAAGTGACCTAAAAAGCTACTAGCTTTGTGTTGGACCTAGAACAAGAGAAGGCTCTGCAACAGGTCCAGGCTGCTGTGTAAGCTGCTCTGCCACGTGGGCTTATATGATTCAGCAGATCCATTAGTGCTTAAAATTTCCATGGATGTTTAAGGCCTTTGATAGGCACCTATAGGCAAATTGTAGTACAAACCTTCAGGATTTTGAAGGAAGGCCTTGCCATCATCTATAGGTAACTACTGTTTTTTTGAGAGATAGCTCTCAAATAGGCAAAAAATTGGAAAATATTTGTGTCCCATGTGAATACCTGTTAAATGGTGATCTCAGCAGAGGAGTATTTTGATAATCAGATGAATAGGTTGACCTACTCTGTGATGCTAAGTAGCTTGTTTTCCCAGGAATCCTTGTCATTACCCAATGAGCTCATGGACAAAGTGTCCATGGTGGGAGGGATAGTGGTTATACACAGGCTTAGTGACATGGATTTGAGCTCACTAAAGCCAACCTGCCTATGACAGCTGCTGAGCGCCCAATCTTCCAACAGCAGAAACCAACACTGAGCCCTTAATATGGCACAATTCCCTGGCATGATCAGCCTGCTACCTGGTGACAGGTTGATTATGTTGGAACACTTCCACCATGGAAGAAACAATGTTTTGTCCTTACTGGAATAGACATTTAATCTGGGTACACATTTGTCTTCCTACATGAAATGCTTCTGCCAAAACTACCATCATTGACTTGTAGAAAGTCTTATTCCCCATCAAGTTATTCCATACAGCCTTGCTCCTGATCAAGGAACTCACTTCAGAGTAAAAGGAGAGTAGTGATATGCCTATATGCTCATGGAATTCTCTGGTTTTATCATGTTCTTCACCATCCTGAAGCAGCTGGCTTGACAGAACAGTGGAATGGCGCTTTGAAGACCTAGTCATAGCATGAGCTAGGTGGCAACATCTTTCAGGGCTGAGAAAAGATTCTCCAGAAGGCTGTATGTGCTCTGAATTGCTGTTTAATACAAGGTACTTTTCTCTGATAGCCAGGATTCACAGGTCCAGGAATCAAATGGTGAAAATGTGAGAGGCACAACTCACTATTACCCCTTGAGACTCCCTAGCAAAATTTTTGCTTTCTGTTCCCATGACTTTATGTTCTTGTGGCCTAAAAGTCTTAGTTCCAAAGTGGGGATGCTTCCCCCAGGAGACACAGCAATGACTCCAATGACCTGGAAGTTAATACAAAACCACCTTAGAAATAAGGTAGTTACAAATACCAGCTATGACTATGGAGGACTGTAATTGCCATGAGTATTTCCTCCTTATTTTGTTAGAACTATATATATATACATATATATGTATATACACATTAAGCAAATAATTTTGTTTTCTTTCTCTTTCTTCTCTTAGTCCCTTATCATATAACATAAAATGCATTGATTTCATTTTGGTATGCAAGTATTATTAATTTCATGCCTTAGTGCTTAAGTTATGGGATATCAAGGAAAGAGGAAACATCACTCAAGGGCTTTACCTCCTCTACTAAGGAAGAGATTGGTATGTTTTTAGTTATGCACAGGATAGTTGTGTCATGTTTGGTCAGATTATGACCTTGTTATTATATTTATTTGTAAACTGACTATGGTTTAAGGAAATTTGTATAGGTGTCAAGTTGACAATGGGTGGGTGTGATGGTTTAATTTTATGTGTCAACTTGATTGAGTTAAGGGACACCCATGTAGCTAGTGAAATATTATTTCTGATTGTATCAGAGTACATTTCTGAAAAAGATTAGCATTGGAACCATCAGCCTGAGTAAAGAAGATCCACTCTCACCAATGTGAGTGGGCATCATTCAAAAAATCAAGGTCTTGAATAGACACTTCTCAAAATAAGACATATGAATGGCCAACAGATATATACATATATATGTGCAAGTTCAACATCTCCAATCATCAGAGATATGAAAATTAAAACAAAAATAAAATATTACCTCAAACCTGATAGATTGCTTATTATGAAAAAATAAGGACCCACCTTATAGCAGACTGGCCTGCTGCATCTGCAGCCACATGTTCTTGCACCTGGCCCAAGAGCCAGTTTAGCAGAAGCTCACTGTCTTGAGAGCCCATTGCACAATCGGCTGGCTTGCTGTATGTGTTTGCACGCATGCCTGGCTGAACAGCATACCTATGGGTGACTAAAATTCCCAGATACCAAACTGCACAGCCAGTTGGCCTGCCCCACATGTATACATCCAGACTGACAGCCAGACTGGTGCCTACACCTCCAGCAAAGCTATGCCACTATCACCACAAATTCCCACAGCCTAGGCCACTAGGCAGTGACAGACATTGCTAACAAGAATCGCATCCGAAGATACTTCACAGAGACCACACTATTGAGTATATTCAAAACTCAAACCAACATACCGTACCCAACCAACACCCTAGGTATCCTCTCCGGGAGAAAGTCTTTCTCTACAAAACCTGCTTCATAACATTGGAAAAGGTGATTGTTCCACTAGATGCACAGACATCATGTAGGAACACAAGAAACATGAGAACCAAGGAAACATCACACCCCATAAAGAACACAATAATTCCCCAATAGTAGACCCAGAAGTAAAATAAATTACAAATTGCCTGAAGAGGAATTCAAAATAATGATCTTAACAAAACTTAGCAAGGTACAAGATACCGAAGAATAATTTACTGAAATCAGAAAAACAATTATGATCTAAAGGAGAAATTTAGCAAAGAGATAAGGATAATTAAAAAGAACTAAGCAGAAATCTTAGAGCTGAATAGTTGAATGAATAAAATAAGAAATACAATTGATAGCTTAAACAGACTAGATCAAGCAGAAGAAATAATTTCTGAACTTCAAGAAGGTATTTTGAAATATTCCAGTCAGAGGGGAAAAAGAAGAAGAAACTTCTTTTTTTAAAGAAAGACTATGAAACTTATGGAACACTATTAAGAAAACAAATTATGGCATTATGAGAATGTCAGAGGAAGAAAGGACAGAGCAAATCATAGAAAACATATTTAATAAAATAATGCTGAAAATGTCAAGTCAAGAAAATATGGACATCCAGATCTAGGAAGTTCAAAAATCCCCAATTAGATTCAATACAAAAAGACTCTCTCTAAGGCATACAATAATCCAACTTAAAAGTCAAAGAAACAAAGAGAGAATGTTAAAAGCTATAAGACATAAGTGTCAAGTGGCATAAAAGGAAATCTCAGTTAAACTATCAGCAGATTTCTCAGCAGAAACTTTCTAGGCCAAGAGAGAAAGAGATTATATATTCAAAGTACTGAAAGAAAAAAAAAAACCTGTTAGCCAAGAATACTACATTCAGTAAAGCTATTATTCAGAAATAAAAGAGAAATAAAGAACTTTCCAGTCAATAAAAAGCTGAGAAAATTCATCATCATTAGACTAGCCTGACAAGAAGTACTTAAGGAAATGCAACAACTTGAAACAAAAGAACAATAATTACTCTTATGAATATACATATGAAACTCACCAGTTGATGTAAATTTATAATGAAAATCAGAACACCTCAGTGTTATAATTGTGCTTTATAAACGTTTCAATCCTCTCATGGTTAAAAGTCACAACAATTAAGAGGAACAACAGCTATAATTAGAAGTTAAAGAACACACACCAGATAAAGTGCTAATTCAGACAACAAACATATAATTGTGTGGGGTAGGAAAAATCTAGAAAATTTTTATGCAATCAAAGTTAAGTTGCTATCAACTTAAAATAGTCTATTATAACCACAAGCTTCTTAATGTTAGCCCCATGACAACCACTAAGAAATTAAAGCAGGTATACAAACAAGAAAGAGAAAGGAATCAAAGCTTAGCAGCACAGCAAACCACCAAACCACAAAGGTAAACAACAGGAGAGGAAGAAAGGAACAGAGGATCTACAAAACAACCAGAAAACAATTAACAAGATGGCAGAAGCAAATTCTTACTCAGAAATAATAACCTTAAATGTAAATGGATTAAATTATCCAATTAAAAATATAGAGTAGCTGAATGGACAAATAAAGAATATCCAACTATATACTCGCTACAGGAAACTCACCTCACCATTAAAGACAAACAGAGACTAAAAATAAAAGGATAGAAAAAGATACACCATGCAAGCAGAAATAAAAAACAAGCAGGAATAGCATATACTTGTATCAAATAATACACACTTTAACTCAAAAACTGTAAAAAAGAGACAAAAAGTGTTATTATATAATGATAAATTGATCAATTCAACAAGAGGATATAATAAGTATATATGCACCCAACATCAGAACACCCAAGCATAATAAGAAACTATTTTAATAGTTTCATATTTAGAGAGAGGTCAAATACAACATAATAATGGGAGAACTTCATCACGCCATTTTCAACAATAGAAAAGTCATGCAAACAGACAGACAATACAAAAAACATCAGACTTACACTGCACCTTAGACTACATTGACTTAATAACTATTTACAGAACATTGTGTCCAACAGCTGCAGAATACACATTCTTTTCAACTGCACATGAAACATTTTCCGAGATAAATCATGTTAGACCAAGAAATAAGTTTAACAAATTTAAAAAGATATTATAAAAAGAAATTGTGCCAAGTGTCTTTTCTGAATACAATGATATCAGCAAGAAAAATTGGAAACTTTGCAAATACATCGAAAATGCAAATACATAGAAAATCAGCAAAAAAAATCGGAAACTTTGCAAATACATGGAAACTAAACAAAATGCTCCTAAATGACCAATGGGTCAATAAAGAAATTTTAAAAATTATGCAGACAAATTAGAATAAAAATACATCATATTAAAACCTATGGGACATAGCAAAACAATATGGTGATAAACACCTACATCAAAAAAAAAAATCTAATACAAAGCCTAACTAGGCATTGAAGAAATAAAATAAAATGAAATAAAAAAAAAAAACAAGAACAAACTGAGTCCAAAATTCACAGAAGGGGGAAAATAATAAAGCTCAGAGCAAACATAAAATAGAGACTAGAAAAATAATTTAAAATATCAACAAAATGAGTTGGTTTTTTTTTTTAAAAATAAACAAGAATAACAAACTTTTATTAAACCTAGACTAAGAAAAAAGAGAAAAGATTCAGATTAAAATAGCTTAATAGACATTTCTCGAAAGAATAGGCATCTAAGAAAACGCCCATCACCAGTAATTTTGAGGGAAATGGAAATCAAAACCAAAATAGGATACCACCTCCCTCTAGTAAAAATAACTATTATCAAAAAGACAAAAAGATAAATTTCAGTGAAAATGTAAAGAAAAGGAAATCCTTACACACTTTTGGTGGGAATGAAAATTAGTACAACCATTATGGAAAACAACATGGAGTTTCCCCAAAAAATTACAAATAGAACTACCATATGATCCAACAATCTCACTTCTGGGTATATATCCTCAGGAAGTGAAATAAGTATGTCAAAGACATTTCTGCACTTCCATGTTCGTGGCAACACCATCCACAATAGCCAAGACTTGGAATCAACCTAAATCCTCAACAATGCATACATGAAAAAGAGAATGTTGTATATATACAAAATGGAATATTACTTGGCCATAAAAATGAATGATATCCTGTTATTGAGAAAAAATAGATAAACCTGGAGGACATTTTGTTAAGTAAGCCAGATACAGAAAGAGAAATACTACATTGTCTCTCTCATATGTGAAATCTAAAAAAAGTTGATTTTATAGAAGCAGAGTGTAGAACAGGAGATACTGGAGTCTGGGGAGGGGAGGATGAAGAGAGGTTGGTTGTTCAACAGGTTCAAAGTTACAATTAGACAAGAGGTATAACTTCTGATGTTGTATTGCATGGTAGGTGAGGACAGTTTACAGTAAAATATTGTATACTTTAAAATAGCTAAAAGAGAGGTCTCTTAGATGTTCTCACCACAAAGAAAGGATAAATGCACAAGCTAGTGGATATACTAACTACTCTGATTTGAACATCCTATCATGCACACATTTATCAAAACATTAAATTGTACCATTTAAACATACACAATTACAATGTGTCAATTAAAAAATAAATTTAAAAAACGAATGATAAGCATGGTAAGGATGCAGAGAGAAGGGAGCCCTTGCATACTGCTGGTAGTATTATAAATTAGTATTGTCATTTCAGAAAGTAGCATAGAAGTTACTCAAAAAATTGAAAATAGAATTACTATATGGTACAGCAATCTCAGTTCTGGGATACATATCCAAAGGAACTGAAACCAGTACATTGAGTGATATTTGCATTCCCATGTTTATTGCCATGTTATGCACAATAACAAAGAGATAGAAACAACCAAAATGCTCATCAATAGATGAATGAATTTTAAAATGTGATATATATGCAATTTTATTAAGCCATTTAAAAGTAAGACATCCTGTCATCTGCAGCAGCATAGATGAATCTGGAGAACACTATGCTAAATGAAATAAGCCAGGTGTAGAAAGACAAATCAAATAAGCCACGTATAGAAAGACAAATGAAATAAGCCAAGTATAGAGAGACAAATAGAGAAACAACTTTCACTCCAATGTGCAATCGTAAAAAAAAAATTGAACTCATAGAAGTAGAGAGCAGAATTGTGGCTACCAGAGGCTAGGAATAGGGAGTGGATAAGGAAGGGGAGATGTTGGTCAAAAGGTACAAAGTTTCAATTAATTGGGAGGAATAGGCTCTAGTGATTTATTGCACAGCATGCTGACTATAGGTAATAATAAGTTGCATATTCAAAATAGCTAAAGAATGCATTTTAATGCTCTCATCACATACAAATGATAAGTGTTTAAGGTGATAGATATGTTAGTCTGATTTAATCATTCCACAATGTATACATGTATTGAAACATTGCATTGTATACCATGAATATATGATTATTGTTTATCAATTAAACAACATAAAACCTTTTTCAAAAGTAGCAGTCAGAGTAACATTTTATGTCTATTACTGAAATCCAGTCTCAACAGGATGATGTGTTCAGAGCCAGATGGTACTTACACACAGAATGGAGAGCATTAAAGAGGAGGAGTCCTTAAGTTGGGAAACTGATCTTATATAGGGCTGCTGGTGATGTGTCCATCCTCCTCTCTGGAGAAAGAGAAAGTTCTTATATTTATTTACTTGGATTGTAAGCAAATTCTCTGGAGAAGGGAAGGAGATGTCTATCTTTACTACCCTAACTGTCTCTGGGAAGAAAGACATGTCTAACCTTTACTATTTAGTACTTTGCCTGGGAGAACCAGATCATGCAGAAATTTGAGCTACATAGAATAAATTGTCTCACAAAAAGAACCAATAAACACGTTTTTAAAAAGTTTAAAAATCAGGGCCAGGTGCGGCGGCTCACACATGTAATACCAGCACTTTGGGAGGCTGTGGGTGGATCACAAGGTCAGGAGTTCAAGACCAGCCTGACCAACATAATGAAAGCCCGTCTCTTCTAAAAATACAAAAATTAGCTGGGTGTGGTGCCAGACACCTATAATCTCAGCTGCTCAGGAGAGTGAGGCAGGAGAATCGTTTGAACCTGTGAGGTAGAGGCTGCAGTGAGCCGAGATCACGCCATTGCGCTCCAGCCCGAGCAACAGTGCGAGACTCCATCTCAAAAATAAATAATCAAATAAAAAATCAGATGTTATAAAAGTGATAAAGTTATTAACTGCTTTTTCACCATCTAGCTTGGCAGAAAATATTTATAATCAAATGCATTATATAAACTATATCATTATCCTTCAGATGTTTGTAAATGGTCATATTTTCTGGTATGTTAATCCAATAAAAATTACAGATATGTTGATATGCCTCCTTATACAGTTTGGCTATGTCTCCATTCAAATGTCAACTTAAATTGTGTCTCCCAGAATTCCCACATGTTGTGGGAAGGACCCAGGGGGAGGTAATTGAATCATGGGGCCTGGTCTTTCCTGTGCTATTCTCGTGATAGTGAATAAGCCTCAAAAGATCTGATGGGTTTATCAGGGGTTTCCACTTTTGCTTCTTGCTCATTCTCTCTTGCCGCCACCATGTAAGAAGTGCCTTTTGCTCTCTGTCATGATTGTGAGACCTTCCCCAGCCAACGTGGAAATGTAAGTCCAATTAAACCTCTTTTTCTTCCCAGCCTCTGGTATGTCTTTATCAGCAGCATGAAAATGGACTAATACAGTAAATTGGTATCAGTAGAGTGGGGTGTTGCTGAAAAGATACCCAAAAATGTGAAAGCGACTTTGGAACTGGGTAACAGGCAGAGGTTGGAACAGTTTGGAGGGCTCAGAAGAAGACAGGAAAATGTGGGAAAGTTTGGAACCTCCTAGAGACTTGTTGAATGGCTTTGACAAAAATGTTGATAGTGATATGAACAATAAGGTCCATGCTGAAGTGTTCTCAGATGGAGATAAGGAACCTGTTGGGAAGTGGAACAAAGGTGACTTTTACAATGTTTTAGCAAAGAGACTGGTGGCATTTTGCCCCTGCCCTAGAGATTTGAAATTTTGAACTTTGAAATTTTGAAACTTTGAAATTGAGAGAGATGATTTAGTGTATCTGGAGGAAGAAATTTCTAAGCAGCAAAGGATTCCAAAGGTGACTTGGATGCTGTTAAAAGCTCTCCAATTTAAAATGGAAACAGAGCAAAAAAGTTCAGAAAATTTGCAGCCTGATGATGCAACAGAAAAGAAAAACCCATTTTCTGGGGAGAAATTCAAGGCAGCTGCAGAAATTTGCATACGTAGCAAGGAACCTAATGTTAATTCCAAAGACCATCGGGAAAATGTCTCCAGGCCATGTCAGAGACCTTCAAGGCAGCCCCTCCCCATCACAGGCCCTGAGGCCCAAGAGGAAAAAGTGGTTTTGTAGGCCGGGCACAGGGTCCCGTGGTGCCCTGTTGTCCCAGCTACTCCAGCTGTGGTTGAAAGGGGTCAACATAGAGCTTGGGCTGTGGTTTCAGAGGGTGGAAGCTGCAAGCCTTGGCAGCTTCCACGTGGTGTTGAGCCTGCAGGTGCACAGAAGTCAAGAATTGAGGTTTGGGAACCTCTGCCTATATTGCAGATGTATGGAAACGCCTGGATGCCCAGGCAAGTTTGCTGCAGAGGTGGGGTCCTCATGAAGAATCTCTGCTAGGGCACTGCAGAAGGGAAAGGGGAGTTCAGAGCTCCCACCTAGAGTCCCTACTGGGGCACTGCCTAGTGGAGCTGTGAGAAGAGGGCCACTTTCCTCCAGACTCCAGAATGGCAGAGCCACCGACAGCTTGCACCATGCACCTGGAAAAGCTGCAGACGCTCAATGCCAGCCTGCAAAAGCAGCTTGGAGGGAGCCTGTACCCTGCAAAGCCACAGAGGGGGAGTTGCCCAAGACCATAGGAACACACCTCTAGCATCAGTGTGACTTGAATATGAGACCTGGAGTCAAAGGAGATCATTTTGGAGCTTTAAAATGTGACTGCCCTGCTGGATTTCAGACTTGCATGGGCCCTGTAACCCCTTTATTTTTGTCAATTTCTCCCATTTGGAATGGCTGTATTTACCCAACGCCTGTACCCCATTGTATCTAGGAAGTAACTATCTTGCTTTTGATTTGACAGGCTCATAGGTGAAAGGGATTTGCCTTGTCTCAGATGAGACTTTGTACTATGGATGTTTGGGTTAATGCTGAAATGAGTTAAGACTTTGGGGGACTGTTGGGAAGGCATGATCAGTTTTGAAAGGTGAGGACATGAGATTTGGAGGGGCCAGGGGTGGAATGATATGGTTTGGGTGTGTCCCCATTCAAATCTTAACTTGAATTGTATCTCCCAGAATTCCCACGTGTTGTGGGAGGGACCCAGGGGGAGGTAAGTGAATCATGGGGGCTCGTCTTTCCCATGCTATTCTCATGATAGTGAATAAGTCTCATGAGATCTGATGGGTTCATCAGGGGTTTCTGCTTTTGCTTCTTGCTCATTCTCTCTTGCTTCCACGATGTAAGAAGTGCCTTTCACCCTCTGCCATGATTGTAAGACCTTCCCCTGCCACGTGGAACTGTAAGTCCAATTAAACCTCTTTGTTTTGTAAATTTCCCAGTCTCTGGTATATCTTTATCAGCAGCATGAAAATTGACTAATACACCTTCTTTATATTATTCTGGACTTTCCTTAGGTGATGATGCATCAGCTGTTTCCTTCCTTGAGTCCTGTGTTCTCACCAAACAGAGCTGTTTAGTTTTTCCCCATCCCAGACTATGCGCTTTAGTGTAATTGCTCCTCTCTGAATGGAATAATTTTCTCACTTCTCCTTAAATTCAAATCCAACCAGCCCTTTATTACTTATCTCACTAATCATTTACTGCAAAAAATTATCTTCTCAAGGCAAGAGTTGAATGAAATAACATTTGTAAAGTATCTATCACAGTGGCTAACATTATGAATTAAAAAACTATATTCTGCTTATTTTTATTGCTCTGAACACCCACAGCATTGTTTATGTACCTACCACTTTTAATTATGTGTTTTAGATTGATATCCATATTAATTCTTCTGACAGACAATTAATTCCTCAGTAACATAAACCCTACTGTATACACATTGCAGGATTCTTTCCCCATAGAGCTTTGGTTAGTGCCAGAATGAGTGCATGAGTAAGATGGTAGAAAGTTGTGTAGATATAATGACGGAATGAGTGACCAAATAAATAGATTATAGTATTAATAATAGCAATTACATACATAGTACATAGTATATAGGAAGTAGCTTGTAAGTGCTAGATATGCATTGCTACTTTAATCTTTAAAACCAGCAAATAATGTAAGTTGCACTATTGTATTAAATTATAGATGAAGATATTGATGCCCAAAGAGGCTAACTTCCCTAGTCACTCAGCTGGTTAATGGCAGAATGGACTTCACATCCAACAAGAATTGATCCCCTTTAGTACTATATTATCTTGAATATATGACTATGGTGAGCAAAAGACTTATTAACTAACTGGTAGCTCTTTTTCCATGGTAGAACGTAAAAGGGTCTCTTTGTAAATGCAGAAAGAATGGGTATAATCTTCTGTTATTTGAAAAAGAAATGGCAAGATATTTAATGTGAAATATGTAATATCTTCTATTCAGCTGGATCCATGGAGAAATAAAATGTATTAATGCCTATCTTTGGACTACAAATCCAGTGGCCATATCTACTGAAAAAGGACAAATCAGAATCAGCCACCAGAAGTTCTTCTTCATAGACTATCATCTGACCTGTTTCCTCCCCTGTGCCTCCTTTGCTTAAGCTCCCAGTTTGATTTCTGGGTTGCAACACAAACCTGAGAAGGAGGGTATTCCTGGACCTGACTTACTTCACCAGTGTATGAAATTCCATAGAAGTGTGACCTGAAAGAAAATCTGAAGGTTATATGCCAGGGAGGATGATTCCAGGAAAACACAATCAGAAGACATAAAGAGCAAATTCCAGAAGAATAAAATCAAGAAGCCATGACGCATAATATGTCAAGGCTTTCCACATTACATACACAGAAAAAAAAAAAACACATACTCCTTAAGTTTTGTCTCAACAGTGCTATGGGTTTTAATATGGCTCAGATCAACATGTCTCTTTTTTAAGGTAATTTGAATAAAAGAGAAAACTAAAATAGCTTGCAGACCCAAATGTAAATTAGACTTCAGCAAATATCTGAATAAATACAGCATCTGTTTCTCCAACACCTAAAATTAGAGCCATTGAAAATTTGCCTTCATTCATACTAGATTGGATTATTAGACATAAGGCAACTCTATTTCCAGGCTAATGCAAATGATACCTGAGCAGTCTGTTCTAATTGTAGTTCACAGTAGACCACTCCCATTTTAAATGACCTTAGTATTAATATTTTATTTTTATATTTTTATGCATTGTATTTTACTACATTAAGCCAATAGGCTTTTTAAACCTTAAGGAGGAAACTATAATTTCAAATTATACTTAATTATCTATTATCAATATTTACCTTAATTTTCAATTTTTGGAAGATAGCAGCAACATGAAAAATGGTCAATAAACTTCATTGTCAAGGTCAACAATTTTAGTATTAAAGTCAATTTACAGTATGTTTGCTTGAGATATACATAAATTTGAAGCGGCAGTAAGTATAAACAGAATAGCTGATTTCTTGGATGCACTCCAATACAATTATAGCTACTCACCCTTGTGACTATATGTGCGTTTGCAGCTTCAGGCTGTTTCCCGGAGCCAAGCCACACTAGCAGTATTTTTAGATATGTGTGCAATTAATCGAAACGCAAAATCTCTGTAAACTGGAAAAAATACTATTTAAAATAAATAGTAGATAAACATGTAGTTTGGCATTCTTGTCAATTCTTAACTTGTAATCTCCTGACTTGGAATTGAGTTACCCCTAAGTATTTAATCACAAAATGGTATTTCTAATAGGCAATTGTAAAAAAGAATCATCAATCACATTTATTACAAACATCTCATAAAATAGTAAAAATGTTTATGAGATTGTAGAAGGCAGCTAGGTTGTTCTGTGATGTATAAAGATTTGCATATATAAAAAAACAGCAGGCAGCAAACAAGGTTTGTTTCTCTATTTTCCAAAAAGTAAAATTGCGTTTGATATAGTTATCTATTTAATTTTTATTAAAATATATTGAATATTTTTCTGACAATGGCATTGATTATCACTACAACCTAAGAAGTTTACATTTTGAAATCAGCTCAAATCTTAATATGTAGAAAAGAACTATTTCTCCAGACTCAATGGTTAATCAGAGCTCCTCAAACATATTTGTAATGGTAAATGATATTACCTTGTATTTCATGCAGTTATATACATATGTGAAGTTTTTGTTGTTTTTATTATTGTTCTGCTTTCTATGATGAACATATTTAAGTGACAATAGTATTCTCAAAATAATTCTGTTTATAGTTTACATAGCTGGCATTGTTTGCATGTGGGTAAAAATAAAATGTTATTTTATGGAGAGATAGTGGAGTTCTTTTTATCTGTAGCCTTAAGGCTGCCAACTGTCGATACCTTAATCCACTAATCCCCTCTGTAATCATGTGTTCACGTGCTGTGCAAACACTCACAAATCATTTTAAGAAACTCTTTTTTTTCCTAGTCAAGAGTACACTCACTATAGGTTGTATATTGTAAAATTGCCAATAAAATTTTTGAATATTTATAGACTAGCATTGAATGTTATTGTTTTTAAGCATATCCTTTCATTAAAAAAAACAAATGACATAAAATGGAAGAAACAAATAGAATAGTAAAGAAGAAAATGAATGATATCACATTGTATAAATCTGCAGGATTTTTTACATTTGGCTTTCAACTATCATTTTTAAAGATTCTACATCCTATTTACTTGTCAGAGACTAGATTTAATTTTTGTATGCTGCATAGAATTCTCTCTGTTAAGATATTGATATAACAAATTGCTGAATGTTTTAGTCATTGATTCTTGCTGACCAAAATGGGCTTTCAGATTAGAAGTCTTTCTTTCTTCCCTAGAAGACACCTGCTGAGATAGAAGTCCGACTGCCACACAAAAGAAATATGTGGTTTCTTCAACGGGTTCCATCTAGCAATTTGCAATGCTATCAAAAATTGCATTTTTTAATGAAAATTACCTAAGGATTTGGCAGAAAAACCTTGGTTAAAATGGACTAACTACCCATTCTCAAGCAGTATTAGCATACTGATTGGCCGTTACTTCTGTCACTCTTCTGACTACAAAATTATGACAGGCCCCACAGCAGGAAGCAAATGATCATTAATACCCTATCCTCCGGGACACAATAAACTGCCATTCACTTGCATACAAATAAAATACACAAGGGCTGTCAGCAAGAGAACAAAAAAGGAAAAGATGCATTGCAAAATGGTTTGATACTACAGTGGGATGAGACCACTCAAAGGGTTTTTGTTTTTTAGTCTATCTCATCATGGTAAGAAAATTCTTTTATATAGATTTCTTTTTCAAATATACTATTTTTCTCTACTTGAGCTGTTTGAGCTCTTCAATTAAACGGTAAGGTCTTGCTTTTGAGGAGAAAAGAAAATACCTTATAATCCTATAATCCCACAACACAGCATAAAAATTCTAAAATTCCATTAAAATGTAAGATAATGTGCCTTTTTGGTTTAAATATAATATATTTAAAAATCTGATCAATGTATTAGAACCTCATTGAAATTATTAGGGATGAAATATACTTCATATCACATACTTGATGGGATCAACCAACAAAACACAACTGGAAAAATGATACATATATGGTATTACAATTAAAACTTTAATGCCTGTTTGTTATACTAAAAGTTATGGTCGTATATAAGTTTAATTAGATATTATCACGTGACTGGCATTGTACACTCTTACAACCAGATGATATGGGATTAAGGAATGAAATTAGGGTACCACTTTGTAAAGAATGGTGAACAATCAATTTCTTTGAAATTTAGTAGAGCAATAATTACTCTGGTATATGTTTAATTTTCAATCACTTAAACCGAAATTTTCCTGAAGGTATGCAGGAAATAAAACAATTCCTGACAGACTCAGGTGCTTTTTATAGATTGTATATTCACTAGCCTGAACTTTTAAAGGCATTACTTTCACCTGAAAAGATAAAATGAATATATTTATAGTTTTTAAATTTAGTTTATGTAACTAATTTAATTGCATTGCTTTTTCTAAAGTTTTATTCTTCTGTGAGCTCCCAGTGAAACAGATCTTATGCTCAAGGATTTAAGAGTAGGTATCTATGTATTTTCTACTTATAAACCAGCTTTATCTGAGTTTGAACAAGCAACACTTGCTGATTCTGTCATTTAAACTGGAAGCTAAATAGAACAAACTGCTAATACCCCAACAACACAGATGGACATCAAATGTATTATGTTAAATGAAAGAAGCCCAACTCAAAAGGCTACATACTGTATGATTTCATTTATATTATATTACCTAAAAGGCAAGCTATAGGGAAAAGAAAGCCAGATCAATGTTTCACAGGAGCTGAGGATCGAAGAAAAGGGTGACCACAAAGACGTGCAAGAAATTTTTTGGTATAATGGAGCTATTCTTTATTCTTAATTTTAGTGATAGTTACGTAACTATGTGCATTTGTCAAAACTCATAAAAGTGTATACTAAAATGGGTGAATTATATTATATGTAAATCATACCTCAATAAACCTTACTTTTAAAAAATCCTCTAGGCTTAGTGATGTCAAAAGAATACCACAGTGTTCTGAATTGGGGTCATTATTCTGGCAAAGTAACAGAAATGACATTCATATCTTTAGAATTGGGCAGTTAGAAGCTTTTTTTTTTGTAATTGCCTGTAGTGATACAGCTTCCAATGTTACATGTTAGAAAGACTGTGAGTAGATTAAAAGTACTCACTGCTATTTTAATGTCTCCCTCATGTAGGATTAAGCAAAAGTAAAATTCAAATACATCAGTTAACATACTTCACTAGAGAGATAGATTACTATCTTCAATGGGAAAAAATGGCAGCAAAGAATGCCATTTCTTTTCCACATACCAACTTATTTCCTCTTTTCCGACCTGTGCCCCACTTTTAGGCATAAGACTCAATGGCAATAACATTATTAACTTGCACTGCTAATGGCAATGAAATAATCTGCATCCTTCTGTTATGTGGTAGCAAGAAGCAGTTCTCATTTTTACAACAGTGAATGGATTACATTGAATAAATACAAATGAAATGTCACCTTTCATATATGATAGAATTGTCACTTTCACCCAGCAACCCCAAGAAAAGAACTTTAGCAGACAAAATAGAGAACAACACTTCTCATTCAAATTGCAGAGGGAATTTTTGGTAGTCTGATTATTACCCAATTTGGACTCTAGCCAAGATTCAGACATAAAAGCAGAATAAATTTTAAAATTCATAATTATTAATTAGTTTAATGAAAAAGTATAAATAGAAAATTATCAACAATTGGAAAGATAGAAAACTAATTTGAGATATGTGAGGGAATAATAATTACTACAATTATGTATATACACTTAAATCCATAAATGCAGAGAAACTCCACAGAGGGAAAGTTTATTTCCAAATAAATTTTCTGATTTAGAAAGAGGAAGAAAATAAGAATCCATTATTGTTGGAAGCGGCTGTAGGCAGATATTTCGGCAGATATTTCAGCACATATGAGTTTCAAAGCAGCTTCCAGATAAACTTTTTGAGAATCACCAACATCACTCCTGCTGGCTGAGGTGGTCTATGGGAATTATCCAGAGGGCTTTGAGATGCCAACCAGCTCCTGTATGAGCTCTTAAAAGCCATTCATTTCAGTGATGCACACTGAGAGACTTTTGAAAAATTTATATAAGCCTCTAGTCCTGACAAAACTTAATTGCTATAAATATTATGCAATAAAAACTATAAAAATTTCAGAGCTAAATGCTACAGAGGCTCAGAGGAGGAGGAAATTCCAAATTCCAGCCTTGACCAGTCTGTAAAGTCACTGTATGGTGTTATTATGCAATTACATCAGGACTCCATGTATTGTACATCTCCCGGACCCAACAACTCCAAGATCTTCTTTGGTGATAACAGTAGGGAGAATATATTTTCAATGTGAAAATGTTAGTTTCAGGAAGATACAAGAGGAAATTTTTTCATTTATTCAACAAGGACTTAACAAGCACTTACTTTGAGATGGCAATGTTCTAGGCACTTGGGCTACATGAGTGACTAAAACATACTAAGTGCACCTTACTTAAGGAGTTTAGACTGCAGAAAAGAATCATCATGAAGGAAGCACTAAAAATAAAAAAGCAAATATTATGACATTACAGAAAATAATAAATTTTATGAGAAAAATTAAAGATAGAACAAAGAAGAAAGAGAACACAGGGACTGAGGGCAGATTGCTCTTTTTTTAGGCTAATCAGAGATGACTAAGTTTAAGGGTTGTCAGTAGAGTCTTCTTTGAGAAAGTGACATTTGGGCAAATATTTGAGATGAGAAGGTTAAGCTATGTGACATGTTTTGATTCTGTGTCCCCACCCAAATATCATCTCTAATTATTATCCCCATAAACCCCACATGTCAAGGGAGATACCTGGTGGGAGGTGATCGAATTATGGGGGTGGTTTCCTCCACGCAATTCTCATAATAGTGAGTTCTCACAAGATCTGATGGTTTTATAGGAGTTTGACAGTTCCTCCTTCACACTTTCCCTCTCTCCTGCCACCGTGTAAGATGTGCCTGCTTCCCCTTCTGCAATGATTGTAAGTTTCCCAAGGCCTCCCCAGCCATGTGGAACTGTGACTTCATTAAAGCTCTTTTTTGTAAATTACCCAGTCTTGGATATTTCTTTATAGCAATGTGAAAATGGACTAATACACTATGTTAATATTTTGGAGGGAAAAATCTATGCAAAGCCCTAAATGGGAAAATATCTGACGTCTATGAAATATGGCCACAAGGCAAGTGTGGCTAGGGAAAGCATAAATGAGTGTGCAGAGAGGTCAGCAGAAATTACCCAGTCTGAATTATATGGGGAAAAAAAGAACAGTGAGGGAAATAAATAATACCCATAAACCAGATATTGAAGGAAACACAATGAGAAAGATTAAAAAATCAAAAGCTCTTTATTTGAAAAAAATAATGAAATGAATAAACCTCTGGGAATATGGAGCCAAAACATATAGATAGTACAAATTACTAATATCTGGAATTTTTGGTGAGAATAAATATTTTATAGATTTTATTTGTAATGACAATTCTTAAGATACAATACTGTAAAGTTGTATTTGCTTTATGGTTTGTCAACCTGGGTTCGAATCCCAGCTCTATCGCATACTGTCTGGGCAAATTGCTTAGTTTCTTTAGGCATCAATGTTTTCATCTTAAAAAGCTTTCTAATTTTCTTTACTTTTACTTTAGGTTCAGGGGTACATGTGAAGGTTTGCTATCCTTAGCAAACTAACACAGGGACAGAAAACCAAATATTAAATGTTCTCGCTTATAAGTGAGAGCTAAATGATAAAAACTCATGAACACAAGGAAAGGAACAACAGACCCTGGGGTCTACATGAGGGTGGAGTCTGGGAGCAGAGAGAGGAGCAGAAAAGATAACTAACTACTGGGTACTGGACTTAATACCTGGGAGATGAAATCATCTGTACAACAAACCCCCATGACATGAGTTTACCTATATCTGGAATTTTGAAAGAGAGAGAAATCACCACAGATACTAACTGAATTTAAATAATAACAGGAGGGTACTGAGGCAGATTATATTTTCTAAAAATGGCTCCAACCTATTCTATTTCACATGCCCTTCTTCCAATATAATTTTGACATTCTTTTCATTCAGAAGCGCAGTCCATAGTCCCTCTGTTGAATCTGGGTGGATTTGTGAGTGCAGAAGATAAGAATTTATGTGACAATGTTGCAATATTATTAAAGTACAGTAAGAAAATAATGGCCAACTTAGAATTTTTAACTCACCAACACTCGAAAATAAACTTAACATAAAGATATTTTCAAGCAAAAATAAACTGAAAAAGGTCATCACCAGCAGTCCTTCAATAAAAGAAATATGAAAGGGAATACTACAGATAGGTAAAAAATTATCACAAAAAGAAACACAATTATGCATGGAGAAATGAAGACTACCAAAAAGGATAAATATTTAAGGAACTCTGAATTAGCGTTGGTTGTTTAAATATAAAAATAATGCCACATGGGGACAAAATATTTAAATGATTAAATTTCATGAGCCTTTCAAAAAGCAAGAAGGAATTAAATAAAGTTGTGTTGATCTTGCATTGTCCAAGAAATAGAAAGAATACTAATTTAAAGTATACTGTAATGGATCAAAAACACATGTTGTAATCCTTAGGGTGGCACTATTAAATAGAATTTTTGCAATAATGGACATATTCCATAATCCACGCTCTTCTAAACAATAACCCTTAGCCACATGTGGCTATTGAGCACTTGAAATGTGGCCAGTGTGACTAAGAAACTGAATTTTTACCTTTACTTAAGTTTAATTTAAATAGCTCCATGTGGCTAGCAGTTACTGTATTGAACGGTGCTCTAAAATAATTAAAAAGAGAATATAAAATAATAGAGTTATTAACAAGCTAATAAGAAATAAAATAATTTTTTAAACATGCTTTATCAAAAATGAGACAAGAAAAGAGAGAAAACAACAAAGAACAAACATAACAATGGACAAAAAACACAAATAGTTACATGGTAGATTTAAAGGCAAATATATTAAAAATTACCTTAAATGTGAGTGGAAGAGGTACCCCAACAAAAGTCTATGGTTATCAGAGTAGTAAAAATATATATATATATGTGTGTGTGTGTGTGTGTGTGTGTGTGTGTGTGTGTATTTATGTGTATTATGTATATGTATATACAATACATATATACATCCAAACATATGTACAAAAACACACATATATTGCTTATGAGGTATATCTTTTGCATAAAATCACATAACTAATGACAATAAAGAATATAAAAATATATACTATGTAGACAGTAACCAAATATAATAACATTAAAATATATAAAATATCAGAAAAAGACTTTAAGACAAAGTGTATTATTGGAGAATAAAGGGGACATTTTATAATCATAAGAATCAATTCAACAGAAAGGTATAAAATTCTAAATCTGCATACACATAATAGCGTGGCCTTAAAACATGTGAAGCAAAAACTAACAAAATTAAAAACAGAAGTAGAGGAGACTATAACTATATTTTATAATACCTGATAGCCCCTGATAGAACAAGCAGTTATAGAATATTTGAATGATATTAACCAAATTGACTTATATGACAGTAACAACAGAAATATACATTTTTTCAAGTGTATATGAAATATTTACAGAAATGTCAAACAAAACCCCATGAGGGTGTGTGTGTGTATATATAAAATACTTTTGAGAACTGAAAAAGCCAAAAAAGCCAGGATAATCTTGAAGATAAAAAGGAAACAGAAACTAACACTTCCAAAAATAAAGACTTATTATATCTACATTAATTAAGGTAGCTTTGTATTTGCAAAAAGATTTTAAAAATTAATCATTAATGTAGGCCAGGTGTGACGACTCCTGTCTATAATCACAGCAATTTGGGAGGCCAAGGCAGGAGGATTGATTGAGTACAGGAGTTCAAGACCAGCCTGGGCAACATGGTGAGAACTCATCTCTACAAAAAAAATTTTAAAAATTAGCTGGGTGTGGTGACATACACCTGTAGCCCCAGCTACTTGGGAGGCAGAGGTGGGAGCGTTGCATGAGCCCAGGAGGTCAAGGCTTCAGTGAGCCGAAATTGTGCCGCTGTACTTTAGACTGAGAGACAGGGTGAGAACCTGTCTCAAAAACAAAACAAAACAACAACAACAACAACAACAAACATTAAAATAAAATAGAATCCAGAAACAGTACATTATGTGAATTATGAGAAAGATGTACACAAATATACATTATTTAAATTATGAGAAAGATATTACTGAAGTACATTGAGAAAAAGAGTCATTGGTTATTTGCATGAGAAAAAAAGAATCTTGACCTGTAATTCACACATACATGTAAATTGAATCCAGGTGGTTTCTAAACATAAAAATCTTCTTGGAGAAAATCTAGAAAACCTTCATGACTACTGGATGGAAAAAGATTTTTTAAACAGAGCACAAATAAGATTAATAAATGCAAGTTTATTGGGAAAAAAGGGATAAACTAGACTGCATTAAAATTGAAACTTATCATAACTATGATTGAGTGTAAAAAAGGTAATTCTCCGAATAGTATAAAATTTTTTAAACTTATATATGATACGAACACTTATCCAGAATACACAAAAATCCTATGAATTCATAAGAGAAAGACAACATAACAAAAAAGAGGCCAAATATTTGAACCGGCACTTTATAGCAGTGAATAATTACACGACTAATAAACATATCAGTAGAGGAATAAAAGGTAAAACTTTGGGATGGCTGAAACGAAAAAAAAAATCTAACAATCATTAATATTGGCCAGAGAGTATGAAACAATATTTGAACTTTTTCATATTCTGATAGGAATGTAAATTGGTAGAACAATTTTAAAATATTTAATATTATGTATTATGTATTAAAGTTGAACATACAGATAACCTACGATCTAGTAATTTAGCAATTTTATTTCTAGTTATATACCCATGAGAAAAATATATTTGTTTGTACAAAAAAAGTACAAGAATGTTCATAGCAGGAACTCCTCATCATAGTCAAAGGGCAAAAAGAACAATCACGTTTGTTGATAGCAGAATTGATAAATAAACTAGATATGTTTATATAATGGAATAGTATTCTGCAATAAGGATAAACAAACTACTAGTAAATGCAGTAAAATGGAGGAGTCTCGCATGAATCTATGTCTTTTCTAGGAATATTACAGAGATATGTTTACTTTTTGTAAAGTACACAAATCTATGTTATAAGTCAAAAAACAAAAAAAAGCTCACTTAAAAATACACATTTTCATTTTTAGTTTCTTCCCCCCAGGATGTCAGATTACAGGCTTTTAGTGTGCCTCAGCCACTTGGAAATAGCAAAATATATTTTGCATAATATCGACTCTGTGAGCTTTAATTCAAGAAGAAAAATATACATGAAGATCAACTCTGTGAACTTTAATTCAAGAAGGAAAATGGAAATCCACAAAAATTGTGATGGACATCCCAGAACCCAAGGAAGAGAAAGAATGTGGGCAAATGGCCCTCATTATGGCATCTGACTGATAAAAGTGAGAGAAGTCCCAGTACATGAGTGGGGCAGAAAACTTCCCTCTCTGACCCTCCTTCACACTGGGGATCTGAGCAACCCAGGCCAAGAGAGAAGAGAGACTGCTTTGTTTCTCCCAAGCCCTGGAGCTAACTTTTGGGGAGGCTTTGAGACGTAGAAAGGGAAAGACACTGGCAAAAACTGCAGGCATTTTCACAGACTTGGGACCAAGAGTGGGATACCATTTTTAATCCATGCAGGTACAAAGTCAGTCAATCTTTGGTGACACAGCAGCATGGCCACACAGGCATTTTTGTGTCAGGGCAGAGACTGGAGTTCCCGCTCTAGAGTGGGATAGGGGCCTACACAGATAGAATTGTGGAAAGCAGCTCAGCAGTAGGTGCAGTAGGTGTTCTCCCCCATTATAGTGCTGGGGCAGGAGGAGAGCTGCTACAGCCATGGTTTATCATGGGTGATGAGACTTGCAGACAGTGCCAGTTTTGTGACTTGGAACTAGTCTGCAAGCATCATTGCTTGGTGCCCTAGCCTGCTCCCCTGGGATTTTGGTGTGCTGTAGCCCTCTTTGCTTCACTCCCAGACAGAACTCCAGGCATTCAGTGCACTCACTCGCCTGGTTCAGCAGCCTGAGCCACCCCTCCCTTTTGCACATAGATAATGATGAGTGGGGCCCTCTTTCCTCCACACCAGGTAGATCTCCAGGCATTCAAAGCACCTGCTTAGCTGGATTGCAGCCTGAGCAACCCATGCAGAGACTGTGATGCAGTGGGGCCTTCTTCACTCCACGCCCGGGCAGATCTACAGATGTCTGGAGTACCCAGTCTCCTGGATTAAAAGTTTAGAAAACCCCCCACCCTCATGCAAAAAACTTGGGGCCAAAGAGGTTTCCCAGCTCCATGTCTACACATGCCAGCCCCTGGCCACTTTGTGGCCACCCAGTGGATTCTTTCTCTGCATTGGTGCTTGTGCCTTTCACTAGGGGACCTGAAGGAGGGCCTGCCTGTCCTGGCCCCATCCATCTTGCTCCCACATCCTGCCAAAGTTGAAGAGGGAGCTCAGACCACTCTGCACTCTATGGAGCAGCCATTGCTTGAGGGAAAAGAGAGCTTCTCCCTATAAACAAGGATCACAAATACACCCAACTGTGTTGGCCGCAGCTGGCTTTTACCCATGAGTGTCATTTACAGGCTTGTACACTTAACTGTACACCCTAATATAAAACTTGCCGACAGAAGAACATAGGGTTATAGAAGCAAAGCCAAAAAGACCCTAGTCAACATTCCCTACTGTCACACCCTCTAAGGGGTGGGGGAAAGGGAAGGAAATAATAATAATAATATAGGGGGAAAAAAGAAAGATAAAACAATCCTATCTACATGGAAAAAAATTACAAAAATTAGATGTGTCAGCATCTCCAGATGAGAAAGAAGCAGTGCAAGGATTCTGACACCATGAAAAATCTGAAAGGAATGACACCAAAGGATCACATTAGCTCTCCAGCAAGGGTTTCTAACTAAAATGGAAACTCAGGAATGACAGATAAAGAAATCAAAACATGAATTTCAAGGAAGTTCAACAAGATTCAATACAAGGTGCAAATCAACACAAAGAAACATCTAAAGGAATCCAGTAAATGAAGGAAGAAATAAACATCTTGAAATCAATCACTGCTTCTGGAATTGAAAAATTAACTTAAGGAAATTCAAAATACACTTGAAAGACTACACAGAGGAGAAGAAAGAATTTCAGAGTTTGAAGAGTGGTCTTTTTACTAACTCAATCAGAAAAAAAAAAAGAAAAAAGAATCTTTAAAATGAACAAAGGCTTCAAAAAATATGGGATTATAGGTCATGTGACCTAACCTACAAATTACTGACATTACTGAGAGAGAAGGAGAAAAAATAGTCAACCTGGAAACATATTTGAGGAAACAATTTAATAATATTTGTCTTATCTTTCTGGTGAGGTAGATATTCAGATATAAGAAATGCAGAGAAGACCTGAAAGATACTAAAAGGGAATCCCATCAGACTAACAGTGGACTTCTTAGCAGAAACCTTACAAGCCAAGAGAGATTGGGGTCCTATTTTCAGCGTTTTTAAGAAAAGAAATTCCAGCCAAGAATTTCATATCTTTCTAAATCAAGTTGCGTAAGCCAAGAAGATATAAAGTTTTTCTCAAGAAAAGCAAGTGCTAAGAGAATTCATTATCATTAGACTAGCCTTACCAGAGATCCTTAAGGAAATCCAACATGGAAACAAAAGAATGATACCTGCTATTATAAAACCCACTTAAATACATAGCTCACCAAAAGTATAAAACAACCACACAATAGAAACTACAAAGCAGTCAGCTAACAATTTCATGATAGAATAAAGATCTCACATATCAACATTAACCGTGAATCCAAATGGTCCAAAGGGTCCATTTCAAAAGAACTGAGTGGCAAGTTTGAATGAGTAAACAAGATCCATCTATCTACTGTCTTCAAGAGACCCATCTCACACATAATGACATCCACAGGCTCAAAAGAATACATTTGAGAAAGATCTACCACACAAATGGAAGGCAAAAAAGAGCAGAGATCAGTATTTTATATCAGATAAAACAAACTGTAAACCAACAACAATAAAAAAGAACAAAGAAAGACATTACATAATGATAAAGTGCTCAATTTGACAAGATGACTTAACTATTCTAGAGCAATCAGGCTAAAGAAAGAAATAAAGTGCATCCAAGTAGAAAAATAATAGGTGAAATTATTTATCTTTGCTAATGATATAATTCTATACCTAAAAAACCTTAATGATGCTAGCAAAAGGCTCCTGAAACTGTGAAACAACTTTAGTAAAGTTTTGGTATACAAAATCAATGTCCCCAAATCAGTAACATTTCTATACACCAACAATGTCCAGGCTGAGGGCCAACTCAAGTGCAAAACCCGATTTACAATAGCCACACATACCAAAAAAAAAAAAAAAAGGTACCTAAGAATACTAAGGAGGTGAAGAATCTCTACAAGGAGAATTAGAAAACAATGCTGAAAGAAATCACAGATGTCACAAATTAATGGAAAAATATCTGATGCTCATGGATTGGTTGAATTCATATCATGAAAATGACCATACTGTCCAAAACAATTTACAGATTCATTGCTATTCCTATCAAACTACCAATGTCATTTTTTCACAGAATTAGAAAAGGCTATTTTAAAATACATACAGAAACAAAAGAAAGCACAAATGCCAACGCAGTCCTAAACAAAAAGAACAAAGCCATAGGTGTCACATTACCCAACTTCAAACAATGCTATCAGGCTTCAATAACCAAAACAGCATGGTAGTGCTGAAAAAAAAAAAAAAAAACCAGACACACAGAGCAATGGAACAGAATAGAGAACCCAGAAATAAAGCAGCACACCTGCAGCCACCTGATCTTTGACAGAGTCAACAAAAATAAGCAATGGGGAAAGGATTCCACATTCAATAAATGGTGCTGAGAAAGCTGGCTAGTCATATGCAGAAGAGTGAAATTGGATCCCTACCTTTCACTATACACAGAAATTAACTCAAAATGGATTAAGGATTTAAATGTAAGACATCAAGTTATATGAATCCTAGAAGAAAACCTCGGAACCCCTCTCTGGACATTGACCTTAGGAAGGAGTTTATGACTAAGCCTACAACAAAACCAAAATTTGACAAGTGGGGCCTAAAGAGCTTCCGCACAGCAAAAGAAACTATCAATAGAGTAAACAGGCAACCAACAGACTAGGAGAAAATATTCACAAACTATGTGTCTAACAAAGGTATAATATTCAGAATCTATAAGAAACTTAATTCAACAAACAAAAAACACATAACCCCATTAAAAAGTGGGCAAAAGACACTTCCTAACAAAGTCAAAAGAAGACACACAAGTGGACCAAAAAAAATGAAAAAATGACCAGTATCACTAGTTATCAGAGAAATACAAATCAAAACCACAATGAGATATTCTCTAGCACCAGTCAGAATGGCCATTATTAAGAAGTAAAAAAATAACAGATGCTGGTGAGACTGGGGCGAAAAATGAACACTTGCACACTTTTGATGGGAATGTAAATTATTTCAGCAACTGTGGAAAGCAGTCTGGATATTCATCAAAGAACTGAGAGTTAAACTACCATTTGATTCAGAAATCCCGTTACTGGGTATATGTCCAAAAAAAAAAAATTGTAATACCAAAAAGACACATGCACTAGTGTGTTCATTACAGCACTATTCACGATATCAAAGATATAGAATCAACCTAGGTGACCATCAATGGCAGATTTAAAAAAATGTGGTACATAGACACCATGGAGTACTGCACAGCCATAAAAGAGAACAAAATTACGTCCTTTTGCAGAAACATGCATGTGTGTGACGGCCATATTCCTAAGCAAAACATCACAGGAACAGAAAACCAAATACTGCATGATCTCACTTATAAGTGAGAGCTAAGAATTGAATACATATGATTGTAAAGAGGGGAACAATAGACACTGGTAACTCCAAAAGGAGAGAGGGAGGTGGCCAAATCCTGAAAACTACCTATTGGGTAATATGCTCACTATCTTGGGGTATTCATTCACACCCCAAACCTCAGCCTCACACAATACACCCATGCCATGTGACAAACCTGCACATGTGTCCCCTGAATCTAAAGTAAAATTATTCTTTAAAAATACACATTTTACAATGATGGCTCTTTTGAAAATAGATGGGAGGATAGATGAAGGATGGAATGATGGTGATGAGAAAGGAGGCTGTGGCAGTAATGTAAGCACTGAATGATGCTGGCTCCTACATCAGAGGTCTGATTCTGAATATGCTTTCAAGAGAAAGTGAATTTGCTGATAAATTGGATGCAGTGTGAGGGAAAACGAGAATTCAAGGATAATTTCAAGTATTTGACTTTGAGCACTTAGAAGAATGAAGTTGATGTCAACTGAGATGGAATATGCTTTAAGTGAAGCAGGTTTTGAGGAGTACAATTAGGAACTTCATTTTGCAGCTGTTGAATTTATGTCTGTTGAGAAGACATAAATTCAAGAAAAGCTGTTGAATACATAATTGCATATACAAATCTGGATTTCAAAAAAGAAATCTGGGCCTGAGATATAAATATTGGAGTGATAATCATTGCAATGTTACTTAGAACCATAAAACCCACTAAAAAGTTTCTCAAAATTTTTTTATTAGAAAAAAAAAAATGGCAAAAAACTGGAACACCTTAACTTGAAGAGGCAGTTGGACAGAAGAAAAGGAACTAGCAAAAGAGACAGAAAAGACTAAATGAGAAAAATAGAAAACTACAAGATGGAAGTGCTCTGATGGCAAATTAAAGATTGTGTATTAAAAAAGTAAATAAACGAGATCAAGTAGGTCCAGTAGGATCATATTGGGTCAGTGAGTTGAGCAATGTGGGATTATTTTGACTTGATAATAGTAGTACTCGTGGAGGGATGGGAAAAAAAGCCTGACAAAGAGTGTGTTTAAAAGGAAATGGATACACTATTTTATAAAATAAAATGTGTAACTCAGTAAGATAATGTTGATTCAAGGAATGCATACAAATGGAGTACATACTATATGACTCCTTTTATGTAAAAAAAAAACAAAAACAAAACAACAACAAATAAAACAAACACACACCAGCAATCTATGGTGTTAGGACCCAGAAAAATTGACAATGTGAGGCAGTCGTTCTTGGAACCAGATAAAAGAGAGATCTTTGGGATGCTGGTAATGTTATGTTCTGAGTACTATTTTCATGCGTGTGTTCAATTTGTAAAAAATCCTCAAGCTATACACTTATGATATGTCCACTTTTCCTTTTTAAAATCAAGAAAATATAAACAATAACTGGAGACATAAATATAGAAAGCTCTTTAAAGAAACTGGTTGTGAATGGAAGCAAATAAATTAAGTGGTAGCTCATAGGGAAATGGAAGCAAGCTTTGGTTTTGTTGTTTGTTCTGATTTTGTTTTTGTTTTATTTGTGGAGGAAATAGGATGTTTCTTTGTCATTGGGACAATACAGTTAAAAAGGAAAAAAATTAACTATATAGGAGAAAGAGAAAAAAAACTGGTTGAAGACATAGATGTTTTGGTGGAGGTGAGAAAAGATCATACACAGAAGAGAAGAGAGTGGTTTTAGGTAGGAACGTGGATAGTTATGGATGGTAATAAGTGAAAGGCAGTTTAAGAATAACAGAGGCATGTAAAAGAATTCTTTAAAATACATTGGCTTTCCCAGTGAAATAGAATGCAATGTCAACAACAGAGAAAGAGGCTATGCAGGAGGTGATAAAGGTATGAAGAGAGAGAAAAGTAAGCAATGGTCAGCTAAGACAGTGGTAGAAAGAATAGTCTGTAGAAATAGAGTGTTATTGCCAGGCAATATTGAAGTATCACTTAAATTTTGGTGTCATTAATTTGAAAGCAAAATTAAGCAGCATGGTAGTTTGTCTTACTCCTGCAATTCACCTATAGAGATGCAGATATGGATCGGTGGTAAGCAAGACTATATGCTGGCTCTGCCATGAAAAGCAAAGTCAGTAAAGGCAAAATAGAGAAGGGTATATACACGGGGGTATAGAGTCTTGTGTATATAGTGGGGGTGTATATAATGCTTAATCTGTGGAAGTAAGAAGAAGAGGGAAATAGGAAAGTGTCAGGGTGAATGGACTGAAAGTCCCAGTGGGAGTGAACAATTTGATAGAATCAGAATTTTAACTATGTATTATAAATACACACTATATTTAAAAAGTCATTATTATGATTTTCTCAGTCAGTATTAGTTATCTTTGCTCACTACTTCTTTTTTTTTTTTTTGCATCTAAACTCAGTCTCTTCTTTCTAGAAATGTCTTTTAATATTTTTAAAGACAGACTCTATTGGTAGTAAATTCAGTTCTTATTTTTCTAAAAATATCTTGATTTTGTTCATATTCTTGAAAGATACTTTTGCTGGAAATCTAGGCTTAAAGTTATTTTCTCTCATCTTCTTGAAGATATTATTCCTCTGTCTTCTAGCTTCCAGTGTTGTTATTGGTAAATCATTCTTCATTGCAACTGATTTGGGGAAGGTGATTTTTCTTTTTTTGTCTGGTATTTTTGATAATCTTATTTCCTTGACATTCTGTAAATTTACTAGCACTCGTCTAAGTGTGGGTTCATTATTTATTTATTCTATATTGAATTTGTTAGTTATCCTGAATCCAAAGATTGTTATTTTTCAAATATATCCTTTGGGAATAAATGTTCCTCTAAACACGGTTGACTGCTTTAAAAACGGTAGCGGGTGGGCAGAATGGAAGAACTCCATAAGTAAACTTGAAGCAGACTAGCTATATTCATGAGTGAGACTCAAAAGCATTTCAACCTAACAATGCACATCTATTTTCAAGCTTGTCAATAATATCTTTCTGTACAGATTATTTGTATACACACATGTGTAAGTTAACATGAAAACTCCAACTACAGTTGTGAGTTGTGGAATGCAAGATATGTTTACATTACACTCATCTTTTGAGGCCCTATCTTGTCTCAAGCTTCAGGATCAGCCAACTTTGGTCCTTTTTCTTGCAGGAGCTTTCTGGATCAATTTAATCTAGAAAGGAATGATTACTTTTGATTAGGGTAAATGAGTTTCACTTAAAATATTTTTAAGAGCTAGCATTCTAGCATTTACATTTTAAGACATGTCTCTTAGTTGAATAAAACACTTGACACCAGTTAAAGAAATTTCAGCCATGGGCAGACAGGTAAGGAAAATTAGGGACTACATGAAAGAAGTGAAAAGTACATTGTATTTTCATGTATACGGGAATTTCTTGAAGTTCCTTTTTGCAAATGGAGTATATCACTAAGTATACATATAAATGTGTGGGGGTAATTACTATTTAGTCTTTTCAGGGCGAATTAATAACGGGGAGTATAATAACACAGGCTCATGACCTGTCTTCCTGTTCATCACGAGTTTCTCAAAAAAAGATGGATAGCAAAATTTCCTAGCTATTTTTGTTTGATCCACTTACCAGTGTTGTTAAAAAACGCAGGAAGGTGTTTCTTGGTTTCTGTGAATTTGAAGAATTTCTGCTGCCCTAGGCCATGTTCATCCAGCAGAATTCCTTTCCCTAGACCCTCCTTGAATCCACAACCCCTTGCTTCACGGATCCCTTCACTCTAAGCTCCATTTTTTCTGCTTCTCATTAACTCTTTGGTGACCTTTGTTGTATCTTATAGCATATATTTTTAAAAAGCCATTGAGTTTAACACACATATTTCAGTTGTTTGAATTGTGTTAAGGTGAACATAGGAATAAATAAGGCGTGATTAACCAGTGCCAAGCCTAAGCTTGTTACATGATTTCTGATTTTGCTAATGAACTGCCTTGACAAGGTATAACAGAGTTGTTGGAAACATTGATTTTGCAATCAGAAAGACCTATATTTGAATATTGATTTCATCATTTGCACTGTCTTAAGTTTCCTCACCCATGAAACAAACAGGATCACCTGAAGCAAACTTACCAAAAAGGTTATGAAGCTTAAGTTTTGCAGTATGTTCATAAGGCCTTCAGGTTTTGAAAACTAAAAGTAAGACTTTTTTTTTACTTTTTTTCTTTTTTAAAAATTTGTGTAGATTTAAGGGGTACAAGTGCAGTTTTGTTACATGGATATATTGCATAATGGTAAAGTCTGAGATTTTAGGGTAGTCATCATCTGAATAATGTGCATGGTACATACTATTTCTCACCCCCTCCTGATCTCCTCTCATCCTTCCAAATCTCCAGTGTCTGTTGTTCCACACTCTATTTCCGTTCGTGTACCTTATTTACCTCTTACTTATAAGTGGCAACATGTGCTATTTGACTTTCTGTTTCTGAGCCGTTTCACTTAAGATAATGGCCTCCAGTTTCATCCATGTTGTTGCAAAACACAGGATTTCATTAATTTTTATGGCTGAGTAGCATTCAATTGTATATATATATATGCCAAATTTGCTTTTTCCAGGTATCTATTGATGAAGATTTAAGTTGATTTCATATTGTTGCTGTTGTGAACAGTGATGTGATAAACATGCAGGTAGAATTATATTTTTGATATAATAATTTCTTTTGGGTTGTTTTTTCATGTTGAGTTATTTGAGCTCCTTATAGATTCTGGATATTAATCCTTTGTCAGATGCATAGTATTTAAATATTTTCTTCCATTCTGCATGTTGTCTATTCACTTGTTAATTATTTCTTTTGCTGTGCAGAAGCTTTTCAGTTTAATCAAATGCCATTTTTCTATTTTCGTTTTTGCTGCATTTGCTTTTGGAGTCTTTATCATAAATTCTTTGCCTAGGCAAATGTCCAGGAAAGTTTTCTGATGTTTTCTTCCTGTATTTTTATAGTTTCATGTCTTACATTTAAGTCTGTAATCCTTCTGGAGTTAATTTTTGTACATAGGGTGAGATAGGGATCCAGTTTCACTCTTCTGCATATGGCAATTCAATTTTCCCAGCAACATTTATTGAAAAGGCTGTCCTTTTCCCAGTATTTTTGTCAATGTTGTCAAATTTTAGTTGGTGGTAGGTGTATGCCTTTACTTCTGGGTTCTGTTCCATTGATCTATGTGTCTATTTTTATACAGTACTATGCTATTTGGGTTACTATTACCTGGTAGTATACTTTGAGGTCAGATAATGTGATGCCTCCACCATTGTTCTTTCTGCTTAGGAATGCTTTGGCTATTTGGGCTCTTTTTTGGTTCCATGTGAATTTTAGGATTATTTGTCAAATTCTGTGAAAAATAATGTTGGTATTTTGATAGGAATTACATTGAAACTGTAGATTGTTTGTGCTAGTATGGTGATCTTAATAATATCAGTTCTGATCTGCCAGCCTGGAAGTTTCTTCCATTTCTTTGTCTTGATCCAGTTTTTAAGGGGAATGCACCCAGCTTTTGCCCATTCAGTATGATGTTTGCTGTGGGTTTGTCACAGACGGCTCTTATTATTTTGAGATATTTTCCTTTTATACCTAGTTTGTTGAATGTTTTTATCATGACAGGATACTAAATTTTATCAAATGTTTTTTCTTCATTAATTAAGATGATCATATGGTTTTTGTTTTTAATTGTATTTATGTGGAATTACATGGATTGATTTATATATGTTGAACCATCTTTGCATCCCTAGAATGAAGCCCACTTGATTTAGGTGAATTATCCTTTAATGTAGTATTGGATTTGGTTTTCTAGTATTTTGTTGAGGATTTTTGCAGCTTAGTTTATCAGAGGTATTGGTTTATAGTTGTTTTTCTCTCTCTCTCTTTTTTTTTTTTTTTTGTTATGTCAATGCCTGGCTTTGGTATTGGGGTGACTGGCTTTGTAGAAATAATTAGGGAGGATTCCCTTCACCTGGATTTTTTTAGAAAAGTTGTGGGAGGAATGGTACCAGTTCTTCTTTGCAGATTTGGTAGAATCCATCTGGTCCTGGGATATTTTTGTTGTTGTTTTGGGAGATATATTTTATCTCTGTGATGTAATCTCACTAGTTGCTATTACTCTTCAAGATTTAAATTGTTTCTAGTTCAAATGTGGGGGGTTGTATGTTTCTAGGAATTAATCCATTTCTTATAGATTTTCTAGATTAGGGGCATTTGGTTGTTCATAGTAGTATCTCTTTTTTTTGTGTCTTCTTTCTTTTTTTTGTATCTTCTTTCTTTTTTCTTGTTTACTGTAGCCAGCAGTCTATCAATTTTGCTCATCTTTTCAAGGGACAACTTTTCATTTTGTTGATTCTTTGTATTCTTAGGTTCTCAATTTCATTTAGTTCTGCTCTGATTGATTTTGTTATTTCTTTTCTTCTGCTAGCTTTGGGTTGGTTTTTTTTTTTCTGGTTGTTGTTGGTTGTTTGTTTTTTTGTTTTTTGGTGTTTTTTTTTTTAGTACCTGGAGGTAAATGATGAGATTAATTTGTGATCTTTCTATTCTTTTGATACAAACATTCTAATGCTATAAGCGTACCATTGAGCACTACTTTTATTGTAGATCAAGGGATTTGGCATGCTGCATTTACATATTCATTTATTTTAAAATTTTTTAAAATTTCTGTCTTAATTTCATCATTGACTCAGTGATCATTCAGGAGTTTCTTCTTAAAGTCTGGGTGCGGTGGCTCATGCCTGTAATCCCGGCACTTTGGGAGGCTGAGGCGGGTGGATCACTTGAAATCAGGAGTTCAAGACCAGCCTGGCCAACATGGTGAAACCCCGTCTCTACTAAAAATACAAAAATTTGCCAGGTGTGGTGGTGGGCACCTGTAATCCCAGCGACTCGGGAGATTGAATCAGAAGAATCCTTGAACCTGGGAGGCGGAGGTTGCAGTGAGCCGGGGTCGTGCCAGTGCACTCCACCCTGGGTGACAGAGAAAGACTCTGTCTCAAAAAAAAAAGTTAATTTTTCAATTTCCATATATCTGTATAGTTTTAAGAATTCCTCCTGGAAGTGATTTCTAGTCTTATTCCTTGTGGTCTTAGAAGATACTCGGTACAATTTATTTTTTTTAATTACCATAATTATTTTGGGGCCTAACGTGGTCTATTTTGAAAATGTTCCATGCAGTGATGAAGAAAATGTAAATTCTGCAGTTGTTGGTAGAATTTTCTGTAAATCTATGGTAAGTCCATTTGTTCTAGAGTCCAATTTAATTCCAGTGTTTCTTTGTTGATTTTCTGCTCAATTATCTGTCCAGTGCTGTCAGTGGAGTGTTGACATCCTCCATTATTATTGTATTACTGTCTATCTCTGTTTTTAGGTATAGTAATACTTATTTTGTGAATCTGGTTTATTTGCTGTTTGGAGCATATACATTTAGGATTGTTATTCTTGCTGAATTGATCCCATTATTGTTATACAATAATCTTCATTGCTGTTTTATATTATTGTTGAGTCAAGGCCTGTTTTACCTGACATAAGCATAGCTATTCATGATGGCTATTGATTTCTGTTTTTGTGTGTGGAATATCATTTATCAGCCCTTTACCTTCAATCTACATGTGTCTTTACCGGTAAAGTGAGTTTCTCATAAGTAGGAAACAGTTGGTTCATATTTTTTTAAATTTATTTTGTCAATCTGTATATTTTAATTGAAGTTTTAATCAATTTATGTTCAAGGTTAATATTGATATATAAGGTTTTGTTCCCCTCATAACGTTAATTGTTATCTAGTTGCTCAGCGAATTTATTTTCTTTTTTCTTTTTTTTCCCCTCAGTCTGTTTGTCTTTGTGGTTTGGTGAAGTTCTGTCATGTTGCCATTTGATTTCTTTTTTTTCCCCCACTTGTGTAATTGTTTTTTAAGACCTGCAAGTTTTATGTTTTCATGTGTTTTTATGATGGCTAGTACCAACCTTTTGTTTCCATGTTTAGAACTCCTTTGAGAATTTTTTGTAGGGCTGGTTTAATGGTAAAGAATTCCCTCAGGGTTTGCTTGTCTGGAAAAAACTTTATTTCTCCTCTATTTATGAAGCTTATTCCAGCAGGACATACAATTTGTGATTGATTTTGTGCTCTAAGCACTTTGGAAATAGAATCCTAATCTCCTCTGCCCTGGAAGGTTTCTGCTGAGAAGTCCACTGTTAGTCTGATGAAGTTTTTTTTACAGGTTTCTACACACCTTTCTCTTGATGATTTTAGAATTTTTTCTTTCATGTTCACCTTAGACAGTGTGATAACTCTATGTTGTGGTAAAGGCCTTCTTGCAATGATTATCCTGGTGCTTGTTGAACCTCTTGTATATGGATATCTAAATACCTTGCTAGATTAGGGAAGTTTCCCTCAATTATTTTCTCAAGCAGGTTTTTCAAACTTTTTGCTTGTTCTCCTTCAGAATATCTATGATTTGTAGGTTCAGTTGTTTTAGGTAATTCCATACTTCTTGAAGGCTTTGTTTATTCTTTTAGTTCTTTTTCTTTTTTTTTTCTGACTGAATTAATTCAAAAGACCTGTCTTCAAGTTCTGAGACTTTTTTCTTCTGCTTTGTCTAGTCTATTGCTGAAGCTTTCAACTGGATTTTATAATTCCTTCAATACATTTTTTTATTTCCAGAAGCTCTATTTGTTTTTAAATTGATCTCTTTGGTAAATTTATAATTTATATCCTAAGTTGATTTTCTTATTTCTATGTTATTTCTTTGGTTTGCAAATTTGTCTTGGAGCTTATTGAGCTTTATTTAAATCAATGTTTTGATTTCTGGCATTTCACAAATTTTAGGATTCATAGCTGGAGAGTTAGTGTGATCCTTTGGAGGTGTCTTAGAACTCTATTTTTCCATACTTCCAGAATTGTTATGCTGATTCCTTCTCAACTAGAGGAACTGTCACTTCTTATTTTTGAATCTGCTTTCATTTAGATGGGACTTTTTAAATTATTTAGGATGTCACTATAATATATGTTGAGTAGAATTGTTTGGCTTTGCTTCTGGGTGCTTTCATTAGTGAAGACTATATTAATTCCTTGGTTATAGATAGCTTTAGTGTGGTAATTTTCTCAAACACCAGTAGTAGTGGTATACTGGGTGTGTTGAACAGGCTCATGGCCCCCTGTGTAGCTGGGGTGGCAGAGGTCTCATTCCCAAGTGCTGTGTCCTTGTGACAGTAAATTTTGCCTTGGGAAGTGCAGTTCCACCTCCAGGCCCGGAGGCAGCACTTGCAGATAAGAGCCGGCTGTGGTGGTATCAGTAGGTTTATGCTTGATCTTTGTTTACCAGGAGCTAAGCTCTTCAGTGCCTCAAGAAATGGTCTGGGCTATGGAATATGTAGCAGTCTGGGCTCCATGATCAAATGGAGGTGGGAGACAAAGCTGGGCTGAGCTGGACAGGACAAGCCCATACTCCAGGCCCTCCTTATAATGGTCAGCATTAATGGGGTGGCAGAGGAGTCATCAGGGCCCTGGTGAAATGCACAGAGGTCTCTATATTGAGGGGAAGGGCTGTTTCATAACCCCTGTCTCAGCAGGTGGAATGTGATCTCTTTCCCTGTCATGCCCTGTGTGGCACTCAGGTTATTCAGTTTATTCACAACTGCTATTTATTTTCAGACTACAATGTAGCCAAGAGCTGTAGCAGCCAGCCAGCTGGGCAGCTCAACAACAAGCTTCCATGCTATCTCTTTGTGTCTGCAGTGGGGGATCCTCCTCCGCAGCCCCCGCAAAACACATAGCTCTGTGGCATTCTACTGCCGAAACACTGCAGCTCTATGCAGAGAGGGGTGGGGGGCAGGGATAGCGGGGTGGCAGGCTTGCTTTTCACACAAACTCCATGGGAGGCTACACTGACAGTGGGAAGACAGTTGTCCCTCACAGCCTCAGACAGGCTGTACTGTGGCTCACCTGTGCCAGTTTCCCATGCGAGCAGTAACTGGCTGTGTCTGCATCAGTGGGTGGAGTGGGAAGAAAAGTCCCTGTCTCTATGCTTGGGATCTAGCACAGAGGTCCTTTGGTCAATAAGATATAATTTCACGCCTCTCTTGCAGAGCTAAGCGCAGATATTGTGCCCCTGCTGGAAGCTAATCTGTCCCCTCACAACCCCAAGCAGGGAGCTCTAATGCACTGGAAAGTGTGCCCTTTGGCGTCTTTTGTTCCATGGGCTACCTTCTTGGTGCTCTGCACTTTCCCTTCCAGTAGGAGTAGCAGTCCCAGAAGGCTACAATACTGGGAACCCTGCAGCTTCCTTGGCTCCAACCAGCACTGTGCCAATGCTTGCCTCAGAACAGACAGTAAGAAATGTTCGTGAGATCTTTTTGGATATGGAGACACAATATCTGAGGTTCCCTGGGTAGGACATAGTCTCTCAATTCTCATGCCCCCAAAATGATGCCCTGCTGCAGCTGCTCGAGTCTGAAAGGAGGGTGAGCAACCTGGCAAGGGTCCACAGTCAGGTGTAATACCCTCAAGAAATCCCCAAGTCACCACTCACACTAGAGTCCAGGAATGCAAGGGCAGAGAGGCTCCCCCACAGTTTGGGTACCAGCAGTCTGCAGTAGAGATGAGGGCAACCAAAATACTCCCACTTACCCTTTCCGTGCAATACCAACTCCCTTGAGGCTCCTAGGTGATCTTTGCCAGTAGAGTTGCTCTCTTGCCTCCTCTTTTATTCTGTGCTGCAGTTTTTTCCCATGATTTCTCTGTGGAGTTCTAGTATTTTCTCTTTAATATTCTATTTGAGTTAATAATTATCTGTCATTTTGACTACTTTTGAGGAGAACTAGCATCCTTGTCTTTAGCCAGCCATCTTGAACCAAGTACAAACTGCACTCTTTTTATTAAAGAGTCTCCTTTCCAAAATTTTATATGCTTCGTGTCTCTCCCTAAAAATCTGGTCCTTCAACGATGCTAACAATAAATGTACATGCTTCTGAAGAGAATTAGAATAAAATAATTTTTTCTGATCTCCATTATTCTTCACACTTTACCAACTAACTTCTCCTTATCATTCATATATTAGCTTACTATTATTCCCTTAGGAAAGTTTTCCAAATCTCACCTCCACCCAAAAGCATGTGTGAGGTTCAGTGTTCTCTAAGCACCCTGCACTTCCGCTTGCTGACGTTTATCAAAATTATAGTTAAATAATTATTTCTATAATTTGTTTCTTTCATGTATATATCCTTTGCTAGAGTATAAACTCTGCAAGAAAGTTCTACATCCATCATGTTTATCATGTTTCCTAAACCTATAAATTGATTAATGTCAATGAGTTAATGAATTGATTACTAATGTATTAGTAATCAATGAATTAATATCTGGCATCCAGGAAGTACAGATAAATAACCTATTTTTATTAATATATAACTACTTAACTAATATACAAGTAAAATTATAGTTAATAGTATTAAAATTACAACTAAAATGTATTGTTAAGCTGATAGGCTTATTTTCTTTTATATTCGACAAAATCTTAGACGCCTCATATGAAAGTCTATGCATAAGGATGAAAAATGTAGATTGTTGTTATTTTTATTTTTAATGGTAGATATACATAACATAATATTTATCATCTTAACTTTTTTCAGTTATTTTTAAATGTACAACTAAACATTGACTATAGTCATTTGGTTGTGTGATCAAATAGTATCACAATGGTATGTGTTATTCATTCTTTCTATTTTTTTTTTATACCCATTAACCATCCCCATATTTCCTCTGCCATCCCCTCAACTTGCCTTCCCAGGAAAAATTTAAACATATGCAATTATCACCATAGAATTCTCTTGTGGATTTTATTTTCATTAATGACTGTGAACTTTTTATTTCTACAAATTACCACATAATTCTTATACACAAAAGGGCCAAAACGCAGTAAATAGGTAATCAACTCAATTTTCAGTGTGTTGCTATTGAGAATAGCAATGAGGTAAAAGAATTCCTCTTTGGACTTAAGCTTTGGAGTTAGAATTGTGTTCAAGTTTATGCTTAAACACCTACTGGTTGTTTAGGAAAAGTCGCTTAGTTTTTCTAACTTCTACTTTTCTCATGAAATATTGAGAGTATTTACCACACACATTGTTGTGATAAATATCAACTAAGTAAATGAACAAAATTTTACCACAATATTTAGCATAAACTGACATTTATGGTTACCTATTTTTATTTTAAAAACTACTTATAAATCAATGCTAACTAAAATTTCCAGACTAAGCTATTTTGCAGTAATGAATAAATAATGTCTTTGTTTTATTGTAAAGGAAAAATCATATTTACAAATTTAACTAAATATTTTAAGTACATTTTGGTTTAGGTTTATACAAAGACCTATTTTACATAACCCTGGTGGTACAAAAGAAGATAAATTTTTAAAGAAAACACAACTCGGTTAGTTGCAGCTCTAACATGGAAAGAAAAACAAATAAAAAAATATGAATCAGGAATACATGCAATAGTACTTAACAGGAACATGTTGTAACTACTTTAATAATCTTTTTGAAATAGTAACAGCAAAATATCAGCTTTATGTGCTCAACATCAAGGACAAACACATCTTCTACGATTTGAAAACATTGTACTGTGCATACTGGAATGAAAATGCTGCTGAACATATTCCAATAGTCTTATGGACAATGTGGAATGTTGTATCCTGAGAAAGTAGAAAACTTCTCATGAGAATGTTTGAAATGTCACTCCGGTTCATTTTAGATCAGAGTGCAGGTGGCTCTACAAAGCATTTGCTGGAGGCTTTGTGTTTATACAGTTGTTGCTTCCAGGATGGTATTGATTGGTTAGGCAACTAATAAAACAAGCAGTGCTGCTTTCATCTGTGTGCATTTTGGGGCTTCTAAAAGATAGAAAAGTGTTTTTAATTAGGACATGTTCCCTTCACTTATTTTACTTTTTGCTTCTTTCCTTTTTTTTTTTTTTCTTACAGTATCTTCTCGCATTTCGGAATCTCTCTCCCTGGTCATGATTCCAAACCCCTAGATGCTTTAGAAGGCAAATGATCCTGAGGGAGATATTCCTACTCAAATCTCAAGACAGACAAAAACCCTTAACATCAGCAAAACCAACATGCTCTTTATTGTTTCCATTTCATACATTTTGATTGAAAGTTATGTATTTTACTTATATTTTGAGGCTATCTGGATCAAAGTTTCTCACTTAAACATAAACTAAATTTACAGCGGAATCTATGAAAAATACTCTTATGTTCTACTATTTATATGACAGCTCCTGAATACATGAAAACACATTGTATACTAAATCACTGCATATCTAGGCAGTCATTTTATATATATACACAAATATATATTTTATATAAATAAAAATTATACATAATTCAGAATTACTTAAATATATACATTTGTATTTTTGCTTTTTTCTTTTTTTAGGTTCTTTCATTAATTTATATTTTCATAATTTTCTTATACTATTCTAATGTTGTTTTTTATCTCCATTTTCTATCTTCTTTCAAACTGTCCAAAATATATATCTTTGATTTTATAAAGGATATACAAGGAAGATTAAACACAATGTTTAAAAATTTAGAGACTATAAATAGAACTTATCAGGTAATTGTGGAAAATGTGCTATGGGGGGAAAAGTGACTTCAAGGAAACTTTTGAAAATGGAAAAACATAGCAAGGATTAAAATTTGACCACATAAATTAGCATATAAACTGGGAATTAAAGCGTTTCTAAGGAGGAACATAAAATGTGAAAGTGCTAGTATCAATTAAATAATGGTAATCAAATAGCTAAGAAAATGATTTTCATTGATATCGTACCTTTTAGCTCAAATAAGACAATTCTTTCATTTATTATTCATTTAACGTGCTTAAATAATCTAAAGAAAAAGGCAAGAAGAATTCATTTTGATAGACCTTATGCTGTATTTTTGAAATATAAAAGCTGAGTACTTAAAACAGTTTCTTAAAATGTAATTTAATTAATTTGAATGAACACACATGTAAAAGAAATTATACATAATCAAAATCCTGGAGAAGAAAGGCAGTATAGTATACCATAGTGCTTCTCACCAGGTGGTCCCTGAACCAGTGGCATCAGCAACACTCGGAAACTGGTTAGAAATGCAAATTCTCAGGCACCACCCCCGACCTAGTGCATCAGAAACTCTGGGTTTGAGACACACCAATTTGTATTTTAACAAGCTCTCCAGGTGATTCTGGTGCACTCTGTAGTTTGAGAATCATTAGGAAACTGGTTAATAGTACTTACTCCGGAGCCAGACTGGCAGTTCAAGCTTAACTTTGCTACCAGTTAGCTGAATGACTTTAGTCAAGATACTTTAACTTATTGTTCTATAAAATGGGGCAAAATAGTACTGTCCCATAATATTGTGGGGATTAAATGAATTAATATGTGGAAAAAACCTAGGCCATTTTTTGATACAGAGAAAAGACTCTGTAAATATTAGAAATTGTTGTTATGAATATGAGGTGAGGCCAAGTTCCACTGAAATGAGTGACTTGGTCAAGGTTATACAACTAGTCTCACTTAAGGAATTAACCCACAGTTTTCCCCCACTCATAAGCAGTGTCCGTTTCACATCCATGGAATTCTTGAAAATAGCCACATTTTCTCTAAATGACCAAGTAGTAGACTAATAACATATACATACAGTAATTTTATAATATATATTTCTTGGTCTGAATCTTTATTTTGCATTTTTAATGGTGAGTACTGAAAAGGCCATCAACACCCTTTTCACGAAGCTTTTCATCTCTCTTTTTTTTAACATAGTGATAACCACCAATTACTTTTATTTCATAATCAGTATAACAGGCATGTGCCAGAAATTGCAGAAAGTTTATTGGATGGAAGATAATAAGATCAACATTTACTGTAATAGCAAATAGAAAACTATAGCTTCTAATTTACATCAGCAGGAAAAGAATCAGGTGTCTCTTATAGAATACATTATGCAATTTGGGGAAAGAAAACAAGGAAAACATAAAAACAAGCTTGCATTAATATAGTATTAGGTGCTTTCACAAATAAATCTAAAATTAAGCAATAGCTAAATTGCAATAGACGTGTACTCCTAAATCATGTAGTCATCCCCTGCCGGAGTTCCTGAACCACTGGCAGATTTTCTCCATGGGTGAATTAGGCAAAAAAAAAGTCTCCCTCTATCCTGTGGCTCCAGTATCTTGAAAGGCCTTGTTGTAATCTTCACTCTTTTGGCAAAAGTGGAAAAGAACACGAAGTAGGCACATCCATTGTTAAAAGCCACCACTCAGAACAGACACATCATTAATCCTCTCACATTCCCTCATCCAGGACAGTCATCTGGCCACACCTAACCACAGGGAAGCTGGGAATATGGGTGGGCTCTGTGCTCACTACAACTAACCACACACAAGACATTCACTTATCTGATGCTGAATGTAGTGTCAGATAGGTAATAAGTAAATAATAAATTTAAATATGAAAGTTGGAATTTTTTTTCCTTATTTGTGTAGGTAAATCAGAATATCATGCTTGAAATTCTTTATCCAGTAACATGAGAAGAAAAGCTGTTACCACAGAGGACTATTGTGAGAATTAAATGAGAATGTGTATTATTTTAGTTTAACCTAGTATCGGCATAGTAAAGAGTCAACAATCTTATACACATATATCTAAAAAAGAAAAAAATACTTAGAGAAAAGAAAAGCAAAGAGCAGTAAAGGAAATACGGCCTAAGTTTAAGAATTTACAGCAAAACAATTTTGGATATTTTAATATTTATCATAATTTCTTTAAAATCACTTTATTTTAATTATGGGCTCCTTTAGGTCTTAGGGGACTCTAAGCCATTAAATCTTATTAACATTTTAATTAGAGAAAACTCAATTTCAACTTAGTGCATATAGTTTTCATTTCTCTAGTTTATAAGTTGTTTATGGCTTCAGTCCTTATGTCTATGACCGAAAGGCTATATCACAAAGAGCACTTATCTCTATTTCTACACTGGAATGAGCGCAAAATGCACGAGCACAAATGTAAGTACCGAATCCAAATTACTTTTGTAAGAAAGCTGTTTTTTTGTTTGCATGTTTTTTTGTTTTTGCTTTTTAAGACAGAGTCTCGCTCTGTCGCCTGGGCTAGAGTGGAGTGCAGTGGCCCGATCTTGGCTCACTGCAACTTCCACCTCCAGGGTTCAAGCAATTCTCCTGCCTCAGCATCCCCAGCAGCTGGAACTATAGGCTCATGCCGCCAAGCCCAGCTAATTTTTTGTATTTTAGTAGAGACAAGGTTTCACCGTGTTTCCCAGGCTGGTCTCGAACTCCTGAGCTCAGGCAAGCTGCCCACCTCAGCCTCCCAAAGTGGGAAAGCTGTTTTTAAAAAGCTGTTACTCCTTATTCAATTCAGTGATTTAGTATCGTTATAACATATATTTCTTCCAAAGCAAACCTTCAGTGTACTAATAAATGTGTGAATTAAGTGTAATTATTTGTCAATTAAAGGAGAAGGAGCAGAACATTCAGTTATTGTAGGGAGAATATGCCACTCAGTCTAAGCTAGCTACTGAACACCTCAGTAATACAGTGTACATAAGACCCTCACAGAGCATAGATGTCAATACTTCCAACCAGGTAACTTTAATTCTCATCCTTAAGGTCAGACGCCTTGATATTTGTACCAGAGATTCTATTAACGTTCAATATTAAATTACTAAAATATTCCTGGCAAAGCCAACATAATAGTGAATATTATAATTGTAAGTCAATGGCAATAAAATGTAAAAGAATAATTTGACCTAGCTAGAAAGTCTAAGTGTATAAAATAGATGAGAAAAAACTGTAAAATATTTTAAAATCCTATTAGGAGAAATCCTTGCTTAGAGAATCTTGAAGCTTTGTTTGTTTTGTCTATTCATTTTGAAATTCTGCCTGAAACAGCAAAACAATTCTCAAGAGAAAATAGGAAATATGTAACATTTGAACTAAAATAGCCACTTCAGAATACATGACTCCTTTTGCTATTCTGATAGCTCAGTACATTTCCACATAGAGTTCACACCCTAAAACATGGAGGAAATAAGAATGTCACAGAATAAAGGAGGATACAAAGCTTCACAGAATGAATGACTGGTAAAGATCAGTGGGGAAGAAGGTTCAACTGTCCTGCATATGCACTGGATTTAGATACACACTTCATCCCCTTTCTTGCCTTTTCCACTGGGCTTGTGGATTAGCAAGAATATACCCAAAGATGTGATATACCATGTGAACTCAAAGTGGCAAATAGCATACAGGGCAAATCGGGAAGCTACTTTAATTTTGATTTGGAATTCTCTAATACCCCACCCCCATCAAACACACACACACATTCAGGATCTTTCTATTCTTTGCTAACATTGCTCAACACACTTCCAAATTGGCCTCCATGGTAACTAAACTCTTTTAGGGCATTAGGCCAGCATTATGCAAAATAATAGTAATAAATGCACAAGCAACTCAGATAATAGTCGTTCAGTAAATGATAGCTCCTACCTCTCTTTACAGAAATATTTGCACTATCATAAAAGGATCTGAAACACTATTTTCAAGCCTACAACCCTAAGAAATAAAATTCTAATTATAAAATCAGATTTCATAACAGGTGCTTGGGGACAGATCTGGTGGCAACATGTCTTAAGAGGTCAGACCACATCAATTGTTACCTGCTTATGCACAGAGATTTCCCTTAAATCAGTGCTTTGGGAATTACTGTAGTCAAGAACCAAGAATTCTCACTCCCAGTCCCCACCAGGGCAATAATTTTGTAAAATATTTGCACCATGAACTTTCATTTCACGGCACTCTCAACTTCTGTACTTATTCTGGAAGAGAAACAATTTAAGGATGGGGCACCAGTCCCCAGACCATGTGGAATTAGCATCATTTTAAATCCTCTTAGCTGTATTAGTTTCCAAGACACTTTCTGAGGAAATTAGTAGTGCCTGAACTTTTAATTATTCTTAATTGCATTAATTGTCAGCAGAAAGTAAATGTAGTGTCTTTGCTATTTTAAGTAACAGGGTTTGCAATTCTATAAACAATAAAGTGGAGTACATGAGCAAGCTGGGAAAGAACTCATTTTAAAAAGTCTTAGATGTCAGTTCTAATCAGAATTGACCCTCTTACGGCTGTTTTCTGGCAGCTAACTCAATAGCCTGCCAATCCAAGAGATTTTCTTGACCAGGTACAGCTATAGCTTCCAGAGTTCAAAAAATCAATGGTCATTTTCGAAAGAGCAAGTAGGTCGGTAGACTGGGAATGAGAGATATGTGTACATTTTGATTCAAATACTATTTAAAAAGTCTTTAATAATAATAGCTAAAATTCCAAGTGCCAGATTTCTTTTATACTTATTCTCTCTTTCTTAATAAAACTTTTAAGTTATTATTTTAATTTTACAGATATAGAAACAGAAGATGTCCGGCAATATTATTCTATTTCTATTCTAATTATATTTCTTCACAAACACATAGACACAGAGACACACAGGAATCCTAATTCCCACACTCCCATGACTTGGACATAAATGGGCTGCTCAGCCCCTGGCCTCTTACAAAAAAGCATGCAATGCATAGTGCAATGATTAAAATACACACCATAATGTACTTGTTTTCACCTTTTGACTCAAATCACAAAGTACAGAAAGGAAGAGAAAGAGAAAAGAATGTTAAAAAATAAAGGGTACTCTAAACCAACTATGGGAATTCTTTAATAGTTAATAACAACAAATTCTAGACCCAGGTTATGTCTTTTAGTTTTTCTGTCCATTTTGCCCCTCTCTACAAATAAATGTCTTAATATAATACTGGAAATGTTGGTCTTATTCATAGCCTATTTAACGTGGGAAAATATAATGGCCAGAATATATGTTTCTTTTCTTTCTTTCTTTTTCTTTTCTTTTTTTTTTGAGATGAAGTCTCACTTTGTCACCCAGGTTGGAGAGCAGTGGCGCAATCTCGGCTCATTGTAACCTCCACCTCCCAGGGAGTAAACTGATTCCCCTGCTTCAACCTCCCAAGTAGCTGTTATTACATGCATTTGCCACCACACACAGCTATTTTTTTCTGTATTTTCAGTAGAGATGAGGTTTCACCACATTGGCCAGGCTGGTCTCGAACACCTGATCTCACGTGATCCACCTGCCTTGGCCTCCCAAAGTGTTGAGATTACAGGTGTGAGCCACCGTGCCGAGCCCAGAATATATGTTTCTGAGTAGTTACTTAAAGACATTCAATATAAAACACTAGTTTTTCATAGTTATAGAATAGCTACTACCATTATGAAATAGCATATTTATTTTATTTTGACTTTTTTGTGTTTAGCTTACATACATTTGATTGAATTGTATTTATGCTATTCTGTTTACTGCATAAAGTCAATCCACATGCACACCAAATTGGATTAGATATGAAAATAATAAAATGCCAAATTGCATGTTTACTATAGTTTGAGACTTCAAGACGACCGTGTACATGATGGAGAAACAAATTGGGCTGATAGTAGAAGTAAGCTTTGTTTGCTCTTTATTTAAGGAAAACAAAATAGAAATCTACATTAATGGGCTCTACATTTTATAAGAAATTGGAGTGAATCTGATGATTTGTTCAAGTACTGCTCACCAGCTTCATTAACTTAATGTAATGTACATAAAAGGCAACTTACCTACCATGATTACAATTAAATATAAACATTCAGTATATTTATCTCACCCTCAATTCTAAGTAGTCTAAAACATGCCTCATGGTATGATACAGCTTCTTGAAAATGTATGCGAAATAATCCCTATTGCATATTACATGTGGCCAGTTATATATAAACAACCACATATGAGACAGTGGGCCAATAAGATTAAAGTACTATATTTTTACTGTACCTTTTCTATCTTTAGATATGTGTAGACACAAATACTTACCATTGTATTATAGTCATCTACAGTATTCGGCACAGTAACATGCTATACAGGTTTTTAGCCTAGACGCAATAAGCTATACTATAGCTTAAGTGTGTAGTAGGCTATACCATCTTGGTTTATGTGGGTACCCTGTATGATTTTTGCACAAGGATGAAGTCACCTAAGGACACATTTCACAGAATGTATCCTTGTCATTAAGTGACACATGATTGTTTTTGGAGATTACTTTCTGTATTGATTATAAATTATAAATTAAAGTAAGAAAACAATCTTTGGTATTCTATGGACTTTGTCATAATTGGAAGTGTTTTCTCACTCAAATCTTAGTTTCTTCCACAAACTTTCATGTATCTCTTTCACCAAATAGGACACCAACTGGCAAGTAGACGAGAGGTAAATGAAAGGTTGACTAAAAGAAAACATGAGCTTTTTCCAAAGAGAAAAAAAATAAAATCTGAAACCAAAATGCCCCTTTTTAATTTAATTCATTACAGGACTCCACATCTCTTAACATAATGAATTTTACTTTTATCAGCTTTCTTCATTTCTTTAGCATCTCTGTTTCACTGCAAGAACAGATTCTTGGTAAATGCTCTTTGTAATCTAATGTTCCAAAGACTACTTATTCAGTTTCCAACAACTTGTCTGGTCTTCTGTCAGTTGGGGATGTTAAAATGATTAAGAAATAGATCTTCACCCATACTTACTTATTGGTTGTTGAAATACCACGTATTTCCATATTGCTGGCAAATAACTACTGCCTTTGTTCTCTGAGTGCTTCCCTGTTACCCCAGCAGCCAAGGTGCTGGGATGCTCTGGAATTCCCCCAGAATCCAGCAACTTAATGAGGTAGTAACCAGCACAGGTGAGGAGTTCCAAGCCTTTGCTCCTACACTTGACCAACATTCATAGCAATTTTTAAATATCCCAGCACCAAAACTGAACATGATGTAAATTTGTTTTTTATAAGTGTTCTGGATACCAGATGATGAGGTGATTGATCCCAGTGCTGGAGACTTGGGTCACCTGTAGAAGGCAGTTGAAATGTGAGTTGAGTTGGTGGGAGACAAAAATAAACCTTTTTTCCTATCCAGTCTTCACTCCTTTGCTGTTTCTAATTGCCTCCATGTTAAGAAATAAATCTCTTACTTTGTTTATTTGTTAATAATAATTGTGTGCTAAGTAAGAGAAAGTGGCTTCTGACCAAAAGCTAAGGATCTCTCCTGAAGACAATGTATGGTTTTTTGCTGTGAAGATTTAAGCCAGAAGCTTCAGTTGTGCAGAAGCCATTTTGTTTATTTCCTAGTCCTCAAATCTCTTCTCAGGTTGAGATTAGAAAGGCAGAAACTTCTATGTAAGTAAATAGATACTAAAAACATTTTGAAAATATTTTCAAGTAAAATGACTACTGAAGTCAATTTTACAATATGCAACTGATCTAAAAGTGTATTTGACATCTAGCTTTTTTAATGCTACTGTACTTACTACATTTAGAAATGTTAACGGGAAGACAAGGTTTAATCAAATATTTTCATTAGACCTACATCTCAACCAAGAAGATTTTGTTGCTGTTACCCTTCACATGTGCCTTAGAATATGAAAATAATAAAGTAATAATTTCAGATGAAAAGCAAAGTGACAAATACTTTAAGCATAGCACTTAAAAGCTCTGTTGGGTAGGAAAGTCCAGTATTTTTAAAAAGCCATATTTTTATGCAATATTAAAACAAGAAATTTTCAATGATAGTTGCTTAAAATGTCTGCTATACACATAGGATTCAAAAGAGGCACCCCCGACTGTTTTCCATTCATATGAATGGGAAGTACATGGGTAAATTACCGCCTGCAGTGCAGGATAGTGGACGTTGTACACAGCTGTTACTGTAGCCCTGTAATTATGCAAGTATCCTTCCACTGTTATACAATTAGAAGGACCTGTCTTTCTTTCTTGCATTAGGCAATGTTTTTGTTGGTGTCAAGAGCACTGAGCTATCTGTACATGTTCGGTTGTTTGTGTCTGAGTTGAATATAACTGGTACATTACAAGCAGTTCATTTTTAAAATCATGTTTTAAAAATTTGAAAAAATTCTATCATAATAAGAAAGCTTATCTTATTCCAGCTAACTTATTAAATAATTTTTAAAAATTTCTTCCCAGTAATCGACTCTGTTGCACCCTTGTATTTTGTCAACATGGAATGTAGATAATATCAAACATTCTGCATAATCTTTCAGTATCATAAGTAGATCAGAGGACAGAAGTAAAAGTGTAAACACAGTCATTAAATATTTTGTCTGTTACCGTTGTAATTTAAAACACAGATTTTAAAAATCTAGAGGTAACCTTTAAAAATGGAAATTTGTTAAGATCATTGAGGGATGGAGATTTCATTGAAACTTAGATTATATAAAACAAATTATGACTTGCCAAAAAAAAAATGAAACCTTGTAAAAATTTACATATAACAGAAGGCATGTAATCAAAAAGATAAATGTTTTTTACTTGACTCAGATACTCAGCAACAGTTGCGTATGGTGCCTGAACCATGAATTTACGGGTCACTTTTACAAAAGGAGCAAAGTTGGGTGGGTGGGTGGTTATATAAAACTGTTTTCAGTAACACTGACATGTATATTAATGGCTAGCAATGTATTTCTAGTTTAGATCCTAAATACAAATCTTAATTTCTAATTTTACTAATTATACACTAGCATTCATTTCCCAAGGTTAAATAAAGACTAAATTGAAGGTCACATGGAAAACTAAGAAGAGTCACTTTTTTTAACTTTTTAAAAATTTTTTATTATTTTGTTTTGTTTTGTTTTTTGAGACAGAGTCTTACTCTGTTGCCCAGGCTAGAGTGCAGCGATGTCATCTTGGCTCACTGCAACCTCCGCCTTCCGGGTTCATTCAATTCTCCTGCCTCAGCCTCCTGAGTAGCTGGAATTACAGGTGCCCACCACCACACCTGGCTAATTTGTGTATTTTTGGTAGATATGGAGTTTCGCCATGTCAGCCAGGCTAGTCTCAAACTCCTGACCTCGAGTGGTCTTCCCACCTAGGCCTCCCAAAGTGCTAGGATTACAGGCATGAGCCACTATGCCTGGCTAAGAATGCCAACAACCAGGTTATTAAGGATTTGAACTTAGCATATCATTAGAAGAGACTAAATTTCAAAACAAATTCAATATCACATGCTAATAAAACTCCTATTTATCATTCATTCCAATCAGTTAATGATCAGATGGCATCAATACGTCAATATTATTTATACTTCCCAGATTTCTTAATAAGTATGCAGGAAAGAACACCCAGAATTATGACAAGTCCACAAAAATCTAACAATGCATTATTATATTTTAAGAGGCTTATCCCTTTAGGTTTATGTTTTCACTAAAATTACATTAACTTTTACATAGGAGAAAAATAATTTCAAAAACACTAGAAAATTCAAGCTGTTTTAGCTTATTAATTTGGTAAAACAATAATAAACCCTACAAAATTGTTGTTTAAAATGATGCTCCTTTGACTGATATTAAAATGCTTTTGTATAATATTTCAGAGAAGAGTACCTGAGATTTAGGATGTAGGACATTTTCAATCTCGTTCGAATTTCACTTTCAATGTCTGCCTTAAAAAAAAAAACAAATGGTTGCTAATGTCATAATGACGTTTAAACTCTGCTATATATTGAACACAGTGTCGGGAGTACTCGTAAATGCTTTGCATACAGTATCTGACTTAATCCCCGTAACAACCAAATAAAACAAATATTTTGTATCCCAATTTGTCAGATGAAGACTGTGGCTCAAAGACCTTAAGTAATTTGTACTAATTAGTGGCTGAGATGGAATTACAAACAATGTCTCTCTGTCTTCAGTTATAATCCGTTATGCTGCTACAATATAATATCTACTTAAAGCCTACTCCAAGCTGGCTTTGGTTGAAATTGAGTCACATAACTTTCCCTAAAAAGACACAGTCTTTCCATTGGCCAGGCGTAAATCACTGCCTACCTCCAGAGTTGGAATGGAATCAACACCACCAGAACTGCAAGGGGCTCAGAAAGAAAAATACGTGATTCCTTCTAAAGCAGCACTGTCTAGTAGAAATATAATGTGAGCTGCATATGTAATTTTAAATATTTTAGTAGCCACGTCAAAAAGGCAAGAAGAATTAGGTAAAATTAATAAATTAATTAAAATATATTTTGGCCAGGCGCGTTGGCTCACGCCTGTAATCCCAGCACTTTGGGAGGCCGAGGCGGGCAGATCACAAGGTCAGGAGAAGGAGATCATCCTGGCTAACACGGTGAAACCCCATCTCTACTAAAAATACAAAAAATTAGCTGGGCGTGCTGGCGGGCACCTGTAGTCCCAGCTACTCGGGAGGCTGAGGCAGGAGAATGGTGTGAACCAGGGAAGCGGAGCTGGCAGTGAGCTGAGATTGTGCCACTGCACTCTAGCCTGGGCGACAGAGCGAGACTCCGTCTCGAAAAGAAAAAAAAAAAAAAATTATATATATATATATATATATATATATATATATATATATATATATATATTTTATGTAACCCAGTATATCCAAAATAGTATCTTTTCAATCTTTTTAATATAGATAATTATTAATAAATGAGATATTTTGCATTTTCTTTATATTTAAAGTAAGTTTTCAAAATTCAGTGTATATACACTTTCGTCACATCATAATTCAATTAGAAATTCTGTTCCTCAATTGCACCTTATGTCAACTGTTTAATGTCATATGTGCCTAGTGGCCACAATATTGGACAGCAGAACTCTGGAGTCTGGAAGGCACTTGAAATGTAATGTTATCGGAAGAAAAATAAACGCCATTAGTTCACAAGACAACACACTATGGCTTCCTAAATGGTTTCCCTGTTTTCTGTCTTTGAACATTCTGATCATATCAGTAAGACCAACCATATGACCAACAAGTTAAGCAATACAGACTATAATTTAAATCTTTTTATCAGTTTGTCTCAATTTAGTTTTCAACTTAGTGTCTAAGTTCTGACCCAGCCTGAGAGTTTTCATTACTGCACTGCCGCATGTTGCTTAGTCAACCCTGCAGGACTGGGTGTCATTTGGAAGGGGTGATATTCTCCCAGGGAACATTTAGAAACTTGCGGGGGCATTTTTACTGACTTGCTGACTTGAGTTTGCTATTGTCATTTAATGGGCAAGGAACAGAGATGCTAAATATCCTGTCAAGGATAGGAAAACCTTTTTTTTTTTTTTTTTTTTTTTTCAGTGGAGTCTTGCTCTGTCGCCAGGCTGGAGTGCTGGAGTGCAGTTGCATGATCTCCACTCACTGCAACCTCTGCCTCATGGGTTCAAGCGATTCTCCTGCCTCAGCCTCCCGAGTAGCTGGGACTGCAAGCACATGCCACCACGCCTGGCTAATTTTTGTAGAGACAGGGTTTCACCATGTTGGCCAGGATGGTCTCCATCTCTTGACCTTGTGATCTGCCCACCTCAGCCTCCCAAATGCTGGGATTACAGGTGTGAGCCACAGCGCCCGGCCCAAGAAGACATTTTCTAACCAAAATGCCAATAGTTGCTCCAGCTAAGAAATACGCGAGCTCTCCAGAAAAAGGAAAAAGAGCCAAGATGTGTACAGTTTGCTAATTTTCATGGTGTAAATTCTCGCATTATGGCTAATTTCAGGCAACCAACCTGAAATTTTTTAAAAATGGATATAAAGTATTTTTAAAAATTCCTTTTTTTGGTGTAAAATTAGGGCTCCTAATGCCAAAAAACATGTTTGAAAAATATATTATAGTCACTTTTACTTAAATCATTAAAAAGTTAGCATATATAACAAATTCATAGTAAAGATTAACTTTATCTGATAAGGGAACTGCGAGCTGGAAAAAAATTAAAAGTTGACTTTAGAATATTATTTAATGTTTTATTTTTTATGAAGAGATAAAGAGAGTACAATAATGTAATAGTTACGTGTGCATATATATATATACATTATGTGTGTATATATACAATTTTAACAAAAATTTAAAAGCACTGACAACTGTGATTCTATTTGAGAGGGAGACAGAAATTATAATCTCACATGGGAGTTGTATTATCCTTAGTTTACTTGTATCTACTTGAAGAAACAGGGAAAACATGCTTCCCATTGAAATACATATATTTTTCTATCCCAAACTGTCAATTTTGAACTTAAATATTTAACTTATAAATTACTATTTTATCCTATATTCTTTCTGAACCTTAAATCCCATATAAACTTTGAAAATATAAAATATCCAAATACCCTACATTGAAAGAACTTCTTAGTTGATTTAAGAAAATCATGTAACTTTGAAAAAATTTTTGTTTTAATACTTTGTATCCTTGTTGTCTAAAGATTTCAAACTTTTAAAAGGCCAGGTACATAGTTTCATGATTTTAACCTAAAATTGAAGTATAACTCTACATTTTTGCATTCATGGTAATATATAATGAAAAAGATTAATGAAAAACACTTGAAAAGGTAAAATTTCTGAATTTAATGAGAAACCAAGCCAACGTATATTTGGAAACTATTATCTCTGGATTAAATATAAGTTTATTGGATATTTATATCAATTTAGAAATACATACATGTATTGAAATACTAATAAACTGGCATAGAATTTTTTCTCTAAGAAATTACATCTCCCAAGTATGTATAAGGAGGCTGATATTTATTGCCAGTACTGTCATAATAAAACAAATGTGCTTTTCATTTTAGGGAAGCATTGTTATCAAGAAAAAAATAAACAGGGCTTATACTATGAAAAATACTTTCATAGAGAAACCAAAAACATGACATCATATCGCCCCCTATTGTTTATAATGGGGTATGCATCAGAAATAGTTTCCAAATTGTATACAAATAAATGGACATTTTGGTAACTAGTGGTGACTTTCAGAGTAGACACAAACATTAAAAAAAAAAAAAAGAAACTGGGTTCTTAAGAGGGCACTTCCAAAGAGTTTAAGATTTACAACTTGAATAATTTGCCCACTGAAAAGGAAAATTTCTAAGAGCTCCAGAAGATACAAAGTAAAACCCAATTGAGTGACAGTAACAGAAAATTTAATTTAATGTGTATTTTGAATTAATATGCTTAAATATTTTCTATCTTATGAAAATAATTACCCCAACAGACACCATACATGCCCATATAAAATGGGTATCATATAACATAACCCAAACATTCAAGCACCATATAAAAATACCCCAAAATACAATCTCTCCCAGAGGAAAGCAGGTGTGATAGACGGACTAGCCACATGATGGCAATATTTCACCATGTAGATGCAGATAAACCAGCATTTGAGAGTGAGAATCTCCTTGAGTTAAAGAAAGTGCTTAAAATATGAAGTAAATAAAGGTCTATCTTCTGAAGTAAATATTACCTAAACCCCTACCAACTATCTCCATTTTAGTATGAATCAATATGCCCTTTACAATTTTATTTGGTGGCTATGTTAATTTTCACATATAATCTACTCTACATGCAATGCATACATTATTTCAACCTTTTAAAACATTCTATTAAATTTAAATTTTCAATATGTGAGGAATATGATGACCCTCCCCCTCAGAACAGTTATGTATTATTGAATACTATGTTGCAGACCTGAGCTACCTCCCTAATCTATTCCAAACCTAAGGCCTCTCCCTCAATCAGTCCCCCAAACCCCTTCCTAGTAGGAGAACCCGACACACACCTTCTGGACTCCACAGCTGTTCCTGCCATCCAAATGGCAAATAGCCCTAGGGTTTGTGGGAATCTGATTATCCTTTAATGGAAATGCCTAGAGTGGGGAAATAAGACATTCTCATTCTCCTGACAGCTGGGCCCAAAGTGGCTTTCTAAGAGAATCTTCAATTGTCTATGATATTGATGACAATTAAACAATTGGGTCCACAACATTTGAAAGAACCAAGAGGTAATATTTGATTAATTACTGTGATAAAGATAAAAGCAAGTGACTATTTTTCTACCATGTAATATCTTCATGTTATATCTGTAACTTTATATGTAGTGAAAGTTAACTCATTTTCTGAAGTATTCTCATATATGCACTATTTATTCATTCACTGACTTATAAGGTGATAAGGGTGATAACTTCTCTACATATTAGCATACAATCCAGATCAAAGATGCTATCTTCTTAGAAATTAACTTATGTCATTGTATCATTCTGCGATCAGAGGGCAAGGTCTCAGCCCTCTCACATATGGGTACCCTGCATCATGAGGAAATTCATTCAAGACAAATTCTAAGTTCTTTTTACAAACCCACCACTACTGAAAGAGAAAGCCTCACACCACATTTCAAAAACTAACCAATAGCAATATTTTGGCTAAAAAAAAAACATGTTCCATCATTCAGAAATCAGTTGGAAAGCAATGAGTATAAAATACACACACACACACACACACACACACACACACAAATACATAAAATTAGGACTACATTACAGTTTGCATGACTAACGTTCAAGAGGACGTAATAATAAATATGCATTTCAAGGAAATCAGTTAGACATGAAAAATGATTAACCACATAACAAGTAACAGGTACTCTGAACATCATAGTCATATATATAGATGTGTGTGTTTGTGTGTGTGTATAAATATATATATTTGATATTACAGAGCAAAGATGAAAGAAAATATACTGAGTTATTCATAAACATTTTTGTACACTGATTCCACTTGTACTCAAGATCCCAAAACCTGTGCACCCCCAAAGCAGATGAAGCCGTTATAGTACAGAAATTCAAACTTGATAGAATACTGCTATATATATTTACAAAATAAAGATATATTTTCTTGTTTCACTGATGTTACAGAATATTTCTAAAAATACATTTATTTCATAAGAAAAAAATGTGTCATTAGAAATTTTCTTTTAATTTACAGCTAACCAAGAATTTTAGGATGCTTGATCAGTGTTGTTCCATAGATCAGTGATCTGAGGAATCATTAGTAACCGTAATTTACACGCAGGACGACTGAGATGTAAAAAAGCCAAGGAGTAAGTTGTGTCCTGCTGACTTGTTGTAGAGAGAAGAGGGGAAAAGGATTGTAAAAATTTTGTACAGGGGAATTTTGTTTCTTGGCAATAAGAAGCTCATACACACAAACATGGGTATTCTCATCCTTTACTAATAATATATATGGGTATAGAAATAATTATGGATTAAATTATTTCATTTACCATTTAACTGTAAAAGATGAAATGTTAATGACAAGTTACTAGCAAAGTATTTTATACTATTTATATCTTATAAAAATAGTTATTACTTGCATCTTTAATTTTATTCCACAGAACTTCTCTGAAATATCAAAACAAATGTTTTTGTCCTCATAGCACATTCTTCTTCCCACTAGGTGGCTCTGTTCTGAAAATTTCTCCTCTTAATTTTAAAATTATGAATATTTATAGTTTCTGTTTTTAATTGTATAGATACTTTTTATTAAACACACATTTACATTGTGCTAGGCACTTAACTAAATGCTTTATTAGTGTATCTAAAGAAAAAGCAAAAAAAAGTAAGTAAAAAATAATTTAAGTATTTATTTTAGTGTAATAAATATTAGCTACCTGTTCTTGGACACTTACATATCAGGGATCCGAACTTTTGCCCTAATTATAGATCTGTTAGGATAATTTCAGCTACATTTTACACAGAAGTCAGTTCAAAATGGCCTAAACAAAAAGGAAATTTGGGGCCTATATATTAGATAGTCTAGGGTTGAATAATCTGTCTGTTCTACTCTGTCATTAAGTACCAGCTCTTTTGGTGTCACCATTCTGCCATTAGCAGCTTCAGTTTAAGGCAGTTCCAAGCCGCATGGCTTTAAGATAGTTACCAGCACCAACCAAAGCCACATATTTTCTTGTTCCTAACTAGTTCAAGAGAAAGAAAACACCTCTGCCCTAACAACACACCAAAATTTCATTCTATTGGACTAACTTGGCCAATTTGGTTATATGCCCAGTAATGTCACCAGGGGAATGCAATGCACTGGCTGCCATATACCTAAGTTTCTGAAAACTGACAAGAGGAGCAGGAATTTCAGGATTTCCTGGGAACCCTCAAGTATCTCCTGTTGGATTTGGGGACAATTTGGTAAGTCGCATGACACCTACATGTATGTGAGGAATGCACAGATGTTGGGAAGTCAACCACAATCTCAACTCCCTCACTGAATAAATACACCATCCAACCTAAATTACTTAACATTCATACCTAATATTTACCATCCCAACTCTGAGTCAATATGTTTTTGTTTCGTTTTAAAAAGACTTCCCTTTGAAGTCTTTTGAGGGTTTGTTTTTTTCCGCAACAAAAAGTTACCTTCAACTCCTGAGCATACTTTTTTATAATATAGACATAGCTAAAATCCACATCCCTTTGAAAAAATGAACATGAAGAAAATATTTCACTTTCAAAGTAGCAAATATTCTTAGCTCTGGTATATGTGTACACTATGTATTTTTTGATACATAGCGTATACATACATTATGTACTTTCTGATAATTTAGACATAAAATCAATTACCTATTCTAGTTAAACTTTCTTGTGCCTTACCCTAGACTGTGTCGAATAAGGCTAGTTTCTAACAGTGCATTTAAAGATAATAAAGAGCCCACTTGAGGTAAACATGCATTTTGAGGGGCATTGTATACAGGGTTTGAGGTCCAACAGGTTCAGACATTTGCATGTAATGAACACTGGTCATGCTGTTTTAATTTTTTTTATTCTTCCATTGCATCTACTATTTCTTCACATAATATTTGCCTCAAAAATAGTTAACTAAAGTTTTTAAATCAAATATTTACTTATCACAGTCATGATTACACTTAGAGCAGATTCATATTCTAATTACATTTTTTTCAGTTGTTTTAGATTTATTTCATTATGCAAATTTAAGATCAAGATGATGCTGATCACTTCACAAAAGAAAAAATGCTATACAAATTATTTTAAAAAGAGAAGGATGCTTATTCTACAAATTAAATTACTTACTCTGCTGAATTATCAAAGAACTCCTATTTTCTAATCCCCAGTGAGAGTGATTTTTAATTTTTTACCATTTTGTTGTAATTTACTTTGCATTTTTAATTTATGTGCTTTTTCATACATACCACAAGGGTATATAAAGTCTTGACTTTTTTAAGTTATAGACATTATGTATTTCCCATCAATAGTTAAATTGACGATCAGGCATTTTCCATCTCTCTCTACTCTGTTAACTCTAGGATGTGTGTTTCACGTACAATAAGGAAAGTCTCCATGTCATTCTGCTCAAATCTGTATTACCTTTCATTGGTTCTTTTACATAAGGAGAACATCTGGCTTTATCACCATTCAAATGCATGAAGTACTCTTTTGGATGCTTATTCTTAAAGGTGGCTGAGTGGTCAAGTGCTGGCAGTCTGGTAGTTTACCAAAGGTCTGTGGTCTAGTCTGCTGTGATGGCTGTCGAAATTTGTCCAGAGCTGTTCAACCATCAGGCCTGCAATTCCTGCACCTTTACTATCAGTTGAAACTCCAAAGCTGAGAACAAAAGAGGATACTTCTTCCCATGTTTAAAAGAGAGATCAGAGAAGCTGTGTTGGACTTGCTAAATGATGACCCTAAAATAGTCAGACACCTTAGCCCACCACCTACCACAAGGCTGTATAAGAGGCAGAGGGGAGAGTGATTCTTGGATGACTTTGAGAGAACAGGTTTTTGGAGAGAATTGTCAGAGACCCCTGCTATTTTCCAGCTCTATAGAAAGGGGGGAAATGTGCTTCCTAGTCACCTCAAAACAACAAGAGAGCTTCAACCCTATCACTTGGAAAACTTGATCTCAGATTCTGGGAGTTCATGGGTTGCTAGAGTCAGTGCCTGATTCTCAACTGGAAATGTGTGAAAATTAAAAATGCAACAGGAGGCATCTTGATATATAAATGATGGGTGTGAGATGGGCAAGCATGTGTATGTATACTCCTTATAAGCCACATTGACCCAGGGAGGTCCCCAAGTAGCGGGACATGAAATGTTTGCAAAAAGGATCCAGCAGAAAGCAAAAAGAAGTTTGACCTATTATAAAATAAATGAATTCAAGGAGAGTCTAAGTCATCAGGAATAGAATAACTTTTCTATTTTCTGTGTGGTTATGCAACCAATAATATTTAGTTAGACTTATTGTATTTTGAGTTTGGCTTTTCAGCATTGAATCTTTTAAATTTAAATTAGTGTTACAGTCATGGAAACAAGTAGATGATTGAAAAGCCAAATCTACAAAACAAAATATATTCAATGACATCTAGCTGATATCCTGTCCCTTCTGTCCTGCTCCTGCACTCTGTTTCCTCTTCTCCTATAGGTAACTATTATTTTGTGGTTGCATTTGAATACACACCCATAATATATATGACATATAATATTTACACACATAATGCATATCCATATGTGTGTATATATAATATATTCATATATTGTATATTATATGTGTATATATAATATATTCATATATTGTATATTATATGTGTATATATAATATATTCATATATTGTATATTATATATGTATATATAATTAAATATGTATATATTATTAAATATATATTATATATGTATATATAATATACAATTTATACATATATAGTATATTATATATATATAATATACAATTTATACATATATAGTATATTATATGTATATATAATATACAATTTATACATATATAGTATATTATATATGTATATATAATATACAATTTATACATATATAGTATGTTATTATGTATATATAATATACAATTTATACATACAAAGTATGTTATATATGTATATATAATATACAATTTATACATATATAGTATATGTAGAATATATATAGTATATGATATATACATATATAATATATGATATATATACACATATAGTATATGATATATACATATATCATATATGATATATACATATATCATATATGATATATACATATATAGTATGTTGTATGTACATATATAATATACGTATATATAATATAAATATATAGTATGTTATATATACATATGTAATACACATATATGTACTTGATATAATATATAGTATATATAAGTATATAATATATGCATATATTATATATAGCATATTATATATACATATATTATATACAGCATGTTATATATACATATATTATATATAACATATTATATATACAAATATTATATATATACACACACACATACAGACAAAGTGGTGAAGTTTTCCATAGAACTCCATTGTGTGGATATACCATAATTAATTCAAATTATTCCTTGTTGATGTATATTTGGTTATTTCCAGTTTTTGCCATTACCAATAGTTGTTGGAGTTAAGACAGAAACTTGGAGAAGGGAGGAAGATGAGCCTGGGAGCTAAGAATGGAACAAAACTTATAAGGCTTAGAAGGTCAGTAAAAAGTTTTGACATTTTTTTTTCCACGTCTTTTTTTTAATTTATTATACTTTAAGTTTTAGGTTACATGTGCACAATGTGCAGGTTTGTTACATATGTATACATGTGCATGTTGGTGTGCTGCACCCATTAACTTGTCTTTTAGCATTAGGTATATCTCCTAATGCTATCCCTCCCCCCTCACCCCACCCCCCCCACCCCACAACAAGCCCCGTTGTGTGATGTTCCCTGTCCTGTGTCCATGTGTTCTCATTGCTCAATTCCCACCTATGAGTGGGAACATGTGGTGTTTGGTTTTTTGTCCTTGCGATAGTTTGCTGAGAATGATGGTCCAAGGGCATCCATAAGCCATTGAAGAGTTCCAAGCAGAAAACTGACATGGTGTAATTTTGCCTAGGTCTGTGTGAACTGAAGAAAAGAGGACCAGGAAGGTGGCTATTGCACGAATTGCAAAAGCAGTTGTCTGGTAGGAAGATAATTTTTATTTTTGAAGTATGTTCTTTGCTTATCCTGAAGCCTACAATTTGAAATCATTTCCTAGGAGAGCAGATTGATATACACAAAGTTTGTAAGATACTTCAAAATAGGTTTCCAAGAATAAAAGCTCAAAATAAACTTTGATATTATAATATATTGCCTAATCCAAATACATATATTTATCTAATATATTTAGAGCATATCAAAAGTTCTATATAAGTTATAAGCTGTTTAAGAAATATGCAGAGTAATTTCTATATGTATACAAAGATATAAATCTAAAATCATTTTGTGGTCAATTAGACCGCTAAAAATTATTTAGTTTTTCAGAACCTCTGATATGATTTGGCTGAGACCCAAGTCTTTTATTTATCTTCCTACTAATCTTCAGTAGCTACTGTGGCTAATTTCATTGTCCACAGTATCTGTGTATATCTCCATAAGTACACTATGGCTGCACAGTGTGGTGGCATATGACCAGCTGAAGGAGGAGAAAAAAGCTGGGATTTGGTTTATTAATGGGTTAGCTTAGGATATCAACATAAAATGAACATGTACTACATTGCAGTCATATTCAGGTGCAGCCTTGAAGATATTACAGATGGAAAACTTTCCAACATGCTGAGCTGCAAGCAGTGTTCCTGTTCATCTATTTTGTGAAGAAGTGACACAGAGTCCACTTCTGGTGGAGAGAATATAAACAGATTCCTTGGCAGTAGCCAGTGGCCTGGGCTTCTGGTCAAGGAACTAGAAGGAAAGGACTGAGACAAAAAGTTATGGGGCAGAGTTACATGTCTGGCTATATGGAGTGGGCAGAAAGTATGTATATTTTTGTGGCAACTTTAATGCCCACCACAAATCATACACCATGGAAAGGGACTGGAAAAACAAGTAGTCAAAATTACTTGACTAATTGACTTTAGCGTATGTCATCATCAACAACCCCAGATCTGTCACAGAGGGTACATTAAAGTAATAGTCATAATAGCAAAGACGGACACTACATAGGGACCCATGAGCATGGACGTCCACTTATCAAGTTCTGCAAAGCTATTCCTGTTTCTGAATGTGTAACTCGTTCAACAACAGAGACCAATTGTGCACCTGATTGTTGAAAAACAATTCTCCATGTGTCTCTCACATGTCTGCATGTCTGCAGTGGCTCTGGTTTTCTTCAGAACCATCTTTTCAAGGGTGTTTTTATAGCAAACAACCTTGAAAGACAGATCTTGTCTTTCATTGGAGGAAAGGGCAGGTTTGTTCACTAGTAAAATAATTACTCCTCCCTCTAGGGAAAAAATGCAAGTTACTTGTCATATAAAATATCTGTGTTCCCTAAAATTGCCCCTTAGTTTAGCTTACTGCATATGTATTCCTTTTCACAAACCTCTTTGGGATTTGGAGCTGGGGAAACCAGAACAAAAATGATGATTACTTTTAGAAGACGAGATTTACCAGAGGCTGGGGGTTCAGGTGGTGAACAAGGGAATGGGGAGTTGTTGGTCAAAGGGTGCAATGTTTCTGCTATACTGGAGGGATAAGTTTTGAGATTTATTGCACAGTTGGGTATCTATACTCAGTAGTAAAATATTGTATATTTCAAAATAGCTAAGAGAGTAAATTTCAAATATATCAACACAAGAAATCTTAAATGAGATGATGGATATGTTAATTAGTTCAGTTTAATCATTCCACATTGTATACATGTATCAAAACATCACATGGTACTCCATAAATGTAATACAATTATGATTTGTCAGTTGAAAATAATATTAATTTTTAAAAAATGATCCTCTGACTAATGCATTTCCTTTAAGTATTAACTGGCACATTGTCTCCTATCCAAGAGTCTCATTTTTTCTTCCAAAATCAATGAAACGATGGCAGACAAATTAATTACTGACAAATTAGGTAAAATGTCAGATCCTTCACAGTTCTTGACATCAATATGTCCTTATTAGTTGGGGAGAGCAACCAACCACTTGGCCCCTCCCATACTGGAAAGGTCATCAGTACATTTCTCTTAGAGGGATATATGCCTGTTCTAGGTTTGATTTTGCCATTTTTACCCACACCGTTTCAATCAGTCACTTTATAAGAATTTATGGAATTTCTAATCTAAAAGCAAGAATTTCACATAGCAAGAATTTCACATAGCATAGCATCTGAGCAGGGGTTCTACAGAGCAGAGGTATAAGAGTGAGCCTATGACCATGGAATCTACAGGTTAAATCACACACCTAACATCCAGAAGCAGCTGGTTTTATCAAAGGCTGGAACAACTTTTTAAAGGCAGAGATTTAGTACCAGCCCAAAGGTAATTCTCTGAAAAGATGAGATGTCATTCTTTGGTATGTTTTATATGAATTAAAACAGAGAACTTGGTATGGTATTTTGTCCTCAATAGTAAAAATACATGGATTCAAGAACTAAAGGACATACACAACAGTGACCCTACTTATCATCGCTCCCAATTACTCACTGGGGAATTTTGTGTTGCTCATCTCTACAATACTGGGCTGTACAGGAATGGGGGTCATGCAATCCAAAAAGAGTATCCTCTTACCTAGTAAAACAGCAAGGGTCTTATTAAATTATAAGCTACAACTGCCCCAGAACACCATGTCTTCCAAGGCTCCTTATATCCAGGGACTAAATAATGAGAATAGTAATCAACGTACTAACAAAAATAATTGACCCTGAGCAACAGGTGAAGATAGGGGTGTGTTTGTTTATTAGTTTGTTTGTTCTGCAATGGGGACAAGGAGAAACACATGGAACTCAAATTATTCACATGAGCACCTCCTGGTACTCCCTTGCCCATTGAACATGCAGCAACCCAGGCCTGAGTAGGGTATATTCATCAAGCATTCAGATCCTCAGGAATGAAAGTTTGAATCACACCACCAGGGAATCAATCAATATTTACTGATGTGATAGCTGAGCACAGGGATTTAGAATGGATTTTGTAGATAGAAACAAGTAAGCACCAATTGCAGCCCAAGATCCCCTGCAGTGACTGGGGCTGTAGGAGGAAAGACCCCTGGAAACAAAGATGCAACTTCTCCCAAACCAGGGCGGAGAAGTAAATCTATTTGGAGGAAATGGTGGACTATGGCAGCCATGAAAATGTACCACTCAGACCTCTTGCTAAAGGGACTGTAATTGACTGACAGCCATAACTGTTGCACCCAAATCTGCCAACATTATTATGCTGAGGCCACACTTGAGCACAGCAGAAATGCCTCTGATGGGTGGCTTTGGCTCAAGGGCTCCCCATTGGCTTGACCAAAACTTTTTACAAACTACACTGCAGACACTCATTTCTTCTTTTATTCATGTGGGTCAGAACAGCATTGTGTATTGTCCAAAGAATTCCCCATCTCCTCCAGCTCTTTTACACTTGTCCCTTACAAATATTTTCCCCAATACATTTCTTGCATGTCAAATTCTATCTTAGTGTCTGCTTCTTAGAGGACCCGAACTAACTCAGTGACTTACTGTCAATAAACACAACGAGAATAAAAGGTTTTATATTAGGTAAGCCACTACCAAGAGTGTCAACAGTGATCCTCATTGGCTCTCGTGGATACAATCATCATTAATTTCGTGAACTTGGATAAGAAATAAAAGCTGAATATCCTGACTTGCATTCTAAGTTCAAGGGATATTTCCATATTTTAAAATGGAAGGAGGTTCTATCTAACCTTCAATTTTAAGTAAATAATCTGAAATGCGGTGACATACTAAAAGGCAGTATCTAGAGAAGAATATATCATAATTCTTTAAGTGCTTTCTATATGCTGTTGAGTTAATATCAGTATTTGGCAGTACCTGTCTGTGTGAAGATATTTTCAAAGATTAAATATAGAAAATCTCATTACAGATCAGCATTAACAGTTGAACACTTGCAATTTAATTTGATCATAGAAAACTCTAATTTTGAACCCCAATTAAATGACATAGTATTTCTAAAAGATAATCCCATCTTCCTAATTAGTAGCCTTGGATTCCCCAAAATTATCTCCAATTTTTATGTTTTATAATTTCATAAATAAGATTTGTAGAAACCTATTTTCCCATTTGTTACAAAAAGACCCATAAAACATTCTTGATTTTGCCTCTTGGCTGGCCCACAAAACCTAAAATATTTGTTATCAGTCTCTTTAACTGTGACAACATACAGTATAGGTTATAACTATGACAGAGTCAAAAATTGAAACCATATAAAAATCTTGATTTTTTGTATTGTATATTAATTGAATATCAGAGGTTTTTTTTTGAGAGCAACTCTATGATGCCTTTTTATTTAAAGGCATCCTACTGGCAACAAAACAGATATGAGAATGGAAAAGTTCAATGAGTAGTTTCAGAATTATGCCATTTAGGTTTATATAGCCCAGTTCCTCTAATACTCTAATACCATCTGAAGCCATTGTTTGTGGCTTGACATAAGACAAAGTTATTTGAAATTGTTCAATATTTTCCATTATATTAGAACTTTCAATATGCTATCAGATGCACTATTAATTTAATTTGTTATTATGTTACTGCCTAAAATGTTTTAGCTGTATTTAAGACAAATACAAGGACATACCAATAACAGTAATCTAGGATAAAATATATAAGTATGCAGAAATTAAATGTTTGGTCAGACCAGGGAATTATTCATAGATTCTACCTGTTTTCTGTCATACTCAGTGGCACATCAAAAAAAAAAAACTATCTCAGAGTGAAATAAATATATAGGTTATACACAATTGAGAATTTAATAATATAACATGCTTAATGAACTTGTATTCACATTAGTAATATTTAAAATGTATAATGTTAGAACTATGGTGCCCCTAATAATGATGGTTTTAAAAAGTATGCACACCCAAAATAAAGCTTTAAATTAAAAATAATAGATATTACTTATATTGCTTTTCTGAATGGAATTTCAAGACTGTTATTAAAAGTATAAAACAAATTAGACTGAGATTGTTAATGTCCTTTTTATTATTATAGAAGATAAATGCTTTGTTAGAATTAAATTCATCTCAAACTTATTCCTTCAACATGCTAATTAATAGAACAGGATCACGGATTTGTTAATTAAAATGAGATACCTCAGGGAATTGAAATTAATTTTGATGTCCTAATAGATACCCTTACATCAATAAATCTCCCAGATGTTTTGTCAGCATTATACAAAAATGTATAAAGGCATTTTTAGTTTGATTTTGGCTAAAATGAGAAGGAATTATTCATTTTAGGCTAGTTACAATGTATGAGGTAGATTAATGTAGTTTTTCATTAAGACTAATCTCTATGGATATGTTAGAAATTTTAGAGTAAGCTCTCAAACACTATATATCTAAGTCATTTGTTCAAATGTGATCCTGTTTAATAGTTACTGAAAGCTATAACCATCTGGCAGATGTTTTCTGGCCTATGTGAAATGAGTTGAGGGGCTCATTTCTGTTTCTATTGAACACATGTCCAGGTCACCAGAAATACCACCACAATTTGTACCCTAATTAGCAATCTCAAGCATGTTGTGGTTTGCATGGTAATGGAACATGGGCTTCTCTCCAAATTTGGATATAAATCTATTCAGATACAAATAGAAATGCCCTTGTAGGGTCAACATCAAGAGAGCTTGCATTTCTGTGTAGTGTAAATTTAAAGAACAAAAAAGATATTTTGGCTTATTCATTTGGCATTTTCTCTGAAAATTCTTCTTTCTCAGTAATAATTGTAAAATATAATACAGAGCAAAAGTGTATTGTGGCTTTGGTTCTTAACATTTGGGAAACACAGACCCCTTTGAGAATCTGATAAAAGCTACTGAGCATTAACCAAAAAAAAAAAAAAATTATATACATACACCAATATTTCTATATAATTTCAGAGTTTTCACAAAATATCCTTACTTTAGCATAATTAAAAATCTTATGATCAATATTTTCACTATGATGCATAAGCTAATATCAATAAACAAGGCTTTTCATTGTAATACTAAGGTCAATAAAAATACATGGTAAGAATTTTTAAATAAAAGGATTCAATAAAATCTATATCATTTCTTTTATATCCTAGCTAGAATCACACACACACACACACACACACACACACAAATTCCAGATGATTTCCGAAGTTAGTAATTCTTTAACATCTGAAGCTACATTTAAAAGTCTGTGGTCATATAGGCCACATGTTTATCAAGTCACCTGCATTACATGAGTCCCTTGATTTGGTTCATAAATATCAAGCACATACTATGAATGGCTAAATAGAATGTTCTTGGCCTGCTCAGAGAACAATTGCCAAAGTATAAATATAAAACTCATTTCATTGAGGGATAGCAAGAATTTTCCTTTTACATCAAGTGTATATAATAGTCACATGGGTGCTATGATCCGAATGTTTGAGTCCTCTGTCTTCCAAATTCATATATTAACATCCTAACCCCCAAGATGATGGTATTTGGAGGAAGGATCTCTGGGAGATGATTAGGTCATGAGGATGAAGGTCTCATGGATGGGATTAGTGTCCAGACATCAAATCTTCCAGTGCCCTGATCTTGGATATCTCAGCCTCCAGAACTGTGAGAAATAAATTTTTGTTGTTTATCAGCTTCCGAGTTTATGGTATTTGTTTTGGCAACCCAAACACACTAAGACAGTGAGTATGTGGCACTTGGGAAAATTCATTCAAAAACCTTTATTGAGTTAGAATGAAAGAAACAAGATAGGGGAAATTTCTGTCCTTTTGACAGAAACTAACATAAGGAAATAGTTGGATATAGCATAGCATAACAAAAGCTTTGCTGGGGAAGGACAAATTGGCCTGGTAGCCTCTGAGAAATAGATCTAAGAGAGAGCTGAGGGTCTCTGGACTTAGAGCTCCTAAAAGGTCATGTGTGTATTTCATTTGATTCTAAGTACTTTGTCCAGGACCATGACAGGTCCATAGAAAGGCTATAACAGAGATGTATTATTGTTAAAAATCCGATTAACAATGGAATTGGTGGTGGTGATGGTGTGTGTGTGTGTGTGTGTGTATGTGTGTGTACGATTTATAGACCATCCGAGTTTTTTGAATAATCAATATGGATAATTATTTTTACATTTTATAAAAATTTTTATAGAAATCTGAAGACCAGAAGAGACGTATGAGGTAATATTATAGATTTTTGAGTTGACAGAGATTAGAGCCAGCATGTAGATACAATTGTTCAGGGGGGGGTATAGAATGAGAAAATTAAAAAAGAGGATCAAGGATGAAGCACAGATAACACCAAAATTAAAAGTTAGGTAAAAACAAGAAAGCCCTCAGTGTCATAAAAGCAAAACTAGGGGGAAACACTATCAAATAAGCCAAAGAGGGAAAGTGTTTTGAAACAAGGGAGTTGTTAACCATCAATGCCAAGAGAGGTCAAGTGAGTAAGGATTTCAAAGCATATTTAGGTTTGGCAACCAGAGGGCCATATGTTACCTTGGAAACAGCAGTTTCAGAGATGCGATAGGCCTTTGAAACAGCGAGCGGAAGCAGATTGCACTTGTGTCAGTAGAGAATGGTGGGTGGTGGGTGGGGAGAGAAAGTTGACAAGGCAAATATTGACACGTTTTAGGAAGCTTCTACTCAAATGAAAGAAACAAAGGGTTTGACATTGCAGAGCTGCAAAATAGGAAAATATTCCTTCACATTTTCTGCCATATAATATGTAAATCCTGAGCAAAGAATTCCACACAGATTTATGATCTTCGTGCCGGGAACGGGAGGTCAAGAAAACATTACAATGAATTACTAGAAATAGTTTATGGAACCACCCTTCCTCTATGTTTATCTGTCCAAATTACTTATAAAATGTGTCTGAGGTTAATGAGATATAGCAGATAAGCCCTGGACCTCCCTTAAAACTCCGTAGCACTATCTACTTCTTCTATTTTAATTAGTCTTCTGTGGAACCACTTCCAAAGCTAATGTAACATTTCTCAGATTCTTCTTGGTTATAAAGAAGGTAAAATATAAGGGAAAAATTAAATAGAGATGATGTGTAAGCCCTTGCTTCAATTTCCTTATCTACAAATACTTGCAACCAAATCCTAGCCAGATCCTACTATAATCTTCACATTTCTTCCTTGCCATTGTTTTGTTTGTTTTACTTGACTAAACAATGGGTTTTCTTCTTGAGTTCTTTTGTACACTAATATATCCAAATGTAAATAAATTGAAACAGTCCAAATGAATTAGATGAAAATTTATGTATTCCTTTTTTCCTATATATAATAATTTTTAAAATGGAAAACTCTCAGATATAGTTTGTTTTTCTTCATTGATTTAAACTGGAAGATCATCGGACCCTTTGCTTTCCTCTAGCATGCCAATAAGGAGGAGGAGTGTGGTGGGCTTCTGGGAGATTCCCTATGGTCTCCTGCTTTGGAAATCCTATTTCAGTTATAAATGAAAGATAAATCTATCTTGAATTATTTTCCTCTCACTCTTTTTTTAAAAATTTTTTGATGTCTTATTTCTCTTTTATTTTTAAATTTTTGTTTTTAATTTTTGTGGGTACATAGTAGGCTTATATATTTATGAGTTATATAAGATATTTGATACAGGCATGCGATGCAATATCCATTACCTCCTTTGTGTTACAAACAATCCAATTATACTCTTTTGTACACTCTATATGTGTACAAAAAAAATAGAAAGAATAAGACCTGGTGTGTGATAGCACAACAGAGGGACTATAATTCCCTCACTCTTTTATCAAGATATCTTGGTGGCAGAGCCACTTAAGGCATTCTGTGTTACTTGATAGGCAGGTTTCATACCTCCGCCTGCCTGGAAAAAATTACAGATTGCTTCTAGATTCAGTATCAACATGAAAATGCAATATTTATACAGTAAATGGACAAATTATGCTTGCTTACTAATTGAATATTATCTTGATAAGAGTAAGAAGACAATAAGAGAACTCCCTAAAACAGATAAATGCCAGATTTTAAACAAGAACATGAAAATAATCTTTAGCCTGAGAGGTCACATGGTACTCCTTTTCTCACTTTCACTTTCTGAAGGAACTGCTCATGTGGGATCGCATATTTGTTTAATAAACTATCTGGCTTTCAATGACTTAATGGACCTTTGTTTGTGGAGCAAAATAGGTAATACTGAGTTTTTTGTGAATAGCAACCTGAATATTACTTTATTTCTACTTAAGTGTAATATTTGAAAGCCTTATTCCACTGGTATATTAGAGGAATTTTGAGTGAACATGAAGTAATTGATCACAAAATTTTTAGACTTTCTAGGCCAATTGTTTTAAAGAAAATTTTGAGATAAAATCAAAACTTCCTGATTAAAAAAGAGGAAATGGGAAACCAGAATCCCACCTGCTCAGCCTCACCGAAGCCCCCAATCTTGTACTGACCCTCATACACACAGCTGTCCAAGAGACCTCTTCTTGGGACCTGAGGTTTTCTCAAGACACATTTTAAAATTCATTGATCTGGTTTGTTACTTTATCACCTTTCTTTCCTTTTCTAATTTGGGTTATTTTATGGCTCATAATCACCTTCAACTGAAAAACAATCAACAAACATGGCTGGAACCAAATTTTGTAGAAAACATACACAGCATTTGTGAAATTAAGAGAAAATTACTCACCATATCAATTCGCTGTAATTAAATCTGTGTGTGTGTCTCTGTGTGTGTGTGTGTGTGTGCACGCAATCCCTTATTGTAGCATCTGATGCAAAATATGTGAAGCGTATGTGAATTTTCTTCCTTCCGTTTTCCTTCTTCAAGTATTCCCTTTCTCACATGAAACAAGGGATGTAGAGATACACCCTAGGCTTATTTTTTAAGAAAAAAATATTATTTAAAGTCATTATTCTCTAATAAGAATTATTTTGTTGTGTTTCCCAAACCATGGGTATACATATTCTAAACAAGGGCTGTAGAAAATGGAATGAATTTGAAGGAATTTCCCAATAATGGCTTTTAGGACCTGCTACACTTTGATGGGACTGGTTTCCCACTTCTGAATTCTATCAGTGTGACCCTGGTGATGTAATAAATTTTAAAATCACAGTAGCTCCATTTTACTGGTTAGAGGGGGCATTTTAAGCAAAAGACATCACTCATGGAGTCATGCTATGTTCCTAATTCTGAATTTTTGCTCACACATGAGGCATGGCTTTGTAAGTTGTGCAGTATACAACGTCATATTATCTATGAGAAGGCCACTCAATTGCACACAGGGCAAAAATCATTGATTCCAGTGATTTTTATGACAGACAAAAGTAACATCTCAGTTCTAACAAAACCAGAAAAGGGTCTCAATGTAGGGATTCCATGACAGATCTTTATTTTAGCCCCAGACACCCACTCTCTGTCCGTCTCCACCCATCCCCACCCTGCTCTCTGCCCAGGGAAGTTGACTTCTTTGTCCTACAAAACAAAATTTTCATGTCCTCTGTCTTCTTGTTGGCATTTAGTCAGTGAAGAGCCGGGAGATTGGGAAGGTGGGAGGACAGTGAGGTCAGAGTAGCTATTTCCCTGTCTCAATCCCTCTCAAGACAGCCAACCTCTGTGACTCTATTCTTCTGGATTCTTGTTTTAATTCATATATTTCTCTTTAGGACTGACTAATAGACTAAGGGGTATTTGTCTTTTGTCCCACACTCACAGATTTATAAATAATGCCTTTGCAAATGAGCATTCTGGATCTTCTTCCGTTTTGAAGGTGTCATCGAGTTTCTATTGGTACCCTGACTGTAGGAGGTCCCTTCCTCATGCACACTCAGGCATTGCATGACTAGCCCTTCCTTGTGCTCATGCTCCACATTCAGAATCTCAGTTCCACTGATATATGCCTCTGCATCTCCCTAACAGGAAAAAGGAAGCAAGGGGACAATCTAAAAAGAAGTATAGAGGCCGGGCGCGGTGGCTCACGCCTATAATCTCAGCACTTTGGGAGGCCGAGGCGGTCGGATCACGAGGTAAGGAGATCAAGACCACCCTGGTTAACGCAGTGAAACCCCGTATCTACTAAAAAAAGTACAAAAAATTAGCCGGGCGTGGGGGCGGGCGCCTGTAGTCCCAGCTACTCCAGAGGCTGAGGCAGGAGAATGGTGTGAACCCGGGAGGTGGAGCTTGCAGTGAGCCGAGATGGCGCCACTGCACTCCAGCCTGGGCGACAGAGCGAGACTCCGTCTTAAAATAAATAAATAAATAAATAAATAAATAAATAAATAAATAAATAAAAGTACAGTAGAAAATCTAGCAGATATGCTTATGTTCATCTTCAATTAGGAGAGAAATAAAAATTCCTAGACACTCCCTTTTTCTGTGAGAAATGCCACTACAGATTGCAGAACAAGAAATATTTTGATTTTTTTAACAAAGTGTCACTCTAGTTGTGTTTTTCCCACTTTGTATTTATTAATGCTATATTGTTTTTAAACTACTTCCATGTCCATTCTTTCATTTAATTAACCTAAAAGTATATGCTTTCAAAAAGTTAAAGTTGCCTATCTGTGATTACACAACTAATAAATGATAATTGCAAAAAAAAAAAGAAATATTTTGATTTTAAATTTGTTTAAAGTGCCTAATGCTCAAAACATGATATCAAACCATATAAAAGTTTTAAAATATGAGTTTTATATTCCATTCTCCAAACTCTGGTTCCATTGTATTTTTTAACAATTTACTCATTTTTCTTGGGATAGATGTCAGAAAATAATCTTAAAATACTCTAAAAATATTCAACTCTCTAAATATTATAAATACATAGAAACACTTATAAGATTAACCTAACATAATGCTTCAAATTCCTGATTTATCAATTTAACAGTATCTATTTATTCTCAATATAGGTTAGCTACCTAAGGAAATCACGCTTTCTTTCTCCATATATATAAATGTGTGTGTGTGTGTGTGTGTGTGTGTACACATACACAACTGCTGTTATGTTTTCAAGGTTTATATAATTTATCTTCTATTATTTATGTATAACCAAGACCTTTGGGTTTTATTCATAGGTGGATTACAAAAAGTGAAGACCAATAACAGTATTTATAATATAATGGCATACAATACTTCAGAACAAAGTTGCATGAAAGAAAAAAGTACAAGTAAGCTTAAGCTACTAAATATAAGCCACTAAAGGGAAAATATTCTCAGCATTAAGGTCAAATTAATTCTGTTTTCAGATAATCAATTGCTCAAAATCATGAGTGTGCTTGTTTCTCCACCTTGAACTGCAAATCTAGTTATATATAATTTTAAATGGAAGATAATTAAAAATAATCATATAGTCATCAATATATTATACACAAATATAGCATTATTTATGTTAAACTTTCAATGAATTTATTAATCCTAGGAAAAACTGATAATGAGAATGAAATCACAGCTTCAGAAAGGTAACCTTGGTAACAGTTTGGCTTGGTTTCCATGGTTACAAAGAGTACACTGAAAGACTCAAAGAATCACAATTTCCTTTGATTGGTATATTCTCAAAAATGATGATTTGGAAAGTGACAGAGGATTAAAAAAAGAAAACATATTTTTCTCATGAGGAATGAGACATTGGAAGTAATAATAGCATATTGATGGTTGGACACAAGACAGACCTTTGAAAATTAATGAAACTTTTGCTTCTTCATTAAAATATTGGGTAGAATATCTCCATTTTTAACAGTATGAATCTGCAGACAAAAATTCTTGCTCCTGATTAACTAGCTAAAGTATATTAGATTGTTTATAATCTACTTTAAATATTAGCTTAAAAATCTATTACTTAACTTACCTTGTGAATGAACCCAGACTAAAATACATATTTTTTAAATTTCTGTATTATTTTATGGAGTTTAATAGACAAAAAACTATGTTGTAATAGAAAGCATAGTAAGAAGAGCATTTAGAAAACTAGAGTTGGGTGTATCTCTGTAGCTAGTTGCATAATTTAGGTACATCATTTTAGTTGCAAATTGCTTTTCTTCTCACCAAGTAACTAGCAGTACGCACTATCAAAAATAACACAAAAACTGAAAAACTACCTAAGCTACTGATTAGGAAACACTATTCTGCATGATTTTAATAATGTCCTGCATGCCTTGAATCCCATGATTTTAAAACATTTTCTTTCAACTTGAAACATAAACTTGAAGAGATGCGTAGACAGTCCAGGTAAAAATTGTGGACAAAGCTCTATATACTTTAGTCCCCCAAGCCTCAGAAGACTCAGGAAAAATATTCAACAATCTTCAGGGCTTTTTCTCAGAAGGAAGAATGTTCAAAAGAAAAAGAAGAAGAAGAAGAAGAAGGATTGAACGATCTTTCCCAGAGTTAACTTGGAAAAGCAAAGCAATTGAAGACTAAGCATTAAAAAAAAAAAAATGCAAATCCTCTGAGAGAGGGGAAGAAGGTGAAATGAGTGCACTAAAGGCCATTGATTTAGCTGGGATCGTAACGCCAACCTCAGTCCCCTCTACTATGCAGTGCCTTAAACCTTCAAATTCTAACCTCATAGTCAATAGATCAGTCATTCTTGAAATTTTGTGATCAAAAGCAACAGTTTCTACTTGTGTTTCATTCCAGTGTGAGGAGACAGTGTGGAAATGGCTACGGGAAGAAGTGATGAGAGAATTACCTAGGCTAACCGCCTCAGGAGCAAAGGTGGGCTCCAGGGTCCACTTTATTTTGAATGCAAGAGCGCCCACCACAGAACAGAAGCAGCTGCACAGCCAACTTAGTATATTGAGACTTGATACAATATATTTCACAAAAAAATGGAAAAAGAAGCACAGAAAACACATCCTTTATATAAAATATCACAGAACCTAGGTTGAATTCTCCTCTTGAAACTTTGTGGTCTTAGGCTACGTAAAAGTAATGCAATGTGAAATAGCAGTGTTAAACTGAAGCTCTGTGAATTTTAAATTAGGTTGAAAAATTTACCCACACTGCATCATAACAATTAGAAGACCATGATATAGAAAAAAGAAAGCAGCATGTCAATACTGCAAATATACCATTATAAAAGGAAGGAATAAAAAAGAAAGAAAGAAACAGATAAAAGAAAGAGAGGAAGGAAAGAGGAAGACGAATGACCAAGGAGGTAGGAAGGAATAATGGACTACAAAAATGAAATAAAAAATCAACTCTAGAAGAAAAATATTACCTAATGAAATAAAGAAAAATATTGCACTGTTTCTTGGCAAAGAACTTACAGAAAACACATTCAAGGTATCAGTATACTAAGTTTACAATAATAAAATAGCAGATTAAAGTGAAAATACAGAGCTAAGAGCAAAACTGAAGGGGAAATAACAGTATTAAAGAACTAAAAAATAATTGGAAAATAACAGGTAAAGTAAGTAACCTAGATAATATTAAATAACATAAGTAGAACAGATAACACAGCCTTGCGGCCATAAAGTGAATGCAGAGAAACAAGACCAAGTGATTAAAGTAACTAGAAAAAAAAAAAACTATAGACAAAGAGCAGGGAATAAAAGTAAAACCTAAAATCCAGAATAACCTTGTATGCTAAGTAGAGAACACAATCGATGGGACAAAAAAGTTTCTTAAGAAAAAAATCTAACATATAGTAGTCCACCTCTTGAGATTCAAGGGTAAAGATAGACTTCTTCAGTCATGTAAGCAGTAAAAGCAAGACATTTATGAGGTGGAGAATGCATATTGTCTTCAGACATCCACATAAATATTCAGAGACTATAGAACAGTCTACAGTGTAACAGGACATGAAATGTAAACAAAGAATGCTATACTCAACCAATCTGCCAAGCAAGTATAAAGGCAACAGAAATTTTCAGATACACCTGAATTAAGAAAATATGAACCCATGAACCCTTCATGAAAACACAGCATCATGACAAATATAACCACCAATGATATGGTAATGTTGTGGTTAAAAGGCTAATGATAAACTCTAAAAATTCTATATGTAAGACTTAGACTTAAATGTTGTTAAGAAATATGATTGTGGAAAACAACTTTTGACTTTATTAAATATGCATGATCAGTTTGTAAGGTTGAGGCTCTAAAAGAATACAAATAAAACATTTAGCTTCCAAGCCAAGAAAGAAAAAGAAAATAAGGAGGAAGAATTAATAAAACTTTATCAATTCAAAAGGAGACAATGTGACTTTTTTAAATGAATCAGGAAAATAATATGCAACATATAAAATAAGATGGTAGAAATAAGCCCAAATAAATCAGAAATTGAAATAAATATAAAAGTAATATACATATTATATACTTGTCTACTGGAATATGTATATTACCAGATTGGATGGTTTTTTAAAAATCAGCTATATTTATTTTACATTTAAAATTTTGGGGGGCATATGATCTAGAAATTGAGTTAATCACAAACCTGTTTAATTCAACATTATCAGAACCATCTCTTATTTAGGTATTGCTTTACACTAATGTACTTGATGCATGTATTGGTGTGTATCTTGAAATAGCTTTAAGATTGTTTTATGTTGTGTGTTTCAACTATTTTGTTGTCATCTTGAGAATTAACTGTAGGGAACAGGGGCAGAAATGAGAAGTTTGTTTATGAGATGACTGCAATAACACAGGCAACAAAATATTACGACTGGACTAGGATGGAAGTCGTAGAGTGCTGAGAACTGGTTGGAGTCTTTATGTATTTTGAAGGAAGAGCCAAGGGATTCTGTATGTAAAATATATGGTATATGATTTTTTTTTCTATGAACTCTGCAGAGAAGTAAAAATATAAGGTATGAGATAAAGAGGGGAGTCACCAATGGCCACAAGATTTGGCCTAACTGGAGAGATACAGTTGGCATGGACTTGGTGGGTAAAGCAGATTAGGAGTTCAGTTTTCATCCTGTTGAGTTTGAAGTGTTATTATACAAGTAAAGAATGCAAAACAGAAGCCTGAGCTAGAGATATAAATTGGAACAGTCAACATGTATAGTTTATTTAAAGCCACGAGACTAGACGAGATAACCCAGGAAGTGAATATATAGATAAAGGGATTAAGGAAGAAGACTGAGGCACTACAAAATAGATGTCTGAAAGAAGAGGCGTTGCCAGCAAAACAGACTGAGAAAGAATGATCAGTAAAACCAATAATATGTGGCATGCTAAAAGCCTATTGAGGAAAGTGTGTCAAGAAGGAGGTTGTGATCAACTGTGTCAGGTGTTGTCAGTAGGTCAAACAAGAGGAGACACAAAAATTAATCATTGGACTCAAGGACAGGGAGATTATTATTAACTTTAACAAATGCAATTTGTGGAATAGTGAAGGCAGAAGCTTGAGTGGAGTGGGTTGAGGGAGTATGGGAGGAAAGAAATCAGGGGCTGCAAGTACAAAACTCTTCTGAAGAGTTTTGCTGCAAAGTGGAGCAAAGAAAGGGACAGCAACAAGTAGGGGGAGTCAGTCAAGAAAAAACATATTTAAGAAGGGAGAGAGGTGGATATGGCTAATGGGTACAAAAAATAGAAAAAAATGAGTAGTACCTGCTAATTTGATAGCACAGCAGGGTGACTATAATCAATAATAAGGTAATTGTACATTTTTAAATAAGTTAAAGAGTGTAATTGGATTGTAACTCAAAGGATAAATGCTTCAGGGAATAGACACCCCATTCTCCATGATGTGATTATTTCACATTTCATGCCTGTATCCAAACATCTCATGTACCCAATAAATATGTACACCTACTATGGACATGATCATGTGGAAAGTGAAAACTTGATGAAGTAGGAGAGAAGAGAGAACTGCTGGTGCACTGTCCTTGAGTGTAAAAGAGAGGATGAGACCTAGCGCACACGTGGAGGGAGGAGGCTGCTGTATCATCCTGGGAAACACGGGGGAAAGCGGACTACATGTGGGTGGGCTTGGACACTGGTGGGGAGATATGGTGGGGGAAGTTTTTAAAAGTCATCCTCTGATAGCTTCCATTTCTCAATTTATGTAAAGTCACCAGTTGAGAACAAGCGTAGGATAGGAGGTGTTGGGTTCTTGTGAAAGAAGTTTGAAATAGTCATCTAGGAGACTGGGTGACATGGACATCTTAAGTATTGAGGGCCCACTTGATTTTCAGGTTTACAAATATGGAAGTGAGACCAATAAGTATTCTTTTGCTTGCTTTATATGTGTTTAGGCACAAGCTTGGAAAAGGAGAAAAGTCAGAATAAACCAGGATTTTTCTTTTTTTCTTTGATCAAGTAAGTACTATCTAACAAGATATGCTTATATTCGGAGTGAAATTATAAAAATTCTTTCTGGAATTTAGGCTGGGTGACAAAGAGGATGAGGACATCAAGGAGGCAAAAGATAAGTGAGATCAAAGACCTTGGTGCATCAAAAGCTTATTTCAGTGGGAGTACCAGAGGGAGTGGGCCAGAAGTAGAGGAAGAAAATAGGGCAATAGGATACATGAATTTGATATTATGGTAGGACTGCATTTACAAGTCACAACAAATCTAAATTATAGCTATAAAATTATGTTTATTTAAAACAGGCCGAGGTAGAAGAAGAGACAAGATCATTGGAGAAAAGTAACAGGACATGAAAATGTTGGAATCATTTGTATGTACATGGAGTTTTCTAACAATTAAGATAAGGGTGATACAGGCCTACCTTAGAGGTATCACTGGTTCAGTTCTAGACCACTGCAATAAAGCAAGTCACACAAATAATTTTGGTTTCTCAATGCATATAAAAGTCATGTTTACACTATACTCTAGTCTATAAAGTATGTAATAGCATTATGTCTAGAAAACAATGTACATAACTTAAAAATATTTTATTGCTAAATAATACTAACAATCATCTGAGCATTTGGCCAGTCAAAACCTTTTTGCTGGTGGAGGTTCTTGCCTTGATGTTGATGGCTGCTAACTGGTCAGGGTGCTATTTGCTGAAAGTTAGGGTGGCTGTAGTAATTTCTTAAAATAATGCAACAATAAATGTTGCCACATCAATTGACTCTTCCTTTTTCAAAAGAGTTATCTGTAGCATGCAATATTGTTTGATAGCATTTTACCCATGGTAGAATTTTCAAAAGTGAAGTCAATCTTCTCAATCCCAGCTGCTTTATCAACCAACTTTTATGTAACATTCTAAATGTTTATGTCTTTTCAACAATGTTCACAGCATCTTCACCAGGAGTAAATTGCATCTCAAAAAACCTCTTCCTTTGCTTATCCATAAGAAGCAACTCCTCATTCATCAGATTTTATTGTGAGATTGGAGCAATTCAGTCCCATCTTCAGTCTTCACTTCTAATTCTAGTTCTCTTGTTATTTCCACCACAAGAGAATTGGTAATCACTTCCTCCACCAAAGTGTTGAACCCCTCAAAGTTATCCATGAGAGTTCTTTACTTCAACTGCGAATGTTGATATTTTGACCTTCTCCCATAAATCATGCTCTCAATGGCATCTGTTATAGAATGGTGAACCTTTTGCAAAAGGCTTTCAATTTACTTTGCCCAGATCAGAAGCTAAGAATTGACTTCTCCTCTTTAGGTATGAAATTTCTATCTAGTGTCTTCTTCCAGTCAAAAGCTGTTTCATATACAATGAAAATCTATTTTTTGATGTAGCCACCTTCATCTATTATTTTAGCTACATCTTTGGGAAAACTTGCTGCAGCTTCTACAGCAGCACTTGTTGCTTCACCTTGCACTCTTATGTTATGGAGATGGCTATTTTCATTAAACTATGGAGATGGCTATTTTCATTAAACATCATCAACCAACTTCTGCTAGCTTCAAACTTTTTATTTACAGCTTCCTTATCTCTCACCCTTTGCAGGATTGAAGAGTTAGGACCTTGTACTGGATTAGGCTTGGATTTAAAGAAATATTGTGGCTGATTTGATCTATTCAGACCACTAAAACTTTCTCCATATCAGCAATAATGCTGTTTCACTTAATTTTCTTCAAGAATTTTTCTTGGCATTCACAACTTGGCTAACCGGTGCTAGCATTCGACCTATCATGGCTTTTGACATGCCTTGTTCAGTATACTTAATCATCTCTGAGTTTGATTGGACGTGAGAGACATGTGACTCTTACTTTCACTTGAACACTTAGAGGCCATTACAGAGTTATTAATTGGCCTGTTTTCAGCTTGTGTCCCCGAGAATAGGAAGGCCTGAGGATGTGGAGAGAGATGGGAGAACACTCAATCGGTGGAGCAGTCAGAATACACACATTTATTGTTTGCCATTTTATAAGTTGATGGTTCGTGTGTTTCAACAAAAACAATTACAATAGTCACATCAATGATCACTGATCACATATTGTCAAAAAAGATACCATAGTAATGAAAATGTTTGCAATGTTGCAATGTTGCCAAAATTTCCAAAAAGGGATACGAAGTGAACACATGCTATTAGAAAAATGGCACTGATGAGCTTGCTCCAGATGCAGGGTTACAAACCTTTAATTTGTGAAAAACAAAAAACAAAAACAAACCAACAAAAAACCACTGTATCTACAAACAACAGTAAAACAAGGTATTCTTGTGTTGCAAATGGTGACAGAAAGCCAGGATCTCAAATCATTAAGAAGTAAAAGGGAATGTCAGATACCAGCAACAGAATGAACTTTGTTGAATTCTTACTTTTTTACTAAACACTTTTGTCAATATCTACTTAGGTAATTGTATGCACATGTACTTCATTATTTCTAATATTTGTATGCTATTCTACAGTGGGCCTCCATCACATTTTACTTTTATCAATTTTTTTTTGTTATGAACACCTGAGTTGCCTACAACTTCTCATTACCTCTAGCTATCATGAGTGTCCTCTATGAGCCCATGGAAGAATTTCACTGAGGTACGTACCCTCTGTATACACACAAATACTGCCAGATTACACTCCAAAGTGGCAACACCAATCTACAAACCACACCAGTTAAGAATTGGAATATTCCAGGAACTAAGAATCTAATTTTAGGTCCCTACCCTGTTCATATATCATTCTCTCCCCACTAAGGTAACTAAATATCAGTCTGATATTTGTATTAGTCATATGCCTGTTTTATTTTTTAAAGTATAGTTTTAGTATACAGGCATGCCATTGATTTAGGCCATTTCAAATTATATAAAAATTTAATCATACTTATAAGCAGTTTTCTGTGAATTGCTTTTTACATTTGACACCATGACTATAATATCCATGTTATATGCACATAGCCATAGGTCATTTATTTTCATTGATGAATAGCATTTCATTATATAGGTATGCAACTATCTCATGTTTGGTAAATGGACATTTTGGTTGTTTTCTATTTGAGGTAATAATGACCAATACTTCTACAAATAATTTTATGTAGTGTTCATGGTAAAACTATGCAAGTTTTTAAGCCTATACACCTAGAAGTGGAATTGCTATGACACAGAGTATGTATCTCTTCAGATATACTAAATATTGCCAAACTATTGTAGAAATACACTCAGTTGCCAGGAGTATATAAGAGCTGATATTGCTTTATGTTCTTCTAACACTTTGTATTGTCTGTCCTCTTAATTTTTGCCTCTCCAGTAAGTATTTAATGGTATCTTATTTAATTTATCTCTACTATTGAATTGGGCAGTGTACAGACAAATTTGTATAATATTTCATATGCATAGAAATTATAATATATATATATTCCATATATAATTATAAGCACATTTTTGACCCAAAATAGATATACAATAATTAAAGTAATTATTTTGGGGGAAAAGAACTGGTGGCAGGGGGAGAGATAATATTTTTAATTTTTATTTCTCATTTTACAGTATAATTAAAGTTAGTTTTTCATATCAATGTGTTACTTTTATTTTTAAAATATAAATTAAAAATTGAAGTTCAAAATTATTTTCAAACACTTATATTTAAACAAACTCATAAGGTTACTAAACAACATGTTATCTGTCACCAGCCAAGTCTTTTGCTGCTGGATCAATACACCAGGATTTTAGTGTTCAATACAGTAGCCAATAGTCATATGTGGCTACTGAACACTTCAAATGTGCTGATGGCCACATGATGAAATAAAAGTATTTTTTAAATAGTTGGTTAAATAAAATATATTATTTAAATTAATTTAACCTATTTCTTTTTATTTTCAATGTGATTTCTAGAAAATATTAAATTGCCTACATTGCTTACAGTATATTTCTACTGACAGCAATGCACTGGAATCTATTTAGTAAATTGAGAAAGGCATGATGAAGGCAGTTAAAAAAAACTATACAAGAATGTACTTCACTTGAAACAAAGCAGAATTTGAACAGTGTTCACAGAAAGTGAAATAGGAATTTATGAATTATTTTATAAATAAGGTAGGCAACAGTAATTTAGTTGAGTATTTAATATATTTTTAATTGATTTACATGCATCTTTTTACATGCATCTTTTTAAGAATTTGCTTAATTTGTACAATAAACCCACTGCAGTTTCATGTCTATATTTATTATCGATGCCATTCATTCAGACTGGAGTGCTCGTGTTTTATTACTCTACTTGGCACAATACTCGTACTATTCAGAATCGAGGTAAGATATCTCGTCCCGTAAGAAGTCTCGAAAGCCCCAATACCAGAGAGAGTGTTATCCTCTTCTTTATATTATACATACTTTAATTATAGGACTTTTTACATGTTCTGCTTTGCATCATAATTTGTTTGTATAGCTGCTTCTCACTGGACTACTCATTGCATTTTTTATTTGATCTTCTTAGCCTCAAAACATAGTACAGTACGTGGTACTTCCAAAAGATTCAATAAATATTTTTGAATTGACATTTGATGGATACCTCTTAAGAGCTATGGGTCAAAGTGCCTGGTCAGAAATTTCATATAAATCATGTGTATAAATAAGGTAAGTAGGAATATGAATCTGAGGTAAGCTAAAAATCTCAAAGCCTAAATTTTTGCCATGTCCATTTGATCATTATTTAATTCTGCAAAGAGTATCTTAATAATGTTTTCCAAAATTTATAGCAGTCTATATTTTTGGTCATACCAAAAATGCAGTAGTGCATACATATAAAATATGTATATATAAAATCATGACTATAATTTGAAGTCAGGAGCAAGACCATAGTTTTTATCTATTTTTCAAAGTTCAAGGTCAGGGCATGGTGACTCATGCTGTAATCCCAGCACACTGGGAAGCTGAGGCTGGAGGATTACTTGAGCCCAAGAGTTTGAGACCAGCCTGAGAAATATAGTGAAACCCCATCTCAAAAAAAAAAAAAAATACCTGGGAGTGGTGGTGTGCACTCGCAGTTCCAGCTACTCAGAAGGCTGAGGTGGGAGAGTCACTCCAGGAAGTTGAGGTTGCAGCGAGTTTTGATCATACCACTGCACTCAAGCCTAAGTGACAGAGTGAGACCCTGTCTCAAAATATATATATATATATGAATATATATGTATATAAATATATATATGAATATATATGTATATAAATATATATATATACACACACACATATATATACACACATATATATATATTTGTATCAGAATTGTTAAGGAGGAAGACTCAAGCCAGATGCTTAGAGTGACATCTATTCCATCATTCTTTCAATGAGCATTTCAGGAAAGCAGATAATGGGCCAGGACCTGCATTAGCAGCTTCTCTCCATTAAGCAATAACAAGGAAAAAAAAATTCACAAATAGCACAAACAGACCTTTTTCCACCAAACTTTAACCTTTCATTCAGGGAGGCAAGGTTCTACATGGTATATAGGACACATCCCACACTTCTAGCCACTGCTTAGCAAAGCATGCTTTCAAATGCAGGAACATTTTCTCAGTGATTTAGCCTATAAATAGCACCAGAAGTAAACACTAAACATACACTATTAAGCATAAATTAACTCTAATGTGTTTTGCCTATATATTTAATGTATATTTAACATAATAATTATCTCAATTTCTAGAAAACTTTGCTCTTGGGGGACCCAACCTCAGAGAAGCTTATTTTCATTGCTGGAAATGCAAAGAAAATGTGCTGCAGAAACAATTTATACACCCTTGCTGGCACTGAATTGCAGCTGCACTGGCCGTGCATGATATGGCTGCTGTCAATGAAGGCAGTTGTATGCAGAGCACTGCTGGGCTGTCGGCTGCAGCCACCAAAGGGCATGTTGCAGTATTTTGGTGATATCTGAAGATGCAGACAGATGTTGGGAAGACAAAGTGACTACATTGAGCAAAACCCAAGAACGAAGGCAAAGGTAAATATCATTTAAATAATGGTAGAAATAAAGAGGTTTTAAAAATAGTAAAGCAATTCTTGGTGGAAAGAATTGGGGTCTCTGAAAATTGTTAATGTCTTCTTAATTCTTCCCTCCATCTACTTAGTATAGCTCCAAATTCTTCTCTTCTCCCCTTCCTCCCTCCCTTCATCTCTCTCTCTCAGACACATACATAAACATATACTCTGAACAATATCTAGATAAATAGTCGTTGCTATTTCATATCTCTGCAGAGGGCCATTTTCTGCTTGCAATTTCCATCTCGTTTTCTTGTAATATAGCCTAGAATGTTTACATGCAAGAACCTCTCAGAATATTTGCTGTTGTTTTCAGACTCTTTAGAGGAAAGTACCATTATGAACTGTTAAAAGTTCATATTGTGCATAACAAATCATGCAAATGCCAGAAGACAAAGACACGAGTCTTGCTCAAAGAAAATGTATAAGGCTGAACATTTAAAAAGAACTTCTATAGATGAAACTTTTGCTTCTGCCTTGGGCTTTACAATCTGCTGATAATGAAATACCATTTGTCCCATGTTGTGTCTGTGCACAGGACTCCAAATTAGTTTTTTTCCATGTCATCTTGGTACATGGAGACCTAGATATATCTGCTCCAGAATTATCTTTTTCTTAGTTTCGGACAGATTCTACCATGTATCCAGGATTCTTTTTCTTTCATTCTAAAGAATGGATATTGGATCAATATAATTTTAGGTAGGCAGAAAAAGAGGGGATTAAAAAAATTATCTCTTATTAGAAGCTAAGAAGGGTGATCCAGTTTATTATCCTCATTATGTAAGAAAGAATATCTTAATAGTTATTACTTTCTTGTTTTAAAGTAACAGATTAAGGAAAAATCTGACATGTATGTGTGAAATAATGAATTTCTCATGTGAATGATACATTATTCATTCTAATTTCATTTGCTTTTAAGAGAGGATGAGTTATATCATTTTATTTTCTGGAGGTAGTAATTAACTTACAATTTAAAAAAATTAAAAAATTGCAATATTGCATCCTTGTATTATGATACTCCACTAAACTACATATTCCCCAGAGTGGAGTTCACATCATTAAACATCGGTATGCTCCACAATGTCATGTACATAGTAAAAAGTTAGTAAATGTTTGCTGAATGAATAAATGAATGAGGCACTCCATAAAAAGGGCAGGTTTAAATCAGATACTAAAAATTGCACATTGATAGGAGGTTTACAAAAGGTGAATAACTGGCTAATAGAAAAACACATTCCCAGAAAAGAAACATCCAGTTTGCATTAAGAAACTGGGTGTTTCATATTTAAGATGGTAGTTTTAAATCACATGACTCTGGAAAAACTATTTATAATATTTATTTATTCCCATATTTGTTTTATTTCTATTATTTTTTATTTACACATACAGTGTCTTGCTCCACGGTGAATTTTTTACTATGGAAAATTATAAATCCAGGGACAATAAGACTTAAGCATAGAAATGCATGCCTTAGGTGCTGCACGGTTGAATTCTTATGTGGATTCATATTTTAGCAGATCATGCCAGTAGCATCACTGAATGAAAGGAGCTATTTATCACTAACGTATAAACCATTTAGACACCATTCCCCACTTCTTTTATAACCAATTATTCACAAAATGTGCTATTATTCTTACACGATGAAATATAAGAAAAGATTTTTTTAAAAAGTGCTGGTTACCCAGATTATAATGTAATCAAGACCTCTGAAAGCTGCCTTCTCATAAATGAAAGACCCCTAGTTAATCCTCTACTACACTGACGAACCCAGTATTGGAAAGGGTATGTGGCAGTAGGAACTCTTATCCACTAACGTTTGGAATGTAAATTGGCACAAGTACTTTAAGATCAATTCAGTGCTAGCTGGTAAAAATGAAGATCTTCCTACCCCATAAACCAGAAATTTTATTTCTGAATATATGCCTTCAAAAGGCTGCTACAAATGTGCATAAGGACAATTGCTTTACATAATAGAAACAATTTAAATGCCCATTAAAAGGGCAATGGCCACCAATTATGTTCATTATATTTATAAAATGAAATAACATATGCAGTGATTTAAAATAAATGTAATTTTATGTATTATCATGAATTTTTAAAGAATATAATCTTAAGAGAATAAAATTTGTTTTAGAATTATACCTAAAATAATATTTATATAACTCAAAAAACAAGTAATTATCTCTCACTCCATATATTTGCATATATATGTATGTATGTATATGTTTGTATATGTATGTATGTATGTATATAATTTTTAAGATACATACATTTTATAGTAAAGCCAGAGGAAGAATAACCATAAGTCCAGTAAAGTATTTCTAAAGCCAGTTCATCCCAGTCCTTGGTTTTGCCCCAGAACTGTAAGATTATGTCTTACTCCATTTTCCATTCTAGAGAATATTAGTCTTTGCTTTGATTTATAACAGGCAACATTTCTATTCTGTCACTATATAGATTTAATTGACATTTCTCTCACCTTGTACTGAGAGAAAGCATTTTGATGCGTCTTTCAGACATTAAAATGTAAGTCAAATACTAGCCACTAAATAAAGAGTAAAGTTATGAACATCACTGTAATATTGAATGGACAACTCTTTAGAAACACCTGTGATATGTCCTGAAAATAGTCTATGGGCAGAAGGTAATTGTGCAGCAATTATGGTGCAATTTGTTTCCATTTCCTTTTGGCTGGAATGGAAGAAAAGGGGGGATATATGAGGCTCCTCTTGTTTCAGGAGGTACAGGACCAGAAAGGCAGATCATCCTGAGTAAATGAGCAAGCCCATGCAGCAGAGCAGCAAACCAGTGGCTCAGGAGAGAGCGATGACCAATAGGGAGTTTCCTGGGAAGAGGCAAAGCCCATTCACCCTATGGTTTCTGATATTCGTGTTCAAGTTTCCTGTTTCTTACAGCAATGCCCTCGATGTGATCTCAAGTCTTCAGTACTGTGTTAGACATGCCCACCTTGGGTTGGAATCAAGTGAGTGGGCCATAAAAACTGCAGGCTGGTGGCAAAGTCAAACTGATGCTTCTTGAAAAGGTCAAGGGCTTCATGGCACAGAGCCAAGAGGATGGTATGACCATCGTTCTTCTAGGAAGGCAGCAGGTGTTAGGAGAAGAGCACTGAGTACTATGAAGGTGAAGTTGAATGGCAGCAGCAATAGCAACAGGAGAGAGGCCAGCTTGTGGAGCAGCATCTCCTGGCTGCGTGAACACACAGTGTTAGGACACTTGAAACATGTGAGAGTCCTATTAAACAGAGTTTTGTGAGCCTCTCCTTGAGAAAAGCTGAGAAAAAGAAAGGAATGAACAAAAGGGAGATCTCAGGTTGGCAAACACTTAGCCTTTAAAAAGAAAAAAAACATTGGTATTGTCTTTGGCAAGACAGGGAGAGTGCATAAGGGAAGAAAAATGCATTGAGTATACCTCACCAGTAGCATTACCAGGTTCGATGATCTGAAAAGCCTCCACTGCAGATTAAATATTAAAAGATCCCATCAGTCAGTCATATGCCCATGTCATCATATGCCCAAGTCATATATGGTTGTCTTTGGAGAGTTCACAAATATGTTTAATTCACTAAGATTTTTATTTTTATTCCAAAATTTGTGCTGTGTAGGGCAGTCAAAATTAACTGGTGAATTCTGACCACATTTCAAAACATCTTGTTTGATAGCAGCATGATTTATATTCCTTTAGGTATATACCCAGTAATGGGATGGCTGGGTCAAATGGTATTTCTAGTTCTAGATCCCTGAGGAATTGCCACACTGTCTTCCACAATGGTTGAACTAGTTTACAGTCCCACCAACAGTGTAAAAGTGTTCTTATTTCTCCACATCCTCTCCAGCACCTGTTGTTTCCTGACTTTTTAATGATCACCATTCTAACTGGTGTGAGATGATATCTCATTGTGGTTTCAATTTGCATTTCTCTGATGACCAGTGATGATGAGCATTTTTTCATGTGTCTGTTGGCTGCGTAAATGTCTTCTTTTGAGAAGTGTCTGTTCATATCCTTCACCCACTTTTTGATGGGGTTGCTTGTTTTTTTCTTGTAAATTTGTTTGAGTTCTTTGTAGATTCTGGACATTAGCCCTTTGTCAGATGAGTAGATTGCAAAAATTTTCTCCCATCCTGTAGGTTGCCTGTTCACTCTGATGGTAGTTCCTTTTGCTGAGCAAAGACACATGCACACGTATGTTTATTGCGCACTACTCACAATACAAAGACTTGGAACCAACCCAAATGTCCAACAATGATAGACTGGATTAAGAAAATGTGGCACATATGCACCATGGAATACTATGCAGCCATAAAAAATGATGAGTACATGTCCTTTGTAGGGATATGGATGAAGCTGGAAACCATCATTCTCAGCAAACTATCGCAAGGACCGAAAACCAAACATCGCATGTTCTCACTCACAGGTGGGAATTGAACAGTGAGAACACATGGACACAGGAAGGGGAACATCACACACCGGGGCCTGTTGTGGGGTGGGGGGAGAGGGGAGGGATAGCATTAGGAGATGTACCTAATGTAAATGATGAGTTAATGGGTGCAGCACACCAACATGGCAGATGTATACATATGTAACAAACCTGCACGTTGTGCACATGTACCGTAGAACTTAGAGTATAATAAAAAAAATTTTTTTAATCTTCTTTGATAGTGTTAATAACTTAATTTTTTGTATTAAAGTTTTTCTAAATGCTCACGACAAACATTAGAAAAAACTTAGGAAACATACAGTTTAATTTAAAAATATTAATCATATTCACACATCTTTTCTGCAAAACGACAACTTAAATAATGGTAGCTTTTTTCAACTCCAAACACTAAGAAAACTACAACAACAAAACCACTCCTCTTTGTCAAATAAGGAAAACTCAAACTTTTGGCAGTCTGCAAACTGTGAGGTTGACTTTATAATTTTTCATCACAAGGTATACCTCCTGAAGCCTCTTAACTATTTTCAGAAAAAGACAGTGTTGCTGATAATGCAATATATCCTGCATGTTCAACCTTTGTGAATCATACCATGTAGGGCAATTGACTTGGTGAGCAAAATCTCCATGGTCACCTGGGTAGCTGCATTTAGAAATAGGAGCTGTCCAGTCAAGGTTACAGCACTTGTTTTCTTTCCTTAGAATTCAATGCAGTTAAATATCATCTGTAAATTTTGATTAGCTTTGCAAGGCTATTGAAGGTTTGTATATTCCAATGCCTCTGATTAATCAAATTCAATTAAAAATGAAAATAAAGATTTATTTATATAATAGTAGGGAATATATCCTCTTCTTATTTATTTTGAGTTGAAGAGATGGAGATAAATCCAATAGAAAAATAACAATAATAATGTTCAAACATTTTCAACATGTAAAGAATTGTATTTAGAACTATCAAAAATTTATACAATAGGATGTTTTATCACAGAATCTGGAAAGGAGACTTCTAGAAATTGAGAAATACAGGATATTTCTGATATAAGACTGAATGCAAATGTGTATATTCTAAGAAATACAAAAACAACTTGGTAAAAAAAAAAAAGACACTTAAAATGAGTGCTGTGTGCTTTCCTTTCTGGTTTTTATTATTTTTAAATTGTTCCTTCAGCCACCAAAGTTATATGATGGTTTCTGAACAGCGTTTACTTTTGTGACAGTTTCATCTCACTCTGTTGTCCAAACTGATAAAGTCCAGAAGTCTAGAAACAGCAAGGGACTCCCTTCCTCTGTTATATGTAAGCTGACAAGAGGCAGACAAACACGTTCTGAAGTTTTGTGCATGCTGCGTTTTCTCTCCTTGCTGCAACAAGAAAAGCCTTTGTTTTCCAACCTGGCAACCTTTGAAGAAGTGACTCAGACATCTTCATGGCCTCTAAAGGTAAGAGTAAATATAACCAACTAATAACTTTTTCTTATATTAAGACTAAAAATATACAATTGTGGATGTGTTACAACCAGTTAGATTGGTACTTTAAAAGCTGTCATTTGTCACTTTTGAACATTGTGATTTTAAAATCTTAACTCCCAGGAGCATGTTGAGTTACATGTAAAAACACTTTATCTGACAGACTGTAAAAGTTCAGATGTAAACGATGTTTTAGTTATCATGAATACAAACATAGTGAATTAATAAGAAAAGCTGCATAGCAAAGTTTAGAATGGGAATCTTCAATGTTAAACACAAGGACAGGGTGATATTTTAAGTTTAAAAGGATTTGAAGAAAACTTTTCACACATAAGTTAGAAAGTGTTAAAGTGCAATTTAATAATTTTTTTAATTAAAATATTAAAAATTTATGTGGGTACATAGTAGGTATATATACTTATGGGATACATGAGATGTCTTCATACAAGCAGGCAATGTGAATTAAGGACATAAAGGGGAATGGGATATCCATCCCATCAAGCATTCAGCCTTTGAGTTACAGACAATCCAGTTACACTCTCTAAGTTTTATTTTCCCATTTGTTATTCAAATTATGTGATATAGCCATTTATTATAAAGAATCTGACATGCGTTATTATTGATTCTTAAATGTGATGGGCTAGAAATAAGTATTTCTGAATTATAAAGCAAAAATATCTTGAAATTTCCTTATGGTAAATTAAAGATAGAAAACAAACAGAAAATATCTGCTTTAAGCGCACAGATCACTTAGCAGACTTTTGGGGAGTAGGACTGATGAGTTTTTTCTCAAATTCCTAAAACTGCAAAAATATCATTACGTTATCTTACTTTAAAGAAGGTCTAAAAAGACAAGAGATGTAGTTGTTTTTAAAGTAAGTTGCAATCTCACTAAAAACACTTGTGAAACTGTGTAAGAAATAAAATTATAATGTGCTTTCATTTCATTGTCAGAATGAACCACTAAAGCCTAGGCTATAATGAAAAGTTTTAGCATGAAGAATTATAATTAGTATAATTGGTGAAAACCTTTTAAATTAATTACAAATAGGATAATAGGGCTCATCAATTTGTAATATCCTAAATTAGTGATCCATTCAAACAAATGTGTATGCTTACTTGCTTCCTTTATCAAAACACACTTTTGGTCACTATTTAATATGAAACAAATGAGATAATCTTTCCATTTTTTATCAATCTTTAATGTAGACCAGTCCCTCAGTCCCTCAGAATCACTGAGAAAGCTCACACAAATTGTAAAACATAGATGTGAAATAGCAAAATCATGAATTTAACATATGTGTCATTTTTTTCTATCTGAAGACAAATAAACAAAAAACCTTGACAAATATTTCCTTTCATTTAAGACTGACACTACTATTTAGTCCAAAATACTTCATCACTTTATAAAATAAGAGTTACAGCAATACTGTAGACTGTAAGGTAAAAAGTTGCAGAGTGTATAAAATATTTATAAGCTAGTTATACATTTTTAAAAGAGTAGATAGAAATTCAAAGCCAGTACGAAATTCAAAGGAGTTCCTTCTTCATCTGGTTGTCTGAGTCTTTGAAGAAACTTGTGACTGGAAAGTAATATTATGTCAAAATATGATTAATCTAACAGGAAGCAGTGATGTTCCATAATGATAAAGACCCAAGTCTAAACTTAGAAGCAAAACTTCAGGTGGAAAACTGACCCTCCTTCTGCAACCGGCTCAAAATATTTAATGCATGGAAGGATAAAACACCTATTAGAGACTTCATACTACCTAGGAGAATATAAGTGATAATGAAGCTTTCTTGTGAATTAGATATCTTGTTTAAGAGGGCAAGTCAAATTATCACCATTATCTAAGTAAAACATTTTTGTGGATAGTTTTCTTCAGCTGTATATAAACACATTATTTATAACATCATGTTTTCTTGTCCAGTAACTATATTGGCAATTAGCATTTTCCCAGGGAATGCAGACTAATTGTACATTTCACATATTTCATAGGCAGATCAATCAGCACTACTAAACCAAAAGACAGTCTAAATACCAGGTGCCATTAGAACTGAAGAGACATTTGTGTGAGCTGGAGCATCCTGGCTTAGTAGAAATTAACACAATTTAAGAGCAAGTTGCTCTCAAACACGGTGATCTGAACTGAGCAAGAGCTGTCTCCAAAGGTTGCTTCAATGTGAACTAAAATCCCAGAAGAAGCAGCTAGTGATCTCAGAATAGTGATGTCTCTCAACAGTCTCAGGCAGAGACTCACTCACACTCTACTCCTAAATAAAGACTTTGGACACAATATCCTCTGAGCTCCAAGTGCATTAATGCTTCTGGACTTGCTGTGAAGTCTAAGGCCCTCCAGGACTGGGCGGGAATGTACAGCTACTTGCCAAACCCTCCATAACCTACTGCATTTTGTTACAGCAAACATAATTTACAAGATAAAATTGGGGTAATTTGTGAATCCCTTTAACAATTAAGTTTACAATGAGAGAGAATCTAAAAATCTTATACTAGCTATTGTTAGAAATTAATCCCTACACATGGTTTTTAATTGAGAGATAATATGTGCAGTGAAGTACATAGAGCACAAAACCTAGGCTCCATGATTTTTAAAATAAGGACCCATTCATGACCACCACCAAGATCAAGATATAGACATTTCTAGATTCTATAATGTTCTCTTTCTAGCCAATAGCCATGCATCCTCCCTTTCCCAAGATGGACCACTATTCTGGATTTTATCATTGTGAACTAGTTTTCCCTATATCATAATTTTGCTTCTATGTTTTTCTGAAAGTGACAATGGTACATTTTGCACTAACGCTAAAGAAATAATGTTTATTGCCTTTTAATATTTTTGCATCATTATTGTTATATTAATGGCCATTAGCTCTTCTCCCAAATCTGACATAGTGTTACATAGTCTTTCTCTGGCTTTACTTCTTAGGATCCTATTGAGGAGCCATTCTCAAGAGCAGGGGAAGGTCTAAAGCCTATATCCTTTGTATCTGCCCCAGATGTGTGAGAAGTTCAGGGTGGGGGTACTTGCGGAAACCAAACTGCTATAGTATTATCAGTAGGAAGCTGTATTTTAGTAGGGCCATTTGACAAGTTATTCCATTTGGTCCTAACCATAAAGCATGTCTACATTCTAAATATCACAGACCAGTACAAACTTAATGGCCCTACACTAATAATAATGAACTCAGTTTATTCGTACAACCTTAAGGTTAAATAAATAAATGAATGAATTTACTTCATGAATAAATAAATGAATGAATGAATGCAGAATATGCTTGAGTTTTCTTAATGATGAGAAATTTACTATCACCAAAGGAAACCCAATTCATTTTTAGAATTTATTTTTCACAGATTTAAAAGATAAAGATGTTTCTTCACCACCCCCCTGCCCCACACACAAACATTCATGAATTTGAGAGTCATTGCTGAAGTGAGAACATTGTAATTTGCTGCTAATTATATGGATTCCGCTTCAATTTTGGTATATGAGTAATGAGAATACTTATTCAAATCTTTGTGTAGCTGTTATAAATTTCCTACTTGTTGTCAATGCAGAAGCAATTTCCTTGTCCCTCTCTTTTGTATGTCTTTAGGACAATCTGATTTACTTGTCTTCATAACGGCCCTTCTCATATTTGAAAATACCTGTCACAAACCTTGCTTCACATCTATACCCAATCTAAAACAGCATAATGTGGATAAACTAACTGAATGCACTTGTGAAATCTCTAACACTTTGTTGATTACTAAACATGAGAAGTAAAAACACTGATATTCTTTGAAAAAAAAATTATATCTAATGAGAGAGATATCCAAGTGGTAGTTATGTGAGAAGAAAAAAATAGTAGAAAGGCTATCATTTATATTTTTAAACAAAACGACTTTTGCATATACCACCTTATTAGGGGTTATACATAAAATTACACAGAGTAATGCAAAGTAAATAACAAACCCCCAAATTTCAAAATAAAAGATGATTAAAATGGTAACATATTTACCTGGCAATAATATAGAAAACAGATGTCTTCTCTAAAAATTTTAGTCAAACTTTATAGAATTCTTTGATTATGATATCTTTTATATTTTGTAATATTGGGTGAGCTACAAAAGGATGCATAGCTTCAAACTATTATTGGTTATATAAATATAGACTTATACAAATATAAATATATAAAAATAAGTATATATATAAATATATAGACATGTATTACTGCATATCTATTCAAGTAACATCGATTTGTATGTATATACCTATATATAGTTATATAATATATAATTTATATATGTATAAAGTAACCGATAATTACTCTCCACATTTTGGTTCATATATGTATATAATATATAATTTATGTATGCATATAAATATATATGCAGTAAGTATATATATGCAAGTAATTATATATATACAGATACATATACACATATGCATATTTTTTTCTAAAGTCTTTTATTTTGGCTAAATTCAACTTTTTCTCACAACTACTACCAGCAGTCTTCTGCGTTTCGTTTTTTCTAACTTAGGGGACAAGTAATAATGGCAGTGAGTAGTGAAAAGAAGGAAAAGGGCATTAAAATGAGAGGCAGGAGATAAACTATCCTATCAATCAAGAAGTAACAAATACTTTAAGAAGGACTAAATAAAATGGCCTAAATTTAAATATGGATTGGGATTTCCATTCTCTTGCAGATGCCCAGAACCAAAGAAGAGGTCTGCCTGGTTTTCTTCCTGGAGCTCCAGACCCAGACCAAAGCCTTCCTGCCTCTTCCAATCCAGGGAACCAAGCATGGCAGCTGAGTCTCCCTCTGCCAAGCAGTTTCCTGCCAACAGTCAGTCTCCCTCCTGGTCTAGAATATTTAAGCCAGGTGTTTTTATCTTTCTATTACTACAGATATGTTCTACCCTTAAAATTAATACAAACTTTCTTTCTGGCTTTTCAATCAAGGTTGAAAGAATTTAACCAATAATTTACTGAAATGAAAAAAGCATTATAAATCATAAAATTATAAAATATTAACTTTATTTATTTCTACTATTTTTAAAAGTGTATCTTATTACTACTTTTATCTTCCTTATTTATTTGACAGAATGATGAGACTAAATATTTTTGATGGAGCTGTTTAGCATATTTATCCACTTGTTCATTGTTCAAGGTGTCAGTAAATTTTTGCTCAAGAAATTGTCTAATATGCCAGGCACGGTGGCTCACGCCTGTAATCCCAGCATTTTGGGAGCCCATGGCATGTGGATAAGCCAGGAGTTCCAGACCAGGCTGCGCAACATGATACAACCCTGTCTCTATAAAAATTATCAGGGCATGGTGACATTTGCCTGTGGTCCTAGCTACTCGGGATGCTGAGGTGGGAGGATCACCTGAGCCCAGGAAGGTCAAGGCTACAATGAGCTGTGATCTCACCATTGCACTCCAGACTGGGTGACAGAGTGAGACTTGCCTTGGAAAAAAAAAAAAAAAGAAAAGAAAAGAAATTTTCTAACATATCTAGTCATCTACAGCTATTTATTTAAAGAATATTTGTCGAGTGCTTGCTATACTAGAGACATATAAAAAGCACGAAACCTAGCCCCTCTTACCCAAAAGTTCTGCAACCTAATTGGCAAGACAAAAAAAAAAAAAAAAGTTAATGCAAAGTGCAAGCCTGTGTACAAATGACTGATAAACACACTATTGTAATTTGTGCAGGTGTATAGAGGAGAGAGAGGTTGTTAAGGATCAAAGTACTAGAGAGACTTCAACAATGAGCTGAGTTCAATGTCTTCAACTGAATCTCAAAAGGAGGACACAAATCCAAGACAAAGCGGTTATAAAGTGAACATTGTCTGCTGATACCACTGCATCTCCAGGCCAATTTGCTTAAAAGAGCATATTGCTATTGGGTATAGTCACTGTTCTAGTCATTGTAAAGTAGGCAGGATTCAAGCCTTATAATAAATCAATCAAAATATCACTATCTGAATTTTATGGCATATAAAATTCAGCTATTGCTATTCATGTATGTATATTATTGTTGCTTTTGTATTTTATCCTAAAAAGGATTAGAAGTACAATTACACTAATATTGAGATGTCAGCACATCTGCTGCAATTTTCAGCTTGTTTGGCATTCTTTCAAACTATAAAGTCTATCTCCTTTATCAAAATCAAATCTCTGTGTTAATTCCCTTAAGGTACAAGAGATTTCTGTTATGCCTGATAGGGTTTAAGCTGCACGCAGCATATGTTCCTGGGAAAATGTTTATAATTGCAGATGTCTTCTCCAGAAACCCACTGGCAGACAAATGTACTTTAGAGACTGGAGAGCTCAGGGAGATATGTAAAAGAGCTGGAAACGCAAACCTACCATCTTCCATCTGCAGAAAGGATCAGCTGTAATAGCTGACTAGAGTTGATTAACTGCTGCAAGCTGTTTGGGAATGTTGTCAGACAAGGTTTTGCCAAGTATAAAAGTGATATACCAGTGCCAGAGGGCTGAGGTTTGATGATCACATATGGTCATCACATATTCTTCTTCCATTCATGAATGATGACACACCCGGAGCCAGATGCTTGACATGAATACATTTTTGTTGTGTTCAATAAGTAGAGATATGAGCCCATTGGCTTTGGTTCTAAAATGGAATAAATTTTCCAAAAATATACCTTTGTTAATCATTCCAAGAAAAGAAAAATATGCCACCAATTGTTGAATATTCTACTTCTAAAGGGAAAGGTAATTTCCTCACTTTATACTAAAAGAACATTTATTTACTTTACTTTAAAGCAGTGCACATATAAAAGGATGAATGAGCACTTCCAAACTGTTATGCCATGAGTCTGGAAGAGACACAATATAAAATGAATTTTTAGATGCCAACTTTTCCCTAAAAGCCACAAAAATCAAACAAAATAATGAACATTTGGAAATAGTACATTAATCAATGAATAAACAGGAAATATACAATTAATATGTTCTAAATTTAAAAATTTAAATAAAATATTTTAACATCTATTCTCTTTTAATCAAGTCCATCCAATTACTATTGAGAATCTTGTTTCCATGAACAATTTGAAAATATACATATATGAGTGTTTAGCTATATAATGTACATTAAATCTAAGAGTAAAATCAATAAATTCTTTCCAAATTAAATTTACATGTTCATACAGTCAATAACATTTTACTGTATAGTGTCAAAGAATAATTATTATAGTCACCTATACATAAGAGTAATGAGTTAAAGTCTACAAAACATGTAAATATCCAATTTATTTTGAAATACATATATCAAATGGAATCATTGATACCTGTCAACTTGATTTTTTTTAAATTAATTATTAAGCCATACATCTAATCCTCTCATTGTATTTTCATTTCTACAGCTTTCATACTTAAGGAGTTAAGTTTTACTTGCCATGACACCTAAACGTATAATTCAATCTGTTTAAAGTTTCCAAAATTGCTAGTCTATCAATGAATAGAAAAAGAATGGAAAATGCCCCTTTGGGCCATAGTTTGTAAGTGGCTATGTGCTATTTAAGGAAAACTACAAGAACAGCCTAAAACAAACAACTCCCTTAAATCCAGGAGATTTTTTCACAGAGAGAGCAAATCAAATGTTATTACAGAGGATGGGGAGGGTATAAGAGTAAAGAAAATAGGAAAGGTACTCAAGTTTCATGTCGTCACTTAAGACTTATTTCCCTTAAATTTAGCGTAGTGATGTCCGTAAAGAAACAGAATAGAATGCATGTCAGAATTGATGTCCATTTACAAGTTCTGTGATGGTGGGCAAATTACTTAATCTCTGTGGGCTTGCTTCCTCACATTTAAAATTAATGATATTTATCTCTCTGAGTTTTTGTGAGGATTAAATCAGATGCTGTCTAAACATCTAGCACAGTGACTACCTTATGGTAGTTATTCAATTAAAAAAACTGTTATTGTTGGATATTAGAGAGGTACTACTTTTTCATTGTCAGGTGGACTTCAATTAATAGTTTCTAAATTTCAATACTAGAACTTGATTCATGACAACAGTATTCAAAGTACCTAAACTCCCACTTTATTCTTGATCACACAGATCTCCATTTCTAAGTTACTTTTGCTTAGATCAACTACTAAATAATAACATATATCCTTGTTGAGGCTTACCACTCCGTTTTCCTCAGAAGATAACAGAACTAATGCAGTACACTACTAAAGACTTGGTCTAGTATTTTTTTTCTAATAAAAGCTTTCTTATTATTGTTAATTTAGGTTTTAGAATATCTTAGATCATAAATTATTTTTGGAAAAATATTTTTTGTGAATCTTAAAAAAGAGGCCACACATATTATTTTATCAATAATAAGGTTTAAATAGAGAAAATGATATTAGTTTTACCTTCACCTTAGGACATACAAGGAGAATGAGGGAAATCATGTAGCTTCAAATGTTCTGAGATTGTGATGTCCAATCAATACCAAATTTTAGTAATGACTGGTTAGTTTAATAGTTACTGGTGAGTTTATTAATGCGAAGGGAGAATATGGTGAAGAAAATTTTAAGGTGAAAGGAAAAATGAAGCGTTAGAAAATACAATGATCAGCAGCATATTTAGTGTTCATGCTTTTGCATTACTGGATCTTCAAGTACTGAATATCAGATTGAAAATAAACACAAATAGGCCAGGCACAGTGGCTCATACCTGTAATGCCAGCACTTTGGGAGGCTGAGATGGGTGGATCACTTGAGGCCAGGAATTTGAGACCAGCATGGCCAACATGGCAAAACCCTGTGTGTCTACTAAAAATACGAAAATTAGCCGAGCATGGTGGCGTGCACCTGTAATCCCAACTGCTCAGGTGGCTGAGGCACGAGAATTGCTTGAACCTAGGAGGTGGAGGTTGCAGTGAGCCAAGATGGTGCCACTGCACTCCAGCCTGGGCCACAAAGCTGAACTCTGTCTCAAAAAATAAAAATAAAATAAACGCAAATAAATTTCTTTATAAGAACATAACTTTCATATTTCCTTTAAAAAGCAATTTGCATTACAGATTTTTTAATTTAATCATCATTTCTCAATTATCTGTGGATACTTTATCTCTGTAAATTAACTTTATTTTTAATTACATAAGTCAAATCTTGTAATGTATTTAGTGCCATAACATTTATTTGACTTAAATTGGTATTTTGTTGGCATCCACAGGAACTCATTTTTATTTTTAGTCCAAAGGAAAGTGTGAATGAGAGAAAAATGTATACAATAACCTTTCAGGTTTAACAAATATATTCCATCACTGAAAGATATGAGTTGCAGTTTGACAGAGTGATAGTAGACGTAGGCAGAGGTTAAGAGGAGAGGCCAGGCATTCAAATCATTATTGTGTTGTTTCATGTCTTCTAAAAAAATTGAGTTGTAAAACATCTTAAACATTATAATTCAGAGATTGTTTAAAAATCTTCACAAACTCTTGTTTTCAAGATCTACTCTAATTTTCTCATTATTGCGGAGTTAACACAGAGTTAGTTCTGTCTCAGTCTCCTTTTTCTTTCTTTTTCTTTTTTTTTAATTGAGACAGAGTCTCCCCTCTGGGGACTAGGCTGGAGTGTACTGTGCACCACAACCTCGACCTCCCAGGATCAAGCTATCCTCCCACCTCCACCTCTCTCCTGTGTAGCTGGGACTAGAGGCGCACGCCACTACAGCCAGCTAATTTTTGTAAAGACAGGGGTTTGCCATTTTGCACAGACTGGTCTCGAACTCCTGGGCTCAAGCAATCTGCCTACCTTGACCTCCAGAAGTACTGGATTTATAGGCATGAGCCACTGCGCCCAGCCCCGTTGCTATTCTTATTCTTGCTCAATGCTGCCTTGGAATTTTCAAGGTTCTTCTAAATTCTTCTTTAAATTAAAAAAAAAATTACGTTCTTTTGCATTGTAAAATGTGAGATATTTTCAACTGTTTTCCTAATAGAAAGCATGAAAATCACTAATTTTATGTAATATAGTAAATAGGGTACTAGTAGTATCTCCAAAGGTTTTCCGTGTGATGTTAATACTTTTTATTTCCTTTTATGTCATCCTTTACAGTTAGACCTGATAATTATACACCAGCAGGTGGAGCTGCTTGGAAGTAAGTGCATTATATATATTACATATTTATTAAAACTATTGAAAATATTTTAGTTTTCAGAAGTTTCTTTGCATCTAAATATGTTATAAATGAGAAAGTTAAATGTGTAGAATAGAATTAGATCAAAAAGAGTACTAGGTCTTTTTTCAATTAAAAGCTGAAAGTAAAATTATTAGTCTTATTTAGATAAAATAGAAGCATAAAACTCTGAATCTTTGGTGATATTGCCATTCAAATTCTGACATTACATATACTTTAAAATAGTAAAAGGTATTTGATCATTTCCGTGGATGCTAATCATTTAACTTTCCTAATAATTTCAAAAATGGAAGTCAAGGTTTTGACTAAATGAGTGATTTACCAAATAGGCAAATTATTTAAGAATCTACAAATTTACAAGCATGACTAACTGGATTCAAATTACTTGAGTATTTTCTGGGTTTAGTGCTCTATATTATGCCTAAATATATATAAAAATTGAAATAGCAGGATAGCGTACACCTTTAGATATATTACCAGACAAATATTTTAGACAAAATCACTATTATCACCATGAGTTGTCCCAATAGTTCTATAACAATAATATAATTATTTTTTGAGCTATAAATTATTCTTTAAAGCATTTGTCCTTTAGTGAAAAGGTACACTACATGTTCTCAAGTAGGTCATATATCTGGAATAAACATTAATTAATTATATAGCTTTATTCTCACCATTTACTTTTATTTCCATGGCTAAGTCCTAAAAATTTAGAGCATAGAAATAAATTTGTGTGAAGAAGATACCATATATTTAATAATTGATCAGACACTGTATTCTTTTAATAACATCTCCCCTTTATTTAAAGTTATCAATACTAAGGAAAAAAATGTTTTTATAATTTTTTTTTTGTTCCATTAGTGATACTTGGTACTGAGACCTCCAACAAATATGAGATTAAAAACAGCTTGGGACAAAGAATTTACTTTGCAGTGGAGGAAAGCATCTGCTTCAATCGTACTTTCTGTTCCACTCTGCGATCTTGCACCCTGAGGATCACAGATAACTCAGGTCGAGAGGTCATTACAGTGAACAGGCCCTTGAGATGTAACAGCTGCTGGTGCCCTTGCTACCTACAAGAGGTTAGTTACTGGCTCTGGTTGTCCTTTTTGATTTTTAAGATTAGCATTTGTTTCTTTAAAAGGAATTCATCTGGAGCAATGAGGCAATTAACCTGCCAGTTGTTTTAATTATTAATAGTATGTTGCTCCTTTAGGATCAGATCAGCTTGAGGATTTGGTAATTCACTAAACTTTTTTCTTTCCAACCAAAAACTATGGTGGCTTTCATGATATAAACTGTTGAAGACAGCTCATGCATCATGTAAATGAGATAGACCTCTGGAATCTCTATAGTAGTCATGTAATTGTAATGTCTACAGGTTCCACCATTGGGCATATACACCCTTTGTCTTCTCCAACTGGAGCAAAGTCCAGGAAATGCTAAGTGATATTAAACTCCTCTAAGGTATCCTCTTGGATAGGTATTATTATTTAGTATGGAATCTCACAATGCATTTACCCATTTATGACAAAGCCCAAGGTTTGGCAAGACAATGTTATTGTTCTACAGGGAATAATTCAATTATTTTATTTTAATATATAATAGATTTACGTTATTATTTAGTACACCTGTAATAATAACTTTCATTGACTTATGCAGTTAAATTGACACAGAACTTTTACTTACTTTACTGGCTTTGATACCATGATATTCTACTCATGAGCAAGAACAGAATCATGAAATCTCTAGGAGCTAGAAATAATTACTCTCTACATTTGGCAGTCAAGGAAGGAGAGTGGAGGTGACTACCTATGACTATACATTCAAGAAATCAGGAAATATTATAGATGGGACTTGAGCCAGGTGTCCTAATTTAAGCCCAACCTTCTCTGTTAGAACCTGTGGATAAGTACTGGCCTTAGGGTGATGGGAAAATATTAATATGAAAGATGGTTATTTAGGGAAGTTTCTAATAACATATATCAAAGCTAATTCTCCAACTATTTTTAGGTAAGCATCTGACTAAGTGATAAAATGATTGAAGTGCTCGTGCATGGAGCCCAAGAATTTCCATCCGTCTACTGAGGATATTTAATATTAATATGCCCCAAGAGAGTGTAGTCATTATGATCACAGAAATATGCTCATTTTAAAATTTTTGATAATTAACTTTTTCTTTAATGGTAGTCCAGGGTCATAAATTAAACATAATATATTACTTGATAACTATTAGTAACTTTTAAAAAAATTTGATCAATAGCAAATTAATAACTTTAAAAGTGATCCCAGAGCAAATCTATATTAATTCTAAGCAGTCTAGTTGAAATCACTTTTATCTATCCAAGAACATTATAGACATATGCATAAGACTATGAACTTCATAAGAAAAGTCAAAATGAGATCAGATGATGGCGATGTCTTGGTTTAAAAGCAAACATTTAAAAAATTTGTACCCACCCCCAATTTATTTTACAAAATATTTGATTGGGTTACATAAATATGTAAAGGTAATGGAGTCAAATGCTAAAGTAATGCCGGATAATGCAAAAATCCAACTACTAGTCTCGAACACTTTGGAAGCCACAAACCAGCAATCAAACTGGTGTTTAATGACTATAACTCTGCAAGAAGCATTTGTTTTTAATTAAATATAGATAATCTTGGAGCTTATAATCTTAGAGAAAAAATATGAATACTCAATAATTGATAAAGGAGACTTAAAATAGATGTGTGTTGTGGCTACAATTAAAAGGAGTAGATATGAGTAACCACATAGGAACAGCTTCAGTGGTTGACCAATGGTTGTACTTGGGATAAAATGGCAAAGAAGCCACTGTCCTAGGGTCAGAAGATAGTCGTGGGGTAGATTCTCTTTAGGGAAATAAGACATAGACTTTTAGTGCACAGTGCTAAACGTATGTTTATACAGTGAATTTCTTTGTTTTCTGTAAAATATTTTATAAAATCTGTATCCTTAGAAGCAGGTATTTAGAATGATTTGTAGAATATCAAAATAATTTTATAACAGTATATTGTTTACAGGTAAATTGACATTATAGTAAAATTAAAATATGATAACCTAAGAAAATCTTATTTTATCATTATCTCTTCTTACAGTTAGAAATCCAAGCCCCTCCTGGTACTATAGTTGGTTACGTTACGCAGAAGTGGGACCCCTTTCTGCCTAAATTCACAATCCAAAATGCAAACAAAGAAGATATTTTGAAAATTGTTGGTCCTTGTGTGACATGTGGCTGTTTTGGCGATGTGGATTTTGAGGTACAATTGACAAAATGAAAGAAGTTTTCATTTAGGTCCTGATTTTTTTTTGCAACATAATTCAATTTTTTTATGTTCAAATTAATTTCATTTAAAATAAGTTCAGAAAATGACATATTTGTAATATAATGTAATCAGCCCATATTGTACATGCTAAGAATAGGAATATGTAAATCCAGAGATATAAAGTCCAAGGATTTTTTAAAAATAATATTACAAAATTTATCACCTTGGCCATCATATCTGTCATAGACCAGTGTAAGTATTATCCAAAGTAATATTAATAAATTTTACTATAATAAAAGCATGTTTAGCTAAATATAATTCTATGTGTTCTATGGACAAAGCTACTATATCTCTTTGATTAGAATAGTAAATGTGTTGCTATTTTAATGTGTGCAAGACTTTGAACATCAAAAATTTTTGGACACATAGCTTTGCCTTTTTAAGATAACCAATATTTCCTGATTTTGAAAATTAGCACTTCATTCTTGTTTCAGTATGTTTTATTTATGTAGAATCACAGGACACATGGCAATAAAGCCAATATATACAGTTTAGAATCACCTAAATTATGTATCTTCTTTCCTATGGGCCTTGAGATCACATATCCCAGTTTAGATCTCATTTCAGCAGCACGTTACATTAAAACAGCATTAACTCAAAAGCTGTGTTTCTAAGACTTGCTAAGTTAGTTTTGTAAAAAAAACAAAAAAAAAAAACAAAAAAAAACCTTATTCTCGTATTTGTATAAATTGAATATTTAAAAAATAGAAAGTTGTAAATTTGATCTGTAGCAATATAAACTATCTTAACAGGTTGTCCTGGACATACAACTTAGGTAGAGGAGACAGCCTAATTGAAAGTGTATATTTATTTTTCATCCATTCATACATAAATATCTCAGCAAGGGCATTTAGTTCTCAGGACTTCAGGAAACACTATGCACGTAGAATACAATGCAAATTTTGCAAACTGAGCTGTTCCAACTTCACCCTATCCCCAAAGGATTTGGCATGACTTTCCTACGAGTAATATGATTGAGGAGGACTTTAAACATAAGAGTTTTAGCATTCATGCTATAGAAATGTCCTAAGTAACCCTCTCTATTCTCTATCTTTTACTACCCTGAAAAAAGTGATAGTTTCTCTTGAATTACTTTCAGCATCAGGATGGGAAGCAGAATAAACAAACAAATAGCTGATAAAGTTGATTTGTGAACTCCTTCTAGCTGAGAAGGACTGATTGATGTCTAGTTGGTCTTAACTTCCTATATGGTACATTAACCAGGAGGATTTTTTTAATGTAAAAATAGGATTTAGGATTTGTTAGAAAGTATTGACCTAATAAATGTCTGAGTATAATATAAAAATGTGATTTAACAATGGCCAATAATATTTAAATGTTTTAATAATTATAAAATTTTAGCAACTGAAATTTGAAAGTTTACAAATTATGCCTAGAAATTAATTTAATTCCTTCTGAAATATTTTTTCAAACATATCTTCTTTTACATTTTTAAGATGGAGAATTCAGGTTTAAAATCTGGACCTCAAGTAAAGAAATCGCCTTCATGCTTAGATGATACAATTGAACTATGTACCTGCTGCCATCTTGTGGTGGCTGAGCCTTAATTATTTATCCTGATATTCTCCATCTGCATACAAAAAAGAAAAAGAATTATGATGGACTAGAAAACTGTCAAAAAAGCAAAGTTTCTAAAAAGTAAACTGAAAAGCTAAATTTACAAACCTATGCTTATATGATGGAATGAATAACATGGAATTGTCATTTTGAAGATGACAAATAAAATAATTCAAATCTCTCATGAAGTAAACACCCTCAGAAGTATAAAACCAACTTTTTTCACTGTCAAATTTAATACTCCTTATTTTCTTTCTAAAGGTGAAAACCATTAATGAAAAGCTTACAATTGGGAAGATTTCAAAGTACTGGTCAGGATTTGTAAATGATGTCTTCACAAATGCTGACAATTTCGGAATTCATGTTCCTGCAGATCTAGATGTAACAGTCAAAGCAGCAATGATCGGTGCCTGTTTTCTCTTTGTAAGTATGGGCTTTGAGAGCATGAGTGATTTGTTATTCTCCCTCTTGCTTGTTAATTACAATATAGCCTATCCCATTTACACAGTTTTTACCCCCAAAGAGTATATTTTATTCATAGAAGGATAGCTTAGGACCAATGTTCTTCAAAAATTAGAATTTAGAACCCTGCATTTCTGTTAGGCAGCCCCTCTTCAGTGATCTCATATCCCCTTTCTCAAAGATTGAAGTGTTATCACATCCTATTCATCATTTCTTTAAAACCTAGTTTCCCCTTGCTTTTACGTTCAATTTAGATTTTTGGCTTATTTTCACTTGAACTAAAAAATATGCAAACATAAATATCACATGATTTATCCTGGATAAAGTTCCAGACTGGTTCATTGCATAATAGTGAGCTAGATGATATTAAGAATGTTGCCTTCTCAGTGTGAACATAGACACATGAAATGATTTGATGAGTTAATAGGTACCAGTTGCCATTATTTCTAAGATACTATGTTCTTGTTATTACTTTCCAACTTACAATTATATTGAAAACCTTTTCTTCTTTGGTATATGGAGATTGGTGATAGAAGAACAGAAGTCAAATAATACCTGTATCAAAATGCTTGACCTATATCCTGTTCTTAGTTTTCCCTCTAATATTTACCTAATTTCCTACCATTTTCAATGCAGCCATAAAAACTTATGGAGTTTTTATTTGTTGATATATAAACACATGTATTTTCTATAAATACATGAAAAAGATGTGTATACACAGGCACACACATAAGTGATTAAAACAAACAGCATAAGAGTTGAGAGTAGGTTGCAGACATGATGCCTTTTCCCCTAATTATATTAGTGTGCATTTCCTAAAAACAAGGAATTTTTTTACACATCACAGTACTATTGTCAAAGTCAGGCACTAAACACTGATTCAATGCTATTATCTAATCTACAGACTTTATTCGGTTTGCACTGATTTGCATAATGATGTCCTTTCTGACAATAGAAAATCCAAGATCATGAAGTATGTCCATTTTGTCACATCTCATTTGTTTCTTTTCACCTGGAACTGTTCCTAAGGGGTGTGTGTGTGTGTATATGTGTGTGCATGAACATGTGCACATGCATGTGCATTTCCCTGAGTCTCATGACATTGGCATTTTTGTTTTTGTTTTATTTTTTGTTCTATTTTTTGAGATAGAGTCTCACTCTGTCACCCAGGCTGGAGTGCAGTGGCGCAATCTTGGCTCACCACAACCTCTGCCTCCCAGGTTCAAGCGATTCTCCTGCCTCAGCCTCCCGAGTAGCTGGGATTACAGGCATGTGCCACCATACCCGGCTAATTTTTTTGTATTTTTAGTAGAGATGGGGTTTCACTGTGTTAGCCAGGATGGTCTCGATCTTCTGACCTCGTGATCCACCCGCTTTGGCCTCCCAAAGTGCTGGGATTATAGGTGTGAGCCACCTTGCCCAGCCGACATTGGCATTTTTTAAGTGCATAAGCCAATTATTTTGTAAACTGTGGCCTAATTTCAGTTTGTGTCATGGTTAGATTCAGGTTATGCACTTTTGGTAATCATGAAATTTTTATAAAGCTTAAATTCCTTCTCATGTTTTATTGTTTTCTGGGGTTTCAGAATGCTAAATCTGATTGTTTACATTAATGCCCTATTTACTGAGTCTCTTCTAATGATATTTGGAAAATATATGAACTAAAAATTATTCCCTGATGACTTCACTGAAACTCAGAATTTAATACATAGATATATATGTATATATATATGCATATATACATATACATATACATATACAAGTATGTATATTAGGATTATTTCTCCAGGATTTCAGAGGAATTATTTTAACTTACCAGTCTCCTATTATTGGTAGAAGATGGAAGTAATATCTATAGAGTGCTAGGTTTTTAAACTTACTAAGTTGTCACTTACTCTCAACTCCCATTTTCATCTGCAAATCTAACCAGCTTAGTCCACCTTGCCTGTTGCCTAATGTCATCTCTTCCCTATTCTCCTCTATCCACTGGACAGTGCTTTTAACTTGTCACCCTTCCTTTGCTTACTGTTCCCATCTTTGATCATTCTGACTTCAACACCAACCCCTCCACACACACACCCTTTCCCCAAGATCTTCATTAGGCCTTTCTGATTAAGCCCCACACTTAACGTTAATATTTAGAAATAGATCCTTTTTAATCTGCCCTACTCACCTATTTTACATAACAAGCTGATAGTTAAAATGTACTGCCAAAATTGGAACTACAGTTCTCTGTATTTTAAACCTTATCAGTTTTTCTTATTGTTTCAGAAACCCTCTAAACATATGTTCTTCTTGAAAAAGCATGTATTTCTTAGTCCATATGCTTTGAGAGATTGATGAGATGTAGGTTCCGTAAAGGTTGATCTAGGTCATACTCAAAGTGTGGTGCAAAGTGCAAGCATCTGCACCACCTAGAAGCTCGCTCAAAGCAAAGAATCTCAGATCCCACCCCAGATGCATCAGGACCTGCACTTGAACAAGATGCCCAGGTGCTTCCTCTATGCACTATAAATTTAAGAAGCACTGATCTAGATAATACCCTAATCATCTAAAAGGATAACTTTTAAACTCCAGCATTTAAGGGAGAAATGTTCACTGAGAATAGTTAATGACTCCCATTCATTTCTCTTTTTTTCTTTTTACCATCATATTGTAAAACATTTGCCTTTTTTTGCCAGCCAATATAGCTTATAAAACTATTTCTTACATGTATTACCAAGATAAATTACTTTCCTTATACATAATTTTATAGAAAGAATTATGTTTTTAATTTTTAATTGCTGTTTCTATTTTATTCAGGCGAAAGCTTTAGAAAGCTGCTGGTATAAGGTTATTTCCTCATTTAAATACAAATCTAAATCACAAATGAAATCTAATTTTTGGTCTCTTCTGGTTCCAAGATACGGCTTCACAACCCACCACTCCTCCGACTCACCACTCACTCTTTGAGTTCTCTCTGGTGTAGTTTTCAGTACTCCCTCAAATAACCACCTATTGCTGACCACATTATCTCTGGTAATATATCTAATTTTTGTTCAAATATTCGTATCCATTATAACTTCCTACACTGACCCAGAATGCATACAGTCTAATTCTGCAAAGGGTTTATCACCCAAAAGTTTGACAATACTATGCAGATTTAGATAAAGTTTCCAAGTTACTTATACTCTGAAAATTCAACATGAAAATAAAAAGTCACGAAGCTTAAAATTTTTAAATTTTTCTTCTCCAGATAAATCATATAATACTGGAACACTTTGACAATACCATGCAGATTCAGATAGGGTTTCTAAGTTACTTATACTCTGAAAATTCAACATGAAAATAAAATGTTGTAAAGCTTAAGACTTTTAAATTTTTCTTCTTCTGTTAAATCATAATACTGGAACACCACTGGAAATATAATTGCTTTACATAATCAAAGCTTGCATGTCAAACTTTTGATCTTAATTGTTGTCTTTTTGTAAATTCACTTATATTCAGTTTACTTATTTGTAGGATTTTATGTTCTTTGAACATTCACTGGCTGGATTATAATAACCAAGATAATGAAAACAATAAAATATGCAGAACATATTTCAGTAAGTAAAAAGCAAGTTTAAATGATCTCTTTCCCTTTGAAGATGTCTATATTTGACGCTATCTAACTCTTTTTCATTTTCTTCTAGAAATCCCTTGGGCTCTGGATTTCATTTCTGAATGGTTTGAATGTTTGCTTTTTTGTTAAAAAAAAATGTTAATTATTATATTTATTAAAACAGTTTAATGAGGCAATTATCTAGTTGTGAATGCATGATAGCTAAATACGTGATTACTGGCCTGAGCACAAGGTTGCTTTGAGAGATTACCATTCTTTCTTTTTATCCTTTTGAAGTTATTGCAATGGTAAGCATGAAAGATGAGAACTAAGGCTTGCAGCATCACTGATGAAAATTCAATGTTTAGAGAACACTTTTGAAGTTTTTCTGGTACTAAGGCTAGTTACTAATCAAAAGGACTGAGTTTCTAAAACATTTTTTCAAAAGTAGTCCCTTTATACTTTGTTTATTAATTTTCTTATTGTAGTGAGATATTATTACTTTACACTGGAAAAGTTAAAAGTTGGGTAAATAATATATCTAAAGATGAAGAGGAAGATAGATGGTATCAATTCATTCTAGTGGTAAGAGGCACAGTTACATTCCATAAAGAAACTAGTATTTACAAACCAAAGCATGCTTTAAATACCTACTCATGCCAGAGATTTAAATAAGCATATAAATAGACCTCTAAGACCTGCAGTGTTGTCTAGCAGGAATTTTATCTATTTGCAGTGAAAATTCAATCAATTAAGGGATCTAAGGCTCTGAAAAATAGACAACTCAAGGACTTAAAAACAAGCAAAGGAAACCAAATAAATAAAATCTTAATCCATGAGTCAAATGCAGAAGTAAAAGAGTCCAGTACATTCAATTAAATTAATATATTTCACTTCAACATTTATGGAGTTTTCCTGATTACTATCCACTAGTTATCAACATATCTCCAAAACCTACACAAAAGGAAAATTTGTTATGAATGACAATAATTATTCTCTCCTTCTTCCAAATGGAACAGATTTCTTTTAAGCAAGGTACCATGAAGCCATGTAGGCTCTATTTTAGACTTACACAAATACCACCTACAGTTTTATGCATGTATAAGGGTGTTTCAAGAAATTCCAGGCGATTCTTCACTTAGAAAAAGAGAATGTATGCTAAACATCTGTTACTAAGTTAGTCAAGTTAGAGTCATTTGAAATTAGGAGATGATCATTTCCTAGAAATAATATTATGGGTGGTAGTAAGTTCCCCAGAGAACACACAAATATCAATTTAGTTCTAGGCTCTGGAGTAAGGGCTTTATGCTGTATAACATAAAAATGAAAAGCTTCTCTCCCCCATACTCTGGTTCAGTATTCTTCAGTTTCTTTTTCCTTATTTACACCTTAACATTTTCTGATAACCCCCTCCTTTGGCATGCAAAGAATATACATTGCCTCAATCGACCATAACATATCTTGTACCTGAGGCAGAGTAGTTTAGGAATTAACTACCAAAAAATAACTATATTTTAAAATCACGTGCGACCTTTCTCCCAGTCATACCATTTATTTTTTCAGTGTAACTGGTATCACCTTCATTCTGGAAGCAATGCAGTCATAGAAGGGAACAAAAACCTTTTATGCAATAGACATAACCTGGAATCTAATTTTGCTGTTTGCCAGTGCTGCAACCTTAAACTGTGATCTTTGGGGATCTCCTTGAGATTCTCATATTACCTTGAAGAACTCTGGTGATGATGAAGAAGAGCTTAGCATTCCTTCCCTTTCCTCTCAATCTACTGCATTTCAAATATATGGGATTTATGGTTTTCTTATAATCAGCTAAAGTAAATTACACTTTTAAAGCTGATGCTCATTAACTAATAAAATGGAGGACAAATAACATGCCAGGCACCATGCTTTATATAAATTTCTGGTAGGGTAACGAAATGATAACAAAGGAAAATCAGTCAGTATGAGGATGACTGCCTGGGAAATTGTCTTCCCCCCTTCCCACCCAGCACTCCTGCTTCATGTCCCAATTTTCTTCCTAAAGATAATCTTGCTTTCCTATCTTCTCTTGTCCTTTACTTTTGGTTTCTAAAATATAAGATTTTTATAACTGATGTCATAGCAGCAACAGCTGAGATTTTCACCATGGGGCAAAAATGGGAAAAAGAAATTATCATTTGTAAGTGCTGCATTTTACCATGATAAACTGCTTTGGAGACTTTTTTTAATATTAAATGAACCCTAAAATATTGGACAGAGCTATTCAACACTTACACCAAAGGGAGACTCACTAAAGATTAAAATCCTTCTTAGAATATATCACTCATTTAAAAATTGGCTGCATTTAAATAAAAACCTGATGTAGCGCTTTGCTTCCAAGTTGGCATAGTACAATAAACTGAGACCCATTCTGTCTCTCCTTTCTTATTAAAGGTAAAATTGATCTTCTTATCTCTTTCATGCTCTACTTTTCCCTTTTCCACCAAACATAAGTCCATGAGAGACTAGCCAGACCTTATGATTTTTAGTGAAAAGCATGCAGCTCTAGACCAGGACTGATACTTGTACAACAGTGTTTCCTAGTGCACTACTGCCTCTTGTCCCCAGGACAACCCCAGAATACAGGCTCCAACTCTGTTTACTCCAACTCTGTTTACTGTGTTTACTGGGAAAAACTTGACCAGATTCACACAACTCTCATTCATTCATTCATTTAAATAAATATTTATTTACTTGCTCTTACATGCCAATAAGTAGACCCTTCTCTTACAGTGGTAACAGTTTAGTTGAAGAGATAGCTTTTAATCCAATAATGACAAGAACACAGATTACGTTTCAGATATGAGAAGTGTTTAATGGAGAGGGACAAGATGCTAAGATATGGCAATTTGACTTGGTCAGAGAAGGAGGGAGTGATGCTGGATTTAATTAGCACTCAAATCAGCCTCCCTGAACATTTGAAGGCTAGGGTTTTTCAAGAATCATTTGGCAAGCAGGGGGCTAGGGAATGGGTGCTGCTGATTGGTTGGGGATACAAACGTAGGGGTGTGGAAAATGGTCTTCATGCACTGAGTCCACTTCTGGGTGGAAGCCACAGAGGAGTTGCTGGTCTAGGCAGGACCATTCGGTTATTTGAAATGCAAAAGCCTGAAAAGACATCTCAAAAAGCCAATCTTAGTTTCTACAATAGTAATGGTATTTACAGGAGTAATTGGGAAAGTTGTAAATCTTGTGACCTGCAGTATAATGGTTGGTAATCATTTAATTACACCTACATCTTAGCAGAGTTCAGGCCCCTTTCATCCTTTTAACCTGGTGGCCTTTCATTAGATTTATAGAGACAGTTTTGTTCTGGTAAGGGCTATTCTCTTTTAAACTACAAACTAAATTTTTCCGAAGTTCTTTGTCTCACAGCTGAGAAAATCAAGAAGGCGACATGCCAAGGGTGAGGTTAGAGCAGCAGTTTAATAAGCAAAAGAAAGAGAGAAAGCTCTCTGCCACAGAGAAGGGTCCCAGAAAAGAGTTGCCATTTTACAGTTGAATACAGAGGCTTTTTTAAGAAACCAATGAGGGCTGGGCATCTAATTTGCATAAAGTACAAATTTCTGGTAGCTCCACTCTGTCCTCCTAGTGTGCATGCAGGCCCTTACCTTGAGTTACTCCATATTGCTTTGTTCCCCTTACTGCACATGTGTCAGGGGATGGAATTTTCCATTGCAGACATGTCTGGGCAAGTCAGCTGTGTGGCCTGTCTTATCTATGCAGTGAGGCCATGTCTTAGGCAAGCCCTCCTATGCAAGTTCCCTTATTTATGCCTGCAGGCTGTTCTTTTGTTTGAAAGAATTCAACCCAGGACCCACCCTAACTGACTACCTGTCTAGTTTCTTCCTACCTACTCTCTGTGAGGGAGAAAGGATTTCTGGCCTATGCCATTTACTGACAGAGGAAATATTAAAAGAGGATCTGGTTTAGGGGAAGAGCATAGGTTCAGTTTTAGTCATTGAAATTGTAATGCCTTTAAGTCTTTCAAAAAGAGATGTCAAAAAAGGAAAGTGGGTATCTTTTCAACTAGAATATTTCTAAAAAGAGAAGTGAGTTTAAGAGAACTAGATGTGGACCCATTAAGATCTGAATAATTTCTGGTTTACTTCAAGGATGTTCCTAAAAATGTGTTAAATAATACATGGACAATTAATCATTTTTTCATTTTTATTTATTGTATAATTGACCAATAAAAGTGTAATATTTATCATGTACAACATGATGTATTGAAATATATCTATACATTGTAGAATGGCTAACTTGAGCTAATTAACATAGGCATTATCTCACTTTGTTTTGTGCTGAGAACACTTAAAATCTACTACTAGCAATCTTCAAGAATACAAAACATTGTTATTAACTATAGTCACTCTTGAACTTTTTCTTATTCATTCACTTATTTAGCTAATATTTTTGAAACCACTTCTATGTACTAGGCTCCATATTAGGCACTGGGGATATTATATTCAATGGTACATTGTCCCTGCTCTAAACTCTCTTCAACAAATATTTCTGGAATGCATACACTGCACTAGGCATCAATGTCAGCATTAAGTTATAACAGTAAACAAAAGCAACAAGGTTCCTGCCTTTGTGGAGCTTACATAGAATAGAGTTGATAATAAACCAACAGATAACAACACGTTAAGGTTACCATAGATAACCACAAATATTGACAAGGAATCTACCACTCAATATCTAAAACAATAAGCTGAACTTATTACTTGTTCAGGCAAGGGAGAACTGGTTTTGCAAGACACAATTTATAAGCAAAGAAGGTAAATTATATAAGGTTTTGGGAAAGTGTGGAGTTTAAATGCTGGAGTATTGACTTTAGCTATGTAAATATGTTCACTGACTGGCTGACCCTTAGGAATCTATTCACTGGACTAAAGCTATTGCTGATTATCTGATTTTCAGAAATCATGTAAAGAAGATGTTTCCAATTGTCTTTCAGAGTGTGTGTACTTTTGTAATCAATCATTGATTGATTAAGCAGGTTTAATACTAGTTTTGATTGTTACTCGTTTGATTGTTAATGCAAGGAGTGAACAATCAATTCTTTCCTAGAAGGATGAGAATTTTACACCCTCAAACCCATGAAAAAGTAATTCAGGGTAACAAAATAGAAATAGAACTGCTGTTACATTTTAGCGTAGACCAGAAAGAAGAAAGCATGACTTAAGAATATTTAGGAAAAGAGTGTACCAGGCAGATATAAAAGTAAATGCGGGGCAGGCGCGGTGGCTCACGCCTATAATCCCAGCACTTTGAGAGGCCAAGGCGGGCGGCTTGCCTGAGCTCAGGAGTTCTCGAACAGCCGGGCAACACGGTGAAACTCCATCTCTGCTAAAATACAAAAAATTAACTGGGCATGGCAGCGTGGCCTGTAGTCCCAGCTACTCGGGAGGCTGAGGTAGAAGAATTGCTTGAACCCGGGAGGCCGAGATTGCAGTGAGCCGAAATCGTACCACTGCACTCCAGCCTGGGCGACAGAGAAAGACTCCGTCTCAAAAAAAAAAAAAAAAAAAAAAAAAAAAGCAAATTCAAAGGCTCTGAGTCAAGAGCAACTGGGCAAGTTTGAGAAGCACAGGAAGCCAGTATGGAGTACAGTAAACAAGAAGAGAGAGAAATGAACTGCTGTAGGAAAAGTAGCTAGGGGCTAAATCACATACAGTCTTGCAAGGCAAGTTTAGGAAGAGAAATTGACAAAACTTGGCATTTCGTTAGATATGGAATGTAAAGGATTTTAAGAACTCTAGTATATAAAATCAGTTCATTCCAATTTTTGTCATTAGAAACTGAAGGTATGGCCATGACACTCATAAGAACAGGTTCAAATCAGTGTTACAGGTGCTACAATAAAAAGAATGTACCACAAAGGCACAAAAAAAGGAAGCATTCAATACCATTTAAGGTGGAAAGTTAGTACCCCTAGAGAGTAGCTAACAAATAACGCATGAGTTGAATATGTGTCTTCCATGCTAAGTGGGGTCAAAGCTAGGAAGTGTTTGGCTGGGAGAACATTCCAAGCGAAGAGCACAGCACAAACAAAGGCACAGAAGAAATAGAAATATAGTAGTCAGAATGAAGAATGAAGAGGTTGCATAAGATCAGAATGTGCTTAATGAGGTCAGACTCTCTTAGGCTAGGCCACATTGTCCCACTCAGCTGTGCCCCACGTATCCTCCAAGTGATGGTGCTAGATGATGATTCAACTAATATTTTCTTCTGAATTTACGTACTTTGTATTTGGCCAAAGCATCTTCTAGGGGCTTTCGAAATTGTTTAGAAACTGTATTGAAACTCGGAAACTGAATCTGAGCGAATTGACAAGTATTAAGGAGGAACAAAACAATATCTTTCCGAAGCCATAATATCTGGAAGGAAGGAAGCTAAAACTTGTTAGATAAATCAGACTTTCCTACAAAAGAGGGGTTTGGATAGATGATCTGAAGAATTCAGGTTATAGCCCAGACAGGTTGCACACTGAAATTCTAATTCATTTGAGCCTTAATTAGAGGTTTATGGACACATTATTTTTAGATTTGTTGTATTTTATTTTCAAAATGAAAACAAACTGAGGAAATAACATAAACGTTTACTACTTCATAATTTACTCTTACTCCTGTTTGGTAAGTTTTATATTATTGTTTCTTTAATTGCTAAAATAAGGGGAAATGAAATTATTGTTTATCATATTTTGACTTTTCAAATTAAGCATTTTTTCCTTTCTATACACTTTGATTTTTATCATTTCTCCTTACATTGTGTTTTGCTCACCTTGGAAGAAAAAATTCTTTTTAATAAAATTTCTCTAAATAAGTGTAAATGGATTTTGTCTATTTCTTATGCTGTGAAATTTTTGCCATTAAAAATAGGTGGGAATTGTACTTAGTGACATGTATTGTGGTTCATTCTAACTGTCTAGGTGTTAAATTTAGGCATCACATATTTAAATAATTTGAATTGAATAATTTAAAGGATCTATAATATATTTTAAAAAGAAAAAAATTTTCATTAAAAATCTTGTTAAAGAAATGGAAAAAACCATAGTAACTTTTGCTGGCTGAGCCTCTATTTTATGACTGTCTGCCAAGTATTATTATCAGCATTATTGAAAATGCATTTCAAGGCATTTTTGATTTAATTATAAATATATTGTTTTTAAAAAACAATTACAATGGAACTATAAGAGATTTCAAATATTAAAATTTGATATTTTGCCCAAAACAAAATTAAAACACGATAAGACTATTTGTTTCACAAATATATAAAGCCTAGCATTAATGAACATTATGAGACACTGGGCTAGACTTCTTACAAACATTTCTCATCTGATTCCAGTGCCACACATTATAAGCCCAAAGGTACAGATGAAAAAAATCAATGCTCAGGAAGGTTAAGTAACTTGACAGATTTTACAAAACTGTTAGCTTTTTGTCGACCTTCCAGAATGAAGAATATGAGTGGGCAGGAAATGGCACAAGGAAATCACTTTTAAAATAAGGAAATAAAATGGGAAGCCAAAAAACTAGGGGAGAGATGCTTTTATTCCTTTAAGACCTGAATTAATAATATTCTCATCAATATTATGTACTCTTTCTATTTAGAAAGGTAACATATAAACAACTTTAACTCTTTTATCCACTGATAGTATATCTGTGGTGTTATTCTGTGGTTATCTTTGTGGTTATTATTCCACATAATAGATAAAGTAGCCAATGTGTAAGCCTGAAAAAATACCTTTGAGAAAAAGTTTACATTATATTGGAGTAATTAATAAAAAACTTTATTAAACATAAAAGATTTGGAAAATATTTTCCAATATCAATAAATCATAAAAGCAGTTTCGGTCTACCATTTCATTGCCTCTTCAATATTAATTTTAGCTTAACCAAATAATAAAATAAAATGTCAGTATTCATTTTGGCACCTATATTATATTCTTAAGTACATTGAATGTTTTAAACTATACCATATTTTTAATTATGTTGAAAGCTAGCTGTAGAAAATACATAGAAAGACTAATAGAGAATTAAACAGTTGTTACTTTTTAAAATCCAGTTACATATGCCTAGGTAATATATATGTTTAATAAGTCTTTCATGCTGCAGATGGCAGCAACACTTCACATTATGATGGCATTGCTTAGCTACACCAGCAGAATCTTGAAAATACAAATTTCTATTGAGTATTCATTTTGTTCTTTCTGTAATCTGGGAAATAAAACACATCAATTTTGTGTGTAGAAGGGTAAAATTTGATGTTATGTTTTTAATAAACTGAGAAACACTATATTTGTTAATGTATTATGCACATGATGAAAGTTTAGTAATTACTATTTTTAATGAGCAGACTGAATTGATGGACAGTTTCCATCAATTTAGTGAATGCATATATTCCTATTTTTCTAAGGAAACTGAGTAACATTGGCGTACCAAACAGTTAAATAAAAGCACCATAAAATCAAGCATATAATTGAAAGTAGAGTCCCAACTCTGATTTTCTATTTGTCATTTAAGAGCTAAACCATCAGTACACAAAATCTAAAATTATTTAAAATTATACAGAAAATCCACTCATTTTTGGTCATTTGTATGTTGCATCCTGATCGCCTTCAGAGGAAATGTATAGGCCAAACCAAGACACATCCATGGAGTCAAGTCCCAGTTTGGTGACTCAAGGTCATTGAGCAAGTGTGAGTAGGTCTAAGAATGGATACAAATGCCCCACCATTTTAAATAGGCTTTTAAGGTAACAAGATGATAAGAACATAAAACCATAATATTCTATCTAGAGTTAAGGTCAGGGGTCAGAAGCAGGAAAAAGCAATATAAATGTAGAAAAATCAACTTATCGTATGTTGACTTTTAACCCAGGCTAAATGTTTAAATAACATAGCTATTTTTTAAAAATATCCATACCCAGACCTCATTCTGTACCAATTAAGTCAAAATCCCTAAGAGTATCTTTTAAGTCACTTAATTCTTTTTTTTAAAAAAAGACTAGTAATTCTAATGTACAACCAGTGTCATAAACAATTTCTTTTCTAATGCTGACAAAATAGTATAACTTTTATTTTTAATTCCGGATTCAAAATTTGGCTTTCAAAACTATAGTAATCAGTGTCTGGCTTACTTATATAGACTTTATTTTAACCTGAGCCTTTATATTATAGTACTGTAATGTCCCTCTAGAATCCCATTATAGATCTCTAGCCTATTATCTTTAAGCAATAATAATAATGATATCATCTTATTTTTTAGAATTATTTAGAGTATTTCAAAGCACTTCCACACATATGAATGGCCTGCACTGGACCTCACAAGAAAACAGAGGGTTTCAACTGTGCATAACATCAGAGATGACCAGGTGCAACCTCCATATATTGAAGACTTAGAAAATGAGAAATATAAAAATTAAATTACTTTGTTTTACTTTGTGCCCACAAGTCTTTTTATTATACAAGAGTATATGCAAAAAGACTATACATAAATATATAAAATGCTCAACATGGTAAATTGTTTAATAAATTATGGTTCACATATAGAATGGGGTTCTGTTTTCTTAGAATGAGATTTTTAGATGATAAAATACATAGAGAGATAGACAGGATGGAAATTATTATATAGTTGGTAAAGGAAAAGCATTTACTTTGCATGTGTGCAGAACTATGATTCAATTCTTGTAAAATTAAAAAATAAGTACATATAATGTGCGTGTGTGTGAGAGAGAGAGAGAGAAAGAGAGAGAGAGGGAGAGGTGGAAAAGGTTAAATTTCCTAATTGCTACAGCAGAAGCACAGGTATGCAAATCACCTAAAAGCCATATTGATTTTTTTAAGATATACATTTAAAAGAATGCCAGCCAGGATATAGATCTACTCTAAGGTATTTCAAATTAGTAGCTCACCTTTCAAAACCATGAGATAACTTTTTTGATCAACAGAAATATTGTAAAGATTTGAGAGAAGTATTAAGCTCCTAGATCTAACTCTGGGGAACCCATATGATTGTGATCAAATTCAGAACAATGCATATTTTTTGTGGAAAATAAGTTCTTCCCAAGGGCTGTTCATAAATTTAACTTAGTCAGACAACCTTAATGAGCGAGGTTATTCTGGCCTACAAAACACAGCTGGGAGAAATGGACATGCAATCATCAATAGGAATATGTGTCTTCCTGATTTTTGGCAGCCAAGTCCCAGAAACACAGTTACTGGCTCTGACAGCGTCTCAGTACAAATAAGAACTACAGGAACTAAGACAGTTTGGTTCTTAGTAGAAATTAAAAAAAAAAAAAGGAGTACATAGTCCAGAAATGTAATGATGCTTACTCTATATGGAAAATTAATTTATGATAAAATGATGTTTTTCAAAGGAATAAGTCAATAAATAAATGACTATTTATTCATTGAATAATCATTCAATAAACTCTGGTAAGGAAAACCTTAGCCAATATGGAGCCACTTTTGTTTAGCTAGTGCATTTCCAAACTCCCTTTTGTCCATATCAATCTCAGAGGCTAAATGTGCTGTCTGTGTGTGTGATAGAGAGAGAAAGAAAGAGAGAAAGGAATATGAAAATGTTATGTTCCTTATTTGCTACAGCAGAAGCATAGGTACGCAATCATCTAAAACCATGTAAGATATTTTTGATATACGTTTAAAAGCATGATAGCCAGATTATAGGTCTACTCTACAGCCCTACAACTATTACTTTCTCAGCTTCCTTGTATCTAGGGGCCCCATGTAGTCAGGTATTGTCAATGAAACATAACCATAACTCTATTAGGACTTTCAGTAAAGCGTTTACTTTTCTGTAAAAAGAGGAAGATGTTGCTGGCTCTATTTTTCTGATTACTTCTTCCTCCAGGGAACACAATGTGATACCTGAATATAGAGCAATGATCTTGTGTGAATAAGTCAACAAGCCAATACTCTAAAAGTGTAAACCAAAAAACATAGAAGGAACACAGGTCTTTGAAGATACGATGAAATTGTTTTCCCTGTCCTGGACTACCTACCTCCAAAATTCTTAGCTGAGACCATTAAAGGTGTTATTGCTTAAGTCACAAGTGTTCAGGTACACTGTAACATGAAGCTGAAAATATTGTTATCTAATATGACCATTAAGAAAAATTAAAATATGATTTTAGGCCACACACAAATATAAATCTAGATATAAAAATAGAGAAATAAAATTCAACATTTTCTTCTTATGCAATAAATTAAAAAACAACTAAGGCAAATGAAAACTAAGACAATTGAAAAAAAGCTTACAATATAAAAGAAGACACAGTGTTTATCCATAATGAGGAAAGAGCTTCTGCAAATATATGAGACAAATATACTGAAAGAAAATAGGAAAAGCACAGGAACATAAAAATCACTAAAAGAAAGTATTAACAGCCAGTAAAAATAAAATTATGTTCAAATTCTCTATTAAAGAAATGAATCAGAATAGAAGATTCAAAAATCTGAATTATCCATTGTTATCAAAGATTCAAGAAAGTATATACTCTTGGCAGTAAGGTAAATTGATATAACTAATCAGGAGAGAAAATTTGCTTCAAGTGCATTTATTTTAAATGTATATTTTAGTCGAGTAAGCAACTTTGCCTATAGATTTGCTAAGTAATCACAAAAGCTTCCAAAGATGTGTCAGGGTGCTTGCTGCAACATTGTTTTAACATTCTCAGTAAAATAAATGAAGACATACTAAAGTTCACCAATGGTGATTTAGCTAATAAATTATTGTTCAAACATAGAATGGAATTGTCTCCTCTTAAAAATGAGATAGATTGGTAGCCAAGCAGATGGGGGTGGAAGGGAAGGAAGCAGGGATAAAAAGTATCTGTAATATTGTTGGTAAAGGAAAAACAAACCCTTTTCATAGCACGTGAACTCTGAAATGAAATTGAATGAAATGAAATAATTCATTTAAAATGTTAATAAAAATAATTACATGTACACTAAATAGGGCATTCTAAAATTTAAAAATCTAGAATACATACCAAAATATTGACAGTAATTATTTCAATGTAGGGTCAGGCATAACGGGGGGAATTAAATACTACTTTAAATAATTCTGTGTTTTTAATTTTTTGAACAATAAACCCATTTAATATATAGCTCTAAAAATACATATAAGCACACACGGCTCATACGCACACAATTGTTAAAGTACAACTATTTTTAAAAACAATTATCCAGATTTGCCTCATAAGGAAAAACTTGTGACATTTGAATTCATAGGAAAAAACTTAAGAATAAAATTTGTTAAAATAATGTCTTTCTTTTCTACATGACTACTGTCAACCTTTCTTTTCACTTGTTTCTAAATGAACCCATCTCTGATACATATCTATTTCATTTTTTCATTGATGTATTTGTCAGAATGTCTAACTCATAAAGATGTATAACTTTTCCTGGGATTTATCACACTACCCAACATATTTGAATCTCAACTGTTAGTATTTTATTTCACAAAATTCAGTGGTGATTTGATTTGATATGGCATCAATCCAACATGAGTACTCAAGGTGGGAAAGATATATTCGTCCTTTTTTAAAAGTTTTTTAAATTGTTATTTTTTATGGGTACGTTGTTGGTGTGTAATTTATGAGGATGTATGTGTCCTTTCATCAAAATATATACTCTGAAATTACTTGGTACCTAATTTACCATCAATGCATACTATAATACTTTCATTACTATTTCATTTTACGGCACATAAGTGCAGTAAGAAGAGAAGTTGAGAAGGTGGAATTCATTTCTTAATGTATTGGTCTTGAGGTGCTTATGGAACATCAAAGTCCAGAAAATTTGCAAGTACCTGCCAGGAGAATGCTCTAGCTTAAAGTTTTGAACTTAGAAAGTTAAACTATGAGTGCGTGACATAAAACCTTGAAGCTATATAGCAGGAAAAGATAAGTGTCAAAAGTCGAAGAAAGCCTTGGGACACCATACTTTAAAGAATAGAAGAGTCCACAAGGGACAGAGCAAAATTACCTGGAGAATAGCAGGAAAAACAAAAGTCTGATGCTTTAGAAATTAAGAGAGGAGAGATTTCTATAAAGTGGGCAGTGATTAACCAGGCTAAATGCTACAGCGAGTTAACAAAAAGATAGGATTTAGTTATTTTCTTTGGATTTAGATCTTAGAATATTAGGCCTTGGAGAAGGCAGTTTAAATTTATTTTGTTGAGGGTCCTAATTTAATGCATCTGGGCAAAATGAAAAGCAAGAAAGCAGATAAAATGGGTGACTTTTAAAAATGTAACAAAAATAACTTGGAATTAACATAAAAAGGTAGTAACAACCACAATGATCTGGCAGAGGGTAGCACTGCCAGGTCCTAATGAAGCAGGGACTATTTTATTTTGCTGCAGAGGAATTACTGGAAATATAAGCAAAGCCCAGAGAATAATAATATAAAAACAGCTTAATAAACCTGTTATTCTGGTAAGAGTGAGGTACTTATTCCAGAATCAAAAGCCTGAACATTATGCTGATCATGAGTTAAAAGATTAAGCTCAGATATAACTTTTCTGGAGTTATAGAAAAAACACAAAGAAAAATGAAGAATTAGATAAAGAATTAGAGCTTCTAACTTTCAATAAATTCTTCTATATGGGTTGCATGCAAAGCCAGATGTCATGGTTCCATATTAGATTTTAGAAAATATAATTTATCTATTAAAGTTAGCAGTTAAAATTTTAATTATGTAGAACCTAATTATAGAATTAGAAAATAATTTAGAACAGAATGTAGTCTGGATATTGACATATTGTATTTACATTAAAATTGTATCTGTCATTCTAAGGGAAGAAATTATTTCTTCTTGTGTGTTCACAACTGTCACTATCTTATTCCTAAGCCTGCTTATTCTCCCTGACACTAGCCTCTCCATCTTACAGTCCATTCTCCATATAATTGCTAGATTAATCTTTTTTTTTTCTTTTTTTTTGAGATGGAGTCTCCTGAGACACCAGGCTGGAGTGCAGTGGTGTGATTTCAGCTCCCTGCAACCTCCACCTCCTGGGTTCAAGTGATTCTCCTGCCTCAGCCTCCCAAGTTGCTGGGACTACAGTTTTGTTTTGTTGTTGTTGTTGTTGTTGTTTTGTGGGTATTTTTTTTTTTTTTTTGTATTTTAGTAGAGATGGGGTTTCACCATGTTGGCCAGGATGGTCTCCATCTCCTGACCTGATGACCCACCCTCCTAGGCCTCTCAAAGTGCTGGGATTACAGGCGTAAGCCACCGCGCCCGGCCTGGATTGATCTTTTAAAACCAAGTGTCTGAAAGTGCCTTTTAAAGTTCAAAATGGCGCACTGAAAATAACTTGTCTCTCCTCTCTCCTAAGTCCACAATACAATTATAGCAAATGCAAATGCTGATAGAAAAAACAACCTCTCAAATTTACCTCACAAATTTTCGTGTCATCCTTGTGCAGGGACCATGCTAATCTTCTCTGTATCGTTCCAATTTTGGTATATGTGCTGCCAAAGCAAGCACAGGATATTTTTAAAAAGATATTCATAAATTCTAGGCTGAAGTTCCAAGTCATATTGGAACACTGATAGATGGAGGAATATGTGAGCCTATCATTCAGATTAAATGTGCACATGTGAACAGTCTATGATGGAGAAAAGTCCTTATCCCAGGGAGCTACCTGGCTCAAAGACAGCAATACCAGGCAAGGTGGGAGTACGAAGAACAACTCAAAACAGAGTTAATTGAAAGTCTGTATAATGAAATATGCTAGTCAGGTGTCCCACACCAACCTCACTGCTAGTCTCTTCCTTATCTCAATGAACACTAAGCCTAAGCAGCCCAGCATTATACTTTCAGGAATCCAAATTAGTACTCTTATTGAATCTTAATTAATTGCACAGGGAGAACTAAGGTTTTGAAGTTTCTGGAATGGCTTCCCATGCCAAAGGATGGCACTCTCCTCATTTTAGCATCCAAAGAGCGATCTCCTCACCTGCTCACCCTAATTGTGATAAGCACTGTCTCTACCTTGGTTCCCAGTCCTAGTCCTACTAGTGGGAGAGACCTAGTAGAAAAATGGACATATACGACAGAGAAAAATAACAAGAGTCACCGGTCTTCCATTCTTAAATATAAGTGAACTAAGAACCACTACATATATGAAGCATAGAAAACCAAGACAACCAAAAAATAGGTGACCAATGAAGAAACAAATGTAAATCAAAAAACATAAAAAAATTTTAAAAACAAAATTCTACTGTATTTTGAGGAATTTGAAAAATTAATACATCCATTAAGGAAGGACAAGAGGGTCTGAAAAATAAATAAAAGGAAATGTAAATTACACATGCAATATAAACATATTACTACGTTCCTGGAATGGCTATGATTTAATATAATAATCCAAAGAAAATTTTCATTTTCTATTTGAATTAAGAGTTTTCACTCCCTTTCCAGGAAATATTTTAACATAAGTTCTAATAAGAAGCATAATCCACACATTTTAAATATTATGTCTTTTAATTCTCAAAAGAAGGTAAATATCAGCAATGAAGACATCACTAACCAAAACAAAGTAGTCAAAACATGTAGATTTCACATAAACAAATGTATAATCAGTTGCTGACTGTTTTGCTTACATATACTTAATAAATGCACCAGTCACTGTGCACTTTGGCACAAGAATTAGGAGCCAGATTTGTGTATTGGTAAAATAAAATAAAACAGAAGCTTAATTTTTTGTTTGATTTCATAACACTATAAAAGAAAGAAAAGAAAAATTGTAAATGTATAATCCACATGAATGATTCACAAACTGTCACAAGTAATTGACAAACTGCTAGCTGTTTTCTTAGATATTAGTATTACTTTTCTGAAACAAATAAAAATTCTATCAAATATATATATATTATAAAACATTTCCAGCTATAGGAAATTAATGTTATCTCCTTCTTACCCACAGTCTTTAATAACCACTATGAATGAACTATTCAAATTTTCCATGAGATGAATGTACAAAAACATTATTGTATTGCTTTGTATTATAAATAACATGGATTTTGCAAAAATAAATACCATAAGTAAAGTAGAATGGATTTTTTAAAACATGCATTCAATAATTATAAAAAGATTTACAGTGAGTCACTCTTAGAGTAAACTCTTTGGTATGACTTATGATTCTTTTTCATTGTAGAAGGTAAAACATATTTCAACTTTTGATATTCAACTTTTAATTCTATCCCTTTGTTCTCACAAAATAGGGTCCACCATGTGCATTTATGAATGCAACAGACGTTTATATAGGCACATCACTCACTGTATTTATGCCTGGTTGTGGCTTCCAGAGAATACCAAAATGTAAATATCTTTGCAAGATGGAATGTTTCCGTTATTCAAACTGCAAATTGAACAGCTGTGAGGGCTGAGGAATTATCAAAAATCACCACACAGGATGCAGATTTTAATTCCTGCCCTTCACACATTTATGCACAATTACAAGAACAAGAAAACAAAAACAAACCTGCACATGTATTAGCCTACAAGAGAGGGAGGCAGTGAAACCTCAATGTTGAAAAGCTGAAATACGAGTATAACACCTTTCAAATTCAATTCTGAAGCAAAAAGAATTACATCTTAATTTTAAATCTCAGCCTGACTAACTTTATTCAAATTTAACTATGCTTGAGGCACTCTGATTTTCCTGCATTCATTTATGCTTTTCCCTCTCCCTTAGTACATTTTTTTTCTATTTTTCTACCTGCCCAAATGCTCTTCATATTTAGTTTTTGTTTTTATTTTTGAGGCAGGGTCTCACTGTCACCCATGCTGGAGGGCAGTTGTGTGATTACAGCTTATTGCAGCCCTGAATTCTGGGCTTAAGAAATCTTCCCACCTCATCCTCCTTGAATAGCTGAGACCATAGACACATGCCAGTATACCCTGCTAATTTTTTTTTTTTTTTTTTTTTTTTTTTGTAGAAATGGGATCTCAGTATCTTGCTCAGGCTGGTCTCAAACTCCTGTCCTCAACCGATTCTCAGTAAGCCTCGCAAAGTGCTGAACAGGCATGAGCCACCATGCCTGATTTACTTTATCTTTTAATGTCAACACAGTTTCTGCCTCAAAATTGTTCTCTAATTTTTGTCCAGTGTGTGTTACTTTCTCCATTCACTTCATGCAAAAAAAAAAAGTAATGGTAAGTTTATTATGAAATTACCATATTCTACTGTGTATTACAGCTATTTACTTTCTGTCTCTGATGCACTTTCTTTATTAGACTGTGAGCTCGTTCTGGGCAGGATTTGACTCAGAACCATTTTTGTGTCTGTTCCCCATGGTGTCAAGAACACTGTGCTTTGGATATAATTAATTTCCATAAACATCAATTGTCTTATTGTATACCAGATGAAAAATTTAAGCAGATACTTGTAATATCAAAGACTTGACTAATATTCATCATTGAAATTTCACAATGGAGAGTATGTCAATCATCCATTACAACTTTCCATGTAAAATGAACAAACAAACAAACAGGAGTTTTATGTAACTACAAGCTCAGGCAACTGCCTAGAAAGCCAAACATTTACCGAGATAAATTGACAGAAATGTATGTCCATAACATAGGGGTAGCTATGGCACTGCATGTGTCAATAATTGAAATGGTTTGGCTGTATCCCCACCCAAATTTTACCTTGAATTGTAATAATTTTCATGTGTCAAGGGTGGGGCCAGGTGGAGATAATTGAAAAATGGGGTCAGTTTCCCTCATACTGTTCTTCTGGTAGTGAATAAGTCTCATGAAATTTGATGGTTTTATAAATAGAAGTACCCCTGCACAAGCTCTCTTTCTTGCCACCATGTAAGACGTCCCTTTGCTCTTCTTTAATCTTCTGCCATGATTGTGAGGCCTCCCCAGTCATGTGGAACAGTGAGTCCATTAAACCTCTTTCCTTTATAAATTTCCTTTATACCAGTCTAAGGTATGTCTTTATTAGCAGCATCAGAATAGACTGATAAGTAAATTGGTACAGGGTAGTGGGGTGCTGCTGTAAAAATACCCAAAAATGTGGAAGTGACTTTGGAACTGGTTAACAGGCAAGGATTGGAACAGTTTGGAGGACTCCAAAGAAGACACGAAAATGTGGGAAAGTTTGGAACCTCCTAGAGACTTGTTGAATGGCTTTGACCAAAATGATGATAGTGATATGGGCAATAAGGTCCAGGCTGATGTGGCCTCAGAAGGAAATGAGAAACTTGTTGGAACTGGAGCAAAGGTGACTCTCTATGTTTTAGCAAAGAGACAGGTGGCATCTTGCCCCCGCCCTAGAGATCTGTGGAACTTTGAACTTGAGAGAAATGATTTAGGCCATCTGGTAGAAGAAATTTCTAAGCAGCAAAGTGTTAAAGAGGTGACTTGCGTACTGTTAAAAGCATTTGGTTTTATGCACTCACAAAGATATGGTTTGGAATTGAAACTTATGTTTAAAAAAGAAGCAGATCATGAAAGTTCAGAACATTTGCAGCCTGACAATGTGATAGAAAACCCATTTTCTGAGGAGAAATTCAAGCCAGCTGCAGAAATTCTCATACATAACAAGCAGCCAAATGTTAATCACCAAGACAATGGGAAAAATGTCTACAGGGCAGTACAAAGGCCTTCACGGCAGCCCTTCCCATTACAAACTAGGAGACTTAGGATGAAGAAATGGTTTCCATAGGCCGGGCCAGGGCCTTGCTGCTTTATGCAGTCTCAGGACTTGGTTCCCTGCATCCCAGCTGTGGCTAAAAGGGGCCAACGTACAGCTCAGGCCGTTGCTTCAGAGGGTGCAAGCCCCAAGTCTTGGTGGCTTACACGCAGTGTTGGGCCTGCAGGTACATGGAAATCAAGAATTGAGGTTTGGGAACCTCCATTTAGATTTCAGAGGATGTATATAAATGCCTGGATGTTGAGGTGGAAGTCAGCTGCGAGAGTGGAGCCCTCACTGCTAGGGCAATGTGGAAGGGAAATGCGGGGTGGGAGCCCCCACACAGCATCCCCACTGGGGCACTGCCTAGTGGAGCTGTGAGAAGAGGGCCACTGTCCTCCAGACCCCAGAACAGTAGATCCACTGACACATTGCACCATACACCTGGAAAAGTTGCAGTCAGTCAAAGCCAGCCCAGGAAAGCAGCTGGGAGGCGGGCTTTACCCTGCAAAACCACAAGGGCAGAGTTCCCAAGACCATAGGAACCCACCTCTTGCATCACTATAACCTGGATGTGAGACATGGAGTCAAAGGGGATCATTTTAGAGCTTTCAGATTTTACTGCCTCACTGGATTTCAGATTTGTGTGGGGCCTGTAACCTCTTCATTTTGGCCAATTTCTGCCATTTGAAATGCATGTATTTACCCAATGCCTGTACCCCCATTGTATCTAGGAAGTAGCTAACTTGCTTTTGATTTTACAGGCTCATAGGCAGAGGGCAGGCTCTGAGACATCTGCCTTGTCTCAGATGAGACTCTGGACTGTGGACTTTTGAGTTAATGCTGTAATAAGTCAAGAAGTTGGGTGACTGTTGGGAAGCATGATTGGTTTTGAAATGTGAGAACATGAGATGTTGGAAGGGCAGGGGTGGAATGATATGGTTTGGCTGTGTTCCCACCCAAATCTCATCTTGAATTGTACTAATCTCCAGGTGTCAAGGGTGGGGCCAGGTGGAGATAATTGAATCACAGGGGTGGTTTCCCCCATATTGTTCTCATAGTAGTGAATAAGTCTCATGAGGTCTGATGGTTTTATAAACAAAAGTTCCCCTGCACAAGGTATCTTGCCTACCACCATGTAAGATGTGTCTTTGCTCTTCCTTTGTCTTCTACCATAATTGTGAGGCCTCCCCAGCCATGTGGAACTGCGAGGCCATCAAACCTCTTCCCTTTATAAATTACCTAGTCTCAGTTAGGCCTTTATTTACAGTGTGAGAACAGACTAATACAGTGATATTACATCTTGGATGTTACAAACACTATTATTATTTTTTCTTCAGTAGTAAAATATCTAAACTGTAGTTTTAGAATTTGGAACACATAAATATAACATATATTATAAAACATAAAATGGGTTTGGGCAATATCAAAATATGAGTGTCACTCAGTAACTTAAAAACAAAATCTTAAGTTGTATTAACTTCCAAATTTTATGTCTACTCAATAGATAAACAGGTTATTCATTGGTTGACACCTGGGAGGACTAAATAATACATATTCACTATTCTGATGATATTTCTAGGAGACCAAAAAAAACTGGTAATAGAACATAAAAAATGTTCTGTGGAGAAATTAAATAGTTAAAGAACAAAAAGAAACCTCTACAAATTTTGGAAATACCTCAAAAAATCATATTTTAAACAAATCACCATATAGTGTGGAAAATTGATGGGCAAGCCCTGCTGCTGAGATCTGCTATTTTACTTCCTCTGGCATAAATATAAATATACTATCTGAAAATCCCCAGACATTTAAGAAAATCCTCAGAAAAACAAAAATCAAAACATAAAATAAACAGAGACATTGCGAGTAGCAAGAAAAAAAATTGGGGAAAAATCCCAATTAATAAGATAATAATATCTTGTGGAATATAAAAAAAAATCTACCTAACAAGGATAAGAAACTTTTTTTTTGTTTTTTTGAGACAGAGTCTCACTCTGTTGCCAGGCTGGAGTGCAGTGTCACAATCTTGGCTCACTGCAACCTCCAACTCCTGGGTTCAAGCCATTCTCCTGCCTCAGCCTCCCAAGTAGCTAGGACTACAGGTGCACGCCACCATGCCCAGCTAATTTTTGTATTTTTATTAGAGAACAGGGTTTCACCGTGTTGGCCAGGATGATCTGGATCTCTTGACCTCATGATATGCCCACCTCGGCCTCCCAAAGTGCTGGGATTACAGGCGTGAGCCACTGCTCCTGGCCAAAACTGTTTTTTAAAAGGATATTTGGGGGAGGCAGGGGGAGATGAAAATAAGATACTAAAATTTAAAATTAATTTAGTGTCAGAAAGATAAATTGAGAAAACCTGCCAGAAATTTAATCAAAAAAAAAAAAAAAAACAGGAGAAAAATAAGGAAGAAAAGAAATGAAAGGGGGAGGGAGGAAGAGAGAAAGAAAGAGAATAAAAGAGAAAATTAAATTTAAATATCCTATTGTGAAATGGCCATGGGTTTACCTTGGCCAGTAAAAAGAGAAATAACCATTGCAAGCAAAGCTACTCTGTTTTTTTGTTTTTTGTTTTTTGTTTTGAGGCAGGGCTCAGTTGCCCAGGCTGGAGTGCAGTGGTGTGATCTCGGCTCACTGCAAGCTCCGCCTCCTGGGTTCATGCCATTCTCCTGCCTCAGCCTCCCGACTAGTTGGGACTACAGGCGCCCACTACCACACCTGGGTAATTTTTTGTATTTTTAGTAGAGACAGGGTTTCACCATGTTAGCCAGGATGGTCTCGATCTCCTGACCTCGTGATCCACCCGCCTCGGCCTCCCAAAGTGCTGGGTTTACAGGGTGAGCCGACCATGCTGCTCTGATTCGGAAGGAGCTAATCTTGGTAGCTTTTATGCTCTGTTTCATATTTCATGAAGGCGATTTTCCCCCTGGATTCCTGGGTTTTGCAACTGTGGATTCAACCAAGTGCAGATCAAAAATATTCAGAAAAAAATAATGTAATAGAACTTCAAAAACCAGAACTTGAATTTGCTTTGCCAAGTACTATGTAGAATCCACACAAATGAAGTAAAACGTATGGATTTTAATAGATATTGTAATAATCTAGAGATTATTTAAAGTGTAGAGGAAAAAGTTTGTAGATCACATGCAAATACAAGACCATTTCATAATAAGGGACTTAAGCATCCACAAACTGGGATATCTGAGGGAGGTTCTGGAACCACTCCCCCAAGGATTCCAAGAGACAATTGTACTCTTTTTCAAAATAAAATATTTAATTTCTTCTATGAAAAAGAATTATACACTGGGTGTGATGGACACATGCTTGTAATCCCAGCACTTTGAGAAGCCAAGGTGAGCAGAACTCTTGGGCCCACCAGATCAAGACCAGCCTGGGCAACATGATGAAACCCCATCTCTACCAAAAATGTAAAAATTAGATGGGCATGATGGACCACATCTTTAGTCCCAGGTGTTGGTAGCCTAAGCCGGAAGGATCAGTTAGCCTGGGAAGTTGAGTCTGTAGTGAGCCATGATCATGCCACTGCACTCTAGCCTGGGCAACAGAGTGAGATTTTGTGGAAAAAAACAAAAAACAAAAAAAAAACTATATATAATTTGTAAAAGAGTTCCATAAGGTTTGACTGTGTCCCCACCCAAAATCTCATCTTGAATTGTAATCCCCATAATTCCCATATGTCAAGGGAGAGACCAGGTGGAGGTAATTAAATCATGAAGGCAGTTTTCCTTATGCTGTTCCTCTCAAAGAAAAAGTTTCCCTTATGCTGTTTTCCTGATCTCATGAGATCTGATGGTTTTATAAGTGTTTAGTACTTCCTCCTGGGTTCATTCTCCTTTCCGCTGCCTTGTGATAAAGGTGTCTTGCTTCTCCTTCACGCTTCTGCCATGACTGTAAGTTTCTTGAGGCCTCCCAAGCTATACAGAACTGTAAGTTCATTAAACCTCTTTATTTTATAAATTACTCAGTCATGGACAGTTCTTTATGTGTGAAAGATGTGCTAATACAGTAAATTGGTACCCACAGAGAGTGGGGTACTGCTTAAAAGATACCCGAAAATGTGGAAGCGACTTTGGAACTGGGTAACAGGCAGAGGTTGAAACAGTTTGGAGGGCTCAGAAGACAGAAAGATGTGGAAAACTTTGGAACTTCCTAGAGAATTGTGGAATGGCTTTGATAGTGCTACGGAAAATGAAGTCCAGACTGATGTGCTCTCAGATGGAGATGAGGAACTTGTTGGGAACTGGAATAAAGGTGATTCTTGCTATGCTTTAGCAAAGAGATTGGTGGCAATTTTCTTCTGCCCTAGAGATCTGTGGTACTTTGAATTTGAAAGAGATGATATAGGGTATCTGGCAGAAGAAACTTCTAAGCAGCAAAGGGTTTGAGATGTGACATGGGTGCTGTTAAAAGCATTCAGTTTTAAGCATTCACAAAAAGATGGTTTGGAGTTGAACTTATGTTTAAAAAAGAAGCAGAGCATAAAAGTCTGGAAAATTTGCAGACCAATCATACAATAGAAAAGAAAAACCCAAATTCTGGGAAGAAATTTAAGCAGACTGCAGAAGTTTGCATGAGTAACAAGAAGCCAAATGTTAATCGCCAAGACAATGGGAAAAATGTCTCCAGGGCATGTTAGGGGTCTTCATGGCAGCCCCTCCCTTCATAGGTCTGGAGGCATAGGAGGAAAAAGTTGTTTCACGGGCTGGGCCCAGAACCTTACTGCTTTGTGGAGTCTCAAAAGCTGGTTCCATGTGTCCCAGCTGTGGCTAAAACGGGCCAACATACAATTGAAGCCATTGCTTCAGAGGGTACAAGCCCCAAGCCTTGGAGGCTTGCATTTGGTATTGGCCCTGCAGGTACACAGAAGTCAAGAATTGAGGTTTGGGAACCTCCACCTGGATTTCTGATGATGTATGGAAACACCTGGATATCCAGGCAAAAGTTTGCTGCAGGGGTGGAGCATTCATGGAGAACCTCTGCTAGGGCAGTGTGAAAAAAAAATTGGGAGTTGGAACCCCTGCACAGAGCCCCCACTGGGGCACTGCCTAGTGGAGCTGTGAAAAGAGGGCCACTGTCCTCCAGAACCCAGAATGGTAGATCTACTGACAGCTTGTACTGTCCACCTGGAAAAGCCACAGGCAGTCAATGCCAGCCTGTGAAAGTAGCTGTGAGGGGGGCTGTACCCGGCAAAACCACAAGGGTGTAGCTGCCCAAGGCTGTGAATGTCTCCTTCTTGCATCAGCATGACCTGGATGTGAGATTTTGGAGCTATAAGATTTGACTGCCTCTCTGAATTTGGGACTTTCATGAGGTCTGTAGCCCCTTTATTTTGGCCAATTGCTCCCATTTGAAAAGGGTGTATTTACCCAATGCCTGTATCCCCATTGTATCTAAGAAGTAACTAACTTGCTTTTGATTTTACAGGCTCATAGGTAGAAGGAATTTGCCTTGTCTCAGATGAAACTTTGGACTTGGATCTTTTGGTTAATGCTGGAATGAGTTAAGACTTTGGGGGACTGTTGGAAAGGCATGATTGTGTTTTGAAATGTGAGGACATGAGATTTCAGAGGGGCCAGGGGTAGAATCAGGGGTAGAATGATATGGTTTAGCTGTGTCCTCAGCCAAAACCTCATCTTGAATTGTAATCTCCGTAAACCACATAATCCCCACATGACAAGGGAAAGACCAGGTGGAGGTAATTGTATCATGGGTGCAGTTTCCCCCATACTGTTCTCATGATAATGAGTGAGTTCAACAAAATCTGATGGTGTTATAAGTATTTGGTAGTTCCTCCTACATTCATTTTCCTTCCTGACACCTTGTGAAGGACATGCCTTGCTTCCCCTTTACCTTCCACCATGGTTGTAAGTTTCCTGAGGCCTCCCCCACCTGCAGAACTGTGAGTCAATTAAACCTCTTTCCTTTATAAATTACTCTGTCTTGGGAAGTTCTTTATAGCATTTTGAAAATGGACTAATACAGAGTTCTCAAAGTACTTTGCAAAGGTGACTCAGCTCTATCATAATGGGAGATAATGCACTTCTTTTGGGAGGTCCCTCTGTAACTCATATTCTATGGTTATTCCAGGTCTCAAGGGTTTTGTGTGTGTGTGTGTGTGTGGGTACATAGTAGGTATATTTATGGGGTAAATGAGATGTTTTTAAGGTCTCAAGTCTTCTCCAAAAAATGGATTCTGAATTTTCACAAACTCTAATCCAAAATAAGTATTTCCACAGCATATGACACTGATAGCTTTTGGGGTCATTTGGAGCTACTGCAGACCTGTATCAAATTATTACCTGTGAGAACTAGGTTAAGCACCAAAAAAGCACCATTTTTCCAAATCTCAGGACTTCAAACAAGCATTTTTATAGGCAAGACAGATGGTAAAGTTTATCTTGATTGATTCTTAAGGACCTGGCCTCCAAGATAAGGAGTTAGCTTGCGGAACTTCTGATATAATGCTGAGGGCGACTCAGAACCATCCATATGATAAAACAGCTGCAATTGCAATGGAGTTCAATACCTAGTCATACCAGGATTATAACTGGTTCTCCCTCAAGCATGAATGCTGAGTAGAGGAATAGTGCTGACAACCAAGGTTCTGACATATCTTACTGCTATCAGGATTAGATTATTTTCAGGAATGATAACCAAAATTATCACTGGGATGGCATGGGAGCCAAGCAATTAGAATAGATGCTGTGATTGATGGAATTCTAAAGATTTCATTCCAAGTTTTCCTTACCCTGGTTATTTGATCAAACACTAGTCTAGATTTAACTAAGGCTACAAATCAGTTGACCTTAAGATGGGAATAGCATTCTGGATTATCCAGGGGGGATTCAATGTAATCACACGAGGCCTAAATAGCAGATGAGGCAGTCAAAAAGTTGCATCAGAGATGGAGGTCAGACAAATCGCTGGCCCTGAGATGCAGGGGTCCCTATGGCGCTAAGGATGGTTCCCCAGCTGACAACCAGCAAGGAAGCCAGGACATCAGTTCTACATACTCAAGGTAATGGATTCTGCCAACGACCTAAAGGAGTTTGGAAGTGGATTCTTTCCAGGGCTTCCCACTAGTAAGAGCCCAATTGACCAAGACCTGCTTTCAATCTCATGTGACCCGGATCAGAGAACCCGCTTATGATGGCTAATATTGATGGTCAACTTCATTGTATTGAAGGATGCAAAGTATTGTTCCTGAGTGTGTCTGTGAGCGTGTTGCCAAAGGAGATTAACTTTTGAGTCAGTGGACTGGGAGAGGCAGATCCACCCTCAATCTGGGTGAGCACCATCTAATCAGCTGCCAGCACAACCAGAATAAAGCAGGAAGGAGAAGATGGAAGAGCAGACTTGCTGAGTCTTCCAGCTTTCATCTTTCTCCTGTGCTGGATGCATCAGACTGCCTCGAGCATCAGGCTCCAAATTCTTCAGCTTTTGGACTCTTGGGCTTACACCAATAGTTTTCCAGGAGCTCTCGGGTCATTGGTCAAGGACTGAAGGCTACACTATCAGCTTCCTTATGTTTGAGATTTTGGGACTCGGACTGATCCACCAATGGCTTCCTTACTCCTTAACTTGCAGACGGCCTATTGTGTGAGTCAATTCACCTCAATTACCTTGTTATCGTGTGAGTCAATTCACCTCAATAAAGTCCCTCTCATATATGTACATATATCCTATTAGGTCTGTCCCTCTAGAGAACCCTGACTAATAACACCACTCAAGCCTACCCAGATTTTTGACATACAGAAGTGTGAGGCAACAAATTTGTGTTGTTACATGCTGCTGAATCTGTGGTAATTTGTTAGAACAGCAATAACAATGACAAAAAAAAAAAACCACTAAAAAAGTGTCAACAAATTTGTATAACTTGCATGCAGGCACATAACTGCTAAATATCAGCCCAGACTATGCCATAAAATGTTTTACCTAAAACTAGTAGCACTGCTGTCAACATAAATAGCAAAGAGAGAGGCTCTCTAAAAGACAAGATGTTTATTTGAGAATACAACATTGCAATTAGAATATGCCTGCTGTAGTAAACCATGCTCATATTCAGGAAGGTAAAGAAAGACAAAGGTTTTTAATGGAAAAAAAGTGAGGATTACAATTTTTAATGGAAAAAAATGAGGGTGACATAAATATTTTTAAATAATTATCCTTGGCTACAAAGATCAATAAGAAGGGTAACACCATTCTGAGGTTGGACAGGCAGTTGCTGGGCAGACTTTTTTGCAGAAGTACTTTTTGTGTAAGGTTGTGGTGGCCTTTGTGCAAGGTTGTGGTTTTGTAGAGTCTTTTTTTGCTATCAGGCATGTAAGCACGAGAACCTTCTCTTCATGGCCTTTCCAGGCTTTGTTTGTCAGGATTTTCCCAATGGAGTCATTAGTGATTCCATTTTGATTCTGACAACTTTCATAACACCAAGCTAACTGCTGAAATATAGAAAGCTTGTTTGTTGCGTATTTATTTCTGCATTCTATCTGCAAGCCTATATGGATAAAATAGATACCAGACTCTTCATTGTCCTTGTACACTAGTTCCATTTTGTTTCACTACAGGACTGATTACCTAGTAATTTTATTCCTAGGATTCTAACTCACACAAATAATTCTAGATGCTCATATATTTGATGTATAAGGTTGCTCACCATGTTATATATCATAATAATGCTTAAATATATTATGGTATAATTATTAGAAGAAATAATATGGAAACCTTGAAATAGATTTGTAGGGATCCAATTGTCATGTATAATTGGAAAGTAGGAAAGTAAATTGTATCAACAGTCTGAAGTGATTTTATTAAAAATACAAATAGACTGCACACACAGAGAAGACTGGAAAGAAGCACATTATGTTTGAGAGGTTATTAATATGTGGTAAGGTTTTAGGAATTCTTATTATTTGCATGTTTTACAAAAGTTCTATTTATTATTACTTTGTAATATATAGAGCTTTTATAAAATAAAAAGGTAATTAAGAAAACAACAATAATCTGTAGAATTAGCCTTCTATTTATATATATGTCTAACTCTACATACTTCCTTGCCAAATTAACAATTTTGCACTTTAAAAATAAAATTGACCTAAAGGGCCTAGCATTGGTTTGAACACAAACATTTTAGAAATATCTGAATTTAGAAATTACTTAGTCCACTGCATCGCTCTGAAAGAATACTTGAGACTGAATAATTTATATATTTTAAAAAATGTTTATTTGGCTCACTGTTCTGCAGGTTGCAAAAGAAGCATGGTGCCAGCATCTGTTTCTGGTGAGGGCTATAGGCTGCTGCCACTCGTGGCAGAAGGGGAAGAGGAGCCAGTGTTTCTAGAGATCACGTGATGAGAGAAGAAGCAAGAGAGAGAGGAGGGAAGTGCAGAGTGAGAATTCACTCATTACTGCAAGGATGGCACAAAGCCCATTCACGTAGGATCAACCCCCATGACCTGAGCACCTCCTTTTGGCCCCATCTCCAACATTAGAGATTAAATTTCAACATGAGGTTTGGGGGAAAAACATCCAAACCATAGCAAGCAGCTTCAAGAAAAGCTTAGGTATATGACATATTGCCCTAGAATCATCACCTCAATTTGGCAGTTTGCCATTTCTGTTCTTCATGTCACTATTGCACTAGTCCCTTATGAGCATTAACATATTCTGAACACTGAACATGAGTCTTCTACTAAGTCACAATAAATAAAGTCTTTTTTATTTTTCATCCTACTACTTCATAATTTTTGAACATGTTAAGACAGTACAAACTAGAAGGCAATCATTGGAAAATTGCTGTCTTAATTTCTCACTTTAAGTAACATCTTATGTAAATGACATCTATATAGAATAGTTTATTGGTGATTTTCCTTTTCAAATTCTTCATGCTATTATTATTTCCTTGTATTAACATTATACATATGAAAATAATATTCGTATGCCAAGACCAGCTTGGTTGTGGAGACCCTAACCCAGCAGTGCTAGAGGAATTAAAGACACACACACAGAAATATAGAGTGTGGAGTGGGAAATCAGGAGTCTCACAGCCTTCACAGCTGACAGCCTCAAACAGAGATTTACCCATATATTTATTGACAGCAAGCCAGTCATAAGATTTGCTAAAAGTATTCCTTACAGGAAATAAAGGGATGGGCTCTGGCTAGTTATCTGCAGCAGGAGCATGTCCTTAAGGCACAGATAGCTCACACTATTGTTTGTGGTTTAAGAATGCCTTAAGCTGTTTTCTGCCCTGGGTGAGCCAGGTGTTCCTTGCCCTCATGTTTGTAAGGAAGAGTTTTAAATTAAGTTTATTATTTTAAAAATTATATAGATGTGCTTACAAATACATACAGACTATATTTATCAAAACTACTTTACTTCTTCAAAATCATTTTAGCCATCTAATTTAAAGCTTAATAATCTAAGTACATATCAGCTTTCATGAATAAAAACATCTTATTTTTCATGTATTTTATCCTAGAAGTAGATATATAAATCAATGTTCATGTAAAAGCAAATTTGGTAAAATTCTTTCTGGGTGTGATTTGTGATATTGTGAGGTAATAAGAAGTACGTATTTGATTTCTGCCCCTGGATCCCAGCACAGAGCTCCTAAAACTCTCTTAATTTCTTGAACAATAGGAGTGTTAGGTGCATCTCTTGCTAGATTCTTGGTCTTTGACCCAGGTTCTTGATGCAGAGACCCTCATTAATCCCTTGGAATTTACTGTATGATAGGAACATTTCTTGTTCTAAAGAGATAACTGTTGGTGAGCTCCCAGATAGCCTCAGGAGGAGGCTGGTTACCAAGAGAGACAACCATGTGATTAGAAGGTTGGAACTTTAAAGTCCCAACCTCTAACCTCTGGGAACACAGGGAGAGAGGCTGAAAGTTGAGTAGATAAACAATGGCCTATGATTTAGTGAATCATGCCTGCATAATGAAGCCACCAAAAAAAGGACTGGGTTTGGGGAGCTTCAGGACTGCTGAATCCATGTAGGAACCTAGAGGGTAACACACTCAGAGAGGTTATGGGAACTCCATTCTCCCTACCCTAGACCTCACCCTGTGCATCTCTTCATATGTCCATCTGTATCCTTTATCATATCCTTCATTTATGTAATAAATCAGTAAATGACAGTATTTCCCTGAGTTTTGTGAGCCATCCTAGCAAATTAGTCAAACCTAGGAGTGGGTCATGAGAACCTGATTTACAGCCTGTTGGTAAGAAATATAAGTGACAACCTATTGCTCATGATTGGCATCAGAAGTGGGGGTGGCATTTTTTGGGGACTGATGCCTTAACTTGCAGGATCTGACTCTAACTCCAGGTGGACAGTGTAAGAATTGAGTTGAATTACAGGACACCCAGTTGGTGTCCTTTTGGCATGTGAAGAAAAACCCATAAACATCCATTGTCAGAAATTGAGTGCTGAGTAGTGTGTGAGAATAGGAAAAACAAATTGTTTTTTCTATCTCTTACAGACTGTGAGGGTATTCCCCGAAGAGATTATTGTTTGCATTTAGTAGACTGAGTAAAGGTCTCTCTCACCAAAGTGAGTGGGCAACATCCAATCCATTGAAGGATAGACTAAGTCAAACAAAAAGGCAAAGGAAGAGGTGATTTTGTCCTCTCTTCTTCTGCTAGGGCATCCATCTTCCCCTGCCCTCAGAGATCAGCATTTGTGGTTCTCAGGCATTTAGACTCTGGGACCCACACCATTGGCTTCCTTGATTCTTAGGCCTTCAGGCTTGGATCGGAACTACACAACTAGCTTTTTTGTGTCTCCAGCTTGCAGATGGCAAATTATGGAGCTTCTCAGCCTCCACAATCCCAGTAGCCAATCTCTCACAATACATCCTTTGTATCATCTGTATGCTTCCTGTTGGTCCTGATTTTCTGAAGAACCCCGACAAATACATCTCATATCTGAATCTTAGGATCTTCAGTTAATAGGGTTTCAAAGTGGTCTCGGAACTTTATATTAAAATGCCTCTTCCCTTCTTTTTGCTTGTGATACCTCCAGGAAAATTTATGTTTCCAATTAATAAATGTTGAGTTCACTGGATTCGTGGTGAAGTGATCCCCCTTTTAGGTTTTCATTACCTATTATGGTTAGTGATCATGATATTTGCCTATAATGTCTTTTGAGTAAGCTTGGTTAATAGTAATTGAAGTAACTTTTAAAAAATTCTAAATTTTTTGTTTGTATTTCATTATCTTCCCTTTTATTCTGCAAACCACTGAAATATAGTTTCTACCCCCACTATTTAAATAAAATTGACCTTTCTGTAATTGGTAGTGGCCTTTTAATTGTTAGAGCCCATAGAAACTTTTAAATATTGAACTAAAAGTGAGAAGAAATCTATCAAAATTCTTTTTTTTTTTTGCTTCGATTTCTAGCTTTTTTTCTTTTAAACCTAATAATATTTGTCTCTTAAGGTGGTCATTCAACAATTGGCTAAATAAGTAGAAACCTTTAGGCCCCAAATCTAACTGTTTGGTTTGGGAGGTTTGGATTTGTAGTAAGTGATAATTGTTTGCAAAGTGAATAAATGAAGGCGTCAAGTTCATCAGGTGGTGCCTGATAAAACCATAGCTGCAACTGGCTAGCCTCATAGATAGATTCAGCCTGTGCCTCCTCCCAGAGAAACCTGATGCAACAGCATGCTCACTCCCTTCCTGCTGGCTAAAAGAATGCTCTCTCTTTCTCTCCCCTGCCTGAAGAAAAAATGATAACTACTTTAGTAAATCCAGAAACTACACTGTGAGATCCTACTTTCTTTCCATCCAGATAGCATCGGCACAGTAGGCTTCAGATTGTGGCATAACATTGTGGGATATATCTTCCGATTACTGACTTTTTTTTCTTTATGGAACTGGGCGATGGGGAGCATAGTCAATTAGACACTGTGTTTGACCACAAGGTATATGTAAGCACGCTTTCACTGTCATTAGGTGCAAACAAAAGGACATGATACTATGTGAACTGTGAGGCGGGACTTGACCACGACAGCTACAATTTCTTTTATTTCCTTGCAATTTGTGACACCATTCATCACTTCCTTATGTAAGTCTGTCACATCTTAGTTTCAGAAAAACCACACTGCTCTCTTACACATCTTTCTTGGTCTTCCCTTTCAGTTTGCTTTAGGAAAGGTTAACAAACCCATGGTCTTTAAACATAGGTGTCCCAATTTCCCATACTTGAACCTCCTCTTCATGCAATAACATTTCAGCAGTGTTGCTCTGTCTAAACCATGGGTTCAATTACTGTGCATACAGCTGTTTCACTCCTAAGAGGTAGGCAAGCTTATCTTAATAAGCTATCAGTTTTTCCCACTTTGATGTCCCATAAGCCTCTCAAACTAAATTAATCTAACCAGACCCTCCCCCCAAATCTTCTTCTGCATTCCCTCATATATACATATATGTGTGTGTGTGTGTGTGTGTGTGTGTGTGTGTGTGTGTGTATGTGTACTATCAATTGCCCAACGTGGAAACATTCTTAAGACAATTCTCTTCCTTCCTCTCCCTTACATTGATTGAGTGGCCAAGCATTGTCTATTCTTTTTCTAAAATCCCTTAGAGACCTCCCTCCTTTTTAATTTTACTTAACATCACCTCACTATTTTAGTTCAGGATTACATTATTTTGATTTTGAATTGCAACTAAAGTGATCTAGCAGCTTGTTTTTCCTATCACACAAATCATTCCTCACAATGTCACTAATTTAGTCTTTCTAAAACAAGAGCTTGATAATGTCTTTCTGATACTTAAAATTATATCATTTTTCAATCTATCCTCCAAGATGAAAGCCAATGTCCTCTCCATGGTATATGGCCTTACACCAGTGACTCCTTCCCAATCTTTCCAGGGATTATTAGTTTGGATAGTGCTAGTTGCTATAACAAATTTTCCAACAGAATTTATTTCTCCCTGATATGACTATCAAGGTGAGAGTTTTGACTAATGGACAGCTTTTATTCATGTGGAATTTCAGGTTGGAGAGATTCTTTGTTTTGTAGTTCAGCCATCCCTTAAGAGCTCATCATCTTCTGCATCAAATCAATGGATGGAAAATAGCAGTGAAGGCTCACCTATTAAAAATTCTTGCTTAGAACTTAAATATTTGTTTCTTCTCACATTCTAACTGGCTAGAATTCAGTCATGTGACCACACCTCTATGCAAGGAAATACAGTCCCAGGCTAGACAGCCACTTCTCAGCAAGAATTGTATTCCATGAAAGAGAGAACAATAATTTTGATCCACAGTTAATTGTCTCTTCCTCAAGATCCAGAGTCTCTGTAAATTCCATACTTTGCTCCATCTTGCACTATAGTTATGCTTAACTGCTTGTATTCTTCAAATACACCATGGCCTTCCTTTGCTTGTGTTGCTGTCTTTTGCTTTTGAATATCTTCTACTCTTCTTTCAAAACTTAGTTGAGAAGGCTTGTCCTTCACAAAGTCAGCACAGAAACGTTATTTCTGGATTAATACCCTCCTTATGTATTCTATATTTTTCTCTTGCAATATGGTGCTTGGAAAATCTTGATAGGTTCAGTCTAATTTCTGTGCATTATTACTCTAAAATGTCCATTTTCTCTTTCTCAGTGGGACTAAAAAACATGGGTATTGAAAATCTGGCTTACTAAAAATGATTGTTATTACAAACTTCTGGAAGTGTTTTTGTTACAGCACTAGGATTTAAGATTTTATAAATACTTGTGATCATATATCCGGCTACAGTTTGTTAAAGAGGGACTTTTATTTTGGCCTTAATCTTTAGTGAAAATCTTCAGAAGATGGTGTAAATATTTCTTAATTAATCACAAACACATTTCCTTGTATTTCTGGGCAGACACTAGACAGCATCCTCCAGCCTCCTTCTCCATTAAGTGTGGCTGCTATCCAACTGAGTTCAGACCAATACAATGGAACCAGAAGAAATATGTGTCAATTTCATGTGTGGCTCATAAAAATCTCCCATATACAATCCTTTTTGTCCCATCATGACTGCAGACTCAATGTCAAAGCCCAGAACTACCTGGGAAGCCATATATTAAAGATGCCAGAGCTTCCATTAACCTGGGTTCCTAAATGATGCTGTGAAGCAGAGTCCTCCACTTACAAAAAGGAACATTTCCATGTAATTGTTTTATAGCCAAATTTTAAAATTTTATTTGTTATTAAAGTCTTGGAGTTGATGGTAATGTCCCCAGCATTACCCAATATAATTGGCCCAATGTTGATTAATAAAAAATTGAGAGGCCGAGACGGGCGGACCACGAGGTTAGGAGATGGAGTCCATCCTGGCCAACATGGTGAAACCCTATCGCTACTAAAAACACAAAAATTAGCTGGGCATGGTGGTGCATGCCTGTAATCCCAGCTACTCAGGAGGCTGAGGCAAGAGAATCACTTGAACCCAGGAGGTGGAGGTTGTTGTGAGCCGAGATAGCACTACTTCACTCCAGCCAGGCGACAGAGCAAGACTCTGTCAAAAAAAAAAAAAAAAAAAAAAAAAGGAAGATTTTTGTAATTTAGGTGACATTCAGGCACCCAGTTGTCAGGACTAGTGATTCAAAGTGAAAATTTCCTTCTTCTGCTGTTTCCCATAAAGCTCTGTTATATCAATTCTTCCTTGGAGCTGTGGGAGTCTTAGAGGTATTGATTCTAAGCCAGAAAAGAGAGTTAAGTGCAATAAAGATTTTAGAAGGAATACTAATAAAACCTCAGTAGTACAATGATTTTTGACTACAAATAAACTTCGATAGCTCAAACAAAAAGCCATTATCATAAAGAACTACAACCATAGTATAAAATTAAAAAGAAACCCCAGCATGCAGAAGAGAAGAGCAATAAAGAAGCTTGCTTGAATATGAAATCAGGTCAAGAGCAAAGAGAAATATCTATAGAGTTTATAACCACAAGCCAGCTTTCACGTAATGAGTCATCTGAAGCTATGTGAGTCCTGCATGAGTGTAGCAGGTCATCAGTGCCTCACGTGCCCTTGGAAAGATATGTAGAACATTTTGTATCCACCATCCTTAAGACTTGTTCTCCCATATTCTGTGATCTGAAGATAACTGTCATAATTCCATATGTCACTGCCTTATATAAGAGAGAAAGAGGCATATTATACACTTGCATGTGTATTTATGTGTGTATGCGTGCATATATATATATATATATACACACACACACACACATACACAAAAGCCCTCTTCTTGAGGGCTTCTAGGAAAGGGTTTACTGCTTACATTTGCATATGCCCTCAATTATACAAGTCAGTCAAAGGAGAATAGAATCACTATGATTGTCTATTACTCAAAATTCATCCTTTGTGCTATGACCCTCCTCTTATGATGCACTGTTACACAATACCTGAAAAAAATAGAGTTCTTTCAGCAAATGCTTCTTAAAATGTGGTCTATTGAAAAGAATCATCAGCACCCTACGGAAAATTGTTAGAAAAGCAAATTCTCAAAGCACATCCCAGACTTACTGAATCAGAAAGACTAAAGGCGGGACTCTGCAAATTTAGTTCTAATTAGATTTCCAAGTGATACTTATGCATGTTAAAATATGGGAAGCACTATTTTACTCTGTCAAAGCAAATACTGAGTTTTATTTAGGCAAACAATAATTTATATGGTATCTGGATGTTTTCTAATTAAAGATGGTACCTTTCATCAGAGACTATAATAAAATGAAAATGAAGACAATTAAAACAAAATAAAGAACCCAAAAGCTGTAAACACCACACAGACTATGAAAAGATGAGAATTTACTGTAGCAAGTGAGATTTCAACAAATTTGAGAAAATGGAAGGGAGAGGCAAAAGTGAAACTGATTTTGCAAGACTCAGAAAGTCACAACCTAAAGTGTGTAAAAAGGAAAATAAGATTCAGGAGATCCACCTTAACTCCACAGAAATCCAAAGAGGCTGAGGACTTAGTGGTGTCAAATAAAAAGACAAAGTTATAAATTAGCAAGTAAATTGAGGATGCTTGAAGGTCTATTCACAAGCCAATTCACCCAGCCTAACTTACTACCTCCACAAAGAGAATGTGGTACCACCCTAAGCAAAGGATAGATTTCTTCTGTGTAAAATTGGCAGAAAAGTTTTGGGATTCAAAATACACTATTCATCAGGGAAGGAGAGGTTGAAAAATATAGAAAATGAAAGCTACTGGATTTCTACTGTCTCCTGCCCTTTTGCAGCAGAAGTCCATTAGTCAGGAAGGTAAACCCAAAGCAAATGCTTACCCTGTGGCAGGCACCACCCTAAACCTTTTATGTATTTTAACTTTCTGAAGTTTCAAAAAATGTTATGAAGTAGATACTATTACTACCCTCATTTATAGATTTCAAAAAGAGGCACGGAGGCTGTCAGGTAACTTTCATGAGGTCACAGGGATGGTAAGTTGAAGAGAAAGAGATCAAACCTAGGTGGTTCAGTTTTCCCTCTTCCTTTTTCCACCATGTTTTCTCAATTTCTTTTTCCACCTTCCTGTTCTCTCCTCTCACTTCTCTTAGTAAATCTTCAAACATGTGTTAACCTTGGTTAGCAAGATAATGGGAATAAAACTAGGGAGTGAAAAGGACAAGATTTCACTTCTTTTCTGCATTTGCAGCTTTATTGTTTGGAAAAAAATCACATTACTTTTGTAAATAACAAATTTTAAAGGAAAATAATTATTCCTTCAGTTCAATAAATATTTATTTATTACATGTCTCTATGCCAGCTGCAGGGCTGGAAAAATAAACATTCTAAACAAATCTGGTTGGTTTGATTTCAAAACATATTTAAAATATCATTTGGTATAGTCCCATTTATTTATTTTTGTTCTTGTAGCCTGAGCTTTTGGTGTGATAGTCAAGAAATCTTTGGCAAGGTAAATGTCAAGGAGCTTTTCTCTTATATTTTCTTCCAGGAGTTTAACGGTTTGAGGTCTTACATGTAGGTCTTTTATCCATTTTGTTTTTGATTTGTTTGTGTGGTGTAAGACAACAGTTCAATTTCATTCTTTTGTATGTGAAAATCCAGTCTTCCCAGCACCATTTATTCAAGAGACCATCCTTTCCTCATTGTGTTCTCTTGGGGCCCTTGTGAAAAATTAGTTGACCGTGTATGTTTGGATTTATTTCTGAGCTATTTTGTTCCATTGGTCTACATATCTGTTTTTATGTCAGTGCCATTCTGTTTTATATAAATTTGTAATATAATTTTTAATTAGGAAGTGTTATTTCTCCAGCTTCAATTTTTTTCTCAGAATTGCTTTGGCTATTTGAGGTCTTTTGTGGTTTCATACAAATTTGCATTGAATCTATATATTACTTTGGGTAGTATGAACATTTTAACAATATTATTTCTACATCAAACCAAAAACTTCTGCATGGCAAAGGAAACAATCAACGAAATGAAATGGCAACCTATAGATTGGAAAAATATATATCTGCAAATCATGTTCTCAGAAAAGGGTTGAGTTTCCAAGATTTATAAAGAACTTATACAACTCAATAGCAAGAAAACATATAACCCAATTTAAAAATGGGAAATGGACTTGAATAGACACTTCTTCAAAAATGACATAAAAATAGCCAACAGGTATATGAAAATGTGCCCAGCATCACTATTCATCAGAAAAATGCAAATCAAAATCACTATGAGATACTACGTCATACCTGTTAGGATTGGTATTATCAAAAAGACAAGAGATAACAAGTGTCGGCAAGGGTGTAGAGAAAAGAGAATCCTTGTACACTGTAGGTGGGAATGTAGGCTGGTGCAGCCGTTATGGAAAACAGTACGGAGGTTCCTACAGAAATTAAAAGTAGAACTACCATATGACCCAGAAATCCCTCTTCTGGGTATATACCAAAAGCAAATGAAATCACCGTCTCCTGAAGATAGCCGCACTCCCATGTTCATTGCAGCATTATTCAGAATAGCCAAGATAATAGAAATAATCTAGGTGTCCATCAATAGACAACTGTATAAATAAAGATACATATATTCCATGTTGTGTGTATACACACACACAGATACACACAAAATAGAATATTACTCAGCCTTATAAAAGAAGGAAATTCTGCCAGGTGCTATCACATGGATGGACCTGGAAGGCATTATGCTAAATGAAATAAGCCAGACACAGAAAGAAAAATTTTGCACAATCTCACTTATATGAAATTAAGAAAAGGTCAAATATATACAATAGTGGTTTATAGCAGGGGTCCCCAAGCCCCAGGCCACGGACCTGCACATGTGAGGGATCTAGGTGCATATTTCTTAGGAGAATCTAATGCCTGATTATCTGAGGTGGAGCTCAGGCAGTGATGCTAGCATCGGGCAGCAGCGGCAAATACAGATTAACATTAGCAGAGAGTTTTGACTGCACAGAGACCATAATAAATACATTGATTGCAGACTCATATCAAAACCCTATCAGTGAGGGGCAAATGACAAGTGACAATTAAGCTGTGTCTGGAGGCAGGCTTTATAGTGGAAAATTGATGTACTTCAATTGTACAGTTGCATCTGGTGGCAGGCTTTAAGTCAGAATCCAACACTTATTTTAGTCTGTGCATGGCCCACCCATTATTTTACCACTTCCATCTGCACCTCTTTTCCACACTGTGCACTTGTCTTAGTCACAGTTTTGCTAAGCCCACAAGCTAACCCTTGTGAAAAACAAGGGTTTTTGTTAAAAAAAAGTTTTTGTTAAAAACATCAAAGTGAGTGAAAAACAAACATCACTGGACAGCTTCTTTGAAAATGGGGAAAAACCCAAAGGTGAGATAACAGAAGACTCTAAGACTGCTAACAAAAAGAAAGCTGCACTTAAAGGAAAATGCCAAGAGTCCTACTTAAATTACAGGTTCATTGCAACAGGTGGTTCACATTCTCCAATCCTGCTTTGTATAATATGTGGTGACCAACTGCCCAATGAAGCCATGAAACCTGCAAAACTACTTTGCCACATGGAGACCAAGCACTCTGCATTAAAAGACAAGCCTTTGGAGTTTTTTGTTTTGTTTTGTTTAAAAAAAAAACAGAAACCATGAAACCATGAACACAAAGAACACATAGAAGCAATTATTGAAGGCCACCATGTCATCAAATGTGTCTGCACTGAGAGCATCATTCATAGTGGCTAACTGCATTGCTAAAGCTAAGAAGCCCTTTACTATTGGTGAAGAATTGATCCTGCCTGCTGCTAAGGACATTTGTTGGGAACTTTTAGGAGAGGCTGCAGTTCAAAAAATAGCACATATTCCTCTTCTGGCTAGCACCATAACTAGATGAATTGATGAAATAGCAGAGAATATCGAGGTACAATTGTTAGAGAGGATTAATGAGTCACCATTAATCCTCTCTAGCAATTGGTATGCAATCCAGGTTGATGAGTCTACTGATATTGACAACAAAGCAACAATGCTTTTTTGTGTGTGATATATTTTTCAGGAAGATGTGCACAAGGATATATTATGTGAATTTTTGTTGCCAATCAAAACCACAGCTGAAGAACTATTTGTCTTTGAATGATTACATATCAAGAAAACTGAATTGGTTATTTTGTGTAGGTATATGCATGGAAGGAGTGGCTGCCATGACTGGATGGCTTTCTGGTTTCACTACTCTGGTCAAAGAGACCAGAATGTGAGTCTATGCACTGTGTCATCCACAGAAAAATGCTGGCTAGCTGAAAAATGTTACCTGAACTTAACAATGTTTTGCAGGATGTGACAAAAATAATCAACCACATTAAAGTACATTTTCTTAACTCACATCTGTTTGTGCAGCTCTGTGAGGAGATGGACACTGGGCATGCATGTCTTCTCTTATACACAGAAATGAGATGGCTTTCTAAAAGTAGATCACTGGCTGAAATTTTTGAATTATGAGAGCTGCTCCAGAGATTTATTTTAGAAAATCAGTCACCATTGGCGGCACATTTCAGTGACACAGAAAGGGTTGCAAAACTTGCTTACTTGTGTGATGTATTCAACTCGATCTATGAACTCAACTTGTCGCTTCAGGAGAGAAGGACAACTGTGTTCAAGGAAGCAGATAAATTGGTTGCATTGAAAGCCAAACTGGAATTATGGGGGCAACGAATGAACATTGAGATTTTTGACATGTTTCAAACATTAGCAGAGATTTTGAAGAAGACTGAGCCAGCAGCTTCTTTCTCTCAGCTGATGCATGATCACCTATCTTAGCTTTCAAAAGAGTTCGAGCATTACTACCCAACCACAAAAGAACCCTGAACTGGGAATGAATGTATCCATGACCCATTTGTGAGTAAGTCAGGTGAATCGATTTTGTCCGTACTAGAAGAGGATCAATTGCTTGAGATCACAAATGATGGTGGCCTTAAAAGTATGTTTGAGACAGCTTCAAATCCCATGTTCTGGATTAAACTCAAGGTGGGATATCCTGAGATTGCCACAAAAGCACTGAAGAGTCTGCTTCCATTTCCAACATGCTATCTTTGTGAAGCAGGATTTTCTGCAGTGACAGCAACCAAAACAAGATTACGGAGTAGACTGGACATAAGCAACACACTTCTGGTGTCACTGTCTCCCACCGTTCCCAGATGGGACCTTCTAATTGCAGGAAAACAAGGTCAGGGCTCCCACTGATTCCACATTATGGTGAGTTGTATAATTATTTTATTATATATTACAATGTAATAATAATAGAAGTAAAGTGCGCAATACACGTAATGTGCTTGAATCATCCTGAAACCGTCTGCCACCCGGCCCTGGTCCATGGAAAAATCCTCTTCCGTGAAACTGGTCCCTGGTGCCAAAAAGGTTGGGGACCACTGGTTTATCCAGGGTCATCCAGGTTGGAGTGGGGTCAGGAGAAATGGGGAAATTTAGGTAAAAGTATACAAAGTTACAAACACGTAGGATGAACAAATGGGAAGACCTAATGTACAACATGAGGGCTATAGTTAATGATAGTGGTATTCAGGATTTATGCTAAATAAGTAGATTATAGCTGCTCTTGCCCCAAGGGGGGAAATGTGTAATTATAGGAGTTGATGGATATGTCATACAAATAACTTAAATACACAGAATAAAAACTATTTTAGTTTAAAAAGGAACAATATTTATAAAAAAATAAAGTGAGCTCGAAAACATTCAAATAACTGCTTAAAAATTAAAAAGTAATATCACATAATTTAATAGAAGGAAAGAAAGAGCAAGACAGCAAGAAAGAAAAGGCACCATAAAGAAAAACAATTTTGGCCCCTCCTCATTTGTAGTCTTAAGCTGCCTCTACTCCCTCGCCTTGAAAAGCCACGGGCTTCCGAGGGATGGAGGTCAAAGCCAGAGTAAAGAAAGTTCCCGGGGGAGGCCACTCCCCAGCTGATGACTTTCCAGTTCCAGTTAGTGTCGGAGTCCCAGTTCCTCTCCTTAACCACCGGACAAACGTCTCTGGAGTCTCTCCAATGAGCAAGAAAGCAAGTCGGGGGTAGGGGAGGGGCCTCACACCAGGGGGTGGGCGCAGTCCCTCCTCCAGCTCCTTCACCCTCCAGTAGTCTCGTGGGTCCCCGAGCGCCAGCGCGGGAACCGGGAAAAGGAAACCGTGTTGTGTACGTAAGATTCAGGAAACGAAACCAGGAGCCGCGGGTGTTGGCGCAAAGGTTACTCCCAGACCCTTTTCCGGCTGACTTCTGAGAAGGTTGCGCAGCAGCTGTGCCCGGCAGTCTAGAGGCGCAGAAGAGGAAGCCATCGCCTGGCCCCGGCTCTCTGGACCTTGTCTCGCTCGGGAGCGGAAACAGCGGCAGCCAGAGGTGCGCGGGCGGCTTTCTCTGCCGCCTCCTGGGGACTTGGGCGCGGGAACTGCGCGGAGCCTGCGCTGGGGCCAGGGCCGGGGTCAGGTGTGGAGGGCAACTTGTGGGGAACCGGCGCGAGGGCCCGCAGGTTGTGTTTGCTGCTCTGGGGGTGGAGGATGTGGGGTGAAGGTTGGGGCCAGAAATGCAAGAGGCCTCTGAAAGGGACCCTGGAAGTGGAGCAGGTACACGGCAAGGGGCCCCAGGCGGCCCAGCGGCACCCGGGCTCACCCCAGAACCATTCGAATGACAAGGGGTGCCCTGCCTGAAAACGCCTTGCGGGGCTCAGCTTCCCCTTAGCTACACTGCTTTACAGGTAGAGAGCGGCCCTGAATCCTGGGTAGAGTCTGGGCTCAGGAGCATGTGCCAGCGTAGTGGGGCTATTAGAAGGAATGGTTAATACAGCCTGCAAGCTGTCATTTATCAGTAAGTATTCAATGAAGTCCGCCGGAGCCCACATCTATGCTAGGCCCTCTACAATACCAGCTTAGGAAAGATAGTGGCGGTATCTAGCACGGTTCCTAAGACCATTAGCTCCAGTCAGGCTCCCCGACTTTAAATTCGGCCTCTACTGCTTCACGTCTGTGGACTGTCAGCCACTTTCTTCTTATATATGTTCTTTCCATTGCCTCATCTCTGAAATTGTGTAACTATTAAATGAGCTACAGAGTATTAATGTAAAATTCTTAGAGCAGTGCCTGGCGCTACAGAAAGTACTCAGTGAAAGTTAGCTCTTATTATTTTAAATATTTGACAAAGTTCCTGCTTCTCCAAGCTGATTCTCTGGTTCCCAGGTGGTTTCATTCATGCACTGTTATTCCTGGAAGTCTTGGCATGGCCACTTCCCAGTTCCAGGAACAGGCAGTCGTTGTTTTTTCTGGCTTATCACATTGAGATACATGGTTACTACAAGTGACACTTAAACGTGTCAGACAGTTTGGGGGCTCCCTTCTTGAACTTTTTCTAAGAGCAAACCTTTGTCTTAATGCCACCCTGTTTACAACAATAGTAGGGCTTTGAACAATGAGAAAATGCGGGGAAATGAAAAAGACATATAAAGGGAAAGAGTGGATTTATGCAATTGGATAGAAAAGTGGCATGTAAAATAGCTGGTTTATAGATCAAACTGCCTTTAGATCTGTAAAGGAGCTTAGAGTACATACAGGTGGAGAGACATCAGATGTGTGTGAGCAGACCCTTATGTACTTCTCCATCTTCATCTCTAAGAATGTCTCCCTCTTTTGCTCTGTAACCTCACTCGTCTTCCTTTACTTGAATGAGGGACGTTCCTCCAGCTCAGGAATTCTACCTATGGAGTTCCCTCTATCTATGATGCCCTCCAACACCCCACCCACCATACCTCCATAGACTAGTTGATTTGAGACTTCCTTCATCTCCTAGTCTGACTTTTCTTAAACCCCCTACCACCATCTAAGTTAGTGCCCCATAACCCTTTCTTATAGCAACATTAATTTTATTTATAGCACTTAGAGTATTTTTAATAATATATTTAATTCTTAATTGTCTGTCTCCCCTAGTGTCTAGGTATTGTGCTCTAGTGCCTGGTATAGTGCCTTGCATGCTCTATGCCTTCAATTAATTCCTTTAAAACCACACAAGCTTTATATTTAGTGAATATTTATATAGGAAGAATTTCTATGTGTATATATGTGTATCTGTGTATATACACACTGTATTGCACTGCCCTGAATAGTGCTAAATTAAAAAACCAAAACACTTTTTAATCAGAACTTAATAGTTGCACTCTTCAATTTTCCATATGTTCTTTTAAGAAGTGATTAGAAAAAAATGATGTCTCCATATGTTGTCTGCTGCTGTAAAAGAATACCTGAGACTTGGTAATTTATAAAGGACAGAAATTTATTTCTTACAGTTCTGGAGGCTAGGAAGTCCAACATAATCATGTGTTGCTTAAATACAGGAATACATTCTGAGAAATGCATCATGAGGCAATTTTGTGGTTGTGAGAACGTCATAGAATTTACTTACACAATCCTGGATACTATAGCCAGCCTACTATTTAGGCTGGGGTGGTGGGGTTGGGGGTGTTGAGGAGAGTCAGATTGAGAGCTGAGGGAAGTCTCAAATCAACTAGTCTATAGACGTGTGGGTGAGTGGGTTGGTGGAGGGCATTATAGACAGAGGGAACCTCACAGGTAGAAGTCCTGGGCTGGAGGGAACTTGGCTCATTCAAGAAAAGGAATGACCAGTGAGGTGGCAGATAGCCTACTAGACCTAGACTGTGTGGAATAAGGTGTTGCTCCTAGGCTAGAAACCTGTATAGCATGTACTACTGTAATGAATACTGTATGCAAGTATAATACAATGTCAAGTATTTATGTATCTAAACATAGAAAGGGTACAGTAAAAATAATCTTATGGGACCACCATCATATATGTGATCTGTTGTTGTGGTGCATGACTGTATGGAGGCACCAGCATCTTGTGAGGGTCTTCTTACTGCATCATCCCATGGTGGAAAGTGGAAGGGCAAGACAGCAAGAGAGAGTGGAACTTGATTTCCTTACAAGCCTACTCTGGCAATAACAAACCCACTCCCAAGATAACGACATTAATCTATTCATGAAGGTAGAGTGCTTATAAACTAATCATATTTTATTAGGCTCCACCTCCCAACACTGTTGCATTGGAAATTAAGTTTCCAACACATGAACTTAGCTCACACATTCTAACCATAGCACCTGGCCTAGTTAAAGCTAAGTGGCACAAGAGTAAATTGAAATTCAAGCCTTTTCTGTCTTACATAAGAAAGATAACCTTAAAAGAGTCTTTTAACAAATTTCACTGAAGGATGTCAGTCTTCCTTTTTTCAGTGAATTAGAGACATCGGTGCAAAGAATATGAATTATTAATCATCTTAATTCAGCTAGTTAGCAAGCTGTATCACATTTATTAAAATCACTTTTATTTCTATGGGTTTAGTTTCACCATTTATTAGGAGGAAAGGAAGCAAATTTGTGAGGGAGCTCTGGGTTGTCAGGAAAGGCTTTTCAGAGTAGTAAAGCAATCAAATGAGAATAACTGATTCAGTATTTGTTTCCTTTGTCTCTTTGGTTTACTTTTTAGTTTTGTAGAACACTTGATCACTACCATCTCACTTGGTCCTAGTTGATGTATCATCTACATTTTTATTCAAGGTTTAATATAAAATGCTATAAAAGGCTATCCTAAACTGGTTTTAAGCATATTTGTTTTGTTTGTTCAGCATAAAATACACAAGAGGATTTTTATGGAATGGCTCCTTGTTACAAGGTACTTTGCATTTATAATCAGCCACAGTCACCTCAGTTTCATCCCGTATCTTACAAGTATGATGTGCTGTATACTCAAAGCCTCACCACCTGCTTGCCCCACCCATTTGCTTAAATGTATCAATTTTTTCTAAGCTTAACTTTTACCAAAACTGGAGTTCAACAGATGAATATTTTTCCTTCTTAGATGTTAACTAAACATTTTTAAAGGTACAAAATTTATGTACAAACATAACCCAAATGACATGGAAGTTACTTGATTTGTGACTTACCTCTGTAATGTTCCCCTGGCCTACTTGAAATTCCTACCTTTCCTCTAGTCTAGTATCTTATTCTCAGTTATTCGGAGGAAGTTAGGGACCTAGAATTCTTGTTTTCAGAGCAGTAGAATTTTGCTAACATAATTCAAAACATTTATCCCTATCTTGGGGCTTGAAGAGAATGTGAAATGCTTTATCTTCTGTTTTGAGGGAATGAGGGAAGGAGCTTGTTCTTAGGCAATTAACAAGTAAATTTAAATAAATAATCCAAATCTGGTGTGGGTAAACAAATTTTAGTTTTAGGAACTTTCAAAATTAAGTATGCTTCCCCTTTGGGTTCCAGATTTTACAGTAATACTTTTTGAAAGCAGTAAGATAAAAATTTCAGGACCTCAAGAGATGGGTCAAAAGAGTTTCACTGTAATATGAATTTTGAAGCCAGAACTGGAAATCCCCTGTGCTGTGTCTTCCTCTTCGTGGTAGTAGAGGTTACAGTTATCAAATAGTCCAGAGAAGCAATGGGAACTTATGATTTCTGATAGAAAAATTTTAACAGAGATGTACTTGTATGCAAATAATATATGATGCCTCAGTTTCCTCCAAAGTCTTAGTTAACAGAGTTAGAAAAAATCAGATTATATTTGAAGTTCTGTGTTCATACTGGAGTAATTATTATTCCAATGGTACAATATACAACATAACTTTATTACATTTTTTGGTACAGCATAAAGATGATTTTCCCTTTCTCTGAGTATTTCTGAAATTTAAAATGAAATAAGTGTGGTAGAAGCCATTATTTATGAATTATCATGCTAAATTAATTAACTCATTAATTCATTCAGGGCACACCCAGTTATTCCCCAAACTGAGTGATGTATTTCTGGGAATAGACTTATTAAGCTTGAGAAAACCCAAAGGATCATTATAACAGCAAACAGGAATGTAGGCATCCACATAGTGGATGACTTTAGTGACCTGGCACACAGTGCCTTATCTACTTGGCACATGTACAGGTACAAGGAACACTTAACATTTTGCACCAGAGCTTATTACATACCACTTTCAATGCTTGAGATATTATATAAATGCTAAAATTCTAAAACCTATAGTAAAGCAAAGACCCAGATTTTATACTGCAGTAGTTTTGCCAGTAAGTCTCATCCTCACTAACTTATCTTTTAAGATTAAAAATAATGTAACCAAGTGGGAAGAAAAAGAGCAAATATGAACAAATTGTCATTGTTTTAGAATCTGCTTCTTTTCCTTTCCGGTATTTCTGTGCAAGGAGAGAATGATCTCTGACCTTGTGAAAGGCAAATACCATGTGTATTCATGGTTGTTATTCATTTGGCAACGACTTGAAACTCATGACACTCCCTGCTGAAGATCCTCCACCTATTCTTAACAGCTGGGCTCCCCAGCTCCTGGATCACCAACCAGTACCAGTCTGTGGCCTGTTAGGAACTGGGCTTGTACAGCAGGAGCTGAGCAGCTGGAGAGTGAGCAAAGTTTCATCTGTATTGACAGCTGCTCCCCATCGCTCACATACATTACCACCTGAGCTCAACCTCCTGTCAGATCAGCAGTGGCATTAGATTCTCATAGGAGCAAGAACCCTATTGTGAACTGCATGTGTGAGGGATCTAGGTTGCGCACTCCTTATGAGAATCTAATGCCTGATGATCGGTCACTGTCTCCCATCACCCCCACATGGGACTGTCTAGTTGCGGGAAAACAAGCTCAGGGCTCCCACTGATTCTACCTTATAATGAATTGTATAATCCTTTTGTTATATATTACAATGTAATAATAATAGAAATAAAGTGCACAATAAATGTAATGCGCTTGAATCATCCCAAAACCATCCCCTGCTTCACTGGTCCATGTCTTCCACAAAACCGGTCCCTGGTGCCAAAAAGGTTGGGGACCACTGTTTACCAGGATGCATAGCATGGGTTTATGAATTCCCTATCTTTGCAGCACATCCTTTATTTCTGGCTTGCATGGGACTTGAAAGCCTAAAACAACTAAATGCTAAGAAAAATTATTTTTAAAATGATGACAAAAATATTTTCTATTTCAGATGTATAGATCTGCAATCCAGAAACTATGAATTTTTTTCAGTTGAGTAGTCTGTTTGCCAAAAAATAAAAAAAAATAAAAAATAAAAACTTGCCTAAGTTTCTTCTCTTACATTTTATTTAGGATTTGCCCTTAGACATTATTTAGTGCTTTTCTGACCCTGTAGGGACGGTGAGAATAATTGAAACACTAGTTTCTTAAAATTTCTGTTAAAATTGGTTAAAGGCCATAGAATTTTTTTTTTAAGCTAAGCATGTTATAGAGAGGTATCCTATAAGAAGCAAGGGGCAGGTAAAGACTTTAGAGATGTATAGTCCAGTGTGTTAATTAAAGGATACTACCTACTTCTAATTCGGTATGTATTAATCTTTTCTGATATATCTGTTAAAGTACTCTTCGCATATTTTTAAAAAATTGGCATTTTAAAGTATAGTCTTTGATGGTAGAAATGTGAGATTGACAAAAATCATGTCCTCTTATGTATGAATTTAGTCTTACACAGTTCTTCATATGATGGAATCTAAAACAAATGTAGTCTTGAAAACTTTTAGTCTACTTTGGTTACATGTGTTTATTATTGCTCACCTTATAGATTAACAGCAGAAAAGTATAAATTTTAATATTTCTACCTTTCTGGCTTGAGGTCTACAGCATTAATTTCTGACCAGTTAATGCAAACTGAGATTCCTATTGTCCTAAGAAAATCTGGGAAGTTAGTAACACAAACACATCTTTTGATTTATTTCAGGACCACATAAACCCATTTTGAATTATTCAACCATTGCTGAACTTCTTGAGTATGTATAATTAAGAGTTGACTATAATTGGAATGTTCTTAAGACTTTAAGTTGATTATAAAATTTTGTGCTTAAAGTTGGCAATAATCAAAACAAAACAAACAAACAAAAAAAACCCTTTATTTTAAAACACAGTCTTGCTCTGTCACCCAGGCTGGAATGCAGTGATGACATCATACTTCATTAGACCGTCAATATTCCAGGCTCAAGCAATCCTCCCACCTCAACCTCCCGAGTAGTTGGGACTACAAGCGCATGCCACCATGCTTGGCTAATTTTTTTTTAGTAGAGACAGTGTCTGTCCATGTTGCCCAGGCTGATCTCAAACTTCTGGACTCAAGTGATCCTCCTGCCTCAGCTTCCCAAAATACTGGCATTATAGGCATAAGCCACCATCCCTGGCCAAAAAATAATTCTGAAACAGCAAGGAGGAAGGCGGTTTCTTCTTGGGAAGTCTTGATTTTAGTTGAGCATGTAGAGGGATCACTTGACTTATTAACCACTTAGGATTGCACAGTAAGATAATTTAAAGGGTAGCCAGCACTGGAGTGGGCCTGGGAAGGGGATGGGCAGTTTGTGTTAGTGTGTGTGGGTCCAAGATAAAAATGTTGGGTAGCAGAGTTTTGCCTAATGCATTGTCGCTAAAAGGGATGAAGGGCATCGGGATCTACAGGAGATGGAAAAAGTAGTGACAGGATAGTAGTGGGAAAAACTAGGATCGGATCAAGGCACTGGAAGGCAGAAATATTGAGTAGAATGTTTGCTGCAATTTATGTTTCTGTATAAATACCGAGTACAAAGTTTCACTTGGGTGGTCAAGGTGCTATGGCTGTGACAACTCCTGAGAGTGGGTTTTCTGGTTAAAAAAAAAAAAAAATCTCTGAATGCACGGAGTCGTCTCAGGCCTTCTCAAATTTGCAAAGAACAGGTCCACAAGACCTACATTTCCCAAGATAATTGCAGTAGTGTGACCTGATAATTAACATTTTTTGCTTTCCTGCTGGAACATTCCTGGGGCCCAGAGACTGGGCCAAGCATTTCCAGTCCAAAGACTGGGAACTGAACCAAGCATTTCCTTTAGATTGTTCAAGTTGTGAAGGTTGATGTTATTAGCTTGGTTACTACTTGGAGTCTTAGCTCATAGTGTGTCTTTATGGCTTTCTGCCTCACTGGACCCTCTTCCCAAAAGGCTTTAGAATGTGTTCACCATCATGAGCTGACCAACAATTTCTAAATTCCTACTCAGAAACACAGCAAGGGGAATGCAGTCAAGCACAAAGGGCTTAAATGACCAGATAAGGCTGGGCTGGATGAATAAAGAGGAATATCCTATGAATGTGACTGTGTAGTTTTAGAGTATCCCGATTCAACTGTTATATTTGACTTGTGGCCTTGTAGACAGTGTGTTAATGTCAGATCTTCTTTTTCAGAACTGTTTTAATCATGGACAAACAAAGTAAGTAATTTATTTTAAATGTTTACTTTCCTCCTTATAATGTTAATCTGTTGGTAACTTGTTATTTGTCATAATGTTTTATTCAGTGTCTGAAAGTGTATAATTTGTTTTCTGTTGTTTATGCTCCAGAATACAATGTCTAGTTCAGTATTTTGACTATAGAGAAGATGTACAAAAATAGCACTATCACTAGGTTCTTCATTAAAAATACGAAAGCCTTTTGGAAAGCTAAGAAATGCTAGATTTATTGGGAAATATGTTCTGTAACATATATTTAAACCACAACAATATTCTCTTTGTGTATTTTATATGTATAAAGATTATTCAAGTCATACTAATTAACAGATAATAAGATTTGAGTTCATTGTAATAAACTCCTCAGATACACACCTCAATGTATATTTCATCACAGACACATGTTTGTATTTTAAGTAAATACCAGTCATTATGTTCTGGCTTTTTTTCTCTCAAGAAAATTCTAAGTAAGATGGATATTTATCAAGCAAGTAATAAAAGACTGTCTTATTAAGATATCAAGGTTCTGAAGAACAGAGGGAAAATTATGTTCAAAATTCCCACTACATAGGGAAAATTAAATTCAAAAATTAAATCCTGTTTTTCTGAAACGCTTTTCTTTATTCTCTCTTTCATCTTTGTTGAGGTAACAAAAAAATATTTATCTGTCACTACAGTGTCACCCTTATTAGATATATGAAATAATCTCCAGGACTAGACTCCTTGCTTTTCCCATGTGAAGTTTTATGATTTTCTTTTTACTTACAAAACTCAAAGCTTTTTAAATGTAAATTTATATAGAATTATACTGGTTTATTTGCCACAGACTTTAAGTTGATTCCACTCAATTTACAAAAATGTATCTGGTGATGGTCATAGGCAACTTTTAACTCTTCAGTTTTGTATATATAATTGTATGTATGTATGAATGTATTTGCATAAATAGAAATAAAATGTGTATATGTGTGTGAATAAATGTGTAAATATGTATATATACATACATGTAGACATAAAAAAAAGTACCTTTAAGACAATGTGATAGACTTGTACTTCTTATAAGCCATTTTAAGTTGCATTTCAAAAACGCAGTAATCAAACCATAATTAACATGCTCTTTGTTCTGCTTGAACACCTGCCCATTCACTCATTCTCCTTGTATGAATTCCCCCTGGAATGCCTGAAATCAGAATCATTGCTTTGGTACCAAAAGCCCAGAGATTGTGAGCTCATGATTTCTTGAGTCTGTCTGTTCCTGTATATGTGTGTGTGTGTGTGTTCTATGTTATAGTATTCAAACAATGTTGCTTATTAAGAGGTATCACAATGTGACATACCTGTCAAGGGTAGATCTTTACTTCAGACTTGCAAAATATTTTCTTGAAATCTATTCTGAGTCTGATGCTGTGTTTCCAACTTAATTTGGGAGTAGGGGCTGCAGGCAGGGCCTTATTAGCTAGAGAACTAGGGAGTTAGGTCAGTCACTTGATGCTGAGAAATAGAAGAGAATGGATGGGAAAGAATGATGGGGAGTTTCAGAGATTTGTGATGATTCACAAATCACAAGGTATGTTGCAATGTTTGTCCAGGGAAAAGTCCTCATTTGTTTTTTGTTGTTGTTTTGTGTTATTTATTTATTTATTTATTTATTTGAGATGGAGTCTCGCTCTGTCGCCCAGGCTGGAGTGCAGTGGCACGATCTCGGCTCACTGCAACCTCCGCCTCCCGGGTTTAAGTGATTCTCCTGCCTCAGCCTCCTGAGTTGCTGGGACTACAGGCGCGTGCCACCATGCCTGGCTAATTTTTGTATTTTTAGTAGAGATGGGGTTTCATTTTGTTGGCCAGGCTAGTCTTGAACGAGTAGGAGAGCGGTTTTTTTGCCTGATTTTACACAATCACCATGGACTGGATTCCGCTGAAGTCATCATGAAGCTATTTATGAAGGAGAAAGGCCGGGGCAGGGGGTGGGGGAAACAATCCAATCTTCCTGATAAAACCACACGATTCACAAGTTGAGTGGTCTTTGAAAGTTCATAATAGAGACACATACAGAAAAATGTGTTACAGTGAAAGTTTGACCTATATGTTCTTCTATATTGATGCCATGTCTCCATGATTCTAAAACAAAAGACTTTGAATTTACAGTTAGTAATTCATAAGGAAACAGATAAGGAGATAAGTGTAGTGTCTACTGCACCTTAAGCTGTATGAAAGCAGAGCCATTGTAGCCACAGAGCCTAATTCAAGGGTGACACAGGACATGCTCAGTAAATATTTAGAGACTGGCTGCGGTAGGTAACCGAATGACTAGATAGACATGAATATTAATATTTAGGAGGTTGAACCATTTGTGCATATATTAAGTTTACTCAAGCCTTATTAGCAAATAACAAAGTTTAATATGCTAGTGTATTGTAATTAAACATGGCTTTTGTGGGTCAAAAACAGTCATATTTGGGGAATTTCATATGGTTCAACTTCATTGGTGTAGTTCCAGAGTAAGCATAACATATATAAATACTGAAGTATATTCATTATTTTAAATATTTAAAATAATACTTACAGCAATGATGATAGATATCTTTAAAATCATCCATAATTCTACCATCTTCACATCCCATTAATTTCATTTATCTCTTTCTTCGTAGTCTGTATGTAATTTTAAAGCTATCTTTGTTTTATTATCAACAAAACATGGAACTGAACATTCATCAGGGATGTTTCAAAAACTGGTAATTCAGCCCCAGTAACTTAACTGTCTCATTTTATCTAAAGGAGAATTTGTTTGAAACAAATTTGCTAGTTGCAAATTAGCTCTGAGAACAGGCACAGCTTACGTTAAGTGAAAATTTTACTTTCCCTATTTCAATACAGCATAAGAACATACAAGTTACAATTATCTAAGTACAATACATTGTTTCTTTCTAATATATATTTTATTTAATCAGACATCTATTTACCTCTCCTTGAATTGCAGACTCACAGATGAATGCTTCTCACCCGGAAACAAACTTGCCAGTTGGGTATCCTCCTCAGTATCCACCGACAGCATTCCAAGGTAAAGCAGTTGCTGAAAGAAGAAAAAGTAAAATTAATTGAGAGACAGAGAGAGAGAGTGAGAGTGGGAGAGAGAGAGTAAGAGAGAGAGAGAATTGTGCATTTGTTTTTATTTTAGTAGTTCTTTTTTTAAAATTATATTAATGAAATTTTGGCAGCCTAGTTGTTCTTGATTATTTTTATTTGGCTATCATTTTGCACAGAAGTAATTTTTATTTATAGAGGACAGTAAAGGTATAAAGAAAGCTAGTAAAAACAACATTAGGTTTACATTTAGCAAATGAAATACAAGACTGTACATCCTAAAATACAAATGTTAAGTAAAATATTTTATTGATCCTCCATCTGTTCTGAAAATTATGATCATTTAATCACATTTAGGAAATTTATTTCTGATAAACTGAGTCATGTAGTAGCTTGGCATGTGTTCAGTGAGAGTCACATCAAAATAGTAAGACTGCTTAAAACTGAAAGTAATAGAAATTCAGTTACCTGGGAATAATTCTCATTTTAATTTTATAATGTATATGAAAGCTTTATTTTTATATATATGCTGATTCCACCCTGTATTTCTAAGAAAAGTAATTGAGTCATTTGACTACATACATAATTGAGTACATTTTTTCTTTTCAACCAATGCCTGAAAGAATTCAGAGATTTTCATTTAGGCAAATGCAGTTATCAAAACTACTAGAACTTTAAAAATAGCAAAGTCCATGGCATGTCCAGATTTACAAGCAGACAGGCTACCCACATCTTGAAAGAGCATCCTGAGGATTTAGGACCAAAGGGAATGTGGTTTGGATAGAAGGATGTACCCACTGTGTTTTCTTCTCTGAGTAAACAAATGTGCTTAGGAGCTGAATGTCATGTTTAATTGCCTAGCAAGAAACCTCCCTGCGGGTCCCGGATCTCATCCAGATGTTTGCAACTGAAAGAATATGAGCTAGATAAGCTCAGACTCTCAAGTGGTGGCTCATGGCAACCTTGTCTGCACTGAAGTATCATCACCCAGAAGCACTTAAAAATAGTAGTGCAAAGGCACTATTCCAGAAAAATTAAATCATAGCTTCCAGTGGTGGGACTCAAGGAATAGTAATCTTTTAACACCCCAAGTGATTCTAAGGTGAAGCCAGGGTTGAGAACATCTGCTCTAAATTCTTATAGGGTTGGTGTTTGAAAAATCATTAGTAAGTCTATAATATTCATCCAAGGCACTTAAGAGAATGATTTAATCCACCCTATCACTAATTAAAAGTAGATATACATAAATAATACAGTTCAGATATAATCAGACTTGAGAGTTTGTTTATATATATAGATATATATGGCTCTACAGCTTGATTTTGTTTCTCAAGTCCAAGATTACATATAGCACAAGTCTTAAGATAACGATGCTAAGAGTAAGGATAATTTAAAATTGAGATCTTACCATGCTTTAGTCATTGTTTTAAATGTGGAGTTAATGTGGACTAACACTTTTAATTCTTAGAATACTCTTATGAGGTAAATACTGTCAGTTATCCCCATTATGTATGTGGGAAAGCTGAGGCATAGGAAGTTTGTATCAGGCTTCAAGTTCTGCCTACTTTAAAAAAAAAATTCGTATAGGTAAATGTGCTGGTAAACCAGGTTCTGCCTTCTGTACTAATAGTTATGTGGTAGTTTAAACAAGTTGCAGTACCTCAAAGCCTCAGAGTTCCTATCTATAAATAAGGGTGATATTTTCAATGTAGGTTGCTTTGTAGAGTAAATGAGAGTATATGTAAAACACTGAGCACAATGCTTGCAAATTATAAATGACAAGTATTTGCTAACATATTTAAAATATTTTAAATCAATTAGTCTTTACATAAATGATACTAGTATTCAAATTTCAGGTAATTCTTTATGCTTAATTCATTGATTTGAGGAGTAATCCATCATACTTTCAGAGTCTGGGGAAAATTATGATGATGTTAAAAATGTAAGAAATTAACTCACATCTCCATATCCCCACTGGTCTGCCTATGGTCTGGTTTCTGTGCTGACCCCAGTGATCTTTAAAAATGTAAATCTGCTCATATTACAGAGAGTGTAGAGCCCCTATTTTATTAGTGGCCTATTACTTTTAGGATAAAGGCTAACACTAAACTCAGGATGGCCTTTTCCATGCTCTCTCTTTAACTTCCTCTTGAGCCTGGCTTGCTGTTATTCAGCTAGACTGGCTATTTTTCAGATTTTTAAAGGCCTATGTTAGTTACTGTCCCAGGACGTTGCTCTGAAATGTTCTTTCTGTGACTCTGGCCTCCTGAACTCCTGTGCATCCTTCAGATCTCAGCATAAAGGTGACCCCTCAAGGCAGCTGTTCCTGCTCCTTCCCTTTTTCTCTTCCCATCTCAATAGCGACCTTTGGCATCTCTAGTCATAAAACCGTGGTCTCTTACTTGAAAGCATTTATCTCCAATTCTAATGAATCAATTAATTACACTGGTATTATAGCTCCCTAGAATAAGTGGGGATATAAAGTTGTCTCTCTCATTAAACAATGATGGGCAGGGATTGCATCTGTGTTTTCCATTGTAAATTCTAATGCTTTTCCACTCCTGAAAATTTTGTAAGATATAGATAAGACCATGGAACTCATTCTTCTGCTTAAATTCCTCCAGTACTTGCCAATCATAATTGGAACCAAATCCAGACTCCTTACTAAGGCCTCCTTTGATGAACAGCTTCCTGTTGCTTTGCTAACAGCCTTTCCTAGTCGTCTTCTTTCTTATGACATTCCTCTCTCTTTTACGCCTGTCAAATTCATTACAAAGTCAGAGGTATTCTATTTGCCTTTCTTTCCTCCTGAAGCATTTATCACTAATCTTCATATAAAGCTTTTCTCTTCTCATCTTTTAGACCTTGATATAAATTATATTTACCCAAAGTAACTGCCTCATACCCTGCCCTCGCTCGCATACATTCTCTCCATCACATCCATATGAATTTTTTTTGTTTTAAATGTGTTTTCTTTCTCCCAGAAGTTGACTGTAAGCTCTCTGACAGCAGGCTGCCTCCTTGAGAATTGTATCCTCATATTCTACAACACAGCCAGTCACATTATGATCATTTGTAAATATTCATTCATCATAAAGGAATAAATTATAAAAGCTATATTTATGATGCATTATTGTGAGGTTTATTCTGTTTTTCTAAGCCTTATTTTTGAAGGGCAAATGAATTTTATCATAAATGATCCATTTAAAAGAATTTGTAAATTTCCTATTCTAAGTATTACATTTTGCATAGGCTTTAATGTTAAAATATTGAGAAACACAGTCCTTTGAAATTGTATTCCACTGCTATGGAATTGCTACACTGTGGACCATACAAACAGGTATATAAATCTTCATTGTAATCACACATTCGCAGAGAATATGAAGTACATTTACTGTTATTAAATTTCTGCCTCTTACAATTTTTTGCCATCCTTGTTTCTCAAATTATATTTTCCAGAGACCAAAGGATGTTAAATTGTGAAATTTAAATTTCTAACCTAAATATTATAATAGAATTTTATTTTAATGAAGAAGGACTTAGGAAAGCAATACATTATGGATTAAAACATAAGGCAAAGGATTAACCCAAGCAGGCATCTGGAATGTACTAAAAGAAATGACGTGTACTAAACGAATGGGCGCGGTGGCTCACGCCTGTAATCCCAGCACTTTGGGAAGCTGAGGTGGGCAGATCACGAGGTCAGGAGATCGAGACCATCCTGGCTAACACACTGAAACCCCGTCTCTACTAAAAAATACAAAAAATTAGCTGGGCGTGGTGGTGGGCGCCTGTAGTTCCAGCTACTTAGGAGGCTGAGGCAGGAGAATGGTGTGAACCCAGGAGGTGGAGCTTGCAGTGAGCAGAGATGATGCCACCGCACTCCAGCCTGGGCGACAGAGCAAGACTCTGTCTCAAAAAAAAAAAAAATGGAAAGAAAGAAATGACGTGCTTTCACCTTCAACAGTGGCACTATAATATTTTGGGCTGGACAATTCTTCATTTTTAGGGAGCTGTTCTGGCTCTTTTAAGATGTGTAGCAGCAGCCCTGGCCTCTACCCACCAGATGCAGTATTATCTTCCCCTCCAGTTGTGACCAAAAAAAGTCTGCAGATCTTGTCAAATATCCCTGGCAGAGAGGGGGCAAAACTACCCCCAGTTCTATACATATATTATAAGGCATTTGCTAGAATTTCAGAATTATCATTTTTCACAAGATACTTTGGCCCTAGAAATGCTGACTCAAAGCCATTATTTTGGGCCTTCTACCAATGACGTGTTTGTTTCCCTTGAAGGCTTGCCAGAATCTTTATGTAGGTGACTCTAGATCATGGTTATTTATTTTCATTTTCTCAGATATTAAAGCATATTTTCCTTCTGAGTTTTGAATGGTAAGGGTAAGGCTATTCACCGCATACTATCATCCAAATAGAAGTGGATGTGCAACCACAGATATTTCATTGAAAAATCTCAGAAAGAGAAAAGCGTATTAAACATCACAGATACAGATGTCTACGCTGAAATGTCAACTTATAGATAGATGGCATAACCCTAAAAAGGTTGACAATTCCATTTTTGGTGCAGTTACAAATCATTTCACTTGTTTGTATTTCAGGACCTCCAGGATATAGTGGCTACCCTGGGCCCCAGGTCAGCTACCCACCCCCACCAGCCGGCCATTCAGGTCCTGGCCCAGCTGGCTTTCCTGTCCCAAATCAGCCAGTGTATAATCAGCCAGTATATAATCAGCCAGTTGGAGCTGCAGGGGTACCATGGATGCCAGCGCCACAGCCTCCATTAAACTGTCCACCTGGATTAGAATATTTAAGTCAGGTAATTTCAAAGACACAAAATACTCATAAAAAACAGAACTGTGCTTCCAGCTTGCTTAACCAGATTAGCAAATGAATAATTCACCAAAGTCTGAAATAGCAAAACTGTATTTTCTGCTAACAGATTACTCTAATTCTTCTAGGTCTGGTTCAATTTTAAAGCAAAATACAAATGCCTTAGAAAATTGTATTTTCTGTTATCTTAAATACAATCTATGATAATGGCCAATAGCAAACATTTAATTAGCACTGTTTCCTGCCTTTGTTGTATGCCTGATACATGTATTAACTCATTTAATCCTTATTGAAAGTCTGTGATGTATAGGTGCTACATTTTTCAAAAGAAGAAACTGAGGTCCAGAGAGGTTATATAGCTCACTCTGGGGTGAGAACCTAAAGAGTCAAGACTGTTTTTTTAATCCCGAAACTTTGGTACTGAGCGAAGTGCTCTTTAGTCTCAATACTGAATAATTGCCTTATAATTTGGAAGAAAATTTAAATAAAGTTTATTGTTGAGTTTCAATAAGTGGCCCCAAACAAGGGGTTAATATTTTATGTATAATATGACTCACCTTTTTATTGTAACTAATAAAACTGCATTTTTATGATGCTGCTTTTGTTCTTTGGAAGACCTAATTTTATAAATGCCATTAATAAAGGAGTAAAAAGTCCTGGATTTTGTTGCACTAAATTATAATTAATCTCAGCAATAAGAGGTTTAACATTTAATTGGTGTTAGAAATCAGGTAGGTCAAATAGAAACAAGAAACTCTGTGTGTCCAGTCTATACACATACAAATATTCTTGTGATATTCAACCAGTTTTCATTTCATAAATCATTTCTTTCTTGCACTCTCTTTAGTAACTTAATTTCCCACAATGTGCTTAAGTGGCATAATCATAGGAATTTTTGGTCATTATTATATTATGCAAGAAATACATAGAAATAGATATTTTAAAAATCAGAGTCTCATAAAATACATAAAGGATGTTATCACATATGACAAAGGTTGATATTAAGTATGCTTAATACAAATCTGAAACTTGTAAAAAAAAATCTCTTTGATGGCTAAAAAAGTTACCAATATTTCTTCAGCCTATTCTAGAAGGAAGATTGTTTTCTACCTTTTGAATTGTTTTTGACACATAATAATTGTGCATATTTATGGAGTACAGTCTGGCATTTTAATGCACATGTACTACGTGTAATGAAAAATAAGGATAATTAGCATATCTGTCACTTTTAATATTTATCATTTCTTAGTGTTGAGAACATTCCAAATCCTCTCTTCTAGCTATTTGAAAATATACAATAAATTATTGTTAATTATAGTCAGCCTACATAGCTATAGAACACTAGAATTTATTCCTCCTATCTAGCTGTAATTTTGTATTCATTAACCAACTTCTCTTTATACCTCTCCTCCCTACCCTTCACAGTTTCTAGTAACCACTATTCTAGTATCTACTTTTTTTTTTAGATGGAGTCTCATCCTGTCACCCAGGCTGGAGTGCAATGGCACGATCTCGGCTCACTGCAACCTCCGCCTCCCGGGTTCAAGCTATTCTCTTGCCTCAGCCTCCCAAGTAGCTGGGCTACAGGCTCCTGCCACCACACCCAGCTCATTTTTGTATTTTTAGTAGAGACGGTTTCACCATACTGGCCAGGCTGGTCTTGAACTCCTGAACTTGTGATCCGCCTGCCTTGGCCTCCCAAAATGCTGGGATTACAGTCGTGAACCACTGCGCCTGGCCTCTACTCTCTACTTCTAAGAAATCAATTTTTTTAAGCTTCCATGTATGAGTGAGAACATTCAGTATTTTTCTTTCTGTGCCTGGCTTATTTCACTTAACATAATGTCCCTTAGGCTCATCCATGTTGCTGCCAATGACAGGATTTCATTCATTTTTATGGCTGATTTTTATTCCATTGTGTGTATTAAGAATGAATTTTTCTTTATTCATTTATCTATTGATGAATACTTAGGTTGATTCTATATATTGACTGTTAGTGCTGCAATAAGCATGAGATTGCAGATACCTCTGACATATTGATTTCCTTTCCTTTAAAATTTTTGTTTTGAAAATTTTGAAAAAATACTGTTTCAAAAAAAACAGTAGTGGGATTGCTGAATCATATGGTGGCTGTAATTTTAATTTTTGAGGAACCGCTACACTGTTCTCCATAATGGCTGCTCTAATTTACTTTCCCACCAACAGATTTCCCCTTCTCCACATTTTTACCATTATTTGTTATTTTTTGTCTTTTTGATAAAAATTCTTAACTGTACAAAGATAATATCTCATTGTGGTTTGGATTTCATTTCCCTGGTGATTAGTGATGTTGAGCATTTTTTCATAAACTTACTGGCCATTTTGTATCAATTTTCTTTTCTTTTTTTTTTCTTTCTTTTTTTTTTTTTTTTTTTTTGAGATGGAGTCTCACGCTTGTTGCCCAGGCTGGAGTGCAGTAGCGCGATCTCGGCTCACTGCAACATCTGCCGCCTGGGTTCAGGCGATTCTCCTGCCTGAGCCTCCCAAGTAGCTGGGACTACAGGCACCTGCCACCACACCCAGCTCATTTTTTGTATTTTTAGTAGAGACAGGGTTTCACCATGTCAGCCAGGATGGTCTCGATCTCCTGACCTCGTGATCTGCCCACTTTGGCCTCCCAAAGTGCTGGGATTACAGGCATGAGCCACCTCAATTGTCTAATTTTTAAAGGTACTCCAGTATAAATCAATTTTATTTGACCTAAATTTTTCCACATTAATAATGAACACAATAAATATTTTATTAATTAAAAATATTAACTTCAGTTTTACACTAAAAAGTAATATAAGCTGTTAAATATTGATAATTGGTTACATGTACTTTAAAAATATAAATACATGAATTTTAATTTGGTTAGCTTATAAAAACCTTCATTTGACATATACATACCACTTATTTTTTTTCCTGCTATAGATAGATCAGATACTGATTCATCAGCAAATTGAACTTCTGGAAGGTATGTATTCATTGTTTTAATCCTGTTTCTATAAAGAGTAGAAGTTTATGCAGATAAAGGCACATTGACCTCCACAAATATAACACTCTCACTTATATAGGACAGTTAAACCAGTTATTTACAATAATAAATGTTATCAGCAATTCATTTCTAAAATTTAGGAATCAAAAGGTAAAATGCTGTTATGTTGGGCACCTGCCCTCGGGATATTGACACTAACTTAGAAGGAAAATAATCAAAACCCTTATTTTGCTCCTCTCTTCATACATCACTTTTTTTCTGACTTCTACCACTTAAGCTATTTTCTCCGTAATTGTGATCAGCTTAAGAATGGCACAGAGCCACATTCCAAAGTAAGTTATCTTTTTTATTTGGATGAGGAAGTTTGGGAAAATTATCATTTGTGCCCACAGTTTCTCTTGGGAGTTAAGATGAACCCTATAAAACCTTTGTATACGAGGTCAGATGCAGGCCACTGCAGTGTGGGAGGATGCTGACCAACTAGCCTGCAGGCTTGGCTTCATAGAAGAGCACTCCTGCTCCTGCTGAATGGCCTGACATTTCCTTGGGTCCAGGGCTCCTTAGGTGCAAAAATAAACCTAGGAAGCCAATTAATGTTTTATAATGGCTGCCAGGGGAAGAAGACCCTGGATAGATTTATGAACCATAGTGTTTTCCTTCTAGATAAAAAAGGTTTAATAAAAAATAAAACTCTCCAGTTTTTAGGAATATGTCTGCTAAATTCATTTTCACCTGTCTCCAAAGTTTCTTTCCACTGGTAAAAATTAGAAGATGAATTGTATAAGCAGAATAATGGATTTGGCTAAAATATACAATTGTCATCTATTACATTGAAGTTATTTGTAAAGCACATTATTATTTATAAGTTACTTGATTTTTTTTTTAGTGTATCTAAACAAAGCTTTCTCTGGAAGACAGCTTTGTATTCTGAATTTTTTAATGTTTTATAGTATATATTAGTAAGGCTATAAAATCCAAACAGACATATAACCAAACATTACACAGCACACTATTTATCTTTTTTTGTAGATTTATAGGCTTTATAAATATTTGTTAAATATGTGTTAATTATGAAATAGAAAGTTCCAAATCTAACAGTTTTTAATTATGCTTATTTTTCAAAAAAGAAATGTCTCCAGTTTTTTTTTTGTTTCTTTTTCTCCAAAATTGAAAGTCTATGTTATTTTTTCATGAGTGGTATAAAAAAGATGAAGATTACTCAGGTTTTTAGAATCTGAGCATAAACTAGGCACTTACTTTTTTTTCTCAATTCAAAACACAGAAGACAATAAAAATATAAACAATTTGTTTACATTTTTAAAGTAAATGAAAAGAAACTTAAAGGTTATGTAAACCAATGTTGTTTTACAAATAAGCTGGAGATTTTTGAGATTAAGCTACTTAATGTAACAATTAATTAGATAATGAATGTCCTCTCAAAATCAGCTTAACTTTTTTCTCATCAAACATTTGACTATTTCAGATGTTGAAATCAGACGTTGTTCCTATAAATGCAGAGTACAGGGTCTGTCTGTGTCCCACCAAGGACACTTAAAGGAGTTCATGGTGGTAAGACTTGTGAAGGCCGTCTTTATCCGACTCAGAGTCTTTCCACATAGGCATTATAGAGTGACTTTTCCTCCATATATTTATTTTAATCACTCATTATTTTAGCCAGGCTTCTGACATCTATGACCCCAGTTACTGAGGACTATGTACAAATGGGACAGTTATTGCTCCTTTCTGGCTTTAAATATGGAGAGGTTTCCAATGTATGGTTAGATATGGAAAGCCCTTGATACAAAGTATGTGAGTGTCAGCATTTTGCAGCCATCTGTTTCCCTCATGAAGATAGATTAGCCCAGCAAAGGTGCAGAGTTCACTTAGGATTCCCACGGTCTAGATATTCTGTGAGTTGAAGCCTTGGTTGCCGAACACGTTTGTCTAATACCCACCTCCCACTTCTGAACAACTACTGTTGAGTTGAATAAGGATGCCCTGGGTCCAATGTGACATTCTAATTCATCTTTCATTTTTACTCCCTCGGTTTTTATGCGTGTACATTGCCTTCTTTCAAAAGCATTGCAAAAAAATAAGACATAAGTAAGGTTTATAAGACAGTCTCAAACCAATTGATTTAATATAAAATTTCATAGCACATAAACAGCAATCCTCTTATATTCCCCTCCACATTACACATAAACTATCCTGCATTAGTGGACATTTTATCTATACACCTAGCACCACCGTGCCCACCCACAGCATTGCCCCAACTCTCAGCAGAAAAGTCTCTCTTCTGACAGACATTTATGGAATTAGGAAAATATAACTTGTTTCCAGTGTCTCACATAATGAAGGGATGGGTTGCCCCTCCACACTTGTGGGTGTTTCTTGTTAGGCGGAACGAGAGACTTGGAAAAGAAAAGACACAGAGACAAAGTATAGAGAAAGAAAAATGGGCCCAGGGGACTGGCATTCAGCATACGGAGGACCCGCGCCAGCACCGGCCTCTGAGTTCCCTTAGTATTTATTGATCATTATCGGGCGTTTCCCGGAGAGGGGGATGTGGCAGGACAATAGGATAATAGTGGGGAGAAGGTCAGCATGTAAACACGTGAACAAATGTCTCTGCATCATAAAAAGGTAAAGAAAAAGGTGCTGTGCTTTTGATGTGCATATACATAAACATCTCAATGCCTTAAAGAGCAGTATTGCTGCCAGCACGTCCCACCTCCAGCCCTAAGGCAGTTTTCCCCTATCTCAGTAGATGGAATATACAATTGGGCTTTACACCTAGACGTTCCATTGCCCAGGGACGAGCAGGAGACAGATACCTTCCTCTTATCTCAACTGCAAAGACGCGTTCCTTCCTCTTTTACTAATCCCCCTCAGTGCAGACCCTTTACGGGTGTCGGACTGGTGGACGGTCAGGTCTTTCCCTTCCCAGGAGGCCATATTTCAGACTATCACATGGGGAGAAACCTTGGACAATACCTGGCTTTCCTAGGCAGAGGTCCCTGTGGCCTTCCACAGTGTTTTGTGTCCCTGGGTACTTGAGATTAGGGAGTGGTGATGACTCTTAACAAGCATGCTGCCTTCAAGCATTTGTTTAACAAAGCACATCCTGCACAGCCCTTAATCCATTTAACCCTAAATTGACACAGCACATGTTTCAGGGAGCACAGGGTGGGGGGTAGGGTTACAGATTAACAGCATCTCAAGGCAGAAAAATTTTTCTTAGTACAGAACAAAATGGAGTCTCTTATGTCTACTTCTTTCTACACAGACATGGTAACAATCTGATCTCTCTTTTCCCCACGGCATAAGGACTTAATTTCTCTATACATTGGTAATCTCTCCTTTTTTTTGCCATTTTTCTCTGTCTGGATCATCTCTAAACATCATTTCTTCTCCTCCTTATGCCACTTGGGGTATCATCAAAAACTGGCATAGCTAGATATTATAATATCTGGATAAATTCAATATTTTTAACATAGAGGTGATTATGATTTCGTCTTTTATGTTTTTAGTTTTAACAGGTTTTGAAACTAATAACAAATATGAAATTAAGAACAGCTTTGGACAGAGGGTTTACTTTGCAGCGGAAGATACTGATTGCTGTACCCGAAATTGCTGTGGGCCATCTAGACCTTTTACCTTGAGGATTATTGATAATATGGGTCAAGAAGTCATAACTCTGGAGAGACCACTAAGATGTAGCAGCTGTTGTTGTCCCTGCTGCCTTCAGGAGGTCTGTGATCAATTACCAGGGCACTTTGTAAAATAGTTCAGCAAGAATTTCTGCCCTGTCATTGAACCTTTCATCGAACCTAGGCATTATGATTATTACATTTACATATATTATTTTGCCTTTGTAGATAGAAATCCAAGCTCCTCCTGGTGTACCAATAGGTTATGTTATTCAGACTTGGCACCCATGTCTACCAAAGTTTACAATTCAAAATGAGAAAAGAGAGGATGTACTAAAAATAAGTGGTCCATGTGTTGTGTGCAGCTGTTGTGGAGATGTTGATTTTGAGGTAAGAGATGTCATAATGTTTATAAGATTTGCTTTCCTAATATAAGAAGAATGTAATTTTGCAGGACATTATAAATGCATTAAATAAGTGTTGTGTGCCAATGTCTCAATAGCAAGATGATTTTCTCATTTATTTAACTTTGGGCAGAGTGGTAGTTATCACTCTGATTAAAGGTCACTGTTGGTCATGAGAAATGGAAAAAAAAGAAGCAGACCTATGTAGTCAAATAAAAATAAGCAAATCATCCCTCACTTAAACGTGGTGGTTTCTATGTGATGACACTGTATATTATCCATTTTAAACAGAACGTTAACCTTGCCATCTAAGTCTGATTGCCAAAGCATATGGATCCTTCTTAAATCTGAAATATCATCTGCCAATGCTCAAGGCCATGTTCAGAATGTCTGACATCTTTGAATTCCTACAAGAAGCCCAATTATGCAAAGATAGTTTTGAGAAAATTAGTATAATATGTACTACCCAGTTATGCTTCTCTGTGGTCTCTCCTTTTCCCTATATTAAATTAGGTCACTAGAAGCTGCAACATATTAATATTTGTATATTTACTGTAATACATTGTAGAATTTCATTAGAGTAGCTCTTCAACAACAGATGGTCTACTTTTACAATCCAAATTTTTTCATTGCAAATGTTTAAAAATCAGAAGGTTTTATAACTTAATCTTGATTTCTTGTTTCTCTTGGAAAATCAGAAAATTGGGTTAACTGGGCCCACCTTTCCAACAAAAGGGTAAAAATCTACTAAAGATGTGTGGGGCTGCCCCTTGTAATAATGACATGGGAACTCTACCACTGTCTCCACCCCTTACTGAGGTTTTTCAATATCCAGTGTCATTCATTTATGTGATCTGCCTGCCTTCTTTAATCACATGGTATTTTATTCCTCCGTCAGACTTTAGCTATATAAAGATGAATCCTTTCCCCCATTGACTTCATAATCTAATGACAGAGATTTGCAGTTCTAAGGAGGATGTGATATAGAAACTTTAAAAAGGCTCTTATAAGGGGATTATATAATGTGTGTATGTATATGTGTGCATAATATGCATGTATAAAAATTTTATGTAAGGGTATGCATAATAGCAGTTCTTCATGTAAGGGATGGAATCTCTGTCCTACATCCAGAGAAGTGAAAAGTAATTTCTCATTCAAGGAACAATATTAACAGAAGTTTGGCTGGCATATATTTTATTTTTAGTAAATAAATGAAAACACTGGAAAAACATTGTGTAATCCTTGTATTTGATACTAAAAAATTTATGTTTCATCTGGCAGTCTTTCTTGATGGATACCTTAAAGCATCCATTCCATGTAATAAATTAACTTTTCTTCTATTTATCTAGAATGATGATATCAAGGTACTCTCATGGAAAGAATTGAGAAATAGTCACTTGAAGAATTTTCCATAGAGTTGACAATGGAAACTTTGACACCTCAAAGCAGAAATTATCAGTATGAGGGACCACTAAGGAACATGAAATCCACCAGGGTGTCACTGGGCATGGAAACTTGAAGTAATAAAAGAGATAAAAGCCTGTTCCACAGCAGGGGCAGGAGTCATTCTAAAACAGAGAATAACTCAAGAGGCATTTCATAGGTGTACTATGTGGAACTAATTCATGGATTTGATATCAATTGAGGATGAAAAAAATTTTGGAGATAAACTTGATGTGTTATTATTCTGATATTACATTGGCCAAGTTAAGAATCTTGGAGGAAAAACACTTGATTTGTGTCCTCTTGACCATTATGATAGTCTGCTTTTTAAAAAGTAAGGTATCAAATACTAATACACATCTAGGTCAGGGATCAGCAAAATATAATCAATGAGCTGTAGTTGATTATATAAAATATATATGGGAAGTTAATGACTTGAATTAAGGTCATGTTGGATTTTAGTTATGTATAGGAAAAGAATGGAGAGTTTTCAGCAAACAGACAGTAATTGAATCTCTAAGAAGGTTATCTTAATGGTGAGTAAGAGAGAGCCTAGTAGACCTTTTATCCAATATAGGTGATAAGAGAGTCTGTCTCCTTCAAGGACTCTTGGTAGGGGGAAAAAATATGGCCACATGAAACTGACATACCAAGTCAGCTCTGTCTATGAGCTTGAAATCTGAATTCCTGCCACTGTTGTGTTTCAGGAATCTCAAAATATAGAAACTGATCCTGAGTAGTGATAAATTTTATATGGTCAACTATAGCCCACAGATTTTTTTTCCTGCCCTCTCAACTAGATTTTCATTAGTATTCAATAAATATGTTTTTAAAAAGCAGACAATCCTAATGGTCAAGAGTATAGACACTGGAGCCAGATGCCCAGGTTTGAAACCCATCTTCACAACACTTATCTATGTGACTTTAACAAATTCTTTCACTTCTCTTTGCTTTAGTTTTTTTACATGAAAATTGGGTGTAATAACAGTAAATAAATAAATCATTAGTAAGTAAATAAAATAGCTTACCAGCAACTATTAATATACTCATGATACACTTTTTATATTTCTTTGCTACATACCTAGATCCTATATGCTGTCATTATATTTCAGTATTTTGCATTTATATTTGCATTGTGAGATGAATCTATGGTTTTCTTTTTAGAATGCTTTTACCAATTAGTATTGCACTCATGGATTTGAAAGTTTAACATTATACAATACCAATTTATTATTTCCAAATGTTGACATTTTATTATAGTGATTTTCTATTCCAAAATGTCTACAATTTAGCTAAAAATTATCTAGTCCTGCTAATTTATTGGTTGAAGATCATTATTTGCATTTCTTATCCTTGCCATAAAAAATGTATTCTCTACTTTGTTAAATTTCTTGCTGTAGTAATCAAAAAGGGCAAATGTTAATATCTTTATCTGTATAGTGTTGAGTTTACGGTGGCTAGTAAGTTGTCAGCTGCATTTTTCATTTTTTTAAATTTCAGAATTAAAAAATAAAACATAAGAGTTTTCATTACTAGCTTCAAATGCTTCAATGACAGCTATTAGCAGAAAAATACTAACATGTACAAGAAAGGATTTGTATTAGTTTATTTCACCACAGTAGTATTTCATTACACATAATCCCTAAAACTCAGCAGCTTGCAATAAGTGTTTATACTCATGCTTATGGGTGTGTAGGTCAACTGTGTTTCAGTGGATGTATTTAAGCACTGACTTAGGCGCATGTTAACCTCAATCTGCTCCAGGTAGATTTGTTCTATGGCTGTAGCAGCAGCAGCTACCTGAGTCATGCTTTTCTAGTGGCTTGTCACTGAAGATCATAAGCCAGGCCAAAGCACTTAGCCAAGTTTAAGGACACTACTCATGTCATATCTGCTAACACCCGTTGTTCAAACAAGTAACATGGCCAAGCCTAATTATGAAGGAACAGGAAGTATACTGGCCCTACAGAAGGAGAGGGAATGAAATGAATATTTGATGAACAGTATTATGCTATCAGCTTCATATTAGATGTTTATTTCTAGTATTTTACAAACTATCCACTTGTACTCAAATAAAATGAGTCAAGTATTTTTAGATTCCCCACATTTATTTAGCTGAAAAGGACACTCCTCTGTTAATACAACTATATGTGTACATAGTTTTGTGAATTTCAGCTACATTCAGTCCCCACCTGCCCTCCTAGAGGAGTTGCCTTAGTCTGAGCAAAGTCCATTCAACCCTATATGATGGCCCTGGGCTTTCCTCAGGCAGAATTGTAAAATTAGGAAACTTCTACTTCGGAGCTCATTTGTTCATACACTCTTCATCTTTTATTCACACCCCACTAGTTATCCACTCTCAACCTCAACCCTTGGCGTGGGGCATTTCATCAAGTTACTTATTGGTATTTGCCTTTACTCCAAACTGCTAATCTTTTCTAGGTGCTTAGCATTTCATGTTTGGCAACTCACAGTGGGTAGTAATAAGCCTTTTCATCATATTTAATCTTTCAGTCTGTGTAAACTGTGCTTCTCCTAAAGCAGAAGTCTAATAGGAGTTTTGTTCATTAACTTCCTGATGGCTTCTAGAAATGTCATCAAAGAAACATTTCATATTTATATCCTTTTTTGCTTAAATTTTCTTTTGGGTCAATTCAAATAATTTATTAATGTCTATATTAATATAAAATAGAAATTGTTAAATATTTCAGGAAAACTTTCTGAAATATAATTTCTCCGTACAATGAAACAGTTTTTTTCATATATCTATAAATAGATACAGGAGCCTCCAGTTATCTAATGAGGGTTACATATGGTGCATAATTTTAATACCATATTTGTTTCATCTTACTTCAAATTTGAAAGTACTTTTGCTATAAGTTTCCTAAAAGTATTTAATACTTTTTTTTTTCAATTTAGATTAAATCTCTTGATGAACAGTGTGTGGTTGGCAAAATTTCCAAGCACTGGACTGGAATTTTGAGAGAGGCATTTACAGACGCTGATAACTTTGGAATCCAGTTCCCTTTAGACCTTGATGTTAAAATGAAAGCTGTAATGATTGGTGCCTGTTTCCTCATTGTAAGTCTGTTCTTATTAATCTTGATTATAGATGCTTTCTCTAGGTTCATTCTGAAATGATTCAGTAAAGTGTATATTTCAAAATGACATTTTAAAATTTATAGATTTTAAATCAGGATTCCCATTTAATCCTAGCTCTGAAATTCTATTTGATCCTGACACTCTGGGGTCACAGGTGACTAGTTTCTACCTGAAGAGTCTATGAATATTCACATGGCAAGAGGGGGACTAAGGAGATGTACTAAGGAGAGATTTTAGTCTCCCCTTAAATCAGGCATCTCCTAGATGCTTTGAGGAAGAAGTTGAAAGTAGGCATATGTGGAAAAAATTTAGTGAAACAAGGAAACTTTACCATGACTCATAGTAATTAAATTAAACCATCTAATATAGGAGTATGAAGTACAATAAGAGTGTACATTCACTCAAGTGTGTAGACCTAACTACCAAATTACAGGAAATAATTGGATATACCAGTGATTCTGAAATTGCCTTCACATTAGAACCACCTAGGGACTTTAAAAACTCCAAGGACTAGTCCATACCTCAGTTCAACTAAATCAGAAACTTCGAAGTTCATATAGTGTTCCAGGTGATTCCAGTATGCAGCCAAAGATGAGAATTATGGGGATAGAGAAAAAGTAACATTTAGAGAAAATGACTGGAAGATTAATTAAATTCATACAGGTATCAATAAATGAATAGAATTATAGAATTTATTATTAAAATGGAAAGCCAAAGGCAGAACTTATATAATTATAGAGCTTTTGTATATTTACTTATTACATTTAATTTTTTTAACAGATTTGTTACTGTGTTTCACTAGATCCCTTAGTATTTCTGCATCTGATAATTGATCTCTGTTTTGTTGTTGAAAATTCATTTGTATACTTTTGTTTTTATCTAGGACTTCATGTTTTTTGAAAGCACTGGCAGCCAGGAACAAAAATCAGGAGTGTGGTAGTGGATTAGTGAAAGTCTCCTCAGGAAATCTGAAGTCTGTATATTGATTGAGACTATCTAAACTCATACCTGTATGAATTAAGCTGTAAGGCCTGTAGCTCTGGTTGTATACTTTTGCTTTTCAAATTATAGTTTATCTTCTGTATAACTGATTTATAAAGGTTTTTGTACATTTTTTAATACTCATTGTCAATTTGAGAAAAAGGACATATGAGTTTTTGCATTTATTAATGAAACTTCCTTTGAAAAACTGCTTTGAATTATGATCTCTGATTCATTGTCCATTTTACTACCAAATATTAACTAAGGCCTTATTAATTTTTATATAAATTATATCTTGTCCTATTAAATCTAGTTACAATTTATTTCATGCATAAGAGCTAATGTTATTTTGCAAATGCCATATATTCAAAAAAGCTCAAAGATAATTTTCTTTACTATTATGTTCAAATAATATTCAATATGCATATTATCTTTAAAAAGTTAAATGTTTTTTTAATCTTCAAGAAATCATGCTACACTTAACTTCTCCTAGAAGCTAATCTATACCATAATATTTTCATATTCACAAGATATTAAATTACCAATTTTCAAATTATTGTTAGTAAAGAACAAAATGATTCTCTCCCAAAGAAAGACACATTTTAAATACTCCTTCACTCTAAAACTCTGGTATTATAACTTTTGAAAGTTAATATTTCTACATGAAATGTTTAGCTCTTACACTCTATCCTTCCTAGAAAATGGTAATTGAGATTACTCAGATATTAATTAAATACAATATCATATATATATTCACAGAGTATAAACCTAAATAATGATCTATTAGATTCAAATATTTGAAATAAAAACTTGATTTTTTTGTATATTTGATTTTTGTTTTTAAACGAAATGTGTTCAGATGGTATTTTGAGCACTCATTCAGTTAAATGATGGTACATTTGAAGCAGGATATTTCCCTGACCCCTTCACAGGACTCGAGACAGGGGTGCCTTGTTTACTCAGCCTGCCATTCTCAACTCCTCCTGGGAGGGAGTGCACAGGCAAACAAGGCAGGAACTGGAGTGTACAAGCACTGGAACTGGCTGGCCGCTTTGGCATGGGCAGGAACAAACTGTGCAGGCCCTGTGGTAGCATCCAGGTGGGGTTGCCTGCGATTCCTGAAGCCCCAGAAGATGTGTTAACAGTGCTCTTTTAGCTCTGCTGTCTGTGGACGGCTTAAGTGTTAACAGCTCAGTGGGCCCTTTGCCTTGTCATGTGGGACAGCTGCCCTCCACCAGCAAGGGCAAATGGCGAATGTGAGAGCCTTTTATATCGGCACTCATGGCTCCCAGGCTCTTGTCCGGTGTCCAGGAAAAATGTGGTCACAAAAACAAACTGAAGGATGGTAAATGAGGGGGATTTTATTGCTGATGAAAGTGGCTCTCAGTGAGAAAGGGAGCTGAAAAGGGGACAGTGGGGTAGGTGATCTTCCCCTGAAGTCTGGCCCTGTCCAGCTGGATTCTTCTCTGAAGTTACACTGTCAAGCTGTCCCTCTGAAGTCAAGCTGCTTCTCTCCAATGTCCAGCCATAGTCTCCACTCCTCTCTGACTGAGTCTTGGGTCTTTATAGGCACAGGATTGCAGGCAGGGCGGGCCATGGGCAGTTTAGGAAAAGGCAACATTCAAGTAGGAAAACAGGGATATAAATTCTCACTTTGGGCCGGGGTTTCAGGCATTTCAGCTTGAGGGTAGGGTTTTCACTGGGGACTCACCCTTTTCTACCTAGAATTTCTCTGCCTCCTGTCTCCATCATATTTAACTGACTTTTCCTTTCAAATCTCCTTTAAAAATGAGCAAAGGTACATGACACTTTGTAGTAAAATCTGTACCAGTGTTGGAAACTAGGATTTCCACCTGTCAGAAGCTTATAAGAATTTAGTTAATCTCTTTTGTAATGAAGATTGAGTTGAAAGATGACATGAACAACCCACAATATTCTTCATGCAATGGAAAAGTATGCTTAAGCAATAAGGGCATGTGGAAGAGTCCCTCTTTCATATTCAGCACAATTCTTGTAACAGCAGCTCTCCTCATGGTGTTAGTGCCCTAGACCTCAATAGCTCCAAATGGCAAGCGGTGAGAACATTAGTATGCAGGAGATCTTCAGGAAAAGTCAAGTCTAGATGATCTCCCACAAGTCTAAACAATTCACCAGATGCCAAGTTCCAGTGATGAGGTGTACCCATGGAACTCAGAGCATGTGCTTGGTACAGATGGCATGCCAAGAAAAGTGGAGGTACTTGCATAGCTGAATCCCAATGGCATTGTTATGCCAGTTACAGAAGAGGGTGGGCATAGGATTTCCAAACTGGCCATAATGTGCCAAAACTAACCCAAAATAAGGCTTAGAGTACTGACATTATCTCTGTGACAGCTAAATTTTACTTTCATTATTTCTCTCTCTCTCAACAGGATTCTGGATCTTTGGTTAAGCAAAATGAAACTAAACTGATCTAAACATTTCTTTCTTCAACTCTGCAAAGAAGATCTGAGCAAAACCCCACATATCTTCTGCAGAACCTATTTAAATACTAGACAAATATCTTCTCATTACATAATTACATACAGAAAATAATCACACATGAAAAATTCGATATTTAATTAAGAAAATACCAGGAATTGTTTTTCAAAGTTTAATTTGTAATCTCAATGAGATTTGAGGAAATGTTGCATATTTTTTTATTTCTACCATGTGAGTTATAACAGTGAATGGAAAGTCACTGCGTGTCCCTGACTAGGGAAAATATTCAGGAGGAAAAGCTGCAATGGATGGGGCATGGAGGTATATTTTTGATCTTGGGAAGGAAGTTCTAGGTAGGTGGTCAGTGAGGAAGGGGGAGAAGGAGGGAGGAAGAAGGAGGGGAGGGAGGGGAGGAAGACAAGATTAAGGGATGTCAGTACCTCTCCTATGTACCTCTTGGGGGAGGGTTGAGGAGTGAGGGGAGTGTAAGTGAAAGTAGAGACAAGGCTGGGAGAGGAAAAAACAAAAAGCACCAGCCACAGGCAATTAAATTGCCAGAAAGTCAGTGTCTGGGCTCCCGGCATCAAGTTAGCTAGCTACTCTATGGATAAGTACTGAAGCTTTAATTGCATTTGGGCTCAAAAACAACAACTGTAACTTTAGGGTAACTAGAAAAGCCTCTGTAGAGAATCGCTGCCATCAGTTAAGAATGGAATGATTTAAAATGTCTCTGGGCACAATGAAGTGCTCCTAGAGCTTAAAGTGCCAGAAAAGTGTACAGGGTTTCCCTCCATGTCCTGCCTCTCTCCTTTACTGTCTCTAGCCCAGCATACACCGCCTGAGTTTCTAGGGCCATGTTCCTGCACCTGGTACTGTCTCCTTCAAGCTGTGTGTTCCTCCTTGTGCCTTAATTTCCCTTAGTTGTCAATAGTATCGTTGTCAATTGATTATGTTATCTACCTCATAAGGTCAGTATGAAGATTCAGTGTTCTAATGCAGGTTCAGAGACCTGAGCAGGTTCCTGCAATAGAACCAGTGTAAAAAATGAAAAGGGCTATGTGTTGGTAAAGATCAATGGTTTTCAGAACACAGAGAAGTGTCTCAAAGCCAGTGAAGAATATTTGGCCTAAAGTAAATTTCTGTATTGTGATTTGAATAGCAAGCAAAATCCATTTAAACCCTAGCAAGAATACTATCTCCTCAAAAAAAAAAAAAAAAAAAGTCCATGCAAGATGCCAAGCTAGGGAATGATGCTCATCTCACAGAAGTGTAGATTAAGGGAAATTAAGGCACAGGGAGGAACAGAGTCTCTGGCTTCTGTGTTAGAGCCTTTTTTAATCTTAGCTTTATAGTGTCAAAATGTGGCAAGCTATTTTAAGAGAGGAACAATAGCTGGGCGCAGTAACTCATGCCTGTAATCCCAGCACTTTGGGAGGCCAAGACAGGTGGATCACCTGAGGTCAGGAGTTCAAGACCAGCCTGGCCAAAATGGTGAAACCCTGTTTCTATTAAAAATACAAAAATTAGCTGGGCATGGTGGCAGGCATCTGTAATCCCAGCTACTGGGAAGGATGAGGCAGGAGAATTGATTGAACCTGGGAGGCGGAGGTTGCAATGAGCCGAGATTGCACCATTGCACTCCAGCCTGGGTGACAAGAGTGAAACTGCTTCTCAAGAAAAAGAAAAGAGAGAGAGAGAGGAACAATAATCTGGGCCCCTGAAACCAGATGAAACAACTGACAATACAGAGTCTGAACTCATGATTTACAAACTGAGAGGGCCATGGAATGATAAGGAACAAGTACAACTGGTCACAGAGCTCTGCACTTAACAACCCTCCACACACATACACACACCAAGCATTCAAGTTAAACGTTAACCTACTGTTAATGTTTATATGGTAGAAAACATCAGATTTATGCCAAAATGCAGATTATAAATCTACCCACATTGAATTCTGAATAGATTTGGAAAATTGATCTGCTTGCCTACTAAGTACAATTTGTTTCTGCCTGTGGATTCTGGGGGTTTTCCATCATTAACACATTGAGGTTATTCTGTCTGGCAGTGATAGGGAACAAACATTGGCCTATTTATTTCAGCAAAGGAGTTAGTTGCTAGGAAACATTTCAACTTTAGTCAGGTATTGCCAATAGACTGCAACCACCTGAAAATATCTTAGAGAAATTCTCGGTTATATTGACTTTACAGAGTTAATTAGATCTTAGTCTACCACCCGGTCCACTCGGGCTTCTATACCAAAACACCTTAGACAGGGACAGTGTAATTATAAAGGACTAAAATTTGTTAATTATAGTTCACGAAGCTGAGAAGTCCAAGATCAAGTCACCAACAGATTCTGGTGTCTAGTGAGGGCTGCTCTCTGTTTCTAAGATGGCACCCTGTTGCTGCATTCTCACATGGCGGAAGGCAGAAGGTCAACAGGGACCCAACCGAGCCCTTTTAAAAGGTCACCAATCCAATTCATGAGAATGGTGCCTTCATGACTTAATCACATCCTAAAGGCCCCATATCTGAATACTGTCAAAATGGGTCTTAGTTTCCAACAAATGAATTTGGGGGCACACATACCTTTAAACCATGGCTCCTACTAAGCACATTTCTGTTAAATCATACTGCCTGAATTCTTTCCCCGTTATTGCAAGTCACAAGCAGAAGATAATTTACTCGCAAAATTATTTTTTTTGCAAATCTATTTCAGTTTTTATGAATAAAGACAGATTCACTCAAATAATTCACATAAATGTATTTGTAAACGTTATACCTGAGGAGGAAATGAATATAAAAAAAAAAAGTTGATTGATTTAAGGGCACTGAAACTGCTCATCAATTATTTAACAAGTACATACGGAGCTTCTACACTGGGCCAGTAGTTACGCTAGGTACGATGGTCTCAATAAGCAACAAAAATTATTTTCTACAAGATGCTTAAGGTCAATTATACATATGGAATGTTTGATTATAGGATCCAGAGTACTATGGAGAGGGGTAGTAGGGACACTGAACTCAGTTTTAATGGTCAGGAAATTAGGGGAAGTAACTTTTAAACTAAGAAAGTTTGCTGGACAAAAGGCAAGTGAGATTATTTCAGGCAAAGGAAAGAACATAAACAGAAGTCACCTCAGGGGTCTGAAATGTGGCTAGGCCACTGGTTTTGTGTTCCTTCGTGAGTGAAAGACATGCAGGGGGTAGGACATCTAAAGAGTGGTTAGATCATACAGTGCCTTAGCCACATTAAGAAGTTCAGGTTGGGGCCAGACATGGTGGTTGACACCAGTAATCCCACCACTTTGAGAGGCTGAGGTGGGAGGAGGTAGGAAAGATCAAGTGTCCTTTCCTACACATAGTTCTCTCTCAGTCTCTAGGAATCAGGTGGTGGACTTCTCTAAAGCTGCACTTTTTTTTTTTTTTTTCCCAAGCAGCATGGCTTGCCTGATTGTTCTCTAGGAACTAGTCTAGCCTTTTCAGATGAGAAAGTTACTTTGTCTACACAGAAGTTTTCTCATGGTGATTTGGTATCTCCCTCATCACCAAAACCTGGATACATGGTAGATGGCCTAAAATTGTTGAATTATCTATCTTTCAAATTTACAGTGTGAATCGATTTACGTTTCAGGTCCTGAAAGCTATCAAAATAACCAAAGTCCATTTATCTGAGGAGATGGTATTAATAATTAGTTGTGTAAGTAAAAAAGTCAATAAAAGATGAAGCATATCTGTAAAAAAGATGAATATATTTAAAATAAATTAAGGGTGAATTTTATTATTTTGTTATTATTATCATATCATTTATTTATTTATCAATCTTTTAAGTAGGGGCAAGGGCCAAGTGTGGGTCTACTATTCTGCACTGTCTTTCTTCTATAAAAATACACAGTTTATTTTTGTTTCAATAGAGCCAGAATTCTAAGACACTTTCAAAGGTATCTTAGTGTAGACCAGTCAATTTTTACCATGATTTTTCAGTCATTCATATTTGGCTCACCCTTTACTAACTCAGTAGCAATCAACTTTACTGAGTAGACTTAATAAGCATTTTAAAGGAATTCAGATTAACTTACATAGAAACAATCTTTTATATTAATATTTAATCAAAGCAAGTAAAAATATTTACTTTCTGTAACTACAATAATCTTTTGTATAAACTGATTTACAAATAAATACAAATCACTTTTAGTTGGTGTAGAACTTTTGAGAGAGTAGACGTACCCTAGAACTAGAGAGTCAATAGGGACCCTCTTAATGTAATAGTCAAGTGTATTCAGCATAATTTGAGCTAATAATTAGGTTTTACAGAGAGAATAGGAAATGTCAACCCAAGGAGTTGGGTAAATTAAGATCAGTTAAGAGAGTATCTATATTGACTTTCTTTAATAATTATTTTCTGACAAGGAAAACAATAGTCACCATCAATCCAGTAGGTAAAATAATATGACACTTTTTTATACGATTCATGGCTCCCTCAAGAACTTATCTGCTGCAAAAAGTAAAGGAGAAAGCAGGAAAGAAGAAAGGAAGGGATTAAATGAAAAGGAAAGAAGAAAGAAAAGGGGTTTTTGTTTGTTTGTTTCATTAGAAGTCAACTAAAAAATATAGAAGAAATGACGAAGGTAGGAAATGACCATTTGACAGTCATCATCACAATAATTTTATTCCAGCAAGGAAACATCGGTGGCTGCTAAAATTACTGATGAACATTTAAGGAAAAGCAATATGCAGTACTTACATTGTCTCAAAGTAGCTTCTTATAAGATACTTATTAATTTCAAAAAATAAAATAGTGAGTAACTTTACATTTACTGCATGATACAATTCAGCTGAGCTGCCTGCCATGATATGAAAAAGATCTCCATTCCTCCAGTTTCCAATAACAAGTTTTTTTCCACTCATCTGAACCTTCACCTGAAGTGCATTTAATTCTGTATTTCTACCATCGGTCTCTTCATGTTGATGTAAATCTTCTCTAAGATGATCAACATTTTCTTAGAGAAAATACATACCATGCTCCTCACTTCCTTTTGTATACTTATCAGTCATTAACATCCATATCTCTTCAGTCTTGTCTTAGTTGGCACAGGCTGTTACAACAAAATATCATAAGCTGTCTTAAACAGGAGACGTTTAATTCTCATAGTTCTGGAGCCTGGGAAGTTCAAAATCAAAGTACCAGCAGATCTGGTTTCTGGTGAGGGACCTCCTTCTGTCTTGGAGAGAGCCACCTTCTTATTGTGTTCTCACATGGCAGAGAGTCCAAGCCCTGGTCTCTCTTCCTCCTCTTATAAGGACACTCATCCCATTATGAGACCCCCACCTTTATAAACCTAATTGACTTCCAGAGGCCTTGACTCCAAATACCACCACATTAGGGGTGAGAGTTTCAACATATGAATTTGGCAGGAGAGGTACACAAACATTTAGTTCATAACATTCCACCCCTGGCCCCCCATCATTCATGTCTTTCTTGCATGTAAAATGTATTAATTCTATCCCAATAGTAGCAAAATCCATAACTCATTCTCTCATCAACTCTGGACTTCTAAGTCTCATTTAAGAAACATCTAAATCAGATATGAATGAGACTCAAGGTACAATTCATCCTGAGGCAAAATTTCTTTCCAGCTGTGAGCCTGTGAAACCAGATAAGTTACGTACTTCCAAATTTCAATAGTGGGACAGGCATAGAATAGACTTTCCCATTACAAAATGGAGAAGTTGGGAGGAAGAGAGGAGTAACATGTCCAAATCAAGTTCAAAACCTAGCAAACAAATGCCATTAGATCTTGAGGCTCAAGAATAATTCTTTTTAGTTTGATGCTCTGTCTTTGAGACCCATGTCCTGCAAGGCTTTTTTGGGTGGGGGTTGTGCCCTCAAAGCTCTGCAATGTGAGAGTCACATCCACCCCCAAGGCTCAGCTGAGTGAATTCTCATTCTCCAGGCTCCAGGCTGCCACTGTCTAGCCTGTTGAAACCAAGGCAATGGCTCTCTCCCCCATTGAAAACCAAGGAGACAGACCTGATGACCTCTGAATTGCCCTCAGGATTACTGCTTTTCTTATCTTCAAGAGTAGTACACATCTGCAGCTAAATAGCTTGATGTTCTGGTACTGTGGGCTGTAAGAAGTCCTGTAGCTTCTTTCTATTGAAACTGTTTCCATTGTCTTTAGCTCTGTCAATCTGAAATAATCAAAAGAATCAGAATTCAGTCTTGAAGAATTTATTCTAGCAAAAAGTTTGGAATGATCATTAGAGAAACATTGGCTCCAGAAAATGAAGTAAGTTCCAGTGGAGTCACAGATTAGAAAATGAGTCAATGAATATACTTGATGCAAATCTCATGCAGTTTTTTTTTTCTTTTTTTAATAATCAACTAATCTATGTTAACTGAGACTCCTTGTTCTCCAGCTACTCAATCCACAGGTGGCCTGTGGCTCCTGGTAAACAGAAAGGATAGCAATGTAATTGAAGGCTGTTGTGACTCCTCTTATTGTAGGCCAACTTACAAATATCACCAGGAAATAAAGTCTCATCATTCTCATTGACTAGACAATAAAAGAACAATGGGCCTTGTAAGGTGGGAATGAGGAAATGGCACAATTAAAAAAAAATGATTGGTTAACATCAGATTACTTCAGGTTACTTTTTTGTAAGGGTTAAAGCAGAGGGACTTCCTTATTATGCTGACTCAATCAGATTGAAATTTCCTGTTTTCAGGGGAAAAAAATGGTCTGCTTGGGATCTGTCTGTTTCCTTAAAGTTTCAGTATGATTGTGTAACATTTGGCATGAGTGACTCTATTGTGGTTTAATCTGGTTTGTTGGAGTCTAGTGCGTGAGCTCACTCCAAAACAATGACCTCCCACAATTTTTGTTTACACACACACACACACACACACACACACACACACACACACGGTATATATTCACTTTTTTTACCCCTATTGGTTCTCTTTCTCTGGAGAACCCTGAATAATATGCCAACTTTCCTCTTTCCTCTATAATCAACTTCAATGAATATTTCTGTACATGTATCCTTGTGCTCATGTCAAAAAAAGCATTTATGATTATCCTTATGAGTAAAATTGCTGCTTCTAAGGGTCTAAACATCATTATGAAATATTGTAATATTGCTCTCCAAATAAATCATACCAATTTATTGTCTAAACACCAGTGTATGACCATCACTACAGCTTTACATCCCCCATCAGATCTGGTATTGTTGGGTTATGTTTTGTTTTGGTGAATTCCCAATATTTTTAATTGGGAATCTCATTCTTGTTTTCATCTGCATGAAATTGTGAGGTTGAGTATGTTTTCATTTGTTAAAATTAGATGTTCATGTTTCCTCTAATGTGAATCATCTTTTTGCACACTTTAGTAATTTTTGTATTTGTTTGCTGTCAACTTTCTTATTAATTTGTAGAAGTTTCTTTTTATGCAACCAAATCTTTTATAAGTTTGTAGGCATTGTAAATATCTTCTCTCAGGATATGGCTTTTAATTCACTTTATTTGTGAAATAATATTTTTGTTGTCTAGAGAAATTTTAAATCATATCATTTTTTCAAGGTTTGTATTTTTTTTCTTTTGTTTTGAAGGTTTATTTTTCATAGATAGGTCATTACTCCATTTGGAACTTTTTAATATATGAGTAGATATCTAATTTTATTGTATACAAACAGCTAATCGCTCCAATAACAGCAAAGAGTTCATCTTTTCTACTGATTTGTATTGCTACTTTTGCCAGCCATCCACTTTTCATAGATTTATGGATCTGTTTCCAAGCTTACTCTCCTATTCTGTTGCTCAATATTTTTGTATAAACAATTCCCTTCAAATATTCCTGACAGCTTATTTCCTCTTGAATGTTATTCTGGTCTGGTCCCCTTAAACAGCTGCAATTTATTGATGGAACATAAAACAGGCAAAAGGAAGGAGCAAGACACAGAGTTAATTTAATATCCTGATAAAATAGATCAGCCTTTAGTATTTTAACAGCTATATATTATTTATTTAGTAATTTTGGTTTTGTTTGTAAACAAGCAAGTTATATTGTGGTAAAGAAGAAATATGGGAGTCAAAATAAGACTTTAAAGATGTATCTAATTTTGTAATTAAAATACATTTCCTACTCAACATTTTTTTAATTTTATGTAAAATATTTTAGGCTACACTGTGCATGTTTTAAAACCACTTGATTTTAAAGCTTTTTAATAGAAGAAAAAAGATACAAAGCTGAAGTTGTAAGGGTAAGTGTTAAGTATTGAAGTTTTGTGGGCCTAACAAATGACTGGTTTATATAATTTGTAGAATACTTTTTTATTTTACATACTTACCTAATATAAGTGGTGCCTAAATAAGTAATGCTTTATAGGACGAATTGATGCAGGTGGGAGAGTCACTGTGATATGAGACTGTCAGAGGCCTTTGAACCAGAGCAATTCTATTGTGAATAGGGGCTGGATAAAGTAAGTCTGAGACCTACAGGGCTGCATTCCCAGGAGGTTAGGCATTCTTAGTCAAAGGAAGACACAGGAGGTAGCTCAAGACACAAGTCACAAAGACCTTGATCATAAAACAGGTCGTGGTAAAGAAGCCAGCCAAAACCCACCAAAACCAAGATGTCAAGGAAAGTGATCTCTGGCCTTCCTCACTGCTCATTATATGCTAATTATAATGCATTAGCATACTAAAAGACCCCACCAGCACCATGACAGTTTACAAATGCCATGGAAATGTCTGGAAGTTACCCTATGTGATAAAAAAAGGGAAGGAACTCTCAGTTCTGGGAATTACCCGCCTCTTTCCCAGGAAACTCATGAATAATCCACCCCTTGTTGAGATATAATTGATAAATAACTATAAGCATACTAAGTCAAGTAGCCCATGCCACTGCTCTATCTATGGAGTAGCCATTGTTTTATTCCTTTACTTTCTTAATAAACTTGCTTTCACTTTAGTCTATAGGCTTGCCTCTAATTCTTTCTTGAGTGAGGTCCAAGAACTCTTCTCCTGGGGTCTAGATCAGGACCCCTTTCCAGTAACAAAACTAGGGAAAGTTATCAACTTAACTTACAAGTAAATTAAAATAAGCTTAATTCAACTGAGTAAATATTAAATACACTATCAAAGAGAATACAGTCAGAAAGACAAAAAACAAGGAGGGAAATGAAGGAGAATCAAGAATGTTTGCATTCGGCCGTGCTCGGTGGCTCACGCCTGTAATCCCAGCACTTTGGGAGGCTGAGGCGGTGCGGATCACGAGGTCAGGAGATCGCCACCATCCTGGCTACCACGGTGAAACCCCGTCTCTACTAAAAATACAAAAAAATTAGCCAGGTGTGGTGGCGGGTGCCTGTAGTGCCAGCTACCCGGGAGGCTGAGGCAGGAGAATGGCGTGAACCCCGGGAGGCAGAGCTTGCAATGAGCCGAGATGGCGCCACTGCACTCCATCTTGGGCGACAGAGCGAGACTCAGTCTTGAGCCCACAAGAGTACAGGGAGGTAAGAATGTAGTGGGTGTCTGGCCAAGCTGGGCTTAAGTTTCAGTTACAGCTGAATCTGCACAAACCCCTGCACTGCCGCAGACTCTGCAAATGAGTCACCAACCAAACACTGCTGATGTTATAATAAGGAAAATCCATGTGCACTGAATTCAAGAGTATTTACAGTTGTAGCCACCTGTGGACTTACTGGTGCCCCACTAGAGAAAGGTCTTAGGAGAAATTTGTTTCACAAATGAAGGGAGAGAAAGTAAAAAAAGAATTTGAGATATGTAAAGCACTTGACTTTGCCTACTCACTAGAGTTTCTAAGTATCTCAGTCCTTTTGTTCCCTCTGCTGACTCACGTCAGAATCAGTGTAGTTCCGTGTAGTCTAGCCTGTTCCACCAGATTGAAATCCGTTCCCTTGGGAATGGTGGGAGTTTATTTTCTGGTAACATTTGTCAATTGCCTTGCAATAAAAGGAGTCTTTCAATTAAATCTATCCTTTCTGTTTACCAGGTGCTGCAGGCCACCTATGGGTTGGGTAGTGGGAGAACAGGGAGTCTCAGTTAACAAAGAATAGTAGACCATTAAAAAAGAAAAAAAAAAAAACCTGTCTGAGATTTGCATCAACTATATTTATTGAATCATTTTCTGATCTGTGACTCAAATGGAAAATATATACCCTGGGAATTTGAATTATTATCAGGCAACTCCTACAGATTTCTGTTTGTTTTCTTGTTTGCCATAACTCATAGGAGATTACATTCTGACTTCTAAGGAGAATGATGTGAAGTTCCCACAGAGAAACTCCTCATATAGGTAGGGGCCAGAAGAGAACAAAGTAATCCCATGTCAGTAAAAAAAAATAAAGGAGATATATCCCATCATGTACTTGTGTGTCTTTGTGAGCTTTGTTTTAGGACTCATGTTGACTAGGACTAAACCTGATAACCAAGACTCATGACTCAACCACCTGCTTGGGCCAGACAAGTAAGATAAATGCATAGTACTACAGGTGTAAGACATCCAGCAATGAGGGAAGGTAGGTGCGTTTGTCTGTTTTACATTGCTATAAAGAAATGCCTGAGACTGGGTAATTTGTAAAGAAAAGAGATTTGTTTGGCTCACAGTTCTTCAGGCTGTACAAACATGGCACCAGTATCTGCTCAGCTCTGGTGAGGCCTCTGGAAATTTCTACTCATGGTGGAAGGCAGAGAGGGAGTAGGTATGTCACATGGTAAGAGAGGGAGCAAGAGAGAGAGGGGAGAAGGTGGCATAAAAAACAACCAGCCTTCATGTGAATTAATGGAGTGAGAACTCACTCATTACCATGAGGACAGCACAAAGCCATTCAAGAGGGATCTGCCTTCATGATCCAAACACCCTGCACTGGGCCCGCCTCCAATATTGAAGGTCACATTTTAATATAAGATTGAGAGAAGACATACTTCCAAACCATATCAGTAGAGAACCAAAACTGCAGCCCAGCTAATGTCTCTCAAATTAAAAACACACAAGCAGGATACTTTGCTGGCTAAATTCTCAAATGTAGTCTGGCCTAATTAGCCCTAAATGTCTCCATTTGCACCCACCTACCAGTAGTTTTGTCATATCCATAAAATACTCCTCAGAAGAAAATAATTGAATAAAATTTAAGTATTTAAAATGATTTATTATAAACATCAGCATTTTCTCATGATTAAAAGTGGAGACCATGGAAATATCCCATTAGAGTTAGTCCCAGCTGTGCCGCAGTTTCCTCTGAGCAGTTTTGAGCTTTGGGCAAGTCATATAACTTTTCCATGCCTTAATGTTCCCATCTGTAAAATAGGCCTATTAACAGGGGGAACCAACCAGTCCACCTGTGGCCACACTTCTAAATAGTTTCAATACAGTTCAAAGGGTTGTTTTAAGAATTTTATGAGTTTTGATATGAAATCTTCATTGAGCCATGTCTGGCATGTTGATAGCAAGCAGCACAATGGCATTACCTATTATTATGTTACTCACTTTTCCCCTTTAAAGTGAAAGTCTGTTTGATATCTGAGTATCATACTTGCATAGTGTTATGGTCTGAATGTTTTTGTTCCCTTGAAAACTCATATTGAAACTTAACCCCTAGTACAACAGTGTTAGAAAGTGGGGCCTACTAGAAAGTGTTTAGGTCATGAGGATGGAGCTCTCATGAATGAATTAATGCTGTTATACAAAGGATTGTGGGAACAGATTTTCTCTCCTGTTCTTTCAGCATTCCTCCCCTCCAGATTATGCAGGGTTCAAGGCACCATCTTGGAAGTAGAGACCAGGCCCTTACCAGACAGCAAACCTGCCAATGCATTGATCTTGGACTTCTCTGACTCCAGAACTATGATAAATCATTTCTATTGTTTATAAATTACCCAGTGTGTGGCATTCTGTTATAGCAACATCAAACAAATTAAGACGCAGAGTTCAGTTATTCTGAAATCCTTTAACCACTTGCCTTTAAAACTTATTTTAAAATATCATTTCTAGTTAAACTTTGGAGCAGGTATATCCACTACACATAACCTATTAGCTAGGGTTCTTTTGGCACAGTGATTGTTGTCATATTTTAGAATGTATATAAATTTCCTGGAGAACTTGATAAAATGAAGATTGCTGGGCCCATCCACAGAGTTTCTGATTGAGTAGATATCAGACTTTTCCAGAGAATTTATTTGCATTTTAACAATTTCTAATGTGATACTGATTCTGCTGATCTGGGGACCAGACTTGAGAACCATTGTCTTAGCAAATGACGTCCAATGTTTGTTTGGTAAAGAATTTTGAAAATGTAAACAGTAAATTTACTCCTCTGTGTGTGTATATATACATGCATCCACATTCACATTTATAATTTGATATATAAAATTATTATCATTTACTATGTATTTAAAAAGATATTAAATAATCATGTAGTATGAATATGTAGGATGTTTAATATTCCTGTAACATTTCTAAATTGCCATCATTGGCATGTTTTAAAAAATATTTCATAAACATGGGATTTTTAATTTCTTAAAACTACTAATCAGCTCATTCATCGTTGTCTGACAGATATAATCACTGCTCATTTGGGGCAGGAAGGCTTCCTGGATGACCTCCTTCAGGCCCCTTCCTGGCCCCTGCTCACCTTGGTAAAGGTCTGGGAAAAAAATAAAATAATGAATAAACAGAAAAGTTTTCTGGCTTCCAGGCACATGATTCTGTATGTATATGAGCTTTTGAGATTTTCTTTTAATGAACGGTATTTTCTTTTAACAAAGTATAATTAGAAAGAATATAAAGGTATGTAATATGGAATTTTTAATAACTATTAGTGACATAGTAATAGTAAATAATGTAAGGAAGAGGAGGGCCAATCAAAACACTAATGAGCAAGCTTGTATTTTGTAACTGAGTTTTTCTTACATATAGATGTGCATAATTTAAAATGCAAGATAACATGTGAAAGATTTATTTGAACTTCCGTCTGTGGTAAAACTGGCAGTGAAGAACTCATATCCAGGGACATAATACTCCAATTTTACCATAGATGGTGATTTTTTTGTGCCCAGTATTTAGTCTTTCTTGCTTTTTTTTTTTTTTTTTTTTGAGATGGAATTTCACTCTTGTTGCCCAGACTGAAGTGCAATGGCGCGATCTTGGCCCACCCCAACCTCCATCTTCCGGGTTCAAGCGATTCTCCTGCCTCAGCCTCCCGAGTAGCTGGGATTGCAGGCATGCACCCCCATGTCTGGCTAATTTTGTATTTTCAGTAGAGACAGGGTTTCTCCATGTTGGTCAGGCTAGTCTCTAACTCCCCACCTCAGGTGATCCACCCGCCCCGGCCTCCCAAAGTGCTGGGATGACAGGTGTGAGCCACTGCGCCCAGCTATTATTTCTTTTATAAATGTGAGAGGGAACTAGTATTTGAACTTTGAAAAACTGGGTGATTCAAGCTATTGTCTGATTTAAACTCACCTGATTTTATTACATTTTCTTATCTTGCTGAAAATATAGGTGTTTTATTGAAGCAATTACATTCTTAAGAGAAGGAATTTATTCTTTTCACTGTTAATGTATACAATGTCTCAGAACATAAAATAATCTAGGTGTTTCCATGTGGCCAAATTGTAAAACAATATGTTCTAGGATTCTGCCAAGTGACAGTGTTCCCACATCTCCCATATAGGATTCTGCCAAGTGATCAGACAGTGTTCCCACATCTCCCATTCAAGATCACAGGATATCAGCTTTAAAGAAACAGAACTCTGAAGCCCAATTAATCTAAAAGGTGGTCCATTTTTGTTAGTTTCTTGGTTTCGGGCACTGTTCTGTTTTATTGTACAGGTCACAAAGTTCATGTGAAGTCTGTAACTGATCCAGCTTTCCCAGTTGAAAAAATAAGTACCCAGTTCACCTCCTTGCCTCTAAATGGCATTTTGAAAATTATTAATCAAACTACTCTTCTAATAATAGATTGATTTCATCCATCTGTAGCAAAAGTAAGTGCTGGATAATTAAATTCAATTATATTATCAACCATAAGAAATAAGTAAATCATTGTTGCTTCTGAAATCCAAATATGACAAGGATTTGATTTCAGGCACCTGAACTTTGTAGCTCAGTCAATTTGAACAAAAACAATAATGGTTATCTAAGCTTTGGTTTTCTTACCTCTAAAATTAGGATAATAACCTCTTCATTTTAAAGTTTGTATTAGGATAAAGTAAACATGTTCTACTATTATTCTTATTTTTATTATTAATGCACCATTAATTTTCAATTCTACTTAGATGACATTCTGCTGCAAACCATTTTTTATTAATTTCATATGATGTAGGTAGTAATCTAACTGATTAATTTTTTAAAAGAATGATTGTCTATTCATCCTTGGTATTGGATATATCTAATCTAGCATTTTCCTTCTGAGGAATTAAGTGCTTTCTTCAACACTGGTGTATGTTTGTGACGTAATTTCAGGTCTTGATATGTAAAGAAAAGTATGTATTTGTGTGTGTATCTACTTACTTAACAGACGCATACTTCAGTTTGTTTTCCAATTTTAGATTTCCAAATTTTAGTTTTGTCTAAACTTGTAAACTTATAATTTTAATTCAGCATATCCATATATCAAAATATGATCACTTCCTTTAGAATTCAAATAAGAGTGTGTGAGAATAGATGCACTACCGGGGAATTTTATTACCAGAAGAAACCCTCCAGTATAATTTATAAATACAAAAACTGAGGTTTTAATGTTACTAAGTTAATGTTAAAGCTCATTATTATTACTCCTTAAAGATTCTGGGTTTCGAGGTGTCTATATTACCTCATGAGTTTGGTAAAAACAGAGAACATTGAATCAGTGACTGAAAAAGGAGGAAATTCAGTTCCGGGTAAAGAAGGTTTTGAGGCACTATTCTCTTTCAAAAATCTCAATATACTAGATGTTGCAGTGAGACACTGTTGTTTCCATGTTTTGTTTCATCACTTTTATGTCAGTGTTCTGTAACCTATTGTGTCCAGAATTGGTGGGTTCTTGGTCTCACTGACTTCAAGAATGAAACCACAGACCCTCGCAGTGAGTGTTACCGTTCTTAAAGGCGGCATTGTCTGGTGTTCGTTCCTTTTGATGTTCAGATGTGTTCGGAGTTTCTTCCTTCTGGTGGGTTCGTGGTCTCCCTGGCTCAGGAGTGAAGCTGCAAACCTTTGTGGTGTTACAGCTCTTAGGGCAGGGCGTCTTTAGCTGTTCCTTCCTCCCAGTGGGTTCGTAGTCTAGCTGGCTTCAGGAGTGAAGCTGCAGACCTTTGCGGTGAGTGTTACAGCTCATAAATGCAGTATGGACCCAAGAAGTAAACAGCAGCAAGATTTATTGCAAAGAGCAAAAGAACAAAGCTTCCACACTGTGGAACAGGACCCAAACCGCTTACCACTACCAGTTCCGGCAGCCTGCTTTTATTCTCTTATCTGGCCCCACCCACATCCTCCTGATTGGTCCATTTTACAGAGAGCCTATTGGTCTGTTTTAGAGAGAGCTGATTGGTCCATTTTGACAGGGTGCTGATTGGTGCGTTTACAATCCCTGAGCTAGACACAAAAGTTCTCCACGTCCCCACTGGATTAGCTAGATACAGAGTGCTGATTGGTGTATTTACAAACCCTGAGCTAGACACAGAGTGCCGATTGGTGCATTTACAAACCTTGAGCTAGATACAGAGTGCTGATTGGTGTATTTACAATCCCTTAGCTAGATATAAAGGTTGTCCAAGTCCCCACTAGACTCAGGAGCCCAGCTGGCTTCACCCAGTGGATCCTGCAAGGGCCGCAGGTGGAGCTGCCTGCCAGTCTGGCGCCTTGCGCTTGCACTCCCCAGTCCTTGAGCAGTTGATGGGACTGGGCTCCGTGGAGTAGGGGGCTGTGCTCGGGTGCACTGCGCAGGAGCCCACGGCAGAGCGGGGAGGCTCAGGCATGGCGGGATGCAGGTCCTGAGCCCTGCCCCACGGGGAGGCAGCTAAGGCCCAGAGAGAAATCGAGCACAGCCCTGGTGGGCCAGCACTGCTGGGGGACCCAGTGCACCCTCCACAGCTGCTGGCCTGGGTGCTAAGCCCGTCACTGCCCGGGGCCGGCAGGGCCGGCCAGCTGCTCCGAGTGCGGGCCTGCCGAGCCGACGCCCACCCAGAACTTGGGCTGGCCTGCAAGCGCTGCTTGCAGCCCTGGCTCCTGCCCGTGCCTCTCCCTCCACACCTCCCTGCAAGCACAGGGAGCCGGCTCCGGCCTCGGCCAGCCCAGAAAGGGGCTCCCACAGTGCAGCAGTGGGCTGAAGGGCTCCTCAAGTGTGGCCAGAGTGGGCACCGAGGCTGAGGAGGCGCCAAGAGTGAGCGAGGGCTGCCAGAACGCTGTCACCTCTCACTATGATCTAGGTTAGTGGATCCAAGAGGGCCCAGTTCTGGGAGGCTAAGTTGCTCCTTACTGGCCCAGATAAAGGGGAGGTTTTCAACATGCTAATCTGGCTGAGGGCTTATGAGACTATTTGCTTGTGACCCATTTAGCCTCTCTTGTCTTCTCCATGGGGAAGTTACACAATTTATTTTGGACAGGCCAAGCTCATCTTTCATAAAGTGGCAGCCTTTATCCTGTATTGTTTCCACTGATTAATGCCAGTAGGTTCTTATCTGTCTTGACCAGATGCTGCTGTGAGGTGCTAAACCTGTGCCCTTATTCACAGGAAATGCAACCCCGCCCCCACCACCACCCTGGGATTCATTGACATCATAGTCAGTGGAAGAAGTAACTTCATGCCCATGTACCTTCACAAGAGTCCAAATCCCTTCACTTTGTTCAGAGAGGATTACAGACACCCAAGGCTGTTGTGTTGTCCATAGCTAAGCTTGGCAAATGGGCCCACACAAGAGAGTCACTTACCATAGTATCCTTAACATTCTGCTTCTAGATCCTGTAATTGAAATGTGTATCCAGGTTGTTTCATCTCTCATACATTGTGAATACTTTTCCTTTCTGTTCTGAGATACCAAAGAGATACTTTTCCTCTTACTCAAATCCTACTACAAAACATAATGTTCTAATTTACATTCCACTTAGGCTTTCTCTCTTTTTATATGACTGAGAAGATCTCCCAATAACAGTGTGCTCTTGCACAAAGTGCAAAGTAATGAAACTAGTACAACAGAGGACAACGTACAATGCTCTGAAACCATTTTATGCACCATCATGTAATTATTTGATTGTTCCATTTTATTGTTTAACATGTAGTGGTAAAGCCTTAGGTATCAGAAACTTCATGTGGAACTGGCCCCACTTGATCAATTATTGGAATATAGGAGGTGTGACATACTACTTTGAGGTGTGAATACTGCTTTGAGGTGGCACACTGCTTGCAGGAGGCATGACCACTGCTTTGAGCCTTTGCTGCCATTCCAACACCATGGGAGAATTACAAGCTTTATATCCTGGTATGCGTACAATTATTCATAGAACTAGTCAGCTTCAAAGTTCTAAATGGAATGTCTATTGTTGTGGTTGCTTGTATCTGCCCATCTTAGATTCTTCCTAGCAATAATTCTGAGAGACTCTGGATTGTGGGCCGAATGGAGAATGAAGCCTTTTCAAATTCACCTCCCAGGTAGCCAATGACATGTAGTTTCCAGAGACTAACGTGCTTCAAATGTTGATCTCTATAACTACTACATACTCCCTTTTGTTTATGCATATGTTCCTATTCACGAACTACCTAATGGGGACCTTAAACTCATACTAGGTATCTTAAACAGTGTGAACTGCTGTAACAAATACCATAGACTGGGTGACTTATAATAACAGAAACTGGTTTCTGTACTTCCAGAGGCTGGGAAGCCCAGAATTAAACAGATTTGGTGTCTGATGAGGGTTCACTTCCTCACAGATGACCAACTTCTCACTGTAACCTCACAGGGCAGAAGCGGGGAGGGGTCTTTCTGGGGTCTATTTCTATAAGGGCATTGCTCCCAATTCTGAGAACTCCTCCCTTGTGGCCTAATCATCTTCCAAAAGCCCTACTTCCTAAAACCTCTGGGAGTTAGGACTTTAACATATTAATTTCAGAAAGATATATTCAGTCCATTGGACTGGGAAACTGTAGTATTCAGAATTTATTACTTTGCTGATGCTTCATTGTTGCCCATATAATATAAAAGAATATTGTGATGTATTTTTAGAGACATTGCCTAGGATTCCAGGTTTGGGACAAATCTCTGAGCTTCCACTCAGTACAAAGTGTCCAAAAATAGGAAGAAGACATTTATGTTCTTCTCTAGAGAGAAGAAAAACGAATGCCATAGTTGGAGTGTAACAAAGCCTCCAACTTCATCTTACATCTAACTTGAAAATCACCATGTATATGAAATATGTCTGACCCTGAATGAACCTCTTCTCTCCTACTCTAATTGATACTCCTCTTTCCCAATCCATTATTTATGTCAACTATTCCTGCCATTCCTCTTCTTTAGGATACCTGGATTCACTTTATAGCTCTTCCATGTATAAATCTAATGGATAACACAACATCTCTGAGGCTCATATTTTGATCCATAAAACTGGGATCAGAGTTGACCTACAAATGATCTGCAAGTTTCTACAGTGAACCCACTAGGAAACACTTCTAGAGATAAGAGTGTTTCATAAGTATGAGACCTCATGATGGAAAGTCTGAATTTTCTTTCAAAATTAAGAAACCTATATATTTGGGTGAAGCATAATGCAAAATCATATTCCTTCTAAGACTTCAGGAGAACTTTCCAACTAATATAATTGTGTGATTATTACTATTCTTTGAAGATCTGTGATTTAGAAAGTATTTAAACCATGAGTGTTTAAAAACTGTTTGTATTTTAGGTTCACTGACAGCAATATATTACTTTATCAAATTAAATAGACTTAAGAATAATACAACAATGTAACATTGAGATTCTTTGACAAAACAACTGGAAGACCACCAGTTTGTCTGGCATAATTAAATATTTTGTCTGGTGACATGTATGTTTAAAAATCAATATAGTTATACTTATTAGCAAGTATTAAAACATATATACACATATGCACTGTATATGCACACATGTAGACAACATGAAAAACAGTAATATACTTAATAAAACATAAAAATTAATAAATACATACATATCTGGGATTTTTAAATTAAGTACATTGCCATTCATGTATATGAAATATTTATGTACTTACCATTATACATAGATGTGACATAGTTCTTATTTGTTTTAATTTCAAATAATAGTCTCTATGTACAATTTCATATGCACAAAACAATTCAGAATAAGGGCTCCAAAAATCTGTGCCTCAAAGAAAGCAGTCAGAACCCAGGTAAAAATGGTCAAAACCAAAATTTTAGAACTCCGAACATTAACCAATGACCTCAATCTAAAGGTCATCTTAAAAAATGTGAAACTATCATAGAACAGTGAGCTGTGGAATTTCAACTTGTTCTATTTCCATCCTCCAATCCCCAGATTCACAGAAGATTTGCAAACCAACAGCTCTGTAGTCACAGTAGCCATGATGTAATCAACAGAAAAATTCCACCTAAAGATGTGTATGTCATATTCCCCAAAACCATAAACATATTATCTTACACATTATTAATGTCAACATAATGTCTATGGAATGAATCCAGTGACATATACTTTAGAGACACAATGTTCTCAAAGTTTTTACACTTGCAAAAAAAAAAAAAAAAAAAAAAAACGCCACCTTGGACTGAAAAACAGAAAGAAGAAATCAAAGAAATTTGTTGGACTCCCGAAATGCTATAAACAGAATATTGCCTAATAAAATTACTCAGCTGAAAACACATGCTTACCTTTTTTTGTTTGTCATAGATGGCTCTTATTATTTTGAGGTATATTCTTTCACTGCCTAGCTGTTGAGTGTTTTTAACATGAAGGAATATTGAATTTTTATCAAAAGCCTTTTTTATGTCTATTGAAATGATCATGTGGTTTTTGTTCTTAGTTCTGTTTATGTGATGAATCACATTTCGTGAATTGCATATGCTGAACCAATCTCGCATTACAGGATTAAAGCCTACTCAATCATGATGGATTAGCTTTTTGATGTGCTACTGGATTTGGTTTGCATATTTTGTTGAGGGGTTTTACAACAGGGATATTGTTCTGAAGATTTTCATTTGTAGTGTTTCTGCCAGATTTTGGTATGAGAATAATGCTGGCCTCCTAAAATGAGTTAGAAGATAGTCCCTCCTCCTCAATTTTTTGCAATAGTTCCAGTGGGACTGTTATCATCTATTATTTGTATATCTTGTAGAAATAGCCTAGTCCAAGGCTTTTTCTTGTTGGTAGGTTTTTTATTACTCATTCAGTTTTGGATCTTGTTTTTGGTCTGTTCAGGATTTCAATTTCTTCCTGGTTTAATGTTGGGAGGTCATGTATTTCCAGAAATTTATTTATTTCTTCTAGATTTTCTAATATGTGTACATAGAAGTGTTTGTAACGGTCTTTGAGACTTTTTTTTTGTATTTCTGTGGGGTCCATATTAATGTCTCCTTTGTCATTTATGATTATGTTTATTTGGATTTTCTCTTTTTTTCTTTATTCATCTAGCTAGTGGTCTATCAAAGCAAGCTTGATTTTTCTTTTAAAAAACCAAGTTTTGGTCTAAGTTAATCTTTTGTATGGTTTTTCACATCTCATATTCATTCAATTAGCTCTGGTTTTGGTTATTTCTTTTCTTCTGTGAGCTTTGGGGTTGGTTTCCTCTTCTTTTTTTTTAAAATTCCTCCAGGTGTGATGTTAGCTTGTTAATTTGAGTACTTTCTAACTTCTTGATGTACCTGTTTGGCACTATAAACTTTCCCCTTCCTACTTCTTTAGCTGTGTCCCAGAGATTCTGGTGTGTTTTATCTTTGTTTTCATTAGTTTCAAATTTTTTTTGATCTGACTTAATTTTATTCTTTACCCAAAAGTCATTCAGGAGCAAGCTGTTTAATTTCCATGTAATTGTATGGTTTGGATATATCTCCTTAGTATTGATTTATATTTTTATTGCACTGTAGTCCAAGACTGTGATGAGTATGATTTTTTTTTAAATTTTTTGTGAATTGCTTTATGCACAAGTATGTGGTTGATCTTAGAGTATGTGCTGTGTGGAGATGAGAAGAATGTATACCTGTCGTTGTTGTGTGGATTATTCTATAGATGTCTGTTACATCTGTTTGGTCAAGTGTTGAGTTTAAGTCCTGAATAGCTTCATTAGTTTTCTGCAGAGTATTGTTGCCAGTGGACTGGGAACACCTCAGCCTCTCCGATGCAGTGAGTATTTGATCTCAAGGGGCCAGCACATACAACTGAAGGCCTGTTTCCAGGTCAGTAGGGTCGGAACATACAGCTGAGAATTGCTGATCTGAGCCTCAGAGCCATGTAAGCATTCAGAAATGAAGCCAGTTGACTAAACCCAACTTATAACACAGTCAAATCCTTCAGGGCATCAAAGGATACAAAAACACAAAGACCCATCCAAAGGACAGCAACCTCAAAGATTAAATGAACACCAGTCCACACAGATGAGGAAAAGACAGTGCAGGAACTCTGAAAACTCTTAAAGCCAGAGTGTCTTCTTACCTCCAATCAACTGCAGTAGCTCCTGGTTCTTGGTCACACTGAAATGGCTGAAGTGACAGACATAGAATTCAGAGTATGGATAGCAAGGAACCTCAAAGATACAGAAGCAGTTTGAAACCCAATTCAAGAAAACTAATAATATGATCCAAGAGTTGAAAAGTGGCATAGTCATTTTAAGGAAGCACCAAAATAGCTTCTGGAAATAAAAAATTCACTTCAGGAATTTAATAATGCAATTGGAAGCATTAACAACAGAGTAGAATGAACTGAAGTAAGAATCTCAGAGCTTGAAGAACATTCCTTTGACTCAATGCAGGCAGACAAAATTTAATATTTTTTTAAATGAAGAACACATCTGAGAAATAAGGGATTACGTAAACAGAACAAGCTTATGACTCATTGGCATTCTTGAAAATGATGGAGAAAGAGCAAGCACTTGGAAAACATTGTTGAAGATATTGTCCAAGAAAATTTCCCCAACTCCACTAGAGAATTTTCAGTGTGAAAATTTAAGAAATTCAGAGAACCCTGTAAGATACTGTACAAGAAAAACATCCCCGAGACACATAGTTATCAGGTTTTCTAAGTCAATGCAAACAAACCAACAAAAAAATCTTAAAGGCAACTAGAGAGAAGGGGCAGATCACCTAAAAAAGGAACCCTAGTAGTCTAACAGCAGAAGTTTTAGAAGAAACCACACAAGCCAGAAGAGATTGGGGAGCTACATTCAGCATTATTAAAGAAAAGAAATTCCAACCAAGAATTTTATATTCACCCAAATTGAGCTTCAAATGTGAAGAAGAAATGATATCTTTTTTAGGCAAGCAAATTCTAAGGAATTTGTTACCAGTAGGCCTGCCTTACAAGAAGTCTTTAAGGGAGTGCTAAACATGGAATCAAAAGAACTGTAGCTGTCTCCACAAAAACATACTTAAGTGCATAGCCCACTGACACTATAAAGCAACTATACAATCAGGTCTATATAATAACCAGCTAACAACATGATGACAGCATCAAATTCTCACATATCGATATTGATTTTGAATGTAGATGGGCTAAATGCCCTACCTAAAAGGCAGAGAGTGGCAAGCTGAATAAAGAAGCAAGACCCAACCATATACTGTCTTCAAGAGACCCATCTCAACTGTAATGACACCCACAAGCGCAAGGTAGAGGGATGGAGAAATATCTATTAAGCAAATGGAAAACGAAAAACAGCAGGAATTGATATTCTTATTTCAGATCAAGCAGACTGTAAATAACCTAAAAAGTCAAAGCATTACATAACAAGAAAGTGTTCAATTCAACAAAAAGACTTAACTATCCTAAATATATGTAAACCCAACACTGGAACACCCAGATTCATAAAACAAGTTCTTAGAGTTCTGCAAAGAGACTTAGATAACCACAATTAGATAATCACAATAATAGGGGGAGTCTTCAACATCTCATTGACAGTGTCAAACAGATCTACGAGGCATGCTTCATTTTCAAAGAAGGAAGGAAGTATTCTCATGGCAGAGTTGTCAGCCCAGAATGCAGAGAGCTCTCAGCCCAGAGAATGGAGCTGACAACCACAAAGGAATATTCTCAGGCCTTGAGAGCTAATGGAGTTTGCTTTGCTGAATTTCAAATTTCCTCCAAATGGTGGTTCCTCTTTTTCTTCTATTTTTTCCCCCTTTTGAATACAAACATCTATAATAGGTATCCTATACATGTCCCATTATTGTGTTTTGGGAGCACTAACTACTTTTCCAGTTTCAGAAGTCCACAGTAAGAGAGAAATTTTGACCCAGATGGATCATTCTCAAAATTATTATCAACATATGGTCTACATGAAAAGATCTGGGACTTTTATGATGAGATTTTTGGACTTGAGTAGATGCTGTAATGTGTTGAGGTTTTGGAGACCCGGAATGGGGTAAATGTGCCTTGCATGTGAGATGGCTATGAATCTTTTGAAGCAAGTGGGAGAAATATAGTAGAGAGAAAAATAGTTCCCAGCATGTTCATATTATACTCCCTGGAAATCATAAATGTATTGCCTACATGGAAAAAGGTAGCTTCAATCATGACTAATTGAAGGATCTCTAGATGGGAGATTATTCCACACCATCTGGGTGGGTCTTCTGTAATGGCAAAGGTCCTTATGAGAGATCACAAGGTCAGAAGATTAGAAGATCGAAAAGGCAAACAAGTATTCTTTATATAGTTTCTGGAACAATAACTGTGAGGAATCATTTAAGACTTCGGACCTCCAGAAATGAAAGACAATACACTTGTATTCCTTTAAACTACTGTTTGTGTTAATTTGTTACAACAGAGAGAAAGAGAGAAATTAGTAAATGTGAAAACTAGCAGCCAAGCAATCAGTCACTGGAGGGAACAGAACATGATTGGACCTCTCTAAAATTTTTATCCTCTAAGAATTGCTGCCATTTTACTGGTCTACAAGTTCCCTTGAAAATCCATTTGCAGAGCTTGTCTTTATTTGACCTAACTCTGAGCTCAGTCAGTGAAAAGAAATAACGTTTCCCCACATAGCTGTTTTTAATATATATTTTATTTTATTTTAAGTTCTGGGATACATGTGCAGGACATGCAGGTTTGTTACATAGGTAAATGTGTGCCATGGTGGTTTGCTGCAACCATCAAGCCATCACCTAGGTATTAAGCCCCACATGCATTAGCTATTTATCCTGATGCTATCTCCCCTACTACTGCCCCAACATGCCCCAGTGTATGTTGCTCCCCTCCCTGTGTCTATGTGCTCTCATTGTTGAGCTCCCACTTATGAGTGAGAACAAGCTGTGTTAGGTTTTCTGCTCCTGTGTTTGTTTGCTGAGAATGATGGCTTCCAGCTCCATCCATGTCCTGCAAAGGACATGATCTCATTCCTTTTTATGGCTGCGTAGTATTCCATGGTGTATATATACCATATTCTTTTTATCCAGTCTATCATTGATGAGCATTTGGGTTGATTCCATGTCTTTGCTATTGTGAATAGTGCTGCAATTAACATACATGTGCGTTTATCTTTATAATAGAATGATTCATATTCCTTCTGTTATATACCCAGTAATGGGATAGGTGGGTCGAATGGTATTTCTGGTTCCAGATCCTTGAGGAGTCACCACACTGTCTTCCACAATGGTTTAGTTTAGATTCCCACCGACAGTGTAAAAGCATTCCTATTTCTCCACAGCCTCGCCAGCATCCATTGTTTCTTGACTTTTCAGTAATCATTCTGACTGGCATGAGATGGTATCTCATTGTGGTTTTGATTTGCATTTCTCTAGTGATCAGTGATGTTGAGCTTTTTTTCATGTTTGCTGGCCACATAAATGTCTTATTTTGAGAAGTGGCTGTTCATGTCCTTTGCCCACTTTTTGATGGGGTTGGTTTTTTTCTTGTAAATTTGTTTAAGTTCCTTGTAGATTCTGGATATTAGACATTTGTAAGATAGAAAGACTGCAAAACTTTTCTCTCACTCATTAGGTTATCTGTTCACTCTGATGCTAATTTCTTTTGCTGTCCAGAAGCTCCTTAGTTTAATTAAGTCCCGTTTGTTAATTTTTACTTTTGTTGCAATTGCTTTTGATGTATTTGTCATGAAATATTTTCTCATTCTTGTCCTAAATGGCATTGCCTAGATTTTCTTCATGGGTTTTTATAGTTTTTGTTTTTACATTTAAGTCTTTAATCCATCTTGAGTTAATTTTTGTGTAAAATATAAGGAAGGGGTCCAATTTCAATATTCTGCATATGGCTAGCCAGTTTTCCCACTTATTTTTATTAAATAGGGAATAATTTTCCTTTCCCCATTTCTTGTTTTTGTCAGGTTTGTCAAAGATCAGATGGTTGTAGATGTCTGGTCTTATTTCTGAGATCTCTATTCCATTCCATTCATCTGTATGTCTGTTTTGGTACCAGTACCTTGCTGTTTTGGTTACTATAGCCTTGTAAAATAGTTTGAAGTCATGTAGCATGATGCCTCCAGCTTTGTTCTTTTTGCTTAGGATTGTCTTGGCTATAAGGGCTCTTTTTTGGTTCCATATGAAATTTAAAGCAGTTTTTTTTCTAATTCTGTGAAGAATGTCAATGGTAGTTTAATGGAAGTAGCATTAAATTTATAAATTATTTTGGGCAGTTTGGCCATTTTTATGATATTGATTCTTCCTGTTCACAAGCATGGAATGTTTTTCCATTTGTTTGTGTCTTCTCTTATTTCCTTGAGCAATGGTTTGTAGTTCTTCTTGAAGATGTCCTTCACATCCCTTGTTAGTTGTATTTCTAGGTATTTTATTCTCTTTGTAGCAATTGTAAATGGGAGTTCATTCATGATCTGGCTCTCTGCTTGTCTATTCTTTGGTCTATAGGAATGCTTATGATTTTTACACATTGCTTGATTTTGTATCCTGAAATTTTGCTGAATTTGCTTATCAGCTTAAGAAGCTTTGGGGTTGAGATAATGGGGTTTTCTAAATATAGGATCATGTCATTTGCAAACAGAGACAATTTGACTTCCTCTCTTCCTATTTGAATACCCTTTATTTCTATCTCTTGCCTGATTTCCCTGGCCAGAACTTCCAATACTATGTTATACAGGAGTAGTGAGAGAGAGTATCCTTGTCTTGTGCTGGTTTTCAAAGGGAATTCTTCCAGCTGTTGCCCATTCAGTATGATATTGGCTGTGGGTTCATCATAAATGGCTCTTATTATTTTGAGATATGTTCCATCAGTACTTAGTTTATTGAGAGTTATTGACATGAAGGGATGTTGAATGGTATTGAAGGCCTTTTCTATGTCTATTGAAATAATCATGTAGGTTTTGTCATTAGTTCTGTTTATGTGATGAATTATGTTTATTGATTTGCATATGTTGAACCAGCCTTGCATCCCGGGTATGAAGCTGACTTGATCGTGGTGGATAAACTTTTTGATGGGCTGCTGGATTCAGTTTGCCAGTATTTTATTGAGGATTTTAGCCTTGATGTTCATCAGGAATATTTGCCTGAAGTTTTCTTTTTTTGTTGTATCTCTGCCAAGTTTTGGTATCAGGGTTACGCTGCCTCCTAAAATGAATTAAGGAGGAGTCCTTCCTTTCAGTTGTTTGGAATAGTTTCAGAACGAATGGTACCAGTCCCTCTTTGTATTTCTGGTAGAATTCAGCTGTAAATCTATCTTGTCCTGGGTTTTTTTTTGGTAGGCAATTTATTACTGCCCCTATAGTAGAAATTGTTATTGGTCTATTCAAGGATTCAACTTCTTCCTGGTTTAGTCTTGGGATGGTGTATATGTCCAGGAATTTATCCATTTCTTCTATATTTTCTAGTTTATTTGTATAGAGGTGTTTATAATATTCTCTGATGGTTTGTTGTATTTCTGTGGAGTCATTGGTGATATCCCCTTTATCATTTTTTATTGTGTCTATTTGATTCTTCTCTCTTTTCTTCTTTATTAGTCTAGCTAGCAGTCTATATTTTATTAATATTTTCAAAAAAAAAAAGCTCCTGGATTCATTGATTTTTTTTGAAGGGTTTTTCATGTCTCTGTCTCCTTCAGTTCCACTCTGATCTTGGTTATTTCTTGTTTTCCACTAGCTTTTAGATTTATTTGTTCTTGCTTCTCTAGTTCTTTTAGTTGTGATGTTAGGGTGTCAATTTGAGATCTTTCTAGCTTTGTGATGTGGGCATTTAGTGCTATAAATTTCCCTCTTAACACGGCTTTAGCTGTGTCCCAGAGATTTGGGTACATTGTCTCTTTGTTCTCATTGGTTTCAAATAACTTCTTGATTTCTGCCTTAATTTCATTATTTACTGATACAGTTTGGCTCTGTGTCTCCACCCAAATCTCATCTTGTAGCACCCATAATTTCCACATGTTGTGGGAGAGACCATAAGAGATGATTGAATCATGGGGGTGGGTCTTTCCCATGCTGTTCTCATGATAGTGAATGGGTCTCACAAGATCTGATGGTTTTAAAAATGGGAGCTTCTCTGCACTAGCTCTCTTTTTGCCTGCTGCCATTCATGTAAGACGTGACTTGCTCCTCCTTGCCTTCCGCCATGATTGTGAGGCTTCCCCAGCCACATGGAACTGTAAGTCCAATTAAACCTCTTTTATAAATTGCCCAGTATCGGGTATGTCTTTATCAGCAGCATGAAAACAGATGAATACATTTACCCAGGAGTCATTCAGGAGTAGGTTGTTCAATCTTCAGATAGCTGTATGGTTTTGAGTGAGTTTCTTAATCTTGAGTTTTAATTTGATTGTGCTGTGGTCTGATAGACTGTTTGTTATGATTTTAGTTCTTTTGCATTTGCTGAGCAGTGTTCTACTTCCAGTTATGTGATTAATTTTAGAGTAAGAGTCATGTGGCACTAAGAAGAATGAATATTCTGTTGCCTTGGGGTGGAGAGTTCTGTAGATATCCATCAGAGTCCACTTGATCCAGAGCTGAGTTCAAGTATTAGATATTCTTGTTAATTTTATGTTTTGATGATCTGTCTAATATTTACAGTAGGTTGTTAAAGTCTCCCACTATTATTATGTGGGAGTCTAAGTCTCTTTGTAGGTCTCAAAGAACATGTTTTATGAATCTGTGTTCTCCTGTATTGGGCGCATATATATTTAGAATTGTTAGTGCTTTTTGTTGAATTCATCTCTTTACCATTATGTAATGTCCTCCTTTGTCCTTTTTGATCTTTGTTGGTTTAAAGTCTGTTTTGTCAGAGACAAGGATTGCAACCCCTCAACCCCTGCTTTTTTTTTTTTTCTTTCCAGTTGCTTGATGAATTTTCCTCCATCCCTTTATTTTGAGCCTGTGTGTGTCTTTGTACAGAAGATAGGTCTCCTGAATACAGCACACCAATGGGTCTCAACTCCTTATCCAATTTGCCAGTCTGTGTCTTTTAATTGGGGCATTTAGCCCATTTACGTTTAAGGTTAGTATTGTTATGTGTGAATTTGATCCTGTTATCATGATGCTATTTGGTTATATTGGACACTAGTTGCAGTTTCCTCATAGTGTCATTGGTCTTTATCTTTTGGTGTGTCTTTGCAGTAGCTAATACCAGTTTTTCCATGTCATATTTAGTGCTTTTTTCAGGAACTCTTGCAGGGCAGGACTGGTGGAAATGATAGCCCTCAGCATTTGCTTCTCTGAAAGGAATTTTATTTCTCCTTTGTTTATGAAGCTTAGTTTGGCCAGAAATAAAATTCTGTGTTGGAAATTCTTTTCTTTAAGAATGTTGAATATCAGCCACCACTCTCTTCTGGCTTATAGGGTTTCTCTTGAGAGGTCTGTTGTTAGTCTGATGGGCTTCCCTTTGTAGGAAACCAGGCCTTTCTCTCTGGCTGCCCTTAACAGTATTTCCTTCATTTCAACCTTGGAGAATCTGACGATTATTTGTCTTGGAGTTGATCTTTTCATAAAGCATCTTAATGGTGTTCTCTGCATTTGCCAAATTTGCATGTTGGCCTGTCTTGCTAGGTTGGGGAAGCTCTTCTGGATGATATCCTGAAGTGTGTTTGCCAACTTATTTCCATTCTCTCTGTCTTTTTCAGGTACTCCAGTCAGCCATAGGTTCAGTCTTTTTTCGTAATCCCATAGTTGTCGGAGGTTTTGTTCATTCCTTTTCATTCTTTTTTCTCTAATCTTGTATGCCTGCCTTATTTCAGCAAGATAGTCTTCAAGCTCTGATATTTTATTTTCTGCTTCATCGATTTGGCTATTTTACTTGTGTTTGCATCACAAAGTTCTTGTGCTGTGTTTTTCAGCTCCATCAGGTCATTTATCTTCCTCTCTAAACTGGTTATTCCAGTTAGCAGCTCCTATAACCTTCTATCATGGTTCTTAGCTTCTTTAGATTGGGTTAGAACATGCTTCTTTAGCTCAGTGAAGTTTGTTATTACCCATCTTCTGAAGCCTACTTCTGTCAATTGATCCATCTCAGCCTTCACCGAGTTCTGTGCTCTTGCTGGAGAGATGTTGTAATCATTTGGAGGAGAAGAGGCACTCTGGCCATTTGCATTTTTAGTGTTTTTTTCTTTGATTCTTTCTCGTCTTCATGAATTTGTGTAGTTTTGATCTTTGAGGCTGCTGACCTTTAGATGGGGTTTTGTGGGTATTTTTTTGTTGATGCTGTTGTTACTGCTTCCTGCTTGTTTGCTTTTCTTTCAACAGTCAGGCCCCTCTTCTCTAGGGCTGCTGAAGTTTGCTAGGGGTTTACTTCAGGCCCTATTCACCTGGGTTCCTCCCTCACTTAGATACATCACCCGAAGAGGCTGGAGAACAGCAAACAGCAAAGATGGGTGCCTGCTCCTTCCTCGGGGAATCTTTTTCCTTGAAGAGTACCAACCTGATACCAGTAGTAACATTATATATATATATATATATATATATATATACACATGTATATATATATATATATATACATACATGTGTATATATATATATATTAAGTTTAAGTTCTAGGGTACATGTGTACAACATGCAGATTTGTTACATAGGTATACATGTGCCATGTTGGTTTGCTGCACCCATCAACTCGTCATTTACATTTGGTATTTCTCCTAATGCTATCCCTCCCCCAGCCCCCCACCCCCCGTTCACCACGTTCATTGTTCAATTCCCACCTACGAAGTGTCTGTTCATATCCTTTGCTCACTTTTTGATGGGGTTGTTTGTTTTTTTTCTTGTAAATTTGTTTAAGTTCTTTGTAGATTCTGGATATTAGCCCTTTGTCAGATGGGTAGATTGCTGAGATGATGGGGTTTTCTAAATATACAATCATGTCATCTGCAAACAGGGACAATTTGACTTCCTCCTTTCTTACTGGAATACCCTTTATTTCTTTCTCCTGCCTGATTGCCCTGGCCAGAACTTCCAACACTATGGTGTTTGATTTTCTGTTCTTGTGATAGTTTTCTGAGAATGATGGTTTCCAGCTTCATCCATATCCCTGCAAAGGACATGAACTCATCATTTTTTATGGCTGCATAGTATTCCACGGTGTGTATATGCCACATTTTCTTAATCCAGTCTATCACTGATGGACATTTGGGTTGGTTCCAAGTCTTTGCTATTGTGAATAGTGCTGCAATAAATATACGTGTTCATGTGTCTTTATAGCAGCCTGATTTATAATCTTTGGGTATATACCCAGTAATGGGATGGCTGGGTCAAATGGTATTTCTAGTTCTAGATCCTTGAGGAATTGCCACACTGTTTTCCACAATGTTTGAACTAATTCACAGTCCCACCAACAGTGTAAAAGTGTTCCTATTTCTCCACATCCTATCCAGCATCTGTTGTTTCCTGACTTTTTAATGATCACCATTCTAGCTGGCATGAGATTGTATCTCATTGTGGTTTTGATTTGCATTTCTCTGATGACCAGTGATGATGAGCATCTTTTCATGTGTCTGTTGGCTGCATAAATGTCTTCTTTTGAGAAGTGTCTGTTCATATCCTTTGCTCACTTTTTGATGGGGTTGTTTGTTTTTTTCTTGTAAATTTGTTTAAGTTCTTTGTAGATTCTGGATATCAGCCCTTTGTCAGATGGGTAGATTGCAAAAATTTTCTCCCATTCTGTAGGTTGCCTGCTCACTCTGATGGTAGTTTCTTTTGCCATACAGAAGCTCTTTAGTTTAATTGATCCAATTTGTCTATTTTGGCTTTTGTTGTCATTGTTTTTGGTGTTTTAGTCATGAAGTCCTTGCCCATGCCTATGTCCTGAATGGTATTGCCTAGGTTTTCTCCTAGGGTTTTTATGGTTTAGGTCTAAAATTTAAGTCATTATTCCATCTTGAATTAATTTTTGTATAAGGTGTAAGGAAGGGATCCAGCTTCTGCTTTCTACATATGGCTAGCCAGTTTTCCAAGCACCATTTATTAAATAGGAAATCCTTTCTTCATTTTTTGTTCTTGTCAGGTTTGTCAATCAGATGGTTGTAGATGTGTGGTGTTATTTCTGAAGCCTCTGTTCTGTTCCATTAGTCTATATATCTGTTTTTATACCAGTAGCATGCTGTTTTGGTTACTGTAACCTTGTAGTATAATTTGAAGTCAGGTAGTGTGATGCCTCCAGCTTTGTTCTTTTTGCTTAGGATTGTCTTCACAATGCAGTCTCTTTTTTGGTTCCATATGAACTTTAAAGTAGTTTTTTCCAACTCTGTGAAGAAAGTCATTGGTAGCTTGGTGGGAATGGCATTGAATCTATAAATTACCTTGGGCAGTATGGCCATTTTCACAATACTGATTCTTCCTATCCATGAGCATGGAATGTTCTTCCATTTGTTTGTGTCCTGTCTTATTTCCTTGAGCAGTGGTTTGTAGTTCTCCTTGAAGAGGTCCTTCACATCCTTTGTAAGTTCAATTCCCAGGTATTTTATTCTGTTTGTAGCAATTGTGAATGGGAGTTCACTGATGACTTGGCTGTCTGTTTGTTATTGGTGTATAGGAATGCTTGTGATTTTTGCACATTGATTTTGTATCCTGAGACTTTGCTGAAGTTGCTTATCAGCTTAAGGAGATTTTGGGCTGAGATGATGGGGTTTTCCAAATATACAATCATGTCATCTGCAAACAGGGATAATTTGACTTCCTATTTTCCTAATTGAATACCCTTTATTTCTTTCTCTTGCCTGATTGCCCTGGCCAGAACTTCCAACACTATATTGAATAGGAGTGGTGAGAGAGGGCATCATTGTCTTGTGCCAGTTTTCAAAGGGAATGCTCCCAGTTTTTGCCCATTCAGTATGACATTGGCTGTGGGTTTGTCCAAAATAGCTCTTATTATTTTGAGATACGTACCATCAATACCTAGTTTATTGAGAGTTTTTAATATGAGGAGCTGTTGAATTTTTTGAAGGCCTTTTCTGCATCTATTGAGCTAATCATGTGTTTTTTGTCATTGGTTCTGTTTATGTGATGGATTATGTTTATTGATTTGCATATGTTGAACCACCCTTGCATCCCAGGTATGAAGCTGACTTGATCATGGTGGATAAGCTTTTTGATGTGCTGCTGGATTCGGTTTGCCAGTATTTTATTGAGGATTTTCACATCAATGATCATCAGGGATTTTGGTCTAAAATTTTCTTTTTTTGTTGTGTCTCTGCCAAGCTTTGGTATTAGGATGATGCTGGCCTTATAAAATGAGTTAGGGAGGATTCCCTCTTTTTCTATTGATTGGAATAGTTTCAGAAGGAATGGTACCATCTCCTCTTTGTACCTCGGTAGAATTCAGCTGTGAATCCATCTGGTCCTGGACTCTTTTTCATTGGTAGGCTATTATTGCCTCAATTTCAGAGCCTGTTATTGGTCTATTCAGAGATTCAACTTCTTCCTGGTTTAGTCTTGGGAGGTTGTATGTGTCCAGGAATTTATCCATTTCTTCTAGATTTTCTAGTTTATTTTCGCAGAGGTGTTTATAGTTTTCTCTTATGGTAGTTTGTATTTCTGTGGGGTCGGTGGTGATATCCCCTTTATGATTTCTTTATTGCGTCTGTTTGATTCTTCTCTCTTTTCTTCTTTATTAGTCTTGCTGGTGGTCTATCAGTTTTGTTGATCTTTTCACAAAGCCAGATCCTGGATTCATTGATTTTTTGAAGGGTTTTTTGTGTCTCTATCTCCTTCAGTTCTGCTCTGATCTTAGTTATTTCTTGCCTTCTGCTAGCTTTTGAATGTGTTTGCTGTTGCTTCTCTAGTTCTTTTAATTGTGATGTTAGCGTGTTAATTTTAGATTTTTCCTGCTTTCTCTTGTGGGCATTTAGTGCTATAAATTTCCCTCTACATACGGCTTTGAATGTGTCCCAGAAATTCTGGTACACTTTGTCTTTGTTCTCATTGGTTTCAAAGAACATCTTTATTTTTGCCTTCATTTTGTTATTTACCCAGTAGTCATTCAGGAGCAGGTTGTCCAGTTTCCATGTAGTTGTGTGGTTTTGAGTGAGTTTCTTAATCCTAAGTTCTAATTTGATTGTACTGTGGTCTGAGAGACAGTTGGTTGTTATTTCTCTTCTTTTACATTTGCAGAGGAGTGCTTTACTTCCAATTATGTGGTCAATTTTAGAATAAGTGCAATGTGGTGCTGAGAAGAATGTATATTCTACTGATTTGGGGTGGAGAGTTCTGTAGATGTCTATTAGATCTGCTTGGTGCAGAGCTGAGTTCAAGTCCTGGATATCCTTGCTAACATTCTGTCTCATTGATCTGTCTAATATTGATAGTGGAGTGTTGAAGTCTCCCATTATTATTGTGTGGGAGTCTAAGTCTCTTTGTAGGTCTCTAAGGACTTGCTTTATGAATGCTCCTGTACTGGGTGCATATATATTTAGGATAGTTAGCTCTTCTTGTTGAATTGATCCCTTTACCATTATGTAATGGCCTTCTTTGTCTCTTTTGATCTTTGTTGGTTTAAATTCTGTTTTACCAGAGAGTAGGATTCCAACCCCTGCTTTGTTTTGCTTTTCATTTGCTTGGTAGATCTTCCTGCATCCCTTTATTTTGAGCCTATGTGTGTCTCTGCACGTGAGATGGGTCTCCTGACACAGCACACTGATGGGTCTTGACTCTTTATCCAATTTGCCAGTCTGTGTCTTTTAATTGGGGCATTTAGTCCATCTACATTTAAGGTTAATATTGTTATGTGTGAATTTGATCCTGTCGTGATAATGTTAGCTGGTTATTTTGCCCGTTAATTGATGCAGTTTCTTCCTAGCATCAATGGTCTTTATAATTTGGCATGTTTTGCAGTGGCTGGTACCGGTTTTCCTTTCCATGTTTAGTGCTTCCTTCAGGAGCTCTTGTAAGGTAGGCCTGGTGGTGACAAAATCTCTCAAGATTTATTTGTCTGTAAACGATTTTATTTCTCCTTTACTTATGAAGCTTAGTTTGGCTGGATATGAAATTCTGGGTTGAAAATTCTTTACTTTAAGAATGTTGAATATCGGCCCCCACTCTCTTCTGGCTTGTAGAGTTTCTGCCGAGAGATCCGCTGTTAGTCTGATGGGCTTCCCTTTGTGGGTAACCCGACCTTTGTCTCTGGCTGCCCTTAACATTTTTTCCTTCATTTCAACCTTGGTGAATCTGACAATTATGTGTCTTGGGGTTGCTCCTCTCGAGGAGTATCTTTGTGGTGTTCTCTATGTTTCCTGAATTTGAACATTGGCCTGCCTTGCTAGGTTGGGGAAGTTCTCCTGGATAATATCCTGAAGAGTGTTTTCTAACTTGGTTCAATTCTCCTCGTCACTTTCAGGTACACCAATCAGATGTAGATTTAGTCTTTTCACATAGCTCCATATTTCTTGGAGGCTTTTTTTAGTTTCTTTTTACTCTTTTTTCTCTAAAATTGTATTCACATTTTATTTCATTAATTTGATCTTCAATCACCAATACCCTTTCTTCCACTTGATCGAATCAGCTACTGAAGCTTGTGCATGCATCTTGAAGTTCTCATGCCATGGTTTTTACCTCCATCAGTTCATTTAGGGTTTTCTCTACACTGTTTTTTCTAGTTAGCCATTCATCTAACATTTTATCAAGGTTTTTATTAGCTTCCTTGCAATGGGTTAGAACATGCTCCTTTAGCTCAGAGAAGTTTGTTATTACTGACCTTCTGAAGCCTATTTCTGTCATCTCGTCAAAGTAATTCTCCATCCAGCTTTGTTCCATTGCTGGTGAGCAGTTGCGATCCTTTGGAGGAGAAGGGGTGCTCTGGTTTTTAGAATTTTCTGCTTTGGTTTCTCCCTATCTTTGCGTTGGTCTTTGATGTTGGTGACCTACAGATGGGGTTTTGGTGTAGATGTCCTTTTTGTTGATGTTGATGCTATTCCTTTCAGTTTGTTAGTTTTCCTTCTAACAGTCAGGTCCCTCAGCTGCAGGTCTGTTGGAGTTTGCTGGAGGTCCACTCCAGACGCTGTTTGCCTGGGTATTACCAGTGGAGGCTGCAGAACAGTAAATATTGCAGAACAGCAAATATTGCTGCCTGATCCTTCCTCTGGAAGCTTCATCCCAGAGGGGCACCTGCCTGTATCAGGTGTGTGTCAGCCCCTACTGGGAGGTGTCTCCCAGTTAGGCTACACGAGGGTCAGAGACTCACTTGAAGAGGCAGTCTGCTCATTCTCAGAGCTCAAATGCTGTGCTGGGAGAACCACTGCTCTCTTCAGAGCTGTCAGACAGGGTGTTTAAGTCTGCAGAAGTTTCTGCTGTCTTTTGTTCAGCTATGCCCTGCCCACAAAGGTGAAATCTATAGAGGCTGTAGGCCTTGCTGAGCTGTGGTGGGCTCTGTCCAGTTCAAGCTTCCTGGCCACTTTGTTTACCTAGTCAAGCCTCAGCAATGGCTGACACCACTCCCTTAGCCAGGCTGCTGCCTCGCAGGTCAATCTCAGACTGCTGCACTAGCAGTGAGCAAGGCTCCATGGGTGTGGGACGTGCCGAGCCAGGCACGGGAGAGAATTTCCTAGTCTGCTGGTTGCTAAGACCATAGGAAAAGTGCAGTATTTGGGCCACGGTGTCCCTTTTTCCAGGTGCAGTCTCTCACGGCTTCCCTTGGCTAGGAAAGGGAAATCCCCCCACCCTTTGCACTTCCCAGGTGAGGTAACGCTCTGCCCTGCTTTGGGTCACCCTCCGTGGGCTGCACCCATTGTCCAACCAGTCCCAATGAGATGAACCAGGTCCCTCAGTTGAAAATGCAGAAATCCCCCATCTTCTGCATCGATCACGCTGAGAGCTGCAGACCAGAGCTGTTCCTATTTGGCCATCTTGGAACAGAACTCCAGCAACACTCTGGTATAAGGTGTCTGGTGACCTCTGTTTGCGGGGGTTCTCACCCAGCTGGGAGGCATGAGATCCGAGACCCACTTAACAAAGTACCCTGGCTGTCCCTTGGTCCAACAGGTGTGCTGTTCTTAGGGGAATCCCACTCATCTGGGCTGCCTGGATTCCTCAGAGCTACCAGGGGGAAAGACTAAGTCAGCTGGTCCATGGAGACCATGACTATCCTTCCCCCTAGGGGCTCAGGCCCAGGGAGACCAGAATTTTGGCCCTAAGCCCCTTGCTGGAGTGGCTGAAGTTTTTGCAGGGAGGCCCCACCCAGTAAGGAGGGATGCATCAGGGTCTGCCCTAAAGAGGCAGTCTGGTCGTGATCTGCCACAGCTGGTGTGCTGTACTATGGGGAGTGCCTTTTGAGTCTCCCAGGCACCAGCCGGGGAAATACAGTGGGCTGGAGCTGTAGTGATGGCTACTGCCCTTTCCTCCCAGTAGTTCAGCATCTTAGGCAGCTAGCAGCTGCAGTGAGGGCTGCTGTCCTTTTCCTGGGGAGCTCAGTTGTCTTAGGCAGCAGGCAGCTGCAGTGATGAAGGCTTCCCCTCCCCCTGGGAGCTCAGTAGTCCTAGGCAGATGCCAACTGAGTAGCTGTTGAGAATCTATGCAGCTCTGCGGTTGGGACCCAAGGCCCTGGTAGCATGGGCTCACAAGTGGGATCTCATGATCCATGGGTTGCACAGATCCATGGAAAAAGCACAGATCCCCAGGCTGGGTAGCATGAACACTCAGCGCCTCCCTTGGCTGGGGAATGGGAGCTCCCCCTGCCCCATGTGGCTCTCAGGTGAGGCGATGCACCACACTGCATTTCCTTACTCTCTGTGAGTCACACCAACTGCCTAGTCAGTCCTGATAGAACCTGAGGGTACCTCGGTTCCCAGTGCAGGATTCACACACTGTCTTCGTTCTTCTTGGTGGGAGCCTTTGATTGCAGCTGCTTCTTGTCAGCCTTCTTGGCCCAGTGCACCCCCCGGCGCCCCCGCTATATAACAGTTTTGGGAAATAATTAGTGGTAATTGTTTAACATGACAATTGAGTGAGGCCTTAATAATAGTTGGGGCATAGAAGAAGCTGACCAAAATCTCTTAAAAAGAAAATCTGGGGAATGAGATATTAATAGGGGCTTTTAAAAGTTCTGACATACTCCTGAAAATTTAGAAGGAAATGTGCACGTACAGAACTGTGCACATACCCAGAAAAGACCTGAAAAAGAAATAATCTCTCTCGTCTGGCTGACCTTAAGTTTCTGTGCAAGCAGTGAGAGAAAGCTAAGCCAATACCGTAAATCATCTATTGGATCTTTGAAATAGTGTCCCCAAACACAAAAAGGACCTTTTGGAAAAGGCTGGGAGATACACTTATGCAGCATATTTAAGGAAAACTATATCCATTTATTGAATGACTACTATGCTAACTGAATAGATGTCAGTGGTCACACATAATGAAGAAAATAGATTAATATAATTAGTTGAGGAAAGTAACCAAATGCACAATAGGAAAAACACCACCAGCAACAAAGCCTGGGGAGGAGGCATATACAGTTTCCAGAGTTGTCATATTATATTATTCTAAATATATGGTTTTCAACAAGTTATGAAGCATGTAAAGAAGTAGGAATGTAAGATGAATAGGGCCTGAAGTGAACCCCCAGAAAACTGCAGCAGCCCTACAGAAAAGGAACCTGACAACAACAAAAATGACCCCCGCAAAAATGGCCCCCACAAAATGGCCCCTACAAAAACCCCATGCAAGGGTCAGCAGCCTCAAAGACTGAAACTAGGCAAACTCATGAAGATGAGAAAGAATCAGTGAAAAAATGCTGAAAACCCAAAAGGCCAGAGTGCCTCTTCTCCCCCCAAATGATTGCAACATCTCTCCGTCAAGGGCACAGAACTGGACAAAGGATCAGATGGATGAATTGACAGGAGTAGGCTTCAGAAGATGAGTAATAGAAAACTACACTGAGCTAAAGGAGCATGTTCTAACCCAATGCAAAGAAGCTAAGAACCTTGATAAAAGATTAGAGGAATTGCTAACTAGAATAACCAGTTTAGGGAGGAACAAAAACCACCTGATGGAGCTGAAAAACACAGCACAAGAACTTCATGAAGCATACACAAGTATCAATAGTCAAATCTACCAAGCAGAAGAAAGGATATCAGAGTTTGAAATGCACCTTACTGAAATAAGACATGCAGACGAGAATAGAGAAAAAATGAGTGAAAAGGAATGAACAAAGCCTCCAAGAAATATGGGACTTTATAAAAAGACTGAATCTAAGATTGATTGGAGTACGAGGAGGAGACAGGGAGAATGAAAAGAAGTTGGAAAACACACTTCATGATATCATCATCCAGGAGAATTTCCCCAACTTAGCAAAACAAGCCAACATGAAAATTAAGGAAATACAGAGAACACCATTAAGATACTCCACGAGAAGATCAACCCCAAGACATATAATCATCAGATTCTCCCAGGCTGAAACGAAGGAAAAACTACTAAGGGCAACCAGAGAGAACAGCATGGTCTCCTGCAACGGGAAGCCCATCAGATAAAAACAGACCTCTCAGCAGAAACTCTACAAGCCAGAAGAGAGTGGGAGCCAATATTCAACATTCTTAAAAAAAAGAATTTCCAACCCAGAATTTTAACCCACATGTTAGAACCATGATGCAAAGTGAAATCGTCTTCTGCTACTGTTTCCCATAAAGCTGTGTTATACCTTTTCCCCCTTGGTGCCGTGGAAATCTTGGAGCTATTGAAAAGAAATAAAACCCTCCATGCAGAAGAGGACAACAATAAAAAAAGATAGCATGTTTTGAGTAAGAAATTGTGGAAAGAACAAAAATAAATACCCTCATAGATTCTATAACCACAAGTCAGTCTTCACATAAGTGTATATATGGGCTGTGTGTGTACATGTACTTATGCACATCACAGATACATATTAATATACATATACAAAAGTAAGCAGGAAACTCTTTCCTAGAAGTTCTCAATATGACTCTTCTTTAGCCAAATCTAAGTAATATAACCAAATGCATACCAATAACAGAGAAAGGAGGCTGGATTCATTATGACTGACAATTAACCAATATTTGTTCTTTGGGTTAGGACATTCCTTTCAAGAACATATTGTTCTTCAAGAACTGAGCAAAATAGAACACTTAGCAATGGTTCTTAAAGTGAAGTCCCTGGAAAACCATCATGAGCGTCACATGGGAATTTATTAGAAAAGCAAATTCTCAAGCCCCGTTCCAAATATATTGAATTAGAAACTCTGGATGTGGGAAACACATATTGAGTTTTAACAAGATTTCCAGGTGAATCTGAGGGATACTAAAATTTGAAAACCACTATTTTACCATGTAAGAGCAGATACTGAGTTTTGATTAGTTAACCAACAGTGTGTTTATGTTATACCTAGATGTTTTCTAATTTAAGATAGTACTTTTCAGCCAGGCGCAGTGGCTCATGCCTGTAATCGCAGCATTTTGGGAGGTCGAGGTGGGTGGATCACCTGATGTCAGGGGTTCAAGACCAGCCTGACCAACATGGCGAAACCCCATCTCTACTAAAAATACAAAAATTAGTTAGGCGTGGTAGCAGGTGCCTGTTATCCCAACTATGGGAGGCTGAGGTAGGAGAATTGCTTGATCCTGGGAGGTGGAGGTTGCTGCAGTGAGCTGAGATCGTGCCATTGCACTCCAGCCTGGGCGACAGAGCAAGACTCTGTCTTAAAAAAAAAAAAAAAAAAAGATAGTACTTTTCTTCAGGACTATAATACAATAAAAGTGAAGATAGTCAAAACAAACAAAACCCAAAGCTGTAATAAACCAAGGATGAAAAAAAGATGAGATTATATAGCAGGGCATAAGATTTCAACAAATTTGAGAATATGAAAAAAAGCAGATGTGGCAAATCATTTTGCAAGACACAGGAAGTCACAAAGGGTGTCTAGACAGATATAATAAGGAGATCCAATTTATTTCTACAGTACCCCAGAGAAAAGGAGGGATTGGTGATGCCAAATTAAGGAAAGGTTAAAAATTCTATGATGGGATCAGTGTCCTTATAAGGAGAGGAAGAAGAACCAGAGCTCTTTCTCTCTCTGCCATGTGAGGCCACAGCAAGAAAGGGACTGTCTGCAAGCCAGAGAGGCTTCAACAGATGATGATTTTACTGGTTCCCTGTCCTTGGACTTCTCAAATTCTAGAACTGTGAGAAATAAATGTCTGCTGTTTAAGTCACCCAGACTATGCCATTTTGCTGTTGCAACAGGAGCTAAGACAGATGTTGCTATTGTCTGAATGTTTGTGTCCACTCAAAATTTATATGTTGAAGCCTAATCACCAATGTGACATATTAGGAGGTGGGGCCTTTGTGAGATTAGGTCACGAGAATGGAACTCTCATAAATGGGATTAATACCTTTTAAAAAAAAATGAAAGAAAGAAAAATACAATCTTAGAGAGATCCCTCGTCCCTTCCACTTTGTGAGGACCCGGTGAGAAGATGCCATGTATGTGTTAGAATGTAGGCCCTTCTGCAGACACTGAATCTCCTGGCACCTTGGTGTTGGATTTGTCAGCCTCCAGGACTATGAGAAATAACTTTCTGTTGTTTATAAGCTACCCAGACTATGGTATTTTCTTTTAGTTGCCCTAATGAACTACATGAAAAGAAGTCTAAATGTAAATAGATACTTTCTCAATTTTAATACCTCTTTGAATAATTGATAGATTAATCAAACCAAATATTAGCTAAAGCAACAGCAAAACTAACTGACACAGCCAATTAGAATGAAAATACATGACTTGTACACAACTGCAGAATACACCTATTTCTCGTACAAAATATTTATAAAAATTGGCTGTGAACCAGAAGGTCATAATGTAAGTCTTAAAAATTTCAAATGACTGTAACCATACACAGCATGTGCTTGCACTACAATAAAATTACAAATAATAAAAAGACAACTAGACATTCCCAACTGCTTGGAAATAAGGAATAGACGTAAAGGAAGAAATCATAAAAATGTCCTGGGTACAAGAGGCAGTTTAAAATAAGATTCAAAGACCAGAAGTCAAAATGAAAAAATAAAAGTAAAAATCACTGAAAATAAAAATTTCTGTGTGGTGAAAGCAACCTTAAATAAGTTTCAAGCCAGAGACACAGTAGGCAAAAGAATTGTATCTTGGCCGGGCATGGTGGCTCACGCCTGCAATCCCAGCACTTTGGGAGGCCAAGGTGGGTGGATCTGAGGTGAGGAGTTTGAGACCAGCCTGGCCAACATGGGGAAACCCCATCTCTACTAAAAATACAAAAATTAGCAGGGCATAGTGGCATATGCCTGTAATCCCAGCTACTTGGGAGGCTGAGGCAAGAGAATTTCTTTAACCCGGAGGGTGGAGTGTGCAGTGAGCTGAGATCGTGCCACTGCACTCCAGTCGGGGCAACAGAGTGAAACTCTGTCTCAGAAAAAAAAAAAAAAAAGAATTGTATCTTATTTAACATACCCACAATATATAAAGACCACTAACAAATCAGCAAGAGGGAAAAAAATCCCAATCCAACAACAATAACAAAATGAGCATTATATTTCAGACAAATCACAGAATAAAACTGTAAAATAATTAGTAATCATATGAAAAAGTCCTCAATCTCATTAACAATCAGAATCAACAAACAAAAAATAAGATAATGCTTGCCATTCACAGTAGGAAACATTTAGAATTGGTATTCTAGAATCGAAGAGGTGTGGAAAAATTAGAAATCCCATGACTTATTGGTAAAAGAATAAAATGTTTTTTTTATTGTATACAGAAAGATATGTGCAAAGATGATGACTACAGCACAATTTATAATTGATAAAACTTGGAAACAGTACCTAGATTATTAGATCAATGACACAGTTCTGTATTAGAGGGATAGAGATTTCCAAGATGCACTGTTAGGTGAAAAACACATCAGAGAAGAGCTGTATAAAATAATCCTCTTTATGTAAAAAAAAAACAAAAAAACAAAAACACTGTGTAGCTGTGTATATACTTATTTGTATGTATATAACATTTACTGAGCGCTTACTCTATGGCAAACATCATTCTAAATTCTTTATATATTTTAACTTCCTTAATCATCATAAAAATCCTCTGTGGTAGATACCATTACTACTCTCATTTTACCGATTAGAAAACAGGCAAAGAGATTGTCAAGTAATTTTCACAAGTCACAGGCACAGGAAGTAAAAAAGAAAGAATTCAAACTCAGGTAGCTCGATTTTCCTTCTTCCTTTTTCTATCTTATTTTCTCAATTTCTTTCTCCACCTTCCTCCCTTCCATTCCCTTTTTTCTTCCCTCCCCCCACCTCTCTTAGTGTGTCTTCAAATGTTTGTGTCAACCTTGGTTAGCAGGGTAATCGGGAGAACAGCACCGGGAATGGAGAGGGTGAGGTTTCATTTTTCTCCATATATGGTGTTATTGTTTGGAAGATCATGTGTTTTTGTTTGTTTGTTTGAGACGAGTCTTGCTCTCTCTCCCAGGCTGGAGTGTAGTGGCTGGATCTCGACTCACTGCAACCTCTGCCTTCCGGGTTCAAGCGATTTTTCTCCTGCCTCAGCCTCCCCAGTAGATGGGATTACAGGGGCACACCACCACACCTGGCTCATTTTTGTATTTTTAGTAGAGACGGGGTTTCACCATGTTGTCCAGGCTGGTCTTGAACTCCTGGTCTCAGGTGATCCGCCTGCCTCGGCCTCCCAAAATGCTAGGGTTTCAGGCGTGTAAATAAATTTTTAAAAAATCAGTAGAAACGTCAGTGCAATATGTATTTATTTATTGCATGAGGGTGTGCCAGTTGCAGGCACACCCTGAAAAATCAAAGGCGCGTCCTGAAAAATTAAACATTCTACACGCCTCATCATTTTCACTCTTAACTTAAAAATGCCTTTTGTTGGAAAGAAAAGGGAGAAGGGCAAGGGCTAGAGATAAAATAATCTCGACCGCTCCTCTTTTGTAGTCTAAGCTCCCTCACCTTGAAAAGCTACAGGCTTCTAAGGGATGGAGGTCAAGAGCAGAGTTAAGGAAGTTCCCGGGGTAGGCCACTCCCCGCCTGATGATTTTCCAGTTCCAGCTGGTGTCGACGTCCCAGTTCATCTGTGCCCTTAACCACCGGAGAAACGTTTCCGGAGTCTCTCCAAAGAGCAAAAAAGGGGACGGGGATGGGGAGAGGGAGACGGGACGGGCTGGGCGGCAGCTGCGCGTCGCACACGGCGTGGGGGGGTGGGTGCAGTCGCGCCCCCAGCTCGGCCGCGCTCCAGCAGCAAAGCCGGATCCTCTGAGCCCGCGCAGGGACCAGGGGAGGGAAGCCTTGTTGTACCCTTGGGGTCCAGAAACCTAAACTAGGGGCTGCTGCAGGTGTAGACTCTGAGGCTGGTCCAGGCCCCTTTTCCGCCGACTTCCGGGAGGGCTGTGCAACAGGTGTGCCTGGCAGTCACGGGGCAGACGGGAGGAAGCCACGCTAGGACCTCGGCTCGCTCAGGGCTGTGCGGGAGCAGCTGCAGCCACGGGTAAGGGGGCGGCTTTCTCAGTCGCCTCCCTATGGGACTGGGGTGTGCCTGGCTAGTGGGGACGATGCTCCGCCCCATAATTGTGTTTGCGTCAGAGGGCGGGGCAAGGGCCCAATGGGCCGCGGGAAGCGACACCTGAAGTGGAACGGAAACTCGGCAAGGGGCCCCAGGCGGCCCAGCTGTACCCTGGCTCACACCAGAACCGTTCGAATGACAAGGGGTGTCCTGCCTGAAAACGCCTTGCGGGGCTCAGCTTCCCCTTAGCTACACTGCTTTACAGGTAGAGAGCGGCCCTGAATCCTGGGCAGAGTCTGGGCTCAGGAGCATGTGCCAGCATAGTGGGGCTATTAGAAGGGACGGTTAATACAGCCTGCAAGCTGTCATTTATCAGTAAGTATTCAATGAAGTCCGCCAGGAGCCCACGTCTATGCTAGGCCCTCTACAATACCAGCTTAGGAAAGATAGTGGCGGTATGTAGCGCGGTTCCTAAGACCATTAGCTCCAGTCAGGCTCCCCGACTTTAAATTCGGCCTCTACTGCTTCACATCTGTGGACTGTCAGCCACTTTCTTCATATATGTTCTTTCCATTGCCTCATTTCTGAAATTGTGTAAGTATTAAATGAGCTACAGAGTATTACACTGAAATTTGGCACATTGGGAGAATGTGAGATTTTTTGTTTGTTTTTCAACGAAATAGGAACATAAATGCAACGGACATGAATCATGAATAATTTCAATTCAGCTAGTTACTGAGCTGTACAGCATTAAGTAAACATTTTATCTTTATGGGCTTAGTTTTCTCATTTATAAAGAAGAAAGGAAAACTCCTATTTGTGAGGGAGGTCTGGGTTGTTAGGAAAGGTTTTTGAGCAGTAATTAATGTGTGTTAATGTAAAGTTCTTAGAGCAGTGCCTGGCACTACAGAAAGTACTCAGTGAAAGTTAGCGTTTATTATTTTAAATATTTGACAAAGTCCCTGCCTCTCCAAGCTGACTCTCTGGTTCCCATGTGGTTTCATTCATTCACTGTTATTTCTGGAAGTCTTGGCATGGCCACTTGCCAGTTGCAGGAACAGGCAGTCGTTGTTTCTTCCCGCTTATGACACTGAGATACATGGTTAGTACCAGTGACACTTAGAAGTGTCAGGCGGTTTGGGGGCTCCTTTCTTTCTTGAACTTTTCCTAAGAGCAAACCTTTCTCTTATTGCCACCCTGATGTTTACAATAGAAGGGTTTTGAGCAATGAACAAGCACAAGGAAATGAAAAACACATACAAAGGAAAATGAGTGGATTGCTGCAGTTGGATAGACAAGTGTAAAATACCTGGGTCTCACTGTACATGAAGCAGCCTTCAGATCTGTAAGGGAACTATTCTTACTGACTGAAAAGAGCAAAATAATACTGTACACTCATTGTTGAATTAACAAACACAGATTAAGTGGCTTGTCTTGGATAAGACAAACCAAGCTCTGGCCTTTGAGGTCTTAAAGTGCAGGTAGAGCGACTTTAAACATTTGTGAACTGGCCCTTGTGCACCTTTCCATCCTCATCTCTAAGGGTCTGTCCATCTTTGGCTCTGTAATTTCATAAATTTTCATTTCCCGAATAAGCCCAGTTTCCTGCAGCTTAGGACTTCTACTAGTGAGCTTCCCTCTGTCTATAATGCCCTACCACGCCCCTCATACATCCCTATGGCCTGGCTGATTCTAGACTTTTTTCAACTCTCCGCTCTGACTTTCCTGACAATGCCACCACTACTCCAACTAAATCAATGACTCCATATCCTTTTTATTGTACCATTATTTGTATTCATAGTGCTTAATGTATTTGTATATGTACAAATACATTTGTATTGTTATATATGTGTTATCCATAATATATTTATAATAAATTTAATTAATATAATGTGCTGGAATATATTTAATTTTATTAACTGCCTGACTCCTCCATTTTTTAGTGCCTGTACAGTGCCTTTCATGCTCTATGCCTTTGGTTAAGATTCCTTGAATATTAATCAAATGGTAGTAATTAGATGGTAACCAAATCTTTTAAGTGCATAAAATTTACATATCATGTAAATATATTATTCAACTAGATTAATATTCAAGGGAGGTCTGGGTTGTTGGGAAAAGTTTTTGAGCAGTGATAAAGCAATCAAATGAGAATAACTGACTTTAAGACTCATTTTTGTTTCTTTTGTCTCCTTGGTTTACTTGTTAGTTTTGTAGAACACTTTACTACTACAATTTCAGTTGGGTCTAGTTGATCAATATTCCTTGAAAAACAAAATAAGCTTTATGTTAAGTGAGTATTTATGTACTTATACATTTATACATGTGTACATATATGTGGATATATGTATGTACACATATGTGTACCTGTACACACACTCTATAGCACTGCCTTGAACAGTGCTAAATTTAAAAGCCAAAGCACTTTAGTTAATCAGTAGTAACAACTGTGCTTTTCATTTCCCAAAATTTGTTGTTAAAAACTGCTTTTAAAAAAGTTTTGCCTATCCTAGTTAAAAACTAATTGATCATGAGACTAAATTGAAATTCAAGATATTTCTATCTTACGTAAGAAAGATACCTTAAAGATAACCTCTAACAACTTTCACTGAAATTTGGCACATTGGGAGAATGTGGGGTTTTTTGTTTGTTTTTTATTCAATGAAATAGGAACATGAATGCAATGGACATGAATCATGAATAATTTCAATTCAGCTAGTTACTGAGCTGTACAGCATTAAGTAAACACTTTATCTTTATGGGCTTAGTTTTCTCATTTATGAAGAAGAAAGGAAAACTCCCATTTGTGAGGGAGGTCTGGGTTGTTAGAAAAGGTTTTTGAGCAGTAATAAAGCAATCAAATGAGAATAACTGACTTTAAGACTCATTTTTGTTGCTTTTGTCTCCTTGGTTTACTTGTTAGTTTTGTAGAACACTTTACTACTACAATTTCAGTTGGGTCTAGTTGATATATTATCTACATTTTAATTCAAGGTTTAATATACAATTCTATAGGCCAGGTGTGGTGGTCCACACCTGTAATCCCAGCGCTTTGGGAGGCTGAGGTGGGCAGATAACGAGACTAGGAGTTTGACACCAGCCTGGCCAACATGGGAAAATCCCGTTTCTACTAAGAATACAAAAATTACCCAGGTGTGGGGGCATATGCCTGTAATCTCAGCTATGCTGGTGGCTGAGGCACGAGAATTGCTTGAACCTAGGAGGCAGAGGTTGCAGAGCTGAGATCGTGCCACTGGCCTCCAGCCTGGGCAACAGAGCAAGACTCTGTCTCAATAAAACCAAAAGACAAACAAACAAACAAAACTGTAAAAGCCTATCTTACATTGGTTCTAAGCATATGTGTTTTGTTTTCTTGAGCCTAGATGCTGAAGTGGATTTTTATAGTAAAACTCCCGGTTACAAGGTGCTTTGCATTAATAACTGGCCTCAGTCACCCTACTTCAATCTCATACCTCACAGATATGGTGTGCTTTGTACTCAAAGGCTCACCATCTTCTTGCCCCACACATGTGTAAAAATGCATCTGTGCTTGCTCTGCTTTACTTTGACTGAAACCACAATTCAAGGGATGAAATGTTTGTCTTCTTAGATGGTAACCAAATCTTTTAAGTGCATAAAATTTACATATCATGTAACTGAATGATGTGAAAGCTATTTAATTTGTGAGTTACCTCAATAAATGTTGCCTTCTCCCTGGGCTATTCACAGTTCCCCTCTGGCATAGCATAATGTCTCATTCTTACTTATTGGTAGGAAGTTAGGCACCTAGAATTCTTGTGATTGTTTTCAGAATGGTAGAATTTTGCTAAAATAATTCAGAACCTATGTCTCTGCTTGGGGCTTGAGAAGAATATGAACTGTTTTATATTGTGATTTTTTTTTTTTTTTTGTGGAGGGTGAGTGTGGCGGGAGAGAGTTGTTCTTAGGCATAACTAGGTTTAGGTTATTAATCTGAATTTATTTGTTAATTGTCTATGTTAAAGGCATAGTAATTTTAGGATCTTCCAGAATTAAGTATGATTTCCCTGTGAGTTCCAGGTTTTACTTTAGTTATGTTTGAAAGCAGTAAAACAAAAAATTTTCAGGACCTTAAGAAATAGGTCAAAAGGCTTTAGCTGTGTCAAAAGATAAATTACAACAAATTTAAAGATGTAATTAGCTTATATTAGGAATTCATGAATATGACAGCATCTTATCTAAAAATAGAGAGATGCTACATGCGGCATTGCAGAATAGTCAGTTTTTATAAGGTACCTTGAGCAGGAATGAGGAAATAGCATAATACAAAAAGTGGATTAGTTAACGGTAGATTAGTTCAGGTTACTCTCTTTATAAGGACTAAAGTAGTGGGAACTTCTTTATTATGCAGGCTAAAACTGGCCTGTTTGGAGTCTGGGCTTTCATTTCTCTCCTGATTTCTTGGAAGGTTAAATAAACAACTTAGTTTCAGTTTGGTAATGTGGAACTTTAGCATTAGTTACTCCATTTTGATTTGATCTGTTGAAGCCTAGTGCAGGAGGTCAAACCAAATGGATGTCCTCCTATACAGCTGTTAATATTTAACAACTGTAATATAAATTATGAAGTCAGAACTGGAAATCCTCTGTGCTATTTCTCCCTCTCCCTGAGTGCAGAAGTTTATAATTATCAAATAGTCCAGAGCAGCAATGAAGACATGATTTCTGATATAATTACTTTAAAAGAGATGTACTAATGTGTATATAGTATATGCTGCCTCAATTTACTCCAAATTTATCACTTAACAGAGAGTTAGAAAGAAGTGTGTAGTAATCAGATTGTAACTTGAAGTTCTGTGTTTGTTTTGGAGTAACTATAATTCAAATGGTATAATATATAATATGACTTTATTACAAACTTTTGCTTTGTTTTAGTACAGCATAAAAATATGATTTTCTCTTTCTCTGAAGTTATTTCTAGAATTTACTTTTTAGTAAGAGTGGTGGAAGCAATGATTTAAAGTTATCATGTTAGATTAACTAGCTAATTTAGTCAGGACACAGCCCAATCATGTCCTAAACTGAGTCATGTTATTTCTTGGAATAGACTCATCATATTAGTCAGAATTCTCTAAAGAAACAGAGCAGTAGGATGTAGACATATATATATGAAGAGATGTATTATAAGAAATTGGCTCATGCAATTTTGTATGCTGAAAAGTCCCACCACATTAGAAGTCTGTAAACTGGAGACCAGGAAAGCTAGTGGTCTACCCTAGTTAGTCTAGTTACCCTAGTTAGTCTACCCTAGTTACACATGTTTACTAGCTTATTGTTCACCTTATAGATTAACTGCAGAAAAATGTAAGTTTTAATATTTCTACTCTTCTGACTTGATGAGGTCCACAGCATTGATTTCTGACCAGTTAATGCAAACTGGATTCCGATTGTTCTAAGAAAATCCGGGAAGTTAAATCAGTAACACAAATACATCTTTTGATTTATTTCAGGGCCAAATAAACCCACTTGGAATTATTCAACCTTTGCTGAACTTCTTGAGTAGATGTAACTAAGAGGTGACTATAATTGGAGAATTCTTAAGAGTTTCACTATATTATGAAAATGTGTGCTTAAAGTTGGTAATCATAAAAAATAATTTTGAAATGGCAGGTAAGGAGGTGGTTTCTTCTTGAGAATTCTAGATTTTAGTTGAGGATGTGGAGGGATCAGTTGACTTATTTACCACTTAGGATTGCACAGTAGGAGGAGTTGGTAAAAGGGAAGCCAACACTGGAGTGGGCCTGAGAAGTGGGAGGGCAGTTTGTATTAGCGTGCATGGGTCCAAGATAAAAATTTTGGGTAATGGAGTTTTTGCCCGATGTGTTCATTGTAATTAACAGTCATGAAAAGCACTGGGATCTACAGTAGATGGAGAAAACAGTGACTGGATAGCAGTGGGAAAGACTAGGATGGGGTCAAGGCATCAGAAGGCAGAATTACTGAGTAGAATATTTGCTGTCATTTATGTTTCTGTAGAAATACCAAGTATAGGCAGGGCGCGGTGGCTCACGCCTGTAATCCCAGCACTTTGGGAGGCCGACGCGGGCAGATCACGAGGTCAGGAGATCAAGAACATCCTGGCTAACATGGACAAAAAAAATTATTCCGGGCGTGGTGGCGGGTGCCTGTAGTCCCAGCTACTCCGGAGTCCGAGACAGGAGAATGGCGTGAATCTGGGAGGCGGAGCTTGCAGTGAGCCCAGATCTCGCCACTGCACTCCGACAGAGCGAGACTCCGTCTCAAAAAAGAAAAAAAAGAAATACCAAGTACAAAGTTTCACTTGGTGGTCAGGATGCTATGGCTGTGACAGCTCCTGAGAGTGGGTTCTCTGGTAAAAAATAAATAAATAAATACATCTCTTAATGAACAGAGTAGTGTCAGAACTTCTCAAATTTGCTGGTCAGGATTGGCATGACAGGGCCACAGGACCTGAAATTTTCCGAGATAATTGCAGTGGTGTGATCTGATAATTAACCTTTCTTGCTCTTTAGCTGAACCATTCCTGGAGCCCAAGCCCAGAGGCTTGGAAATAAACCACACACTTCATTTAGATTGTGCAGGTTGTGAAGGCTGAAGTTTTAGCTCAATTACCCTTTGGGGTCTTAGCTCGCAGCATTTCTTCATGGCTTTCCTCCTGATTAGACCTTCTTCCTAAAGGCTTTTGGAAAGTGTTCACCATCGGCCGAGCGCAGTGACTCACGACTATAATCCCAGCACTTTGGGAGGCCGCAGTGGGCAGATCACGAGGTCAGGAGTTCAAGACCAGCCTGGCCAACATGGTGAAACCCCGTCTCTACTAAAAAATACAAAAATTAGCTGGGTATGGTGGCGTGTGCCTGTAATCCCAGCTACTCGGGAGGCTGAGGCACGAGAATCGCTTGAACGCAGGAGGCAGAGGTTGCAGGGAGCCAAGATCATGCCACACTACACTCCAGCTTGGTGACAGAGGGAGACTCCATCTCCAAAAAAAAAAAAAGAAAGAAAAGAAAAGAAAAAGAAAAAAGAAAGTGTTCATCGTCGTGGGCTGACCAACAATTTCTAAATTCCTACCAAGGCCACATGCAGCGGTTTATGCCTGTAATCCCAAGACTTTGGGAGGGCGAGACAGGAGGATCGCTTGAGTCCAGGAGTTTGAGACCAGCCTGGGCAACATAATGAGACCTTGTCTCCATAGAAAATAATAATCAATTCTACTGTGAAAACAGGAAGGGGAATGAGGTCAAGCCCAAAGGATTTAAATGGCCAGATAAGGCTCTACTAGATGAATAAAGAGAAATATCCCATGAATGTGACTGTATTGTTTTAGAATATCTTGTTCCAACAGTTGTATTGGACCTACAAATGTATAGACAGCATATTAATATCAGGTCTCTTTCAGAACTATTTCAATCCATGAACAATAAAAGTAAGTAATTTACTAAGTGTTTAATTTCCTCCCTATAATACTAAATGTGTTGTTGACTTGTTCTTTGTCATTTTTTTTTTTAGCTTATGAAAGGATATTATTTGTAGCTGTGTTTTCCCTTGTAAATTCCAGTACTGGGCACTCCTGAAAACTTCGCAAGATATATATGAGATCATGGAACTCACTCTTCTGCTTAAATTCCTCCAGTAATTATCAATGACACCTGGGATAAAATCCAAACTCCTTACTAAGGGTCTCCCTAGATGAACTTCTTCCTATTGCTTTGGTGACAACCATGCATACTCCTCCTTTCTTATGACTCTCCTCTCTCACGAACATGCTAAATTCCTTACAGAGTCAGCGTTTTTACATTTGCTTTTCCTTCCTCCTATAGCATTTCTCGGTAGATCGTCACGTAAAATTTTCCCCTTCTCATCTTTTCGATTTCAACATAAATTATATCCATCTAAAGTAACTTACTTATCCTCTGTCCTTTCTCCCATGTTTTCCCCATCATACCAATATGAAGTCTTTTATAAAAAATTATTTTATTTCTTCCAGAAGTTAACTGTAAGCTCATTGACAGCATATTGACTTTTTGATAGCTGTATCCCCTGATTCCACAACAGAGCCAATCACGAGTCATCTATATTCATTAATCGTAGGAGGAATAAATTATAAAAGCTATATTTACAGTGCATTAGTACTAGGTTAAATTGTTTGCTAACCCTTATTTTTTATTAGTATATGAGCCTGTCACCAGTGTTCCACTTAAATGTATTGCCTATTCTAAGTATTATATTTTATGTGGCATTAAGTATTTATTTAAAATATTGAGGAACATAGTCCCTTGAAATTATTTTTCATTCCTATGGAATCACTACACTGCGGACTATACAAATAAGCTTATGAAGCATCATTGCAATGTACATTTACATGTAATATAAAGATTATACTTATTAAATTTCTTCCTCTATTCTGCTACTTTAGAATTTTTCATCTGTTAAATATTTTGCTTTTCTTCCTCAAACTCTGTTGATTTTTTTACTTTTGTTTTGTTTAATTTTCTCAAATTATGTGTTCTAAAGATCTAAGAGTGACAAATTGTGAAATTTAATTTTGTAACCGCAATATCATAATTGATGTTTTAAGAACAATATCAAGGGAAACAGGAGAGGAACACGCTGTAGATTAAAACTCCTCGTAACCCATTGGCCCAGACAAGCATCTGAAAAGTACTAGGAGGGACGACATGATTTTACATCTATATTAGGGTTTCTCAACACTGTAGTATTTTGGGGTGGATAATTATTTGTTTTCAGGAGGATGTTCTGGGCATTTTAGGATGTTTAGCGGCATCCCTGGCTTCTATCAACCAGCTGACAATATCAGTCTCTCCTCCAGTTGCGACAACTAAAAATGGATCCAAACCTTGACAGATACCCCTTCAGGGGTCAACCCCATCTCCCCATTGACTTCTATACATATAGGATATGTCATTTGTTATAATTCCACAATTAAAATTTTTCACAGGGTGCCTTTGGCTCTGGGAATGCTGACACATAGCCATTATTTTTGGCTTTTTTTTTTTTTTTTCCAATTTCATCTCTCTTTTCCATGAAGGCATGCCACAATCTTCATATAGATCACTTTAGATCATGGTGGGTTTACTTTCACTTTCACAGGTATAAAAGCATATTTTCTATCTGAGTTTTACATAGTAAAAGTAAAGCTCTAGGCCGACTCTATTCACAGTGAACCACCCTCAAAATAGAAGTGAATGTGAAACCACAGATATTTCATTAAAACATATCTGAAGATAAAAACATACCTCAAGCTTCACAGATATAGGACTTCTGAGCTGAGAGGTCAGTTTGTAGATAACTGGGGTTATTCTAAAAAGGATTGATGACTTTTCTGGGCAGCTACAAATTATTTTACTTGCTCCTATTTCAGGACCTCCCGGACATATTGTCTACCCTAAGCACCAGGCTGGACACACTGGGAAACAGGCTGACCACCTGGGCTCCCAGGCCTTCTACCCAGGACGTCAGCATGACTACCTAGTCCCACCTGCTGGCACAGCTGGCATTCCTGTTCAAAATCAGCCAGGTAGACCTGAAGGGGTACCATGGATGCCAGCACCACCACCACCATTAAACTGTCCGCCAGGATTGGAATACTTAAGTCAGGTAATTTCAAATACGTAAAATACTCAGAAAAAAAAAAAAACTCTCTTTCTGGTTTATGAACCATAGTAATTATGGTTAAGTGATACTTATTTATTTACTGCTTATTAATTAATTAAAGTCAGAAATGGTAAACAGCACATTCTGTTAACAAATCACTAGTTCTTTTGGGTTCGATTCATTGTTAAATCAAAATATGAATGTCACAGGTGATTGTTTTCTATGATCTTTTATATAATGTGATAATAGTCCAAAGTAAACATTTATTAGGCACTATTTTCTAGGTTTTGTTCTAAGCATAATACATGTATTACCTCACTTAATCTTTACAGAATCCCTATGATGTATAAGCGTTGTAATCATCACTACTCTACACAAGAGGAAACTGAGGTCCAGAGCAGTTATATAAATTACCAAGGATTAAAAACCTAATGAACTGGGGGTACACTGTTCATCACCACCCTGATTCTGGATTCTGCGCTTTTTAATTCCAATACTGAATAATTTTCTTGACACTTAAAAGACATGTAAAGTTTAGAGTTGAGTTTTAGTAAGCAGTACCAAAAATGACTTAATATTTTTGTGTGGGATTTGACTCATTTTTTCTTACAATTAGTAAAATTACATTTTTATGATGCTTTTTTCCTTTGGAAGACCCAATTTTACAAATGTCGCCAATAAGGAAAAAAAATGTCCTGGATTTTGCTGTACTACATGATAGTTTACCTCAGCAAAGTGAGGTTTAATGTTTGTTTTGTCTTAGAGATCAGATTGGTAAAATAGGAATATAAAGTTTTATATCTCCAATCTATAAACAAATATTTCTATGATAGTCAATGAGTTTTCAGTAAATGAATTATCTCTCTTGTACTCTTTATAATAACTTAATTTTCCACAATGCACTTGCACAGTGAATATTATAAGAATGTTTAGTAGTTCATATTTCTCCAAGAAATGCCCTACAGTTTTTTTAATCAGTCTCAAAAATATATAGAAGAAATTATCACTTACTACAAAATGATTATATGAAGTAGATGTAAAATGAATAACTGAGACTTACAGTAAAAGCTTATTTAAATCAATAAAAAATGTCTTTATATGTTTAAGCCTCATTTAGGAAGAACATTGTTTTCTAACTTTTATAGGGATTCCACTATATTAGTTTATTTTACCTAAATTTACAACTATAATAGTGAATGCTTTCAATAAACATACAGCATTTTTAATTAAAAATATGTTAACTTTAGTTTTACAATAAAAGGTAGCAAACTTATTAAAATTTGATATTGATAAATGTCGATAACTGATTATATGCAGTATTAAATAAAAACATGAATAGTAATTAGTTCTCTATAAAATATTTGACATACAACTTCATTTTCTTTTTACTATAATAGATAGATATGATACTAATTCATCAGCAAATTGAACTTCTGGAAGGTATGTATTAATTGTATTGCTCATAGTTCTAAAAAGAGAAGAAGTTTATGCAAATAAAGATACATCAAAAACTATAAATATAGCATTCCGAGTGATGTGGGATGGTAAAACTGACTATTTACGAATGTCTGTCTTTACAATAATGAAATCAGTAGTCTATTTCTGAACATCAGAAGTGAAATGGTAAAATACAGTTGGCCCTTCCTATCCGTGGGTTCTACCTGTGTGAATTAAATCAACCATGGATCAAAAACATATTTTTAGAAATTGTACCTGTACCGAGCATTTGCAGACTTCTTTTTCCTTGTCACTATTTCCTAAGCAGTACAATGTAACAACTCTTTACATAGCATTTACCTTGTGTTTGTGTATTATAAGTAATCTAGAGATGATTTAAATAATACGGGAGGAGGTTCATAAGTTCTATACAAACACCACGCCATTTTATATCAGGGACTTGAGTAGCCTAGGATTTTGGTATTCACAGGAAGTCCTAGAACCAATCTCCTACAAATACTGTGGGATGACTGCACTATTATGATAAGCATCTGTCCTAATGTTATAAACTCTAATGTAGAAGGAATACAGCCAAGACTTACTTTTGCTCTCTTTTGCAAATAACATTAAGGGATTCACTCACTTTACCTGACTTCTACCACTTCAGCTCTTTTCTCTCCAATTTGTGATCACCTTTAGAATGGCACAGAGCCACATCCAATATTTTAGTTACCTTAGTACATTTCCAAGTGAGTAAACTTTTTGAATTTGGATGGGAGTGTTTTGGAAAATTGCTGTTCCTTCCCACAGTTTCTCTTGGGAGTTTGGATGAACCCAGTAGAATCTTTGTTCCACGTGCTGTAGATTACTAGCCAGGGTGCAGGGGCACTGCAGTGTTGGAGGATGCTGACCAGCAGGCCTCCAGCCTGGCTTCTTAGAAGAGCACTCCTGCTCCTGCTGAATGTTCCTGATGCCACCAGTTATGTTCTTAGGTCCAGTGCTTCCTAGGTGCAAGAATAAATTTAGTAAGCCTCTAGATGCTTCAGAACAGCTGCCAGGGGAATGAGAGCCTAGGTAGAGTTATGAACCACAGCGTCTTCCTTCTGATATAATAAAGTTACTTCTTCTATTTATTATAAAAACTGCTGGTTTTTAGAATATATCTGTTATAATAAATTCATTTTTGCATACTGCAGTTTCTTTAACTCGTTGAAATTATAACTTGAATTGTACAAGCAGAGTAATGAATTTCATTAACATATACAATTGTTACCTATTACATTTAAACTGCTTTTAAAGTACGTGATTAGATATTTATAATGTTCTCGGTTTTTTGTAGTTTGGCTAAATTAAGTTTGCTCTGGAAAGGAGCACTTTGTTCTGTAATAATTTGTATTCTGAATTATTTAAAATGTTTTATTTTATGGAATATATAATTAAGATTATAAAATCCAAAAGGCCAGACACTATACATTATACAACATTATATTTATATTTTTTAGATTTATAAGCTTTACATATATTTGCACAATATATGTGCTTCATTGAAAAATACGAAGTTCCACATTTACCAGTTTTTAATTTTTTAAAAAAGACATTTTTAATTTTCTTTTCTTTTTTTCTCAAATTGAAAGTCTATATTGTTTGCTAACATCGAGGCATATAAAAAGATGATTACTCAGTTTATTTTTAGCACCTGAGACTATGACAAATACTTATACCTTACCACGACTGAAAAGTTAATAGATGCTAAAAATATAATTGTTGCAATCTTTTGTTTTGTCTCCATTTTTCAAGTAACTTGAAGGAAACTTCAAGATTTTGTAACCCCATTGATGTCATTTTATAGATAAACAGCTTAAGATTTTCGCAAGTAAGTTACATAATTAAACAATTAGTTGGATAATAGATGACCACAGAGGAATCAATTTTTTTATATTCGATTTTAAATTTTTTCACAAACTTTTGTCTACAGCAGATGTTGAGGTCAAGTGCAGTTCCTATATAGGCAGAGTCCAGGCCTTGTTTGAGTCCCACCGTAGACTCTTAAGGAAGTTTATGGTAATAGGACTTGTGAGAAACATTTCTGTATGATGTCCTTCTGTGGATAGTGGGACAATTCATTGCTCCTTCATGGCTTTAAACAAGGAGAGGTTTCCAATGTGTGGTTCAATATGGAAGTCCTTGGTAAGATACCATGTGAGCATCAGCATTTTGCATTCCTCTGTTTTCCTCATGAAGAGGTTAGCCTATCTAAGGTGCAGAGCTCACTTAGGATGCTCGTGGTCTAGATATTCTGAGTTGAAGCCCTGATTGCCAAGCACCTTCCCCATTTGTTTAATATTCATCTCTTACTTTCAAATTACTGCTGAGCTAAATAAGGGTGCCCTGAGTCCGATGTGATCTTCTAATTTCCTTCCATTTTTGCCTCTCACTTTTTATGCACGTGCCTTGAGAGTTAGCCCTCTTACTGCCTTTCACCAAACAGTGCAAACAAAGAAGACATAAGTATGACTTACAAAAGGAAATCTTAAACCAATTGATTTAATATAGTATTTTTTGCAATCATCCTATATTCCTCTCCATAATATATGAAAACTATACCAAATAAATGGACATTTTATCCATACACCTAGCACCACTGTGCTTACTGGCAGCATTGCCCCAACCCTCAGCAGCAAAGTCTCTCTTCTCACAGGAGCCTATGGGATTAGGAAAATATGACCTGCTTTGTTTTCCATATCTCACATAAGGAATCAATTTCTCCATGCATTAATAGCCTAACTTCCTCTTTTTCCTTTGCCTTTTTCCTCTGCCTGATCAACTCTAAATACCATTCCTTTTTGTTCTTTCTATGATACTTGGAGCATCATCTAAAACTAGCTAGATATAATATCTTAAGATAGGTTCAATCATTTTAACGTAAAGGCAACTGATTTTATTTTCATTTTTAGTTCTATTCAGTTTTGAAAGTAGTAACATGTATGAAATCAAGAACAGCTTTGGGCAGAGGATTTATTTTGCAGCAGAAGATACTAATTTCTGTATCCGAAATTGCTGTGGGCGGTCTAGACCTTTTACCTTGAGGATTACTGATAATGTGGGTCGAGAAGTCATAACTCTGGAAAGACCACTAAGATGTAACTGTTGTTGTTGCCCCTGCTGCCTTCAGGAGGTATGTGAGCAATTACTAGAGCTTTTCATAAAGTAGTTCAGCAAGGATTTCCACCCTTTTATTGAATCTGTATAATCAAATGAAATTTAAATGAATATGGCTCCATGAGCTATATGTTTGGGCTTCCAAATCAATTGTATAAGAAGGAAGGCAAGTAAACAACAGGGAATAGTTAGCCTCGTGTCCCGCAGCAGTCTGCCTCATGGGGTTGAGCAACTGCTCAGAAATGAGAGTTCTTGATATTAAAGGAAAGGTCAGACAGGGCACCTTTTTCAAATCATTTTTTAGAGATGACTGTAAGAGGCATGGTCGAAATCAGCAGAGTTGCACCATTGAAAATATCCTAAAATAGCATTCTAGGATCATGGGGACAAAAGAATGAAGGAAAGAACAGATGTATTCATCTCATAATTTTGGCCAACCTAGTAAGGGACAAACCTAGAACAAAGTCTTATCTCCTTTGTTTTTCATTTCTCCTTTTCAAAATAAAAACGTACATATCTATGTCATCTGCAAAAGGGATATCCTAAATGGATATCTGTAGAGACCAGATGTCTCTGTTTCATATTGCATGGCAGCCTACTCCTAGAAAATATGATTTCAGAGAAGACAGTAGGGTTCAGAGATGTTTTAGGAAAGTTGGCCTTTTCCAGGATCCCATTGGCGCAACACCATATCTGCCTGGGTAACTTAGTCTTCCATACAGATTGCTGTGAGAACATCATACAGATAGAGATAAAGGCATAGAGTTATTTAAAGTCTAATACTGCACTTATTTTGAGAGGATAACTGAAGTTATTTATAATGAATTGCTTTGTTTTCCATGCCATTTAGGTTAGGTATAATTATATATTTGTAAGAATAACTGAGGAAAAACTGACAGTTTGATGGGAAATGCTCTATAATTTGACTAGCACATTAAAATACTTTACCTTATTCAATCTTTAAAAAAAAAGTCCTAGGAAGTCCTCACTTACAATGTCTGGCACTTAGGAAATGCTCAGTAAATTAGAGCTATTATTAGATATTTTTATTATGATGATTTATTACGTTCACACATATTTTACTTTTGTAGATAGAAATCCAAGCTCCTCCTGGTGTACCAGTAGGTTATGTTACTCAGACCTGGCACCCATGTCTAACAAAGTTTACAATTAAAAATCAGAAAAGAGAGGATGTACTAAAAATTAGTGGTCCATGTATCGTGTGCAGCTGTATTGCGGGTGTTGATTTTGAGGTAAGAGATGTCATAATGTTTATAGGATTTGCTTTTTTAATAGAAGAATATAATTTTGCAGAATATTATGAATGCCTTAAATTAGTATTGTGTACTGATGTCTCAATAGCAAGATAATGTTCCCATATATTTAACTTTGGTCAGAGTGGAGGTTATTACTGACTAAAGGTCAATATTGATAATGATAAATGGATAAAAGAGAAGCAGAGCTCTGTAGTCAAATAAAAATAAGCAAATCATCTAACACTTAAACATGTTGGGTTCTGTGTGGTGACACTATATATTATCCATTATAAAGAAAACTTTAACCTTGTCATCTAAGTCTGATTGCCAAAGCATATGGATCCTTCCTTAATCTAAAATATAGGCTGCCAGTGCTCCAGGCCATGTCCAGAAGTTCTGACATCTTTGAGTTCCTACAGAAAGCCCAATTTGGCAAAGATAGTTTTGAGAAAGTCAGTGTAATATGTATTACCCAATTATACTTCTCTGTGGTCTCTTCTTTAACCCTGTATTAAATTAGGTCATTGGAAACCACCATATGTCTCTATATTTAATTCCTGCAGAAATTTCATTACAGCAGTTCTCCAACAGATAGCCTAGCCTTATAATCAAATCATTTAGTTGCAAATGTTTAACCATCAGAAGGTTTTATAACTTAATCTTGATTTCCTGATTCTCTTGGAAAATCAGAAAATTTAGTAAACTGGGCCAACAATTCCACAAAATGAGGAATAAAAATCCTAAAGTTGAGTAGGGCTACCTCACTTATGATAAAATGTGGGAACTCTGACAGTGTCCCCACATCTTCCTAAGGTTTAGCACTATCCAGTTTCATTCTGTTGCATCCTTCCTTCTCTAATAATATGATTTTTAATTTCTCTATTAGAATTTGGTTATATAAAAATGAATGCTTCCCCTTTTCAACTTTATAATCTGATGACAGAGATGGGAAATTCTAAGAAAACACATGTGTTGTAGAGACCTTTAAAATGCTCTTATAAAGGGATACATATATATGTATATGAAATATATGATTATATATGTGTATATAAAATATATGATAATATGCATTGGATATATACACATGTGTGTGGGTATATATGGGTGTGTGGGTATGTGAGTGTGTAATATGTATGTATAGGAACTTTATGTAGGGATATGTATAATAATAGTTTTCTTTTCATGCCCATAAAAATCCAGACAAGTGAAAGATTATTTCTCCTTCTAGGAATGATATTAATAAAAGTCTAATTGGAATATAATTTATTCCTAAGAAATGAGTAAATCACTAAAAAATTGTGAAACATTCTTAATACTAAAAATTTAGATTTCATTCAGTAGCTCTTCAATTCTCTATGTCTGCAGACACCAGATTCTAAGAGTAACTAATAGTCATACGATTAGAGAATGCAGGAAAATAATGCATATAGCAAATTTTATACAAATGCTGAGTTTGTAATTTAAAAATACCTTTTCAGTAACCATTCATAAATTATATGTTTTGAATTATATAGTGCTCCTCTAGTATCTTACACATTATTTTAATATATTCTTTTGATGTTTACCTAGGTTCTATGTGCTAGTGGCCTATTTGCATTTTTTGCATTTATATTTACACTGCAAATAAATATTTAGTTTTTTAGACTATCTTTACCAATTATTAGTATTAAATTTACAGATTTATAAATTTCATGCTAATATAATACACTACAATTCTTTTTTTTTACTCATACTTCTGATACCAAATGTGTGGATATTTTTTCTCCATGTCAACCAATTCTCCTTCTCTACAGACATCAACTGGGTTCCCTACAACTCAGTTCAATTCTGACACTCACTCACCTGTAGATAATGCAGACACCACAGTTTAAGGTCTCAGTCCCACAAAACTGTTCCCAATTTCAAATTCCAACCACAAATGCAAGACCTCCTGTACGTCTAACCAACTAGCTATAAAGCAGGATTCACACAACCTCCTCCATGGGTTTGACAATTTGTTAAAACTACTTACAAAATTTAGGAACATATTTTATTTATGTTTACTGATTTATTATAAAGGATACAGATGGATAGCCAGATGAAGAGGTTAGTAGATGAATTCTGGAAGAGTTCTGAGCAAAGGGGGATCTGTCCCTGTGGAACTGGGGTAAGCCACCTTCATGGCAAGTGAGTTCACCAATCCAGAAAGCCTTTGAACCTGTTGTTTAGAGTTCTTAGGAAGTTGCATTATGTAGGCATGACTGATTTAAACCACTGGCTATTGGTGAATAACTCAAACTCTGGCCTTACTCTCATCTCCGGAGGATGGGGACAGGACTGAATGATTCAATCCTCTAAGCATTGCTTGGTTTTTCTGGTGTCCAGCCTGATACTGAAGCTATCAGGCACCCCAACCACCAACCACCAGTCATCTTAGTATATAAAAGATTTATTGCTTAGAAGAGTCTAAGGATTTTGAAGCTGCGTGCCAGCAATCTGGGACAAAGACCAAATATTAAAACAAGACTCTCCTATTACCCCTATCACTTAGAAAGTTATGAGCATTTTAGAAATTCTGTGTCAGGAAGCAGGGATAAAAACTTAATGTAGGCCGGGCACGGTGGCTTATGTAATCCCAGCACTTTGGGAGGCCGAGGCGGGCGGATCACCTGAAGTCAGGATTTCGAGACCAGCCTGGCCAACATGGTGAAACCCCGTCTCTACTAAAAATACAAAAATTAGCCAGGCGTGGTGGCAGGCGCCTGTAATCCCAGCTACTCGGGAAGCTAAGGCAAGAGAATCCCTTGAACCCGGGAACAGGAGGTTGCAGTGAGCGGAGATCGCGCCGTTGCACTCCAGCCTGGGGGACAAGAGCAAGACTTCGTCTCAAAAAAAAAAAAAAAAAAAAAAAAGAAAACTTAATGTATACTTCTTATGATGTTGTAAATACCAACGTATTATTTCCAGAGGTTGAAGTAATTTTACCATATTTTTTTGTTTTGTTTTTAAAATGTTATATAGAATTTAGCTAAAATTATCTATACTTTATAAATTTTTTTTATAAAAATTATCTAGACTTTATAATGATCTGTATATGCATGTCATTATTTATATTTCTGATCCTCCATTAAAATTTTATTTTCTACTTCTTGCATAAATTTGGTGAATTTTTTAATTTCTTGCTATAGCCATCAAAATGGAGAAATATTTGTTAAGTCTAGTAGTAGGTTTATGGTAGCTAGTAAGTTACCTTCAGCATTTTTTATTTTGTAAATATTTCAAAATTTGAATGATTTTTAAAATAAAAATATAAAGTTCTCATTAATAGTCTCAAATGCTTAGATGATATATGTTCACTCTGGATATGTAGCAGCAGAGGCTACCTAGACGATGCTTTTCTAGTAGCTATTTACCTGAGACCAAGAGTCAGAGCAAACCACTTACCCATATGTAAGATCACTGCCCATGTTACAGCTGCTAATATTCCATTGGTCAAACAAGCCACAAGGCAAAGCCTAATTATGAAGAAATAGGAAAATGCTTCAGACTACAATGGGAGGAAAAATGAAATGAATATTTGATGAAGAATAATCCATAGCAATCACAGTTTTATATTAGACATTTATTTCACTTTTTAAAAAGAACCTTTTCACCAACACTCTAAAATGAATCAAATGTTTTCAGTTTCCCTACATTTATCTAGATGGTCACAACCAGAGGCAATGGCTTCAAAGGGTGTTGCTGACACATGTGACCTGTATATGTAGGTCATTATTTATATTTCTGATCCTGTGTTCAAATTTGAAAATGACATTCCTGACTTGGGTTGACATAACTCTTAACATGTAGTTTGGTGAATGTTAGTTATATTCCGCCACTACCTGCCCATCTGGTGAGGTGTTTTTGTCTGAGCACACACTTTTCAATGCTATATAATGACCCTCAGTTTTCCTCAGCAGAATTTTTACAACCTTTATTTTTTTTCACAAAAATAGAAAAGTTTTACATTGGAGATCTTGTCTACCTATTCTTTTTTTATTCTTCACACCCCACTAGTTAGCTGGTCTTGCCCACACCCTTGACTTGAGGCATCCCATCAAGTTACTTACTGGTTGCTTTTCTTCACTCAAACTGTCAGTCTTCTTTTCTAGGCTCTTAGCATTTTATGTTTTCCTACTGACAGTGGGTGGTAGTGAGGCCTCTCTTCATATTTAAACATTCAGCTGTGTAAACTCCCTGTGCACCTCTAAAAAGCAGAAGTCTAATAGGAGTTTCATTTGTTTCCTTCCTGATGGCTTCTAGAAATTATATCAAAGAAATACTTCAAATTTATATCCTTTTCTGCTTAAATTTTGTTTGGGTTAAATTCAAATAAATAAAACATATATTAATGTCTATCTTAATATAAAGTAGAAAATGTTAAAAATTTCGTAAAACTACTTTTATGTAAGTTTCCTACACAATAGAACAGTTTTTTATGTATCTATAAATATACAGGAGCCTATATGCATCTAATATAACATATTAACTGTATACTCATGTATGGTGCATAAATGTACTATAATATTTCCTTCCTTTTACTCCAGTGTTAAAAGTAATTTTGCTATAAGTTTTCTAGAAATTTTTAAGTTTTTTTTTTTTTTGCAATTTAGATTACATCTCTTGATGAACAAATTGTGGTTGGCAGGATTTCTAAGCACTGGTCTGGGTTTTTAAGAGAGGCATTTACTGATGCTGACAACTTTGGAATCCAATTCCCTAGAGACCTTGATGTTAAAATGAAAGCCGTGATGATTGGTGCCTGTTTCCTCATTGTAAGTCTATTCCTGCTAATCTTGGTGACAGATGGCTTCTCTAGAATCATTCTGAAATACTTCAATAAATTATACATTTTAAGATTACCATTTAAAGTGTAAAGGTTTTATAAAATGTTCTCATTTAATCCCCGCACTGAAATTCTATTTGATTCTGATACTCTGGATTTATAGGTGGTTAGTTTATGTCTGAAGAGTCTACACACTTTCAAATGGCAAGAGAATAACTTTATATGCTAAGGAGAAGCTCTGGTTTGGGGTAGGGTTATTAAAAAATCAAATATGTTATTAGGAGAAAAATGTGAAGCTAGTCTTACATGGAATAAAACTCAGTGAAACACAGAAATTTCATCCTAACTCATTAAATTAAAACATCTAACATGGGATTATAAAGTGCAATAAGAGTATACATTCAATCAAGCCTCTAGAGCTAACTATCAATTTACAGGAAATACATGGGGTAAAGCAGTGATTCTGAATGTATATTTATATTAGAATTATCTAGAAACTTTTTTAAAACCCTCAAGTATCAGGCCATTCCCCACTTCAACTAAACAAGAAGCTCAGAGTCAGAAGTTTGTGTAGTGCCCCAGATGATACGAACATGCAGCCAAAGTTGAGGTTTATGGAAACAGAGAAATGGTCTTCAACCTTAGCTACACAGTAGAAACACCTGGGTAACTTTCAAACTCCTCATGTCCATCCAAATTTATTAAACCAAAATCTCTGGAGTTGGGATGAAGACTTCAAGCTGTTTAAAGCTCCCAGGTGATTCCAATATGCAATCAAGGTTTGACACACCAGATAGAGATCTTAAACATTAATTTGGTGAAATAATCAGAAAACCTTAACAGATAATATACAGCAAAAAGGACCCAGCTGCTTCAACAAGTAAATGCCAATGAAAATAATGGGATAAAGATTAAACAGGGGAAGCTGATGAAGATGGCTGAATAGAAGGCTCTGAGAATTATCCCCATTGCAGGAATTCCAAATTGAACAACTGTCCACACAACAGAAAGCAATTTCATAAGAACTGAAAATCAGTCAAATGATCATTGTACCTAGTTTAAAGATCACATTAAAAAAAGAGGCACTGAGGAGGGTAGGAAAGACAGTCTTGAATCACCTAAATCACTCCTCCCCCATACCCGGCAGTGGCTTTCTGGTGGAGAGAGAAAATCTGTGTGGTTGGGGGAGGGAGAACACAGTGATTGTGGGACTTTGCATTGGAACTCTGTGCTTCCCTGTCATAACAGAAAGTAACAAGTGGCATGGCACTCATGGAGACAGCATATAAACCAGCCTTAGCCAGAGGGGCATTGCCCATCCCAGCATTCAGAACCTGAGTTCTGACAAACCTCGCTACCATGAGCTAAAGTGCTCTGGGGTTCTAAATAAACTTGAAAGGCACTCTAAGCCACAAGGACCACAATTCCAGGGCAACTCCCGGTGCTGTGCTGGACATGGAGCCTCTGGACTTATGGGTATATATAACCTAGTGAGACACCAGCCAGGGCAGCCCAAGGAGTGCTTGCATCACCCCTTCCCCAACTCCAGGCAGCACAGCTTGCAGCTCCAGTAGAGACTCCTTCCATCTTCATGAGGAGAGAGTAAAGAGGTCTTTTTCTTGCAACTTGTATACCACCCCCCTACAGTAGAATAGGACACTAAACAGAGTCCTGAGGCCCCCATTCGAGGCCCTAGCACCCAGACAATGTTTCTAAAGACACTGCTGGCCAGAAGGGAACCTGCTGCCTTGAAGAGAAGGACCCAGTCCTGCTAGGATTTATCACCTGCTGACTAAAGAGCCCTTGGGTCCTAATGTCTGTCCTATTGATAGCCAGGCAGTACTTGCCATGGGCATTAGGGGAAACTCTTGAGACATGCTTGCTTCAGGTGTGGCCCAGCACATTCCCAGCTGTGGCAGATATGGGGAGATAACCCTCCTACTTGAGGAAAGGAGAGGGAAGAGGAGAGAAGATTTTGTCTTGCAGCTTGTATACCAGCTTGGCCACAGTGGGAGAGAACATCAAGTGGGCTCTAGAGTCCATGTTCCAGGCCGTGGCTCCTGGATGGCATTTATGGACCTGTGCTGGGCCAGGGGGGAGCCCGCTGCCATGAAGGGAGATATTCAGGACTGGCATAATTCACCACAAGCTGACCGAAGAGCACTTGGGCCTTGAGTGAACATCAGTGAACATAAGTATAAGCTAGGTAATATTTAACATCAATGGTAGCTAAACAGTATGTATTATGGGCCTGGGGTGGTGGTGGCCAATGAGAAAGACACTTTTTCTTAAGGAAGTGGAAGAAAAGCATGGGAAGATTTTTTCCTTGCAACTTGGGTTCTAGCTCAGCCACAGAATAGAGCAGCAAGTAGATTCCTAAGGTTCCCAACTCTGGGCCCAGGCTCCTGGACAGTATCTCTGGACCTACCCAGGACCATGAGGGAACTTGATGCCCTGAAAGGAAGGATACAATCCTGACTGGATTTGACACTTGCCAATAGTAGAGCTCTTGGGACTTGAGTGAACATAGGTGGTAGCCAGATAGTGGTCATTGCAGGACTTAGACAAATCCAGTGCTGTGCTGGCTTTGAGTCTGACCCAGTTCAGTTCTAGTGGTGGTGGTCACATGGGTTTTTGTGTCACCCTTCCCCCAGATCTAGGCAGCTCAGCACAGAGACGCTCCTTGTTGGGGGAAAGTCAGGGAAGAAAACAAGAGTCTGCCTGGTATTGCAGGGAATGCTTCTGGATTTTACCCAAGACTGCCAAGGGATTACCACTATGAGTCTCCAAGAGCCACAGCATTACTAGGCTTGGGGTATCCACTAAAGTATATGTGGCTGCAGTAACCAAAAACTTAGATCAAAACACCCAAGTTCTTTTGAATACCTGGAAAGCCTTCCCAAGAAGGACAGGTACAAACAAGCCCAGACTGCAAAGACTGCAATAAACACCTAACTCTTCAGTGCCCAAACATGAATTAACATCCACAAACATCAAGACCATCCAGGAAAACATGACCTCACCAAATGAACTAAATAAGGCACCAGGGACCAATCACAGGGAGGCAGAGATATGTGAACTTATGGACAGAGAATTCAAAATAGTTGTTTTGAGAACACTCAACAAAATATAAGTTAACACAGAGGGGGAATTCAGAATCCTATCCGATAACTTTAACAGATAGATTGAAATAGCTAAAAAGAAACAAGCAGAAATTCTGGAGTTGAATAATGCAATTGATGTAATGAAGAATGCATCAGAGTCTCTAAACAGTAGAGCTGATGGAGCAGAATAAATAATGAGTGGGCTTAAAGACAGGATATTTGAAAATAGACAGAGGAGACAAAAATAAAAAATAAAAAACAATGAAGCTTGCCTGCAAGATCCAGAAAACAGCCTCAAAACGGCAAATCTAAGAGTTATTTGTCCTAAAGAGGAGGTAGAGAAAGAGACAAGGGTAGAAAGTTTATTCAAGGGGATAATAACAGAGAACTTTTCAAACCTGGAGAAAGATATAAATATTCAAATACAAGAAGGTTATAGAACTCCAAGCATATTTAACCCAAAGAAAACTACCTGAAGGCATTTTGTATTCAAACTCCCAAATGTTAATGATAAAGAAAGGATCCTAAAAGCAGCAAGAGAAAAAAAAATAACATAAAAGCAAGATCCAATACATCTGGCAGCAGACTTCTCAGGTCAGAAGAGAGTGGCTTGGCATATTTAAAGTGCTGAAGGAAAAAAAACGTTGATCATAGAATAGTATATCCAACAAAATTATCTTTTGAACATGAAGGAGAAATACAGATTTTCCAGGCAAACAAAAGCTGAGGAATTTCATTAATACCAGACCTGTCCTACAAGAAATACTAAAGGAAGTTCTTCAATCTGAAAGCAGATGTTAATGAGCAACAAGAAATCACCTGAAGGTGCAAAACTCACTGGTAATAGTAAGTACACAGATAAACACAGAATATTATAACACTGTGATTGTAGTGTGCAAACTACTCATATGCTAAGTAGAAAGACTAGAAGATGAGCCTATTAAAAATAAAAACTGCAACAACTCTTAAAGACATAGTATAATAACATATAAATAGAAACAACAACAAATTTAAAAATGGGACAATGAAATTAAAGTGTAGATTTTTTATTACTTTTCTCTTTGTTTGTTCATGCAATCAGTGTTAAGTTTCCATGAGTTTAAAATAGTGGGTTGTAGGATATTATCTGCCAGCCTCAGAGTAATCTTAAATCAAAAACGTAGAAAAGATACATACAGAATCAAAAGCAAGAAATTAAAACACTCCACCAGAGAAAATCCCTTTCTCTAAAAGGATGACAGGAAGGAAGGAAAGAAGGAAGAGAAGATCACAAAAATAACCAGAAAACAAAATAACAAAACGATAGGAGTAAGTCCTTACTTATCAATAATGGCATTGAATATAAATGGACTAAACTCTCTAATCAAAAGACATAGAATGATTGCATGGAAAAAAACAAACAAGACGCAACCTACCTGTTGCCCTCAAGAAACACACTTCACCTCTAAAGACACGCATAGACTGAAAATAAAAAGATGGAAAAAAATTCCAGGAAAATGAAGAGCAGGAGTAGCTATACTTACACTAGACAATATATATTTCAAGGCAAAAACTGTAAAAAGAGACAACAAAGTCATTATGTAATGATACAGGGGTCAATTTTGCAAGAAGATGTAACAATTGTAAATATATATGCACCCAATACTGGAGCACCGAGATATAGAAAGCAAATATTATTAGAGGTAAAGGGAGAAATAGACCCCAATACAATAACAGCTGGAGACTTCAACACCCTACTTTTCAGCATTGGACAGATCTTCCAGACAGAAAATCAACAAAAAAACATCAAATTGAATCTGCACTATAAACCAAATGGACCCAATAGATATTTTCAGAACAGTTAATCCAACGTTTATAGAATACACATTCATCTCATTAGCATATGGCTCATTCTCAAGGATAAACTATATGTTAGGCCACAAAAAAAGCCTTAAAGATTCTTTAAAAATATGAAATTATATTAAATATCTCCTCTGACCACAATGGAATAAAACTAGAAATCAATAACAAGAGGAACTTTGGAAACTATAAAAACACATGGAAATTAAACAATATGCTCCTAAATTACCAGTGGGTAAATGAAGAAACCAAGAAGGAAATTAACAGGTTAATTGAAACAAATGGTAATGGAAACAGAACATACCAAAAGCCATGGGATACAGCAAAAGCAGTACTAAGAAGAAAGTTTATAGCAATAAGCCCCCATATCAAAAAAGTAGAAAAAGTTCAAATAAATAACCTAACAATGAATCTTAAAGTGTTAGAAAAACAAGAGCAAATTGAACTCAAAATTAGTTGAAGAAAAGAAATAATAAAGTTCAGAGCAAAAATAAATAAATAAAATTGAAATAAAAAAACACAAAAAGATCAACAAGTAAAAATTGGTTTTTTGGAAAGATAAGCCAAATCAACAAATCTTTAGCCTGACCAACTAAGAAAACAGAGAGAAGACCCAAATAAATAACATCAGAGATGAAAAAGGAGACGCTTTAATTGATACTGCAGAAATTCAAAGGATCGTTAAAGACTACTGTCAGCAACTGTATGCCAATAAGTTGGAAAACCTAAAACAAATGGATAAATTTCTAGACACATATTGTCTACCGAGACTGAACCATGAAAAAATCTAAAACCTGAACAGTCAATAAGTAATAAGATCAAAGCCATAATAAAAAGTCTCCCAGCAAAGAAAAGCCCAAGACCCAATGGCTTCAGTGCTGAATTTTACCAAACATTTAAAGAATGAATACCAATCCTACTCAAGCTACTGAAAAATAGAGGGGGGAGGAATACGTGCAAACTTATTCTATGAGGCCAGTATTTCTCTGATACCAAAACCAAACAAAGACATATTTAAAAAAGAAAACTACAGGTTAATATGCCTGATGAACATTGATCCAAAAATCCTTAACAAAATACTAGCAAGTCAAAATCAACAATACATCAAAAAGATAATTCATCATGAGTGAGTGGGATTTATCACAGAGAAGCAAAAAGGGTTCAACATACGTTTTGGATATAGCCACTTATCAGATACATGGTTTGCAAATATTTTCCCCCAATCCATGGGCTGTCTCCTTACTGTGTTTATTGCTTCCTTTGCTGTGCAAAAGCTTGTTAACTTGAGGCAATTCCCTTTGTCTCTTTTTGCTTTTGCTGTCTGTGCTTTTTAGGTCATATCCAAGAAATCATTTCTCAAACCAATATCATGGAGATTTCCCCTATATTTTCTTCTAGTCGTTTTACAGTATAGGTTTTACATTTAAGTCTTTAATCCATTTTAATTTTACTTTTGTATATGGTGTGAAATGAGGGTCAAAATCCATTCTTCTGTATATATATTTGGTCTTCAAAACACCATTATTTAAGGGTACTGTCCTTTCCTCATTGTGTGGTGGTGGTACCTTTGTCAAAAATCAATTGATTACAAATGTTTGGGTTTATTTCTGTGCTTTCCTTCCTGTTTCATTGGTCATTGTGTCTCTTTCTATGCAAGTACGAAGCTGTTTTGATTACTATATCTTTGTAATATATTTTGAAATAAGGTAGTATGATGCCTCCAGCTTTGTTTCTCTTGCTAAAGATTGTTTGGCTATTTGGGGTCTTTTGTGATTCCATACAAATTTTATGATTATTTTTTCTATATCTGTGAAAAATTCACTGGTATTTTGAGAGAGATGACATTGAATCTGTAGTTCCCTTTCAGTAGTATGGACATCTTGGCAATATTAATTATTCTAATCCAGAAACACAGAATATCTTTCCATTTATTTGTGCCTTTTTCAGTTTGTCTTACAGTTTTCAGTATACAGAATGTTTGCCTTTTTGGTTAAATGTATTCCTTAGTATTTAATATTTTTCGATGCTGCTGTAAATGGAATTGTTTTCTTAATTTGTTGTACATGGAATGAATTCAAATTACAAGAAGAGTTATATTACTAGAGAAGGACTGCAAAACATTAAATAAGAAAGATTGAAAAAGGATGATTTCAGGAGGATAAAAGTGACATTTACAGAAATTGCCATAGGATTAATTAAATTAATGCAGGTGTCAATAAATAAATAGGATTATAGGATTTAATTTCTATTAAAATAGATAGCTGAAGGTAGAGAACTTATACCTGTAGACTTTTCTCACATTACTTATTATAGTTAATTTTTCTTATTTAACAGACAATTAACTGTGTTTCATCAGATCCCTTAGCATTTCTGCATCTGATCTCTGTTTGGTTTCTGAGAATTCATTTCTGTATTTTTGTTTTTATCCAGGACTACATGTTTTTTGAAAGAACTAGGTAATGACTGGAATGTCAGAGTGTGGGAGTGGATTAATGTAAGTCTCCTCAGAAAATTTGAAGTCTGTGTTGATTAGGATTATCTAAAAGAAAAATTCAGTGTTTTTTTCTTTTCTTTATTTAAATTACTTACACCTGTGTGAGTTAAGCTATGATGCTTGTAGCTCTGAGTATATAATTTCACTTTTCAAATTCTAATATTTATTTTATTTATAACTGGGTTATAAATGTTTTATATACTTTATTAGATTATTCATTGTATATATGGGGAAAAGAATATAGGAATTTTTAAATTTAGATACAAAACTTCCTTTGAAAGACTACTTGAATTATAGTCTGGGTTTCCATTTTATAAGCAAAAATTAAAGCCTTATTAAAGGAGTCTTAATGTATCATTATATTTTATTTTTTAAAGCTAGTTATAATTTATTTTATGTAAAAATTAATATGCAAATACTGTGTACTCAGAAAACAACTTAAAAATTGACACAATTTCAGTTTCTTTTACCATGCTAAATATTTAATATGCATATTCTCAAGCAAAAGTAAATGTGATTTTTTTTTGTTTTTGAGATGGAGTCTAGCTCTGTCACCCAGGCTGGAGTATTTTTTAATCTTCAGAAAAGCACACTATATTTACCTTCTCCTATCAGCTAACCTAGTACTATAAATAAGGTTTTCGTAATGACTACATGATAAATTAGCAATTTTTTATGGTTTTCAGTAAATAAAGAAAGACATGACTGTGTGAGTCTATCCAAAAGACAGACTCATTCTAAAATTTGGTATTGTTATCACTTTTGAAGTTGTTTATTACCACATGGAATGGTTAGCTCCTGTATTCTATCATTCCCAGAATATGTTAGTTACAAGATTAATCAGGTGTAAATGAAATAAAAAATATGTGTATCTTTACAAAGCATACTTCATTAGTGGTCTTAGGTTATTTTATGCCAAAAATCAAATTCCTAAAGTAAAATTTATTGATATAGTTTTTGAATATTTTATTTTTGTTATAAAAAAAACTGGATAACACATTCAGGTGGCATTATGATCCTACACGTTTACCTCCTTTAAAATCACCTTTAAGGAGGAGGTTCCAAGATGGCCGAATAGGAACAGCTGCAGTCTACAGCTCCCAGCATGAGCAACCCAGAAGATGGATGATTTCAGCTTTTCCAACTGAGAAAATGGCACACCAGGAGATTACATCCCACACCTGTCTCAGAGGGTCCCATGCCCATGGAGCCTCGCTCGCTGCTAGCACAGCAGTCTGAGATCAAACTGCAAGGTGGCAGCGAGGCTGGGGAAGGGGCGTCTGCCATTGCTGAGGCTTGAGTAGGTAAACAAAGCAGCCAAGAAGCTCAAACTGGGTGGAGCCCACTGCAGCTCAAGGAGCCCCATCTGCCTCTGTAGACTCCACCTCTGGAAGCAGGGAATAGCTGAAGAAAAGGCAGCAGAAACTTTTGTGGACTTAAATGTCCCTGTCTGACAGCTTTGAAGAGAGTAGTTTTTCTCCCAGCACAGAGTTTGAGATCTGAGAATGGACAGACTGCCTCCTCAAGTAGGTCCCTGACCCCTGCGTAGCCCAACTGGGAGGCATCTCCCAGTAGGGGCCAATTGACACCTCATATAGCCAGGGACCCCTCTGAGAAGAAGCTTCCAGAGGAAGGATCAGGCAGCAACATTTGCCGTTCTGCAATATTTGCTGTTCTGCAGCCTCCACTGGTGATACCCAGGCAAACAGGGTCTGGAGTGGACTTCAAGCAAACTCCAACAGACCTGCAGGTAAAGGTCCTGACTGTTAGAAGGAAAACTAACAAACAGAAAGGACATCCACACCAAAACCCCATCTGTACGTCACCATCATCAAAGACCAAGGGTAGATAAAACCACAAAGACGGGAAGAAACCAGAGCAGAAAAGCTGAAAATTCTAGAAATCAGAGGGCCTCTTCTCCTCCAAAGGAATGCAGCTCCTCGCCAGCAATGGAACAAAGCTGGACGGGGAATGACTTTGACGAGTTGAGAGAAGAAGGCTTCAGATAATCGGTAATAACAAACTCCGAGCTAAAGGAGGATGTTCAAACCCATCACAAAGAAGCTAAAAACCTTGAAAATAGATTAGATGAATGGCTAACTAGAATAAACAGCATAAAGAAGACCTTACATAACCTGATAGAGTTGAAAACCATGGCACAAGAACTACGTGATGCATGCACACAGTACCCAATTTGATCAAGTGGAAGAAAGGGTATCAGTGATTGAAGATCAAATGAATGAAATGAAGAGAGAAGAGAAGTTTAGAGAAAAAGAGCAAAAAGAAATGAAAAAAGCCTCCAAGAAATATGGGGCTATGTGAAAAGACCAAATCCACGTCTGATTGGTGTACCTGAAAGTGACGGGGAGAATGGAACCAAGTTGGAAAACACACTTCAGGATATTATCCAGGAGAACTTCCCCAACCTAGCAAGGCAGGCCAGCATTCAAATTCAGGAAATACAGAGAATGCCACAAAGATACTCCTCGAGAGGAGCAACTCCAAGACACATAGTTGTCAGATTCACCAAAGTTGAAATGAAGGAAAAAATGTTAAGGGCAGCCAGAGAGAAAGGTCAGGTTACCCACAAAGGGAAGCCCATCAGACTAACAGCAGATCTCTCGGCAGAAACTCTACAAGCCAGAAGAGAGTGGGGGCCAATATTCAACATTCTTAAAGAAAAGAATTTTCAACCCAGTATTTCATATCCAGCCAAATTAAGCTTCATAAGTGAAGTAGAAATAAAATACTTTACAGACAAGAAAATGCTGAGAGATTTTGTCACCACCAGGCCTGCCTTACAAGAGCTCCTGAAGGAAGCACTAAACATTGAAAGGAACAACCGGTACCAGCCACTGCAAAAACATGCCAAATTATAAAGACCATTGATACTAGGAAGAAACTGCATCAACTAATGAGCAAAATAACCAGCTAACATCATAATGACAGGTTCAAATTCACACATAACAATATTAACCTTAAATGTAAATGGGCTAAATGCTCCAATTAAAAGACACAGACTGGCAAATTGGATAAAGAGTCAAGACCCATCAGTGTGCTGTATTCAGGAGACCCATCTCACATACAGAGACACACATAGGCTCAAAATAAAGGGATGCAGGAAGATCTACCAAGCAAATGGAAAACAAAAAAAAGCAGGGTTTGCAATCCTAGACTCTGATAAAACAGACTTTAAACCAACAAAGATCAAAAGAGACAAAGAAGGCCATTACATAATGGTAAAGGGATCCATTCAACAAGAAGAGCTAACTATCCTAAATATATATGCATCCAATACAGGAGAATCCAGATTCATAAAGCAAGTCCTTAGAGACCTACAAAGAGACTTAGACTCCCACACAATAATAATGGGAGACTTTAACACCCCACTGTCAACATTAGACAGATCAAGGAGACAGAAAGTTAACAAAGATGTCCAGGAATTGAACTCAGCTCTGCACCAAGCAGACCTGATAGACATCTACAGAACTCTCCACCCCAGATCAACAGAATATACTTTCTTCTGAGCACCACATCACACTTATTCCAAAATTGACCACATAGTTGGAAGTAAAGCACTCCTCAGCAAATGTAAAAGAACAGAAATTATAAAAAACTGTCTCTCAGACCACAGTGCAATCAAACTAGAACTAAGGATTAAGAAACTCACTCAAAACTGCTCAATTACATGGAAACTGGACAACCTGCTCCTGAATGACTACTGGGTACATAACGAAATGAAGGCAGAAATAAAGATGTTCTTTGAAACCAATGAGAACAAAGACAAAACATACTAGAATCTCTGGGACACATTTAATGCAGTGGGTAGAGGGAAATTTATAGCACTAAATGCCCACAAGAGAAAGCAGGAAAGATCTAAAATTGACACCCTAACATCACAATTAAAAGAACTAGAGAAGCAAAAGCAAACACATTCAAAAGCTAACAGAAGGCAAGAAATAACTAAGATCAGAGCAGAAGTGAAGGAGATAGAGACACAAAAAACCCTTCAAAAAAATTAATGAATCCAGGAGGTGGATTTTTGAAAAAATCAACAAAATTGATAGATGACTACCAAGACTAATAAAGAAGAAAAGAGAGAAGAATCAAATAGATGCAATAAAAAATGATAAAGGGGATATCACCACTGATCCCACAGAAATACAAACTACCATCAGAGAATACTATAAACACCTCTATGCAAATAAACTAGAAAATCTACAAGAAATGGATAAATTCCTGGACACATACACCCTCCTAAGACTAAACCAGGAAGAAGTTGAATCCCTGAATAGACCAATAACAGGTTCTGAAATTGAAGCAATAATTAATAGCCTACCAACCAAAAAAAGTCCAGGACCAGATTCACAGCCAAATTCTACCAGACGTACAAAGAGGAGCTGGTACCATTCCTTTAGAAACTATTGCAATCAATAGAAAAAGAGGGAATCCTCCCTAACCCATTTTATGAGGCCAGCATCATCCTGATACCAAAGCCTGGCAGAGACACAACAAAAAAAGAGAATTTTAGACCAATATCCCTGATGAACATCAGTGCAAAAATCCTCAATGAAATACTGGCAAACCAAATCCAGCAGCACATCAAAAAGTTTATCCACCATGATCTAGTGGGCTTCATTCCTGGGATACAAGGCTGGTTCAACATAACACAAATCAATAAACGTAATCCATCATATAAACAGAACCAAAGACAAAAAACACATGATTATCTCAATAGATACAGAAAAGGCCTTTGACAAAATTCAACAGTGCTTCATGCTAAAAAGTCTCAATAAACTAGATATTGATGGGATGTATCTCAAAATAATGAGAGCTATTTATCACAAACCCACAGCCAATATCATACTGAATGGGCAAAAACTGGAAGCATTCCCTTTGAAAACTGGCACAAGACAAGGATGCCCTCTCTCACCACTCCTATTCAATATAGTGTTGGGAGTTCTGGCCAGGGCAATCAGGCAAGAGAAAGAAATAAAGAGTATTCCATTAGGAAAAGAGGAAGTCAAATTGTCCCTGTTTGCAATTGACATGATTGTATCTTTAGAAAACCCCATCATCTCAGCCCAAAATCCCCTTAAGCTGATAAGCAACTTCAGCAAAGTCTCAGGATACAAAATCAATGTGCAAAAATCACAAGCATTCCTATACACCAATAACAGACAAACAGAGAGCCAAATCATGAGTGAACTCCCATTCACAATTGCTTCAAAGAGAATAAAATACCTGGGAATCCAACTTACAAGAGATGTGAAGGACCTCTTCAAGGAGAACTACAAACCACTTCTCAACGAAATAAAAGAGGACACAAACAAATGGAAGAACATTTCATGCTCATGGACAGGAAGAATCAGTATCATGAAAATGGCCATCCTGCCCAAGGTAATTTATAGATTCAATGCCATCCCCATCAAGCTACCAATGAACTTTCTTCACAGAATTGGAAAAAACTACTTTAAAGTTCATATGGAACCAAAAAAGAGCCCACATTGCCAAGACAATCCTAAGCAAAAAGAACAAAGCTGGAGGTATCATGCTACCTGACTTGAAACTATACTACAAGGCTACAGTAACCAAAACAGCATGGTACTGGTACCAAAACAGAGATATAGACCAATGGAACAGAACAGAGCCCTCAGAAATAATACCACACATGTACAACCATCTGATCTTTGACAAACCTGACAAAAACAAGAAATGGGGAAAGGATTCCCTATTAAATAAATGGTGCTGGAAATACTGGCTAGCCATATGTAGAAAGCTGAAACTGCATCCCTTCCTTACACCTTATACAGAAATTAATTCAAGATGGATTAAAGATTTAAATGTTAGACCTAAAACCGTAAAAACCCTAGGAGAAAACCTAGGCAATACCATTCAGGACATAGGCATGGGCAAGTACTTCATGACTAAAACACCAAAAGCAATGGCAACAAAAGCCAAAATTGACAAATGGGATCTAATTAAACTAAAGAGCTTCTGCACAGCAAAAGAAACTACCATCAGAGTGAACAGGCAACCTACAAAATGGGAGAAAATTTTTACAATCTACCCATCTGACAAAAGGCTAATGTCCAGAATCTACAAAGAACTTAAACAAATTTACAAGAAAAAATCAAACAATCCCATCAAAAAGTGGGCGAAGGATATGAACAGACACTTCTCAAAAGAAGACATTTATGCAGCCAACAGACACACGAAAAAATGCTCATCATCTCTGGCCATCAGAGAAATGCAAATCAAAACCACAATGAGATACCATCTCACACCAGTTAGAATGGCAGTCATTAAAAAGTCAGGAAACAACAGATGCTGGAGAGGATGTAGAGAAATAGGAACAGTTTTACACTGTTGGTGGGACTGTAAACTAGTTCAACCATTGTGGAAGACAGTGTGGCAATTCCTCAAGGATCTAGAACTAGAAATACCATTTGACCCAGCCATCCCATTACTGGGTATATACCCAAAGGATTATAAATCATGCTGCTATAAAGACACATGCACACATATGTTTATTGTGGCACTATTCATAATAGCAAAGACTTGGAACCAACCCAAATATCCATCAATGATAGACTGGATTAAGAAAATGTGGCACATATACACCATGGAATACTATGCAGCCATAAAAAATGATGAGTTCATGTCCTTTGTAGGGACATGGATGAAGCTGGAAACCATCATTCTGAGTAAACTATAGCAAGGACAGAAAACCAAACACCACATGTTCTCACTCATAGGTGGGAATTGAATAATGAGAACACTTGGACACAGGATGGGGAACATCACACACCAGGGCCTGTCATGGGGTGGGGGGAGGGGGGAGGGATAGCATTAGGGGATGTACCTAATGTAAATGACAAGTTAATGGGTGCAGCACACCAACATGGCTCATGTATACATATGTAACAAACCTGCACATTGTGCACATGTACCCTAGAACTTAAAGTATAATAATAAAAGTAAATAAATAAATAAAATCACCTTTAAAAAGAGCACAGCAAAAGAAAAATTGAATAACTAAATCACTATTGGAAATAAAACAAAGTGAAATGACTTTCTTGTAAAAATAAATAAAATCATTTGTTTCCATTTGTTCTTAATTTTTAGGGATTGAATTTTCTCTTCTAATTTTATTTTTGTATATATTAAGGATCTATAAATTTTCAGGGCAAAATTATATCATATATATATAAAAGTCTACATAAGTACATAGAGATGTTTTCATTCCTTTTACTAGTTGCATAGTATGTCATTAAGTGGCTATGTCATGGTTTCTTCAAACAATTCCCTACAATTGGACTTTCATTTTCCTTGAAATTTTGTACGATTCCAAGTAAGCTTTCATGAATAAATAGGCATACATATTTTATATTTTTCCTAGTGCATATTTAGAAGTGATTTGAAAAGTGGAATACCTGTTCAAATTATCCTTCATAGAATTTATTTATCTATGAATTCCCATCAGCAATTTAGAACAGTGTTCAGTTGCCCAGAGCCATTCAGGTATATATTATTATATTTTTGTGTGGTTTCCAATACAGTGAGATATGTTATCCTGACATAGTTAAATGTTTTATTATCTCATTTTTAATAACGTTCAGCATTAAAAAAGAAAGGGAAGACATATAATATTTTGTAGTAAAAACTGTACCAGTGTTAGAAACTAGGATTTCCAGCTGTCAGAAACTTAAAGGCATTTGTAATTTGTTTTGTAGGGAAGATTGAATTGAGAGAGGGGACAGCCAACCCACAATTTACTTCATGCAAAGAAAAGTATGCTTAGGAAATAAGGGTATCCCTTTCAGCTTCAGCAAACTCCTCCAACAGCCACTCTCCCCATAAGTGTTACCACCAGCAGAACTCTACCAAAGCCAATAACCCCAAATGGCAAATGATGGATGAGAACATTGGTATAGCAGTGGAGCTACAGAAAAAGCAATGTCTAGATGACCTCCCAGCAGCCTAAATAATTCATCAGATGCCAGATTCCAAGGATGAAGGGTACCCAGGGCACTCATCTCTAGCATATGCTTAGTACAGACAGTATGCCAAGTCAAGTGGAGGTATTTGTATGTGGCTTTAGTTGTGCCAATTAGAGAAGGGGAGGGCTTGCAAATATGGCAGTCAGATGCAAAACCAACCCAAAATGAGGATTAGAGGTACTGACATTATCTCTTTTACAACCATGTCTTACTTTCCTTTCTTCTCTCTCTGCATAGGATTCCGGATCTTTGGCTAGGCAAAATGAAACTATAACTGATCTAAACGGTTCCTTCCTTCTTCTACTGTGCAAGGAAGATGTAAGGAAAAACTCGCACACTATCTGTGGAACTCATTTAAATTCAAATACTAGATAAACATTTCGCATTGAATATTTACATGGAGAAAAATCATCAAACATCAACAATTATCAAGTTAATTAATAAAAATACTAGGTATTGCAAAAAAGGCTTAATTTGAATTTTAGTGAGATTTGAGAGAATGGTGTGTATTTGTTTCTGAAACAGGCATACAGAAAAAAGAACATTCTGATGTGCCAAATTTTAATAAAATTGAAAAATATGATGACCCTATTTTAAAGTATGATGGAGGCACCAGAACAACAGATTGCATAAAATAGATAGCTAACACAATAAATTAAAAAATAGGTTTTGGAAGTTCTCCCAGAAGTAAGATTAAACACTGAATATAAAGAAAAAAGTTAAGACCTAGCAAACAAATATGTCAATTTCAATTCATGCACAATAAGAATTCCAGAAGGAGAAATCAGTTGGAGGCAAGAAAATATATTTTAATGTAAAAAAAATTTATTTGCAATCAAGACATACTATAGTCTTTAAATTAATGGATTTACCATAAAGCAGACAAAAATGAATGAAAATGACATACTTATGATTATTTTTCAAAAAACATTATTACATGGCTAGTATATGGAAGACTTTTTAGGTAGTAATAGAATAGTTTCTGTGGCTTAACTTCCATGATATACCCACATTCTAGTTTATTATATTTTCTACCTCACCAGCAGCATTTAATCAAATTTAGCACACTTTAATAGCAGGCATTTAAAAGAACCAAAGGATTTAGAACAAAAAGGTAGATTCTATAAAAGTATTTTTGTCCTTGCCCTCCTTTTTGCCATACCTGCCTTTGAGTAGAGACCTTACCACTGCAGGAATTTTTTCCTTCAGCATGATGTGACTTATACAGATATGGTGTCTTAGGCTCATTCCTAACAGTGGCTCACTTTGCCCATCTTTCTTACTTTGAAAAAGCAAAGGAACTGTATCACATCTCAGGCCACCATTTTGCCCACCAAGTCCTAAATCTTGGTTTCTAGATACTATTTTCCACTCAAATCAACTGGGCTTGTTTTGAGAATGGTTGATCCCAGGATTTTGGTAGGGAAAGGTGTAAGATAAGCTTTGTACAACTTGTGGAAACTCAAGGAGGTGCTCAAGTAATGATGCTGACATGGCAAAAGGATAAAGGAAGGAACTTGAAAGGGTTCTCCCCAACAAAATTAAGGATATTATTACTTCCTGAATAAAATTGGACACGGTAAGTTCATACAGATATTCTTATAAGTAAATAAATTAATTAAAGGTTTGATGAAGACCATGATATACACAGTTTCAATTTATTTTCCCTCAAATTATTTTAATTTCAGAGGGAAAATGAGTAACATTTTAGAGAATGTCTAGCAGCCAACTCCATTAAAGAAAATTTAAAGTAAAATAATTAAAATAAACATCATCAGTAATGGGATAAAAGAAAATCAAGTACCACCTAATAGGATGCACTAAGACACAGCATCACATAGATCTTGATGTGTACAGGAAAGAAGATAATAAAGTCTTTTTTTTTTTTTTAATGCTTGATGAGCTTGCCTGTCCTTGTGGTAAACCTTTTGGCCTGTGAATTGTGTTTACGCAGTTCATAGCTTGGCTTAGTTTCAAGTATGTTGTATAGTTACCTTTGTTGCACCCCAGTCTTCGTATTCTTTTAGTGATAACTTTTGTTCAAGATGTAGGCTACTTTGCCAGAGGGTTTTACCACATGTTTGCTCCTTGGAGATAATCTGTATCTTGTGGTATTCTTACCTGTAATTCACTGTTCTTTCCACTCAATTATTGTTAGTTAGTTAGTGGTGGGAGATGGGGAACAGAATATTCCCTGATGTTTTGGTTTAAGCCTCCCTCTTAAGCAGGCACACTCCAACTCAATGTAATCCTGAAGTCAGAAACTGTAGGGTCTTGGCCAACTTGCTGCTTTAATCATGTCATCATGCAGCAAGCATTCACTAAGAGGCCAGTGCTGGCTAAAAATCTGAGTTGTGTCTGGGTATGTTTATGTGAAGGGAGTTGTGGGATGGAGAAGAGTGAGTTGATAAAACTTTCAGGCAAAAGATAATGAACAAGAAGACAGATCTAATGATTTTGGATAGAAACATACTAGAATAAAAAAGTTCTGAGAAAGTTCCTTTTCATGGCCCCTTGCCTTAAGTGGCTTAGTGAGGGGAAACTGCTTAGAGTATTGTCTCTACTATTATCCTAGGACAGAAAGTGTCTCCTTTACACAGCCCTTCCTTCTCTAACCCTTCTTTGCTCCCACCCTTTCCCCGGAAGTCAAGCATCCTTGGCCTGAGGGGGAAGGCAATGAGTGAGAAGTTTCTTTTCCTGCTCCATGAGGGCCTAACACCCAGGAGAGGAGAAGTTTGGGTGCTTGCCTCATGCTAGGACCTGTGTCACTGTGGGGTGGTTGTAACAGTGCATGGAAGGTCAGTAGGTATCCCTGACTTGGAGTAACATTGAGGAGGAAGAGTTGTGATGGCTGGGGGATGGAGCTGTGTTTTGTATTGGGAAGGAATTTCTGGGCACATGGATCAGTGGGGAAGGGGGAGAATAAAGAGGGAGGGAAAGAACAAGGCTAAGAGATGTGACTGCCTGGACCTGCATACCTCTTGGAGGAGACTTGGGGGTGGGGGGAAGTGAAAGTGTAGACTGGAGACCAGACTGAGGATAGGAACAAAAAAGAACACACAGGCAGTTAAATTGCAGAAAATCACTGTGTGGACTCCTGGCATCAAGTTAATTAACATCTCTCTACAGCTTAGGTATTAAAGTTTTAGCTGAGTTTGGGCTCAAAAGGAGCTACTGTAACATTAGTGTAATCAGAAAAAACTCAATAGAGAATTGCTGCTATCATTTAAGGACAGAATGATTTAAAATGTCTCTGGGCACAATTAAGTGCTACTGATGCTGTGAAGTGCCAGAAGAGTGCACAGAAGTTCTCTCCAAGTCCTGCCCTACTCCTGCCCTTGTTATTACCCACCATACAATGGCTTCCTGACTTTCCTAGAACCTTCCTGCACCTGGCCCTATCTCTTTCAAGCCCTGTGTTTCTCCCTGTGCCTTAATTTTCCTCAATTTTCAATAGTATAGTTGTCATTGATAGTAGTATCTACCTGTATTAGTCTGTTTGTGTTGCTACAAAAAATACCTGAGGCTGGGTAATTTATAAAGAAAAAAAGGTTTCTTTGGCTTCCATTTAGTCATGCTAATCTCTCTAGCAAGTGGTGGCTCTACAGCCCTCTTTTATTCATCTTCTGAAAATGCTTTTTCCTTCTTTCTACATGGCTATGCTTCAAATTTTTATACTTTGCCTCCCTTTTAAATATAAATTCCAGCCAGGCGCGGAATTTAGTGGGGGGAAACTGCTTTGAGTATTGTCTCTTTAATTATCCTAGGACAGAAAGTGTCTCCTTTACACAGCCCTTCCTTCTCTCACCCCTCTTTGCTCCCACCCCTTCCCTGGAAGTCAAACATCCTTGACTGTAATCCCAGCACTTTGGGAGGCCAAGGTGGGCGGATCACACGGTCAGGAGATCGAGACCATCCTGGCTAACACGGTGAAACCCTATCTCTACTAAAAATACAAAAAATTAGCTGGGTGTGGTGGCGGGCGCCTATAGTCCCAGCTACTCGGGAGGCTGAGGCAGGAGAATGGCATGAACCCAGGAGGTGGAGCTGGCAGTGAGCCGAGATCATGCCACTGCACTCCAGCCTGTGTGAAAGAGCGAGACTCCATCTCAAAAAAAAAATAAATAAATAAATTCCAATTTTAAGTTATTTCTTTTCTCCCACATCTGTGTAGGCTGTTAGAAGCAGCCAGGGTAAATCTTGAATGCTTTGCTGCTTAGAAATTTCTTCCACTAGATACCCTCAGTCATCACTCTTAAGTTCAACCTTCCACAAAGTCCAGGGTCATGGACACAATGCAGCTAAGTTCTTTTTTCTAAGGCATAACAAGGGTGACCTTTGCTCCAGTTCCCAATAAATTCCTCATTTCCTTCTGAGACCTTGTCAGCCCGACCTTCGCTGTTTGCATTTCCATCAGCATTTTGGTCACAGCCACTGAGCAAGTCCCTAAAGAGTTCCAAACTTTCCCTTGTCTTCTTGTCTTCTTCTGAGCCCTCTAAACTCTTGCCCTCTCCTTTTCCATGTGACATGCTGGTCCCCTTCACCTTTCATCTTGATTGTAAACTTCCTGAGGCCTCACCAGAAGCAGATGCTGGCACTATGCTTCATGTGCAGCCTGCAGAACCATGAGCCAAATAAACCTCTTTTCTTTATAAATTACTCGGCCTCAGGTATTCTTTTAAAGCAATGCAAAATGGATTAATACACTACCTCATAAGGTCAGTGTGAAGATTTAGTGATCTAATGCGGGTCCAGGGACATGAGAAGGTTCCTGCAGTAGAACAAACATAGAAAAAAGGACTGTGTGTTGGTAAAGATCAACAGTTTTTAAAACACAGGGAGGTGGCTCAAAGCCAATGTGGAATATTTGGGCTACATTAAATTTCTGTTTTGCAACTTTTAATGGCATATAAAACCATTCTGAACCCCATGATGAATATTGATTATCCTCTCAGAACAGAAAATAAGTCTTTATGCAAGATGCCAAACTAAGGAATGATTCTCATCTCACAGAAGTGTAGACTAGCATCTGGGCTAGAGACTGTTTTTTCTTAGCCTCATAGCATCAAAATGCAGAAGCCATTGTCTGAGGGGAGTAAAAATCTCATACCCTAAAACCAGATGAAACATAACTGAACAATATAGGGTTTGAACTCAGGATTTACAAGGTGGGAGGGCTATAGAATGATAAGCAATACACAGAGCTCTGAACTTACTATTCCCACAAACCAAGCACTGAAGTCAAATTTTAATCTAATATTATTCTGTGGCTGAAAATATCCTATTAATGACAGGTTATAAATTTATCTAATTTGGAAATGAACTAGATTTGGAAAACCAATACTTGAAATCTACTTGCCTACTAATGGCAATTTGTTTCTGCTTGTGGATTCTGGCCTCTTGTCATTAATATATTGAGGTTATTTCTGTCTGGCAGAGGTAGAAAACAAACATCAGTTTCTTTCTTCCTAAAATTGCATTTTCTCTTGAGAATCAGTTTCTAAGAAACATTTCAACTTTAATCAAATATTGCCAATAGACAGTAGTAATTCAGAGATAATCCAGATAAATTCTCTTTCAGATACCCTTTACAGAGTAAATTGGATCTACCACGTACAAGCTAAGTACATTTCTTTTAAATTGTACTGCCAGAATTTTCTCACCATTGTTGCTAATCACAGGCAGAAGTGCATTTGTTTGCAAAATCCTTTGTTTTGCAATCTAATTTTTGTGTGTGTGTGAAAAAGATAGTCACTCATATAAATGCATTTGTGGCATTTATTCCATGAGAACTGAGGGGGAAACCAATATAAAAATATAAAATTGATTGATTTAAAGGAGATAAAGTTGATTATCAGTCAATTAATAAATACATACAAAGATATTGCTCTGGGCTATTGGTTTTGTTAGGTATATTGACCTCAATAATGAACAAAATTATTATCCTCAAGGTGCTTAAGTACAGGCATACATGTGAAAAGTGTTATGATCGAGTTCAAGGTATATAGAAACTAAGTATTGGGAATGCTGAACTCAATTTTAATGAAATTCTTCCTGTGGGTGGTGACTTTTAAACTAAGACAGAAAGTTTGCTCAGCACAAGAGAATTGGGGAGAATATAGTTTTAGACAGAGGAAAGAACTTGGACAGAGTTCACATCGGTCCTCTGCAATGTGGCTGGACCATTAGCTTTGTATTCTTGTGTGCATTGCCGGTGCTGGGCAGGGAGGGAGGTGCAGCATGTGAAGGAAGGCTAGATAATGCAGTGCCTTGTTAGCCATGTTAAGAAGTTCACCCATCTTATCCATGCTCTTTCTCTTGACTGGACAGCCTTTCCTAGACTTTCCAACCATTCCTGAAAGATCAAATCAAGTGTTTCCTCCTCCATGTAGCTCTCTTTCAGTCTCCAGGAATCCTGATGGCAGGCTTGTCTGAAATTGTACCTTTTTCTTTAGCACCATGGCTTGACTGATTGTTCTCTAGGAACTAATATAGATTCTACAGTTAGAGAAGTTCTTTTTGAACATGCTAAAACTGGATACATGGTATATGGCCTAAAATTGTTGAATTACCCATCTTTCAAATTTACAGGGTGAATTGATGTGTATTGTAAATCTTGAAAGTTCTCAAAGTTGTCAAAGTCCATTTATGTGAAGATATTGAGTTTAGCAGTTGTTTAAATAAAATGTCAATAAAAAGTGGAGAATTGTATTTTTAAAATGCATGCATTCTTTTAAATAAATTGAGGGTGAAGTTTACTACTACTATTATTATTATATCATTTATTTATTTTCTAGTCTTTGGATGTAGGGCCAAAGGCCAAGTTTGGACCTGCTGTTCTACCTTGTCTTTCTTCCATAAAGATACACACTTTATTTTTGTATACATGGAAACAGAATTTAAAGACACATAAAAACGTAATTTAGTGCAGAATACTAGATTTTTACTACCATTTTCTAGTGTTTCATATCAACTTTAGCAACTAGCTTTAATAAGTGTTTTCAAAGATTTCAGGTTAGTTCTTGTACAAAATATTTTTAAATTAATCTTTAATTAAAGTACTAAATAATATTTATCTGCTTTCCGTAATATTAATGAATATGTTTTGCATAAACTGGTTTAAGAAAAAATACAAATCACTCTTTGTAGGTGTAGAACTCAATTTGTTAGGGTAGATGTACCCTCACAATTAGAAAATCAAAGGGACAAATTTCATGTACTAGCCACACACATTCAGTGTAATTTGGGGATCATGGGTAGGTTTTATAGAGAGTTTAAAAAGTCAACCCAGTAATTTGGGCAAGTGAAGATCAGTTAAGAGAATGCCTATCTTGACTTCCTCTAAAGTTCTTTGTCTGAAAATGAAAGCAATAATCACCACCAGTCCAATAGGTAGAATAATCAGACATTTTCATATACGATTTTGATGGAAGGAAGGAGGGAAGGAGGGAAGGAAGGCAGGAAGGAAGGAAGGAAGAAAAGAAGGAAGGAAGGAAGGAGGGAGAGAGGGAGAGAGGGAGGGAAGGAGGGAGGGAAGGAGGGAGGGAAGGAAGGAGGGAAGGAGGGAGGGAGGAAGGAAGGAAAATAAAGGGGGGAAACAGAGAGGGAGGAATAGAGAAAAAATAGAATGTTCCTTTGTTTGCAGAAAAGCTAATTAGAAGTAGAAGAAATGATTGAATTCAAAAAAATTCTCAGTTGGCAATCATTATGACAACAATTTCATTCTAGCAAGAAATCATAAATGGTTTCTATAATCAGTGGTTGAAAGTTTGAGGAGTAAAAGTGTATTTACATTGTCTCAAAGCAGCACTCAATAAGATACTTGTAAATTTACAAAGAATAAAATGATGGCTTTAATGCAGCACAAAATTTAGCTCATCTTTCTGCCATTATATAACAAAAATCCACTTTTCTCCAGTTTCAAATAATAGGTTCTTCATCTTTATCTGAGCCCACACCCCTTCAGTGCCTTTAACTCCATATTTCTATCATCAGTCTGCTCATGATGATGTATTATTTAAAATAGTACTTATTTTATTTTCATGAACCTCACTTCTTCTGAGTACTGACTAGCAGAGTCATTAACATCATATTTATATGAAACAGCTATTTAAGCCATCTATACTTTTTCTATCATACTCCCCAGAATCCTTTCAGCCTGGCCCATTGCCAAATTCCAAAGCTACTTCCACATTTTTAGATATTTGTTAACTGCAGCACCCCACTTCCAGATACAGTTGCCACCCTCTTGTCTGCAGGAAACCGAAGCCACACCCATGGTGGAAACCCCAAATAGTAGATAGTACCAAACTCTACATATGACTTGCCACATAGTACCAGAGTTAATATGTCCTTTCATGGTTTAAGTCCTGGTACCTTTTTTGCACTTTTATGAATGTAGTTTCTTTTGGGCATCTTCTTCCAGAAGTGCCACGTTTGGATGGTATACTTTCCCCTTAACTTCTTTAACTCTTCCAGAAATGTGGTAGCAGCTTCTTAATGGGCAGATACAGCCTCTTACTTGCAATAAATGACTTGATGTCATTCATTTCAGGGGATCCCTTGCTGGAGTCTTCACATAGTTTCAGTGCTTCCTGGTGCAACATATTTAACGTCTTTTCTATCTTAACTAAGCACTTATCAGGCACTATGGCTGTAACTTTTAGATTTTGTTGTGCAGCAGTGAAACAAACACAAATTTATTTTTCCTTCCTTATAATTTCATGGATAGAAGATTTGTTTTTAGTATATATATATATACTGAGGTTCCATATATATTATTTCTTTCCTTATTAAGTTGAGAACTTTCACCTGTTCACTTAAAGGAAGCACTTTATGTCTTCTCTTTATCATATCTGTATTGCCAGCATCACTACTCTTGCACTTTAGGGCCCTTATTAAGTAAAATAGGGTTATTTGAACACAACCACTGTGCACTCAAACTGATAATGAAAATGTCCTACGGGAGGGTGGTGGAGACAGTGTGGATCTGCTGGACAAAGAGATAATTTACATCCCACAGGGACAGCTCAAGATTTTCGCACACTACTCAGACTGCCATACAATTTAAAACTTATGAATTGTTTATGTCTGGAATTTTTCATTTAATATATTTGGACCTCAGTTGACCATGCTGGTAACTGAAACTATAAAAAGCAAAACAGCAGAAAAGCTGTGATTCCCGTACCAAGATTTATATTAGGATTTTATTGCTGGCATAACCATCTACCACAAACTTCATGGCTTTAAATAAAACAAATTTATTGTCTTATAATTTCTGAGGTCAAAAGTCTAAAATGAATCTTACTTGGTGTGATGGACTAAATGTTGGTGTCCCCCAAAAATTCATATGTTGAAGCCCAAACCCGCAATGTGACTGTATTTGGAGATGGAGCCTATAAGGAAGTAATTAAGATTAAATGAGGTCAGAAGGATGGGGCCCTGATCCCAAAGGGTTAGTGTCTTCATAAGAAGAGTCACCAGAGAACTCTGTCACTTTCTGGGCACAAGCACCAAGGAAAGACCAAGGGAGGACATAGTGAGAAGGTGGCCATGTATAAATCAAGAAGTGAGCTCTCACCAGAAACTTACCATGCTGATACCTTGATCTTTTTTTTTTTTTAAATACTTTAAATTCTGGGATACACGTGCAGAATGTGCAGTTTTGTTACATAGGTATACACGTGCCATGGTGGTTTGCTGCACCCATCAACCCATCATCTGCATTAGGATACCATTATCTTGAACTTCCAACATCCAGATCTGTGAGAAAATAAATTTCTGTGTTTAAGCTCTCTGGTCTGTGGTAATTTATTTGGGCAGCCTGAGAAGATTAATACATTGGGTTAACATCAAGTTATTGGAAGAGTTTCATTATTTCTGGAAGCACTAGGGAAGAATCTGTTTCCTTATCTTTTCAACTTTTAGAGACCACCTCTGTTTCTTGACTTGTGGCCTCCTTCCATCTTTAAAACCAGCAAATGTTTCCACTGTAACATCTCCATTCTCTGACTTCAATTCTTCTGCTTTCCTCTCCCACATTTAAAGGAAGCTTGGAATTACGTTGGTCCACCTGAATAATGCAGGATAATCTACCTATTTTAAGGGTACCTGATTAGCATTATCTAAAATATTTTAAGGTGCACAAATCATATTTACAAGTCATTGGATATTAAAGCTCTTTACTAGAAAAAAATGATGGAAAGCAGATGTTTTAAGGGTGAAGCTTGAATATTTTTTTGTGTGGACCAAATGAATGACTACTTTATGTGACTTGTAGCATAATCTTTATTTTACAGTTATACCTAACATTAGTGGAGCCTAAATAAGTAATGTGTTATAGATAGTATTGAGGCAAATGAAATAACTGATATTGAATAGAAGTAGAAAAGGTTATCAATTTTACTTCCAAGTTAAAATATTGTTAACTAAGTAGAGTTAATATTAAGTTTCTTGTGAGAATCTAGCCAGGGAGAGAGAGAGAGAGAGAGAGAGAGAGAGAGAGAGAGAGAGAGAGAGAGGCACTGCAAGGAGAGGAAAGAGACAGAACCAAAGAATCAAGAATGTTTGCATTCTTGAGCCCACAATAGTGTAAGGACATAAGAATGTAGTGGGAGTCTAGCCAATCTGGGCTTAGGTCTCAGTCACAGCTGAATATATGCAAACTTCTTTCCCACAGACCCTCCAAATGGGATGCCCATACACACTGCCGACATCCTAATAAGCAAAATGTTATAATATCATAGTATTATAAATACTATAAGAAATATAGACCTCTGATTTATCTAAAGGGTGGTCCATTTTTATTTTTGGCTTCATTTGTGGCAGTGTCCTGCTTTATTTCACAGATCACAAACCTATTATTATACCAGGTTTACCCCTATGCTTCTAGGTTTTGGGAGTTAATGTTTGGAGAATTATATGCACTGAAGTGAAGAGTAATTTAGAGTTACAGCCACATATAGACTTATTTGTGTTCCATTGGAGGAAGGTCTTGGGAGAAATTTGTTCTACAAATGAACAAAGAGAATAAATAATTTGAAACATGTCAAGTACATTGACCAGCTTGCTCACTAAGAATCTGTCTTCTTGTTTCCCTTGTTGGCTCAAGTCAGAACCAGTGTAGCTAATAAATTATGCAGTGCATAGCTGTTCCAACTTGGTCCGCTAAGTGGAACCATGTATAACCAGTTCCATCAATGGGAAACCCGGAAACTGGAATGATGAAAGTTTATTTTCTGATGACTGTGATAACACCAGTCATAGCTGTCTTCAATTAGGTTGCTGTCCCTGTCCTCTCTATTTACCAGGAATTTCAGCCACCTGCAGGCTGGGTGGGTGGAGAAAAAGGAGTTACAATTTATATAAATAAGAAATAAAGAAAAGACAAAAATAACACAAAAACACTTTGTGTGGGATTTGGATCAGCTACGTTCATGGGCCAGTTTTTTAATCTGTGACTCAAAATCTAAAATATCACCCTGGAGACTTGAATTATCAAGCAATTCCTGCAGATTCCTGTTTGTTTTCTTGTTTAATATTACTCATACCAGATCACACTCTGACTTCTAGGCATGAATGATGTGAATGAAGTTCTCTCAGAGAAACTCCTCATGGAGGTGCCAGCCAGAATGGGTAGAAAAAGGTAACCCTGATGCCAATAGAAGATTAAAGACAATATCTTATATCTGTGCACTTGTATGTCTCTGAGAGCTTTGTTTTATGACTCATATTGACCAGAACTGAATCTGTTAGCCATCGCTCATGACTCAACTGCCTGCTGGGGCCAGGCAAATAAGATAAATACATGATGCTGTAGATGTCTTAAAAGACAGCCAAGAATGAACAAAGGTAGGACACTGAAAGTGCTGCTCAGCTAATGTCTCTCAAATTAAAAACAAATACGCAAACTATTTTTCTGGCTAAGCCCTCACCTGTTCTGGCCTGATTTGGCCCAAAGGTCCCCATTTGCACTAACCTACCAATTGTGTTGTCACACCCATTCACTACTTTCAGAAGCAGACGACTTATAAACACATGTGAGTATTCATAGAACTAATTACCTTCAAAATTCTGAATGGAATGTTTATTGTTGTGGTGGCTTGGATCTCCCCATCTTAGACTCTTCCTAACAGCAACTTTGAGAGACAGTGGGTTGTGGGCCAGACAGAGGACCAAACCGTTTCAACTTACCTGTCAGATAGCCATTCCACATGTAGTTTCCAGAAACTATTCTGTTTCAAATGTTGATGTCCATAACTGACAACTGCCCTTTGTTTATGTCTATAGTCCTTTTCATTGCTGATCTAATTGAGATTTTATATATCTCACACCAAGAAATAGTAGTCTTCAGGCTAAAGAATCTATAACCTTTCTGATGCTTCATTGCTGCTGATCTAATATGAGATAAAATTCTGCTCTCTTTTGTAGAATATGCCTAGGTTTCTGGGTTTAGTATATTATAAATATGAGAGACCCACATAGATCTTCAGTATACAAAGTAGGAGGCAGACATTTATGTTTGTATCTAGGTGACACAGAAATAAACAACATAGATGCAGAGTAAAAAAGTCTTCAACCCCATCTTTCTTCTGATTTATGATTAAACATTTCTGTAAAATATATATGTACAAGCCTCTTTTGTCCTGCCCTAATACATTTTCTCCATCTATACTCTCCACTTTCCTTCCATGGCCCATCACAGCTGCTTCTGCTGTTTCTCTTTGGGATATCTGGGTTCTCTTTTTAGCTCTTTCATTAATAAATCTAAGTGACCACACAACATCTCTAAGGCTCATCTTTTTGATCTATTAAACTGAGATGAGATTTGAACTAGGAATAATCTATAAGGTCCCACACTGAACCAACTACGAATCTTTTTTGTATGTATGAGATTTCATGAATTCAGCCAGAATTTTATTCTAGAATTAACAAACCTATAATTGGGCTGAAGCATAATACAATACGCCTATTTTCTCTAAGGATTCAGGTAAATTATCCATTTTATATAATTGTGTGGTCATCACTGTTGTTTGAAGATCTATAATATAGAAAGTATTTATATCATGACAATATTTAAAAATTGTTTGTATTTCATGTTCACCAGCAGCAATATATTGCTTTATTAAACTAGAGATAATCAATAATAGAGCAACAATTTAAAGTTGAGATTCTTTGAGAAAACAATTGAAAGACAACCAATTTATTCAGCATGATTGCTTTATATCTTTTTGCTTGGTTACAAGTGTTAAAAAAATCAACACAGCGTTACTTAGCAAACATTAAAAACACATATATTTATATGTACATATACAACTATATATACAATATTACACTGTATAAAACCAATATATTTATTGAAAATATAGAAAAATTAATAAGTAGGTAATTGGAATTTTTTAGAAGTGTATTTGTCATTTATATATTTGTGTATTTACCAGTGCACATAGATGCTATATTTTGATTTGTTTCCTAGTAATAGTCTCCCTACATATGTTGATTATTTTACACAAATTTAGAGTGAGGGTGTCTGAAAATCTACTCCTCTATAAAAGCAATCAGAATACTGGTAAAACTTGTCAACATCAATCTTCAGAACTTGGAAAATTAACCAAAGGCTTGCAACAATCTGAAGAGCATTTATTCAAGAAAAATGGGAAAATCTCAGTAAGAAGAGTGAGCTTTGTGACATTTTGATTTACCTTATTTCCATCACCTTCTCCTCAGCATCACAGAAGTCTTGGAATTCAACTACCTTGAAGTTACAGTAGCCATAATGTGATTGATAGAATAATGGCCCCCAAGGATGTGCAAATCACAATCCCCCAAACCTATAATTACGTTGTCCTAAACAGCAAAAGTTACTGCACATATGTGATTAAGTTAAGGGCTCCAAATATGGAGAAATTATCTTGTATTGTCTATGAGGCCTCGATATAATCACAGGTGACCTTATAGGACAAAGGCAGAAAGTAAAAGAGGGAAGGAGACGCTATACTGCTGATTGTGAAGATGGAGGAAGGAGGCCACAAACCAAGGGATACAGGCAGCCTCTGGAACATGGATAAGGCCAGAAAACAAAACAAAACAAAACCTGAAACAAAACATATTTTTTGTTTCCTTAGAGCCCCTAGAAAGAATAGAGTCCTGCCGATTCAAGTTTGATTTCTTAACTTCATAACTGTAATATCATACATGTGTTGTTTTAAGCCACTAAGTATGTAGTGATGTGTTATAGCAGCAACAGGAAATTAATACAGGTTTTGGTACGTGGAAGTGGGACATTGTTTGCTGTAGCAAGTACCTAAAAATACATAAGTGGCTTTGGAATTGTGTAATGGGTTTAAGCTGGAAGAACTTTGAGGAGCATAATAGAAAATTCCTGGATTACTTTACAAGACTGTTAGTGGAAATATTGTTATTAACAGTACTGTATGTGAGAGCTCAGAAGGAAGTTATAGGAAACATGAAGAAACTGTATTCTTTTTATATAATGATAGAATGCTTAGCTGAACTGTGTCATAATGTTATTTTGAAAGATAAATTTGATTTTTAGTTGGGATTCCAAGCAAAGTATTGAAATTGTGGTTTGGTTTCTTCCTTTTGCTTATAGCACAATGTGGGAGATAAAAAAGAAGAGAGAGAGAAAAAAAATCTTGAGAGAATTTTAAGAAAAAGGAATCAGGACTTGATGATTTAGAAGATTTTCATCTTATCCAGATTGCACAAGACACTAAAATGAGCACATTCAATGTCAGGAAATTGTGCTCTGGAGAGAAGGCAAAGGGAATGGCTGGACAACCTTTTGCTAATGCTTCTGAAGCAGCAACATTTCAGAGTATTCAATCACACAAAGGACTCTTTGAAGAGTTTAGGTGTGTGATTTTTGGTTCTAAGCAGAAACCAGGAATGAAGTTGGCATTATCAAGGAAATATCAATGGAGGAGCAAATGACAGGGAAAGGAAGAAATAAAAGAAATTCACTAGAATTGCAAATGAAAACTGCCTAATAACATTACTCAGCTGAAAACACATGCTTCCCCTTAAGAAAAATGAAGAATGATTCTGAGGGCAGAGCTGCAGGACAAGAGGGCAGAATCCTGAAGCCAGAAGGTGAAACTGACAGCCACAGAGGATTATTTCAAGTCCTCAAAACCTAGTAGAGCCTCACATGCTGGATTTCAAAATTATTTGGATTAATGATTCCTTTTTTCATTCTATATTCTCCCTCTTTGAACAGAAATGCCTCTAACAGGGAAACTATGCCTGTCCTACATTGTGTTATGAAAAGAGTAACATGTTTTCTTGTTTTACAAATCTAAGTTTGAAGAGAAATTTTTACCCATAATGGATCATACCCACAGTCACAACCGATGCAAGATTTACATGGTGAGATTTTGGATGTTTCAGCTGATGAGGTTTATTTGAGATTTTGGACTTAAGTAGATACTGTAATGTGTTGAGATTTTGGAGATTTGATATGGGGTTTATATACTTTGCATGTGAGATAGCTAGTCCTTTAGGGGAACCAAGAAAGAAATATTGTAGACAGAACAATGGTTCCCCAACATACCTATATCATAATCCAGAAAGCCAGTAGATATATTACCTAGATGAAAAAAGGTATTTTTCAAACATAATTGCATTAAGGATCTTTAGATCTTTTAACACAAGTCAAATTATCCTGTGTTATCTGAGTGGATCAAATGTAATTACAAGCCTCCTAATGAGAGAATACAAGATCAGAAGGTAAAACTAGAAAAGAGAAAGAAAAATATAATTCCTACAGCCTCCAGCACAAAGGCAACCCTGAGGACCCATTGCAAACTTCTGACCACCAGAAATTGTAAAGCAGTACATTTGTGTTGATTTTTTTAATTGATACTTAATATTTTATGTATTTAGGTGCTACATGTGAGTATTTGTTAAATGCAGAAAATGGGTAATGATAAAGTCCAGGGTATTTGGAATTATCCATCACCCTGAATATTTATCATTTCTTCATGTAGAAAATATTTCAAATCCTCTCTTCTAACTACTTTGAAATATACAATACATGTTGCTAACTAAAGTCAGCCAGCTTTCCTTTTGAACATTAGAACTTGTAAAATGGAGTAGCCACTTTGGAAAACATTTAGCAGTTTCTCATAAATTTAAACATACAGTTGTTAACTGACCCATCTAAAATAATAATAATAGTAACTTAAGTTTGTATCATCCTCTCTTCTGCTAGGATTCTTTCTTTACTTCTCTTTACCTCATCTCTTATTTCATAGTCAATATCTTTGGAATGCAAACCTGCTATTTAAAATTTACTCTTGTTTTTGGCAGTAAACATTTTTCAAAGTATGTTTCTTCTTTGTCATTATTAATATTTGTCTCTTGTCTACATGTTGTGGCCTCTTAGTTACAAGTTCAAATTTTTTCTTGTATCTATTTGAGAGTAGTTCACACAATATTTGCCACAAAATAATGTAAGTTCTGCAATATTTTCAATGTATTTGTAGGCACTGTTAGAATCCTCCTCTTAAATTTTGAGCTGGAAACAGGGTTTGTAGATGGATTTATTTTATAAGTTTTATTCTGAGCAACCTAAGGAAAACACAGAGAATAACAAAATCCTAATTAGGGCCAATTAGAAAATTTGGCTCCATAGAGATGCATTCTAATTTTGTTAGAATCATGGTGCTGGAGACAGAGATCTACTCAAACCTCATTTTAAGATGATTTATCTTGTCTTTACTTGGGACAAAATGTTGCCATGTTTACCAATGCTCATTCTTCAAGATTGGTGTAGGTAAAATCCAGCCATTTCAAATGATTCTGAAACATAAAGATTTAATTGTGTTTAAATAGATTAAAGTCACATGGGAATATCAATTTGCACTCAGTTTATCATGACTGTATTAACTAGTACTTGTACTCCTAAAATTCCTTTTTGGTATTTGATAAGAGACAGACTTCATATATAAAACCACATATATTAAAAACAATTTACAAAATAAAAGATGAATCATGTTTACACCATTAAATGTAGAAAAGCTAAAACTGTAGTTGTATATTCCTGTCTCTAACCAAGCTAATATGTTTTGATAATGTTAGATGTTAAACATAAAAGGCTAAATATTTTCAATTTGTCATACTCTAAAGCACTTACATAATCCAGTTTATGGCTATTTATGACCTACGACCCTGGTTGTCTACACCAGAGACAATAACCAGCTGTCCACTTGGATTAGAGTATTTGCATCAGGTATGGCAATGTGTTTCTCAACTTACTTGATCCATAACAACATGAATTTAGATCGTTCCAGAATATAACTTGTTATAAAAAATTTTGACTGTGGATTAAAATACTGTGACTTTAACATTAAGATTTTTATATTTTATTTATATTTAAATTTTTATTTTTGATAGAGATAGTAAACTTACACTTTACATATTATAATATTGTTACATACAAATTTATTTCCTAGGAATCTCATTTAAAAACAAATGCCTACTTTTGGCCAGATGCAGTGGCTCACGCCTGTAATCCTAGCACTTTGGGAGGCTGAGGCGGGCGGATCATGAGGTCAGGAGATAGAGACCATCCTGGCTAACACGGTGAAACCCCGTCTCTACTAAAAATACAAAAAATTAGCCAGGCGTGGTGGTGGGCACCTGTAGTCCCAACTACTCAAGAGGCTGAGGCAGGAGAATGGTGTGAACCCGGGAAACAGAGGTTGCAGTGAGTCAAGATCGCGCCACTGCACTCCAACCTGGGTGACAGAGCTAGACTCTGTCTCAAAAATAAAATAAAATAAATAAAAATAAATAAATGCCTACTTTTAAAATAGGAAATTGTATTTTGAGAATATAACTTACATTAACCTTGAGAATCCTCACTTCATCTATTGCTTGTGCGTTAGAAACCTGGTATGAAAATGTAAAATATAAACACTAATTTTGGGAAAATGTCTCTTATTCTGTACTACATTGAATACAATTAAATCAAAGTTTATGATTTCAATTCTGATTTAATTTCCTGTGATATTGTCTCTTGAATAATTAACTTTGACAATTTAGTTGTCTGTAATCATTGGCCACATTTTATTTTGTAATACTTTAAAAATAAAATAGTATATATGTAACTTCTTGAAAAGGTTGTTTACATTTTCAATGCTTAATTATAAACTTGTCATAAATTATGATATAAATATAACAAAACCTTTTAGCATTTGGGTAAAAACTATATTAAAATATTCAAATGATAGTATAGATATTATCTGAATTTCAAAAATATTTATAATATGTACTTTAAATTTTTTGTTAACCAAATTATTGAGTATGTTAACAATAGAGACAAGACAAAACACCTTATAGACTGTAATAATAATTTTTCATTTGCCTGTTTCCATGGTGAAGTAAAATAAAATTTAATTTTAGACTACTATGATATACAAGACAAGTGACAGAAAAAAATCAAAGATGTTGACAATGGATCAATTACTTTAAATATCCTAAATGTAAATATTAAGTTATGTGTTATGTTCTTTAAATTTAATTTGAGTACTTCATAACCACCTTCTTTATTTTTACTCTAATAGATAAATCAGTTAACAGTGTGTCAACATTTTGATCCTCTGGGAGGTATGTACCAAACATACTGATATATTAATTCTTTAAGATATAACTTGTTTTGTTGTAGTTAGATCAACCCCCATAAATTAAAGTGTTTCTTAAGTCTGAGGAAAGCTAAACCTTGCAAACCTGAAGAGAATGTGTAGAAGGTCCTTAGATAATGAGAAGGTAAATGCAGCAATAGTCTTCTCATGGGAAAGGAAAAAATACTGGCTGCAGGATCATTCCTGAAAATTCTGGTCTGCCCTTTTAGTATGCTAAACATAGGTATAACACTTGAAATGGTTTTCCCACCCTGATTTCCTCAAATACAGGTATTTCAGAGAAGCAATAATTCCAGATTCTTCAGAAATTTTGTTAATAGAAGCAGAATGCAGGTAAGTTTCTGGATAGTCCAATTGTGCTCCCAAGTCTGAAAAATTAAACTGTCCTTTAGAATTTAACTGTTTACCTTTATCTCGACTTAGTATGAGTATTTCTTTTATGTGGATGAAACCAAAATGCATGGAAATGAGTGTCTAGTTACAAAAAAAAAATACTATCATTGCCTTTCTTATGCGTTAGCGATTCTAAAACTAAAATGAGCATTTATGATTTATTTAACTCATGAAAGCTCTTCCGTTTTGGCATATTATAAAAGGATGCTTTCTTTGTTTTTTTCTTGCTGAATTATACTAAATTGTTTTATTTTATGCAAGATCATTTACTACAGAAACACCATAAGTAATTACAATAAACAAGGTATATGCTAGCCATTTTGAGAGAATCAAGGAAGAGTCAGATCCAGGATTGCACTGAAGAGCTTCCTCTGAAGTGTGAGGAATACATTTGCTGTGGTTTCAATGTGTTCACCAAAGTTCATGTGCTGGAAACTTAATCATCAGTGCGATGGTGTTGACAGGTTGGACCTTTAAGAGGTGATTAGGTCATGAGGGCTCTGCCCTTATGTATGAATTAACACCTTTATCTCAGGAGTAGGTTAGTTATTGTGGGAGTGGATTCCTGATAAAAGGATGCATCTGATCTCCTTCCTCCCCCTCTCTCTTACACATTCTTACCATGTGATGCCTTCCACTACCATATGATGGAGCAGGAAGGCTCTCACAAGGTGCCAGCCCCACCTTCCACCTTCTTGGACTTCACCACCTCCAGAATTTTAGAAATAAATCTCTGTTCTTTATATATTACCCAGTCTGTGGTATTATTTTATTGAAATACCAAACAGACTAAGACAGAAAATTGATACATGAAAATGTGGAAGCAGCTTTGGAACTGGGTCATGGGTAGAGGCTGGAAGAGTTTGGAGAAGCAAGCTAGAAAAAGGCTAGATTGCCATCAGTGGAAAATTAAGGGTGATTCTGGTGAGGACCCAGAAGAGAATAGCTATAAGGAAGTCTGAGATTTCTTAGAAATTACTTAAGTGACTGTGATCAGAGCATTGGTAGAAAGATACACAGTAAAGGCAATTCTGATGAGTTGTAGATATAAATGAAAAACAAGATGTTGAAAACTGGGGTGAAGGCCATTCTTATTACACAGTTGCAGAGAACTTGGCAGAGTTGTGTCCATGCCCTTGAGCTTTAGGGAAGGCAGAATTTAAGCATAATGAATGAGGATATCTAGCAGAAGGAATTTCTATGCAAAATATTGAAGGAACTGCATGATTAGTTTTAACCACTTATAGTAAGATACAAGAGGATAGAAATGACTTAAAATGGAATTTATAATTAAAAGAGAAACAGAATGGAAAAATGTGGAGATTTCACAGAGTAGCCATATAAAGAGTAAAAAGGTATGTTTAGGAGAACAAACCAAAAGTGTAGCCAAGCAGTGGTTTACTAAGGAGATTAGTAAAAATACAAGGGAGCCAGGTACTGTTCATCAAGACAATGGGAGAATGGCCTTGAAGGCATTTCAGAGAGCTTTGAGGCTTCCCCTCCCATCCCAGGCCCAGAGTTCCAGGAGCACCAAATGTTTTTGGAAGATGGATCCAAACAACACTCCACAAGCTCACTGCTCAGGGCTGTCTTGGTTCTGTTAAATATAAGGAACTCCATGTTTCTCTTCAAAGAATCAGTATGTTAGTATGTTCAGCTCTCTTATTCTTTGTTCTCCATTTTAAAGTTTAACTTCCTGGTTCTCTTCACCCCCTTGCCTCTAATTTCAGTAAACAACTTTCCTGCCAGTTCTAATCAGTAGTTCACATCTGTTCGCCTGGTCATCTGCTCTGACCTGAATCATCCTGAGTCACCTGTTCTGTAACCATCCTTCCCACCAAACTACTCACCCCACCACTCCAGCTCGTACCCTTGCTTTCTTTAAAATAGCCAATCAGAATTAGCTTAGACTGTGCGGTCCAACCCTAGCCAATAGGGGAACGACACAGCAGTAGGGGCTATCTGCGTCAGGAATAAGAACCTCTTCCCCTCCCTTGTTCAGGTGTGCTCTTGTCATTGCTCTATCCACGAGTCACACCCTTCTATAGAAGTAAAATTGCCTTGCTGAGAAAATTAAATTTATGTTCAAGTGCTATTTCGTTTGTGGCACCGAAAATTTGTTTGTAACAATTCTCTAGTCCCCATACCTCACTGAAGTACTCCTTGGCTACCTCAACCATGGCTCGAGCAGGCCCAAGTGCAACTCATGCTGCAACTCCAGAGGGCACGAGTGGTAAGCACTGGTGACATCCAAATGGTGCTTAGTCTTCAGATGTGCAGAGCAAATGAGCTGTGGAGCCATGGAAGCTTCCATGTAGATTTCAAAGGATGTCATAGAAAACCTGGGGGCCCAGGGAGAGACTTGTCACAGGAGCAAAGTCAATACAGAAAGCCTGCACTAGGGCAATGCTCAGTGGAGTGGTCAAAGTGGGCAGCTCCAGAGACCACATTACTGTAGGGTCTCTAACAAGCAACTGCAGCCTGAGAAAGGTGCAAGCATGAGACTGCAACTCCTGAGAGCTACTGGGTGGACTAAAACTGTAATGCCCAACCTTGTTTTTACTAACCCTGTTTTTAGACTCTCCCTTTTCCTTTAATCATCTAGCCTTGTTTCCACCTGAATTAACTCTCCCTTAGCTAAGAGAGCCAGACAGACTCCATCTTGGCTCTTTCACTGGCAGCCCCTTCCTCAAGGACTTAACTTGTGCAAGCTGACTCCTAGCACATCTAAGAATGCAATTAACTGATAAGACACTGTGGCAAGCTGTATCCGCAATTCCCAAGAATTCGTCTAATTGATAACACCCAAAGCCCTGAGTCTATCACCTTGTAATAGTCTTAAAGTCCCTGCACCTGGAACTGTTTACTTTCCTGTAACCATTTATCCTTTTAACTTTTTGCGTACTTTATTTCTGTAAAATTGTTTTAACTAGACCCCCTCCCCTTTCTAAACCAAAGTATAAAAGAAAATCTAGCCCCTTCTTCGGGGCCGAGAGAATTTTGAGCATTAGCTGTCTCTTGGCCGCCGGCTAAATGGTCTCTCAATTCATCTCAAAGTGTGGCGTTTTCTCTAACTCACTCAAGTACAACATTTGGGGGCCCCAGTGAGATATTAATGCCACCGGGCAAGAGCCGGTCTTGCTCCAGGCTCCCCCGGAAGGACGGCTGGCTCGGAGGGGGAGCGCCACCTAAGAATTTTCAGGTCCCCGAAGAGTGACCGTCTTCCGGAGGAGAGCGGATTGACTACGGTGTGGGTGCCCTAAAATTCAACATCTGAGTCCTCAGCTTCTGACCCCAGGGTCAGGTATGTCAGATTTGACTTCGATTCTGGTAAGAGGGAAGCGGCCCTGATGAGGGCATCCCTCTTTTGACTCAGCCCCTTACTCTAGGACGCTAGAGGTTTGAGCCTTGGTTTTCTGGTAGGTGCCTTTGTGTTTTGGTTTGGGTGGGAAGTGGTCCTGACAGGGGCCCTCCCTTGATTTAGTTCACGTCCCAGAACGCTGGGGAACTGAGCCTTAGTTTCTGGCAGACTGGTCTCTCTCTCTTTCTCTCCCTTTTTCTATCTCTCATCCTTCTTTTGTTCAGGTTTCTTGGAGAATCTCCGGGAAAGAAAAAAAAAACTGTTATAAATTCTGTGTGAATGGTGTGTGGATGGGGGAGGACAAGGGCTTGCACTTATCCTCCAGTTTGTAGCTCCACAGTGAAAGCTACGGAGTTCGAATGGGCCGTCACCTGCAGTTCCGTGGCGACCTCATAAGGCTTAAGGCAGCATCGGGCATAGCTTGATCTGAGCCGGGGGTTTATACTGGCCTGCCAATGCTAAGAGGAGCCCAAGTCCCCTCAGGGGGAGCGGCCAGGTGGGCATCTGAATGATCCCATCATGGGACCCCTTCCCCTTGTCTGTCTAATAAAAAATAAACAGGAAAACTGTTATAACTGTTTAGATGCCCTAGGGTCAATTGTTTGTTTTATGTTTATTGTTTTGTTCGGTGTCTATTGTCTTGTTTAGTGGTTGTTAAGGTTTTGCATGTCAAGACGTTGGTACTGCCCAAGATGTCTAGGTAAAAACTTCTTCAAGGTCCTTAGTGCTGATTTTTTTGTCACAAGAGGTTAAATTTCTCATCAGTCATTTAGGCTGGTCACCACAGTCCTGTCATTTCTGCCAGAGGCAAGTCAGGTGTTGTTACAAGAACGAGTGTGAAAAACATACACCTGATTAGGATTTCTGGCACCATGAAGGTTGTAGGTGTTTAGATTGTCATACCCCACATCCAAGTGATTGGACCTCCTCTAAACTAAACCGGTGGTAGGTTCAAAACAGCCACCCTGCAGATTTCCTTGCTCACCTCTTTTGTCATTCTGTAATTTTCCTGTGCCCTTAAATAGAACACTGTGTAAGGAAACTTACACCCATACTGCTTTACTTCATTTAGATTCCTACTCTGTTCCTCCGTGGCTACTCTCTCATCTTAAGGATGATCCAAGTAGTCCTTTTCCTCCTCGCCCCTGCCCCCTACCCCACACATCTCATTTTCTGGTGTGACAGCAAGTTCAGCGTCTCCAAGACTTGGCTGTGCTCTCACTCCTTGAACCCTTAAAAAAAAAAAGCTGAATTTGAGCTATTTGCCTTTGAGTTGTGGAGACATCAAAGGTATTTAGAGTACAGGTCTAGAAGGAAAATGAGAAGGGAAAACGCCTAGATACAACTGACCCAGGAGATCTTGGGCTGGCCTCTAGTCCTCCTCCCTCAATCTTAAAGCTACAGTAATGTGGTAAGTGGTATTAGCTGTTGTAGTTTTTCTGTTCTTTCTGGTTAATTCTGTTTTTCCAATACTCCAGCCCCCCAGGGAGTGAGTTTTTCTGTCCATGTTGGATCTAATATCTCTGCTCAAATTCTGTTAAATTGCCTTTTAAAAAATAATAATAATAAAAATAGGAAACACTTCCTCCCAGCCTTGTAAGAGTTGGAGCCCTCTCCAATGTATGCTACAGAATTTTTCTCTCGGTTTTTCAGAGAATTATGAAGTCCACCTTAAAAAAGGCAAGCTCCAGACACTCTGCGGGATAGAATGGCCAAAGTTAGGAGTTAGGTGGCCCCCTGAAGGGTCATTGAATCCTACAATAGTTCAAGCTGTGTGGCGGGTTGTTACTGCAACTCCCGGCCACCCTGATCAGTTTCCCTACATTAATCAATGGTTGAGTTTGGTCAGAAGGCCCCCTCCATGGCTCTGCTCATGTGTCATTCATAATTCTACCTCCAAAGTCCTCCTGAGCCAGGCCGCGTTTTCACCTCTACCCTCAGCCGGCTCGCTCCCCCTGTACTGCCTCCCTCTGAAGACGAGAAGAGTCTCCCTCACCCAGTCCCACCACCTTACAACCAGCCTGTTCCCTTAGGGTCACCCCATGTCTCCTCGATGACACCCCCTGTGGGCTCGCCACCCATTGCCTCTTGACTGTAGAGGAAATAGCCCCTCTACTACCACTGAGAGAGGCACAAGTCCCTCCAGGTGACGAGCGCTCAGCCCCCTTCTTAGTTTATGTCCCTTTTTTCTACTTCTGACTTGTATAATTGGAAAACCCATAATCCTCCCTTCTCTGAAAAGCCCCAGGTTTTGACCTTTCTGATGGAGTCCGTACTCCGGACTCACTGGCCCACCTAGGATGATTGCCAACAGCTCCTTTCAACCCTTTTCACCTCTGAAGAGAGGAAATGTATCCGAAGAGAGGCCAAAAAGTACTTCCTCACATCAGCCAATAGACTGGAGGAGGAAGCTAGAGACCTCCTTGAGGAGGTCTTTCCCTCCACCTGGCCTGAGACCCAAATTCCTTAAGTGGAAGGAGAGCTTTAGATGATTTTCACCAGTATCTCCTCATGGGTATTAAGGGAGCCACTTGGAAACCCATAAACTTGTCTAAGATGACCGAAGTTGTCCAAGGGCCCGATGAGTCACCAGGAGTGTTTTTTAGAGCGCCTCCAGGAGGCTTATCGGATTTACACCCCTTTTGACCTGGGAGCCCCCGAAAATAGCCGTGCTCTTAATTTGGCATTTGTGGCTCAGGAAGCCCCAGATATTAAAAGAAAACTCCAAAAACTAGAAGGATTTGCTGGAATGAATATCAGTCAGCTTTTAGAAATAGCCCAAAAGGTTTCTGACAATCGAAAGTTTTCTTAAAAAAAACAGAAACAAGCAACACAGGCAGCTGAAAAGGCCGCTGATAAAGCATTCAAAAGACAAAAAAAAATCTAAATGGTGGCTATCCAAGAGGTGCAGGATGAAATGGCCCGTTAATTTGGACAGACACAGAAGAACAGACTTTTCAAAACCTGAAAAAGGCATTAACTGAAGCCCCTGCTTTAGCCCTCCCTAATATCTCAAAGCCGTTTCACCTGTTTGTCCACGAAAGCCAAGGAGTTGCTAAAAAGGCTCGAGACTCCAGACTTTAAGACCCTAGAGTTGCCCAGTGGCCTATTTATCTAAGAGACTGGATCCTGTGGCCTCTGGATGGCCAAGTTGTCTGCGAGCTGTAGCGGCTGCAGCAAGCCTAGTCCAAGAGGCTGATAAGTTGACTCTAGGCCAAAATTTAACCCTTACGGCTCCTCATGCTGTAGAGACTTTACTTCAAAGTGCTTCTGGTGAATGGATGTCAAATGCTCGCATCCTGGCAGTATCAGAGTTTACTGTTAGATCAGCCTCCTTTGACTTTCTCTCCCACAAGGTGTTTAAATCCAGCTACTATCCATGACTGTCAAGAACTGTTAGAAACCACCGAAACTGGCTGACCCAACCTTCAAGATGTACCCCTAGAGAAGGTGGATGCCACTGTGTTCACAGATGGTAGCAGCTTTCTCGAGCAAGGAGTACGAAAGGCGAGTGCAACTGTTACCACAGAGACAGATGTGTTGTAGGCTCAGGCTTTACCAGCAAACACCTCAGCGCAAAAAGCTGAATTGATCACCCTCACTCAGGCTCTCCGATGAGGTAAGGATAAACATATTAACGTTTACACTGACACCAGGTACGGCTTTGCTACTGTGCATGTACATGACGCTATCTACCAGGAATGCAGGCTACTCACCTCAGCAAGAAAGGCAATCAAAAACAAAGAAGAATCCCCCATTTTCAAAGCCTAACAGATCAAGCAGCTCTCCAGTGCACAACCTGCACCCAGGTGAATGCCAAGCAAGGTCCTAAACCCAGCCCAGGCCACCGTCTCCGAGAAAACTTGCCAGAAGAAAACTGGGAAATTGACTTTACAGAAGTAAAACCACACTGGGCTAGGTACAAATACCTTCTAGTACTAGTGGACATCTTCTCCGGATAGACTGAAGCATTTGCTACCAAAAACAAAACTTCCAGCACAGCAGTTAAGTTTTTACTCAATGAAATCATCCCTCGACATAGGCTGCCTGCTACCATAAGGTCTGATAATAGACCAGCCTTCACCTCATCCATAGCTCAGTCAGTCAGTAAGGTGTTAAACATTCAATGGAAGCTCCATTGTGCCAATCGACCCCAGAGCTCTAGGTAGGTAGAACGCATAAACCGCACCCTAAAAAACACTTACAAAATTAATCTTAAAAACTGGTGAAAATTAGGTAAGTCTCCTTCTTTTAGCCCTACTTAGAATAAGATACACCCCTTACTAAGCTAGGTTGTCACCTTTTAAAATCATGTATAGGAAGGTGCCACCTATCTTGCCTAAGCTAAGAGATGCCCAATTAGCAGAAATATCACAAGCTAATTTATTACAGTACCTACAGTCTCCCCAACAGGTACAAGACATCATCCTGCCACTTGTTCGAGGAACCCATCCCAATCCAATTCCTGACCAGACGGGGTCCTGCCATTCATTCCAGCCAAGAGACCTAGTGTTTGTTAAAAAGTTCCAGAAAGAAGGACTCACTCCTGCTTAGAAAAGACCTCACACCATCATCCTCACAATGCCAACAGCTCTGAAGGTGGATGGCATTCCTGCTTAGATTCATCACTCCTGCATCAAAAAGTCCAACAGAGCCCAACTAAAAACATAGGTCCCCAGGCCTAGGTCAAGCCCCTTTAAAACTGCACCTAAGTCAGGTGAAGCCATTAGATTAATTCTTTTTATCTACCTCACTTGTTTGTTTTTGCCTGTTATGTCCTCTGCGCCTTCCTACTCCTCTCCTCACCTCTTTCACAACAGGACATGTATTTACAAACACCACTTAGAAGGCCAGTACCTCCAAGGAAGTCTCCTTTGCAGTTGATTTATGTGTACTGTTCCCAGAGCCAGCCCGTACCCACAAAGAACAACACAATCTGCCAGTCCCAGGAGCAGGAAGTATCGACCTTGCAGCAGGATTTAGATGCTCCAGGAGCCAAACTAGATGTAGAAGCTCCAAAGGTGCAGAAAAAAGGACTCCAAAATGTTGACTTTTACCTCTGTCCTGGAAATCACCCTGACGCTAGCTGTCGAGATACTTATCAGTTTTTCTGCCCTGATTAGACAGGTGTAACTTTAGCGGCCTGCTCTAAGAGATCAACCACATCTTCATTCCATAACTTGTGCTTCTCATCCTAAATTATGTACTAGAAAAAATTGTAATTCTCTTACTATAACTTCCATGACCCTAATTCAACTCAATAGTATTATAGCATATCATAGAGATTAAGATTTTATATCCCAAGATTTGATGTTAAGACTATGTTCACCATCCAAAAAAAATCCTGGTCTCATGAAGCCCACCCAAGCCAATCAGGCCTTTAACTGATCTAGGTGAACCTATGTTCCAGAAACACCCTGACAAAGTTGATTTAACTGTTCCTCCACCATTCTTAGTAATAAAAAAATATATACTCTAAAAGGTGCGAGAAAAATCTAGATAAGCGCCAACAAAAACAAGAAAATAACATCCCCTGGTATCAAAGCATGTTCAACTGGAACTCATGGTTAGCTACTCTAATCACTAGGTTGGCCAGACCCCTCCCCATCCTACCATTAAGTCTAATTTTTAGGCCTTGTATATTAAATTAGTTTCTTAATTTATAAAACAATGCATAGCTTCTGTCAAACTTATGTATCTTAAGACTCAATGTAATCCCCTTGTTATAACTGAGGAATCAACGATTTGATTCCCCAAAAACACCAGTGGGGAATGTAATGCCTAACCTTGTTTTTACTAACCCTGTTTTTAGACTCTCCCTTTTCCTTTAATCATCTAGCCTTGTTTCCACTTGAATTGACTCTCCCTTAGCTAAGAGAGCCAGACAGACTCCGTCTTGGCTCTTTCACTGGCAGCCCCTTCCTCAAGGACTTAACTTGTGCAAGCTGACTCCCAGCACATCCAAGAATGCAATTAACTGATAAGATACTGTGGCAAGCTATATCCGCAATTCCCAAGAATTCATCTGATTGATACCACCCAAAGCCCCGAGTCTATCACTTTGTAATAGTCTTAAAGCCCCTGCACCTGGAACTGTTTACTTTCCTGTAACCATTTATCCTTTTAACTTTTTGCCTACTTTATTTCTGTAAAATTGTTTTAACTAGACCCCCCTCCCCTTTCTAAACCAAAGTATAAAAGAAAATCTAGCCCCTTCTTCAGGGCTGAGAGAATTTTGAGCGTTAGCCTTCTCTTGGCCGCCAGCTAAATAAACGGACTCTTAATCCGTCTCAAAGTGTGGCATTTTCTCTAACTCGCTCAAGTACAACAAAACCAGTAAAGCCACAGGGATAGGGTTGCCTGAGGCCTTAAGGGTCAAACATCCCCACCCTGAGTATGTCCAGGATGCAAGACATAGAATCAAAGGAGATTATTCTTCAGCTTTAAGACTTAATGTTATTTTTCCTATTGGACTTTGGACTTACCTGGGACCAGTTAACCACCACCCCCCCCCTTTTTTTTTTTTGCCTATTTCTTCCTTTTGAAAGGGAAATGTTTGTCCTATGCCTATTCCACCATTGTATTTTGGAAGTAGATAACTTAATTTCATAGGGTAGTAGCTGGAAAGGAATTTGCCTTGGGACAAATTGTGCCTGGAGTCTCACCAATGTCTGATTCAGATGAGACTCTAGATGTTGACCTTTTAAGTTGATGCTTTGAGACTATTGGGTGGAATGAATGTATTTTGCATGTGAGAAGAATGTAAATTTTGGTGGCTAGAAGTGGAATGCTGTGGTCTGAATGCATCCCCCAAACTTCATGTGCTGAAAACTTAATTCTCAATGCAATAGTGTTGTGATGTGGGACCTTTAAGAAGTGATTAGGTCATGAGGGCTCTTCCTACATGCATAGATTGTTGCCATTATGGCAGGAGTATGCTTGTTATTGAAGGAGTGGATTCCTAATAAAAGGATGAGTTTGGACCCCTTCCTTCCTTCTCTTATATGTTCACTCACCATATGATGCCTTCCATCATATTATGATTGTTATAAAGTTTTGGTGCTGCAAAAGAAATAGCACTCAAATATAAAATTTTCTTTTTAATTCTCAGCAAGGCAAGGTACTTCTATATAGAGAAGGGTGCACCCTTACAGATGGAGCAATGGTGAGCACACACTTGGACAAGGGAGGGAAAGGGGTTCTTATCCCTGATGCATGTGGTCCCTACTGCTGTACCATTCTTCTATTGGCTAGGGTCAGAACACAGGCTAAACTAATTCCAATTGACTAGTTTAAAGAGAGTGACGGGGTGAGTGGTTTGGTGGGAAAAATGGTTATGAAATGAGTCAGGGTGGAGTAGGTAATCGGAATGAGTCAAGGTGGAGAATGAGTTAGGGTGGAGCAGGTAATAGGAAAAGGTTGTTTTACGAGGAAGTTAAGTTTAAAAGTAGAAGGCAAAGAATTGTACTGACATATTAATTCTTTGAAGAGAAATTTAGAATTTATATTTAACATGATGTAGTAAGAAGGCCCTTACCAGATGCCAGCCCCTCAGCTTTGGACTTCCAAGCCTCTAGAACTGTGAGAAATAAATCGGGTTTTTAAATAAATTATTCAATGTGTGATATTCTGCTATAGTGACACAAAAAAAACTAAGACAATACTTAAATAAAATATATAGCATAGAGTCATAAAAATAATGAGACAGGTAAAAACTAATTGTGGAAATTCAAAGGAGAGAAATAGCCACAGTAACTCATAATTTAAGAAGTCACAAAAACAGCAAAAATATTGGGAATCTAAACATCCTTGAATAGGGAATTTCTCCAAGCCAGTGACTCTCCAGGTGTGGTCCCTGGAACAGCAGCATCAACATCACCTGGGAACATGTTAGAAATGCAAGTTCTCAAGCTCCATTACAGACCCATTGTTGATTCAGAAAATCCACAGCTTGGCGTCAATAATTTGCTTTATAAAGCCCTCCAGGTGACCTCGATGCAGGCTTAAATTTGAGAACTACCACTCTAAATGAAGACACTTCCATGTAATTTAACACCGTGAGTTAGTTAAAAGAATTAGACAGCTCTACAGATATGCCGGGGATATTTTCAGAATATATCACTAAGAATAAACAACAATTACAAAGTAGAGCATGTAGTTAGGAGTGTGCATGTGTGTGTGTGTGTGTGTGTTTACAATATGTGAAGATTTTTTTATTTGCTTTGTATATCTCTGAAAGGATGCATATGAAATTGGAAAAGGATGGGGATAGGGTAGGGCTGGAAGAATAAATTATTTTTAATTTTATACTCCCATTTGCTTTTTAAAAATTTGTGCCATGTATACATAATTTCTACTTAAAAATTGATTTTTAAAGCAGTTAGAAAATATTATTTTAATGAGTTATGAATCACGATTAGTCCTCAATATCAAATGAAAATGTGTACATTTTATATGTGTTGGCACAGGATAGAAACATAATTATGTTTAATACCTGCAGAATCATTAAAAATGAAGAAATTCTATACTCAACCTGTTTCAGAGTTTAGCATTAGAACAGAATGTTTAGGCTGGGCACGGTGGCTCATGCCTGCAATCCCAGCACTTTGGGAGGCAGAGGTGGGCCGATCATTAGGTCAGGAGTTCAAGACCAGCCTGGCCAATATGGTGCAATCACATCTCTACTAAAAATACCAAAAAATTAGCTGGGTATGGTGGCACGCGCCTGTAGTCTTGGCTACTCGGGAGGCTGAGGCAGGAGAATCACTTGAACCTGGGAGGCGGAGGTTGTAGTGAGCCGAGACTGTGCCACTGCACTCCAGCCTGGGCAACAGAGTGAGACTCCATCTCAAAAAGAAAAAAAAAACACCAGAATGTTTAATGTATGTTAGACTAACATGTACTCATTAAGTGTATACTCATTTCAAAAATAGCAGTGAGAGAAAAAAGTCATCCATGCACAACTACTGATACATTTCCTCTGAAGAGGTTTTTAAAATTATTATTTTGTTAGAGTTTTTAAAAAATCATTTTTAATTACTGTCCACATGATTTTTCATATTTAGTCACTTAATGTTATTTTTTCTTTATCATAAAACCCCAGCATTTTAAAGAGCTACATAGTAATCCTCAATAGGGGATAATAAGTATTGCCTCTTATTGGACACTTTCTTTGTTTTCACTTTATTTTTTCTGTTCTAAATAGTGCAGTAGTGAACATTTGATGCCTAAAACTTTTTTAAGTTTTAGGGTTGTTTTGTTTGTATAATAACAGAAGAAAAATTATTAAAACAAAAGATAATAATATTCTTATTTGCTTGCAAAAGGGGTAAATTTGATTATTATCTTATATAAATAATATATGAGAGTATTTCCTACTTCCCTCAATTTAGTGTAAGTACAATTTTTTTTATTTCTACTATCCAGAATGGAGTTCTAATGAAATCCTTTAAAAATTCTATAATAAGGAAAAGATGAAGAATAAAATTTAACATAACTTAAAACATAATAGTAATGGGTCAACTTCTTTGAAATTCAAAAAGGATACCAAAAAGTTATGCATAGAATTTTAGCAGTAAATGGATCCAGAGAGTACCTAGCCTATCTCTCATTTTTCTTCATAAGAAGACTAAGATACCAGTTAAAGAAAGTTAGTTAACTAAATTCGAGCAGTTTATTATCCAATATAATTTCCTATTTGAAGGTAATTTGATACCTGTTTACATACATCTTACATCAGTATTATTAACAAATTAATGAATTATTTTATTCTCTAGTCCTCAGAAAATTTGAAACTAGTAAAACGTATGAAATCTTGAACAATCAAGGACAGAGAATTTATTTTGCAGAAGAGAGAAATAATTGCTTCCTTCGACACCTTTGTGGATTTTCAAGCCCTTTTACTATGACAATTTATGATAATGTAGGTAGAGATGTACTTGCTCTGCATAAGGCTCTGAAATGTAGCTTACAAAAGGTAAGTAAATATTTATACCATCATATCAAAAAAGCCTCAATGCCGGACAGTATGATAAAGTCTAAACATTGGGATTGGCTGCAAAGAATTGTCTGGAATGGAAAACGTCAGAGAGATAATTGTATTTTTGTACCACATAAGTATAGGGTGAGAATCATCCACAACATTGCAAATTTTTTCTAGGCAATGAAGGTCATAAAATCTTTAGATGTTTTCTATTCTAAACTATCTAAGCATCCATCCAAGGCTTTTTGTGACCTAAGAAATCTGCCTATTGTAAAGTGGCAAAGACTCTACCTCGTGTTTCCTATAGAAACTCTATATTTATATTTAAATCTACTTCCATTTTGAGTTAATTTTTGTATTCATGTGAGGAAAGTGTTGAGATCCATTTTTTCCCACTTTAATATTTAGTTGTTTAAACACCATGATTTGTAAAAGACTATTCTTTTTCTACTGGATTGATTTGGCAACATTTCTGAAAATGAATTGCCAATGTATATGTTTACATATTTCTAGAGTCTACTCTCTTCCATCGTTCTACCTATGTATATACATACAAATATATATACACACACGGAGCTAGGATCATCAGGACAATATAATATTGGCATAATACCAGCTGTAGAGTAAGTCTTAATATCAGGTAGTACAAGCCTTCTTATTTTGTTTTGCTTTTGTCAAAGCTTTTTTGGCTTTCTTACTTCCTTCACATTTTTATATAAATTTTACAAAAAAAAAACCTATCATATTAAAAAATTCTGCTGAGATATTGATGGTATTTAATCAATGGATTAATTTGAAAAGAACTGATATCTTATTAATATTGAATCTTCTGCTCAATGGCTATGGCATATTTCTCCTTCTATTTAGATCTTCTTTAATAACTCCCAGTAACAGTCATTTTCAGTACTTAGGTCTTACAAATATTATATTACAAATAAATTTAATTATTTTATATTTCTAGATACAATTATAAATAGTATTTTTATTTAAACTTTACTTTTTTGTTGCTTGTATATAGTATATTGTATATAGAAAATTATTGCTCTGTGTATACCTTCACTTTACTCTGACCTTGTCAAAAATTACTTACAAATTCTAGTAGCTTTTTTGTAGATTTCCTAAAGTTTCCTACAATTATAGATATGAAAATACAGATTTTACTTCTTCCTTTGTCATCTGTATGCTTTTTATTTGTATGTATAAATTTATGAATGTATGTATTTATTTACTCTCTGGATTCTGGAAATCTCAGAAACATTTTGTTCTTGTCACATATTTCACTACATCTACCTATATTTTGTGGCTTGAGGCTTTGTTTTTCCATCTAATTTTGCCATCTAATTTTGTCTAAAGAATTTGACAGTGGTTTTGTTTCGTTTTGCTAGTATACTTGTTCTGTCCTTTTCCATGAGAGTTTTTGGGGAGATTTACAAACCATACCACCATTACCACCATATTGACTTAGCAGTCTTCCTTTACCTTTTAATGGGTAATACTTATATATGGTAAGAAAAAGGGAAGGAAGAAAGGAAGGAAGGAAGGAAAGAAGGAAGGAAGGAGGAAAGAAGGAGGAAGAAGAAAGCAAGCAAGAAAGCAAGCAAGGAAGAAAGAAAAAAAAAGAGAGAGAGAGAAAGGGAGAGAGCAGAAGGAAGGAAGGAAAGAAGGAAGGAAGGAAAGAAAGGCCAGAATTCTCTACTTTTCAGAATAGAAGAGGACAGAATATAATGGAAGTATATTCAGGAGAAACAATTTCTCTCAAATGCTTGCTTCCTAAGCCTCCTACATTCCTTTTTAGATACAACTACTATTACAAGTTTCTTATGTATTCTCCCAGTTATTTTGTGAATATTTGTATAATGTATTACATAAATACAGCATATTTATACTATGTGTGTATATGTGTGTGTGTTTTAACATAATTAGTAGCATATTATTCTACTTTTTAAACACATAACAGTATAATTTGAGGATTGCATCTATGTTTAGAACTTCTTTGTTCCTTTAAATGGCAGCATAATAACCCATTATATGGATATGCCATAATTTATTCAACAAGTCTCTGTTGAGTCTGATGAACTGAGCTTTAAATAAAAATTGGGGCAAAATTTATATTTGCCATGGCAAAGAGTTATGAAAGTGCTTGGCATATTGAGTAATAAGCAGTTTTGGATGAGATTAAAGTTTCGTTGTGTTTCATGGGCATGGCAATTTAAAAAGTAATTCTCATACATGCCTAAAAAGGAAATTATTATTATCCCTCTTTTGCAAATGGAAAGTAAATTTCAGGACTTTAGTGATTTGTTCACATTTCAAGCAGTGAAGTCAGGTCTTAGCTCAGGGGGCTCTAACATCTAAATCCTGGTCTTCTCACTTCTATGTTGATTCTCAAACATGAAGCATCCCTTAAATACAGAAAGTTCTGTCAAAATATACAAAAAGCTCATTTAAGAGGTAGTACAGAACTAAATAAAGTGTTACTTACAAGTCTAACATATCCAGTTGGATCAATATTATATTTTCAATCTTTTGTAGCTAAAAGTTGAAGCTCCACCAGGTGAAACAATTGGATATGTTTATCGATACTTTCACCCATTCTTGCCAAAGTTCAAAATAAAAAATGAGAATAAGGAGGACGTAATGAAAATTATAGGCCCATGGTTGGTCTTCAGCTGTCTTGGGGATCTAAATTTTAATGTAATTAATTAATAAAGTTGTAATATCATATTAAAATTAGTTAATTATTAGATTTCTTTAATATATAATTAATGAATATGATTAAAGATAAATAAAAGAATATTATTATGAAAATATTGTAACTATTTGCTTTTTAAAAAAAAATTGGATTACTAATTCACAGCGTCCTTATTTAAAAGCTCTATAAGTTTATGTAGCTTATAAGGCAAGTTTTAAAGGTATCAGAAGTTTGTTATTTAATATCTCAAAGAATATTGACAGAGAAAATTAAACTTTATTTAAATGGACAATGACCTAATCTGGTACTAATTATAGATAATGTGTTATATTAATGTTCATTAACGCAGTTTCTGCTTTTTATAAAACTTTGAAACTCAAAATAATTTTTAAAAATTTTTAGGTGCTTACTAATTTACTTCTCAGATTATAGCCAACATCCAGATAATAATTTGGGAAATTAGCTACTAAACATACTTCACATAGTTAATAAAATTAAATAACTTGTTATATTTATTCAAACCTGAAGATTCTTAAGCAACAGAGAATATTGTGTTGGTTTAACATCATAGTAGATGTGCAAAAAGCCATACTTCCCTAACTTTCATCTAAAACATGTTTGTTTGTTTGAATATCTAAAATATCTAGTAAGAAATTTGGATACAGCCTAACTAAAATACTACCTGATTTTCCTTCCTTTCTTAGAATTATGTCAATTCATTTTAGTGATTCTGATTCTTACTGGCATCTGCATATACTGATTAAGTAAAATATACTTAATACAGTACAAATTAATTGTTAATAATATGGTTAGTTTGGAAAGTAATAATATGACTACATAGGATTCTATTTTAAGTTAAAAGCCAAAGTAACAGAGTAGACTATGCATAAAACTCTGGAATCCAAAGCCATTTTTACTGACACCAAATAATAAAATGCTTTTTGTGCATTTTTTTATATTTCAGAGTATAATACAGCAAATCCTACTCGTTGTAATATCTTCAAAACTTTGTCAAAGTTATATAAAACACTTCCTATTTTTTCTGTTTGAAGCGAAACAATTTTAAAGCTGGCACTCTTGGGTAAGCTCCAAGTAAGAGGAGCAAGAAAGGGAAATCAGGATTCTGTAAGAAAGTCATCTTTTCCATGAATGTGGACAATCCTTTTAATACTTTTGGCTATGAATAAGAGGAAAGAGATAAAGTAGTAGCTAGTTACAGGGCCAGAACTAGAGTGAGGCAATGAAGGTGTTCATCTCAGGTACAAAATTTAAGGGAGCAACACAAATCTCAGTATTAAAGGTAAGTGATACCTGAATGTGTTGCATTGTTTTTTAAAAAAATTAAAATTAATGCAAAAATTTTTATTATGAAATACACCAAAAAATTAAGAAACGAACTGACCATGTACTTGCATTACTTATATTTCTGCAATACCCTAATCCTGTTTCTGGCTGGATGAAGGCACAGGGTGGAAGGGGAGGTATTTTTCTGAAAAATATGTCGTTATCCCTTTGATTGTAAAAGAACAGAGCCAAATGAGAGAAAGTATGGAGATACAACAGAGGCTGAATACTTGATGAACCCGGTTTCTTATTTGGTATGGGACTAAGACGCATGTAGAGAACTAGCTTCATATAGAGATGGCCCATTCATCATAACAGGAAGGAGGCAGGAAATGTTGGTATGAATATGTTCTGTTTGTAGGGCTAGTGTGTGAGTGTGAATTCCTGTTCCATAGCTTTTATTTTTTCTGTAGTATAAGAGATAAGATATTTTGTTGAGAATGAGGGGGAATGGTGGGTTCAGAGTTCTGAAAAGAGTGGAGAACTTTGGGCATATTTAAAACACTTTGATATTTCTCGTTTCCCATATTCCTTAGCACTACTTACAAGGCTGTGTTATGAGCAGCCCTGCTAACCTCTTTGGTCTCACTAATTTTCTGCTACTAGCCCCCTCCCTCACTTCACTCCAGCTATGGTCCTTCCTAACTTGGGGCCTTTTCACATGTTAACTTTCTCTGGAATTCTGTCTGTCTTCCTATTTCTCTTGTCACTAATTCCTTCTGGTCCTCTAAGTCTCAGCTTAAATGATGCTGTCCCCAAGCACTTACTCTAAAACCATGCCCCTACCATTTGTGTAGTCTGCTTATTAGCTCCCAGTTGTACTACATGATAGCACCCTACCCTTCCCTTATGGCCCTCATTACAAGGCAGGTAATATGATTCATCCCAGGTTTGTTGTTTTATATTTACATGAGTATCTCTTATTCTGAAGGAATTAGTATGAGTTGGTATGAGAAATGATGCTCTAGGAGGTTTAGGTAAGTAACAGAGAGAAAAAAAAATGAGGAAAAAGTAAAGGGAACCAGAAAATAAAAAGCACTTATGAAAGAGTTGGGAAGCTGTGTAATGAGCTGAGAAGCTAGTGGTTTTCATTTTATAATGAAATTCATTCTCACATTAAATTAAAGCAAATAATATGAATTAAGTGTATACGTGTGTATACATAGACATAGAAATAGATATAATCAGTTGTATACAATTTGAAAATCTACTTTTAGATAGGAATTGCCTATAAATTTTACCAGGCTATTATGTGTCCATGTTGCATATTTTGTAAATTGTTGGGTACAATCAGTATGATTATAACTCATCAAGGTCATAATTAATAAATTTGGTACAGGAATAACTTTTTGTCTCACAGATTTTTATCCTAAGATTATATATTTTTCCATTTTAGTTATTGACTCTGGATGAGGAAATGGTTATTGGAAAGATTTCAAAACAGTACTCTGGATTTGTAAGGGGAATATTAACCAATGGTGAGAAATTTGGGATCCAGTTTCCATTTGATCTTGATGTTAAAATTAAAGCATTGATGCTTGGAGCAACTTTCCTCATTGTGAGTCTATTTTTACTCTATTTAGCTGAAAATTATATTTTCTGAGATTACCATTGCACTTTTACTAATATTTCTCCTTGAATCATCTGAATCAACTGCAAATTGTGCCTTTCTGGCCATCCTCAGTCCCCGAATGATATCATGGATTCAGTATTCACATTGCAAAGGAAGCAAAAATTAGAGTGTCCTAGAAACATGATGATTCAGGTTTAAATCCTTTGCCTTCATGAAAAATCAGATTGTCACTGAAAATAGTAAAAATATGGTTCATTCAGTGTGACTTATAGTTATCTCTTACAATGTAAAATTTATTAATACATGCTTGTTACACTTTATTTAAATGGTAATATATTGTTAATTTGGAAACTATAGATATTATTTGATTTAGCTCTATCTCTTGCGCAATACAAAGACCTTAAAAACATTTTAATTCTAATCTCTTTCTCACAACTTATATACTTTTGTTGACTAGTGTTTTAGTTTTGCTTCTTTTTAAATTCACAAATTAAATATTTGCTATTATTTTATTTTTCTAATAATATCACAGATATGTTTAGCGTTTTATTTGCTCTTAAATTTTATTGAACTTTAGATGATCCCTCTAAGGTTATGTTCCTTTTTCCTAATCCTCACTTAATGTCATTGTATTAGTTCATTTTTGCACTGCTATAAAGAAATACCTGAAACTGGGTAATTCATAGAGGAAAGAGGTTTGACTGACTCACAGTTACACATAGCTAGGGAGGCTTCAGGAAACTTACAATTATGGTGGAAGGTGAAGGGGAAGCAGGCACCTTTTCCACAAGGCGGCAGGAAACAGTGAGTACAAGCACGGGACATGCCAGATGCATATAAAATCATCAGATCTCCTGAGAACTCACTGGCTATCACAAGAACAGCCTGGAGGAAACTGCCCCCATGATCCAATCACTTCCCTCCCTCCCCACTTGGGGATTACAGGACCCTGCCTCAACACATAGGGATTATAATTCAAGTTAAGATTTGGGTGGACACCCAGAGCCAAACCATATCAGTCATCAATAGGCTCTTGGAAACTGCAAATTTAAGCACAATGATATAGAATAAAACTAATTATTTTTGTCATCAACATTATAACAAAACAACATTTAACAAAATGACATTATTTGTAAACCTTCTGTAATTACCAGTTGATAGATAGAAATTGTTAAATTGGTCCAGGCACGGTGGCTGACACCTTTAATCCCAGCACTTTGGGAGGGCGAGGTGGGCAGATCACCTGAGGTCAGGAGTTCGAGACCAGCTTGACCAACATGGAGAAACCCCGTCTCTACTAAAAATACAAAATCAGCCGAGCAGGTGACACATGCCTGTAATCTGAGCTACTCGGGAGGCTGAGGCAGGAGAATCGCTTGAACCCAGGAGGCAGAGGTTGCGGTGAGCTGAGATTGCACCACTGCACTCCAGCCTGGACAACAAGAGCGAAACTCCATCTCAAAAAAAAAGAAAAGAAAAGAAAAGAAATTGTTAAATTGGATTTTTAAAGTATCTGTAGTCTCTTTTAAAAAGACAAATCTAAATTAATGACCAAAAAATGGAAAGAAAGAGAATATGGATAAATACTAACCACAAGAAAGCTAGGGAAGCTAAATTAATACCAGGGGAAAAAAAAGACATTAAGACTCCAAAAAATAGAAACAGAAACAAAATGGGTAACTACAATGATAAAGCTTCTATTCAAACAAGATGTAATAATTCTAGACCTGTATGCATGTAATATTAACTTCAAAATATAGAGACAAGTGTTAAAAAGTTAGAATGACAAACCCATCATCAAAATGCGGAATTTACTCACATCTCTTCATTTATACTAGATATAAGAGACAGAACATTAGTAAAGTTATTTAAAATTTGAACAACAAAATGAATAAGTTGATTAATGGTCTTATTTAGAAGTTTTTTTTTTTTTTTTGAGACGGAGTCTCTGTCGCCAGGCTGGAGTGCAGTGCAGTGGCACAATCTCAGCTCACTGCAACCTCTGCCTCCCGGGTTCAAGCGATTCTCCTGCCTCAGCCTCCCCAGTAGCTGGGACTACAAGCGCATGCCACCACGCCCAGCTAATTTTTGTAGTTTTAGTAGAGAAGAAGTTTCACCATGTTGGCCAGGATGGTCTCAATCTCTTGACCTCGTGATCTGCCCGCCTCGGCCTCCCAAAGTGCTGGGATTACAGACGTGAGCCACTGTGCCCAGCTGAACTTTTTATCAAACAATTAGACAACACACATTTTTCTCAAATAAATATTGTTTACAAAAATTAATATAATAGTGGGCCAAGAAGCAAGTCTCGACAAATTAGAGAGAATCATTATCATTTAGACCTTAGTATATGAGCAAACAACACTCAATTAGAGGTTAATAAATATTTTTAAATGTTTTATACATATAGAAATGTAGGCTGGGCACGGTGGCTCACGCCTGTAATCCCAGCACTTTGGGAGGCCGAGGCGTGTAGATCACGAGGCCAGAAGATCAAGACCATCCTGACTAACACGGTGAAACCCTGTCTCTGCTGAAAATACAAAAAATTAGTTGGGCGTGGTGGTGGGCGCCTGTAGTCCCAGCTACTTGGGAGGCTGAGGCAGGAGAATGGCGTGAACCAGGGAGGCGGAGCTTGCAGTGAGCCAAGATCACGCCACTACACTCCAGCCTGGACAACAGAGCGAGACTCTGTCTCAAAAAAAAAAAAAAAAAAAGGAATGTAAATAACCCAATTATTTTTTTAAAAAGCCGTAACAAAAAATTTAAAATACTTTAAAATATGTAATAAAATATTACATCTCAAAACTCTATAGCTATAATTATTGAAGAAAAGAGAAAAATTAATAAGCTAAATTAATTAGCTAAAGCTATAAAGTTAGGAAAAAAAAAAAGAATAAACCCAAGGAAGCATAATGAAGGAGATATTGAACCATTAAGCAAACAAAAATAAACAAAGAGTACCCATACTTGTACTCTAGACAAAATAGGTCTTTCAAAGCAAGAAAATCATAAAGTAACAGACTACTAAATTTAAATAGTTTAAATGTGTGTACCCCATAAAACCTCATAATATTAAATATTTAAAAGCAAATAATAAATTAAGGAAAGTATAGGAAATAAGGAAAATAATAAATTAAGGAAATACACAACAAATATGACCAAGGACTAATGTTCTTATGTTAATAAAAATGATATTTAATTAAGAAAAATATCAAATACTTAACGAAAATGTACAAATATTATGAAAAATAATTCAAATAACTATCAAAGAGGGAATAAAAACCACTAAACTTAAGAAAGCGTCTCCAAAAACACACAAGAGAAGCAAAAAATAAAGGATAAAATACCATTTTTTGTTTATCATGTATTAAAGTTTTTATTTCTAATGATGTATGCTCAATGCTGATGAAGATTTAAGGAATCAAGTGCTCATGAGCTATAGGTACAACCTTTAGAGGAATAAATTAAAAACATTTGTCAAAAATTTAATGTTTATATTCTTTCAGATGCAGACAAATAATTGTGTACAATATAGTAACTAGCAATGTACACTCTATGTAGCAAACTTAAATAAACAGCAAAAATTAAAACAACATAAAATGTGTGAGTATGAGGCTTACTAAATACATTATGAGACATCTCTAGACTAGAGTAATAAATAGATATTAAAACAAACTAAAAAATGAAATACTTTTAAGGACCTTTAATGACACAAATACTCAGAATATTTTATGCAGTGAAAAAAACCAGGGTATAAGCATATTATAACAGCAATTATGTATGTCTTGGAGTAATTTGTACCAAAATACTTATGGTAGATTTTGGGATTGATTGAAAATATAAATTTTTTCCTTCTCTTTTCCTCCAGTTTTCTAAAATGAGTATGTAAATGAAAAAACATACATAAGTAAAATGAGGTAGAATTAGTTGCTGATCTCTAAGGGCCTTTAGAGATGTACAAATCTATTATTTTGATGTATTTAAGGGCAAACAGTCATTCTTATACCCTTGCAAGTTGGTTCCTCATGGGTCTGCTCCTCAGACTTCTGCTTTTTAATATGTTTTGTGATCATGTTATTATAATACAGGGACCTTAAAAATCATTCTCATGTCTAATGCCTGTAGTTGTTTCTACTGTTAAACCAATCTAATTGTATTTATTTTTCATTTTCATTCTAGGAATACATGTATTTTGAACTGTGGCCATAAGAATTACCCTGAAAGAATATGTCAGAGATTACTGGCATTTATTTTTGCCAGCCCTCAACAAAACTAAGCAACTTTCACTGAAAATATCTAAATAAAGTTTTATTTTACTAAAACTATTCATATATATTCTTTCTGCCTAATAAACTACATCAAAAATGTTTAACTTCAAATAATCATTGTGTTTAGTTTAGGATTCTGTTGTATAGTTCTCCTGTTCAGAACCTGGCTCACTCATGCATTTTGAGTCAATTATCAGATTGGTTGGGACTGTCTCATCCCAGATGGCTTCATTCACATGTCAGGCTATTGGCTGAGGGAATGGGGGCAATAGGTTGCATATTTTTCATCATCTAGGAGGCTAGCCAAAGCTTTTACACATGACTGTGTTCCAAAAGCAACAAGAAAGCAAGTTCAAATGTTCAAGCTCATTTCAAGCCTCTGCTTCTATTATGCTTAGTAATATCCCATTGACCAAAGCAAATCACATAGCCAAGCCCACATTCAAGGGGTGGAAAAATAGACTCAATTTTTTAATGACAGTTGCTGCAAAATAATGTTGCCATTCTTCCTCCAACACAATTTATCACTGCCTTCTCTCTGGTTCCAATTATTTACATTCTCCCCAAACACAAAATATCCTTAACCCTCTCAGGACTCCCAACAAGTCTCTTTCAATTATAGCATTAAGCTCAAGTCCAGTATAATGTGATCTGTTACCTTTTGTAAATGTGAGTGAGGATACTTGGATGCAGCTTCTCTTGATTCAGAGCCTTGAAAACAAAAAAGACCCACCTTACATGTAATAGTGAGCAAAGGTCAAAATAGCCACAATGAACAAATAAAATTCATGTAGTAGTCACTGGTCAATAGAAATTATAGAAATCAGAAGGGATATGTTTCTAGTTCCCCTTACTCTGGGGACAGAGAAAATTCTGCTCCCTGGGAGTGACTTTCCAGTCCATTGTTCTACTCTGGTCTCTGGAATTTTGGCTCTGCCTTCTGAAACATTTTTTTTCTTTTCTAAATGAAATTACCATGTTTTTAGCTGAGTAGCTTTTGTAGGCTTCTATCTGTCTATGAATATTGGAAACAGAGGTTTCTTCATTTTAAAATGTCTTAGTCTCTTTTAGTTTATGATTATACAACTCCCTTAAAAACTGTGGATTTCTACTTATCAGATTTTGACCACTTCATTGGAAAAAAGTCACATCTACTATTCTTTTTATTTCTTTCTCTGGACTTATTCATATCTAGCTTAGCTTCTTTATATGACAGGTGGGTTGCAAAGGGAGCCAGAGAACACATCCTTAATGAACAAGCACATTTCAAACCTCTGCATCATGTCTGTTAATGCCCCATTGACCAAATCAAGTAACATGGCTAAATCCCCGTTCAAGGGATGTTGAAAGAGATCCCACTTCTTGATGAGAAGATCTGTAAAATATTGTGGACTTTTTTTTTTTTTAACAATCTAGCACGCTATTTAACAGGTGATTTTTTTATTCATATTACCTATGAAATACCTTTGAATTTGGGATATTTTCAATTATATATCATTATTGAATTAATTAAAATATTTATGATAATTCATAGGTATTATTGGTTTCAATGAATGATAATATCCGAAGACCAGGTCATCCTACATCAGAGCTACACAGACACTCTCTCTTAAAGATCAAGAGAGATAAAGACTTGGTGAAATGTAATAAAATGAGTCCTGGATGCTTCCACAGAAAAGCTACTCTTCTTTCTTATAAAAGTATCTGGATAGAGCAGCCCTAATTATACAAGTGTTACCATGTAATGTTTTGGATAAATCCTCCCCTTGTGGTTAGGATTTCTGTCCACAGAACAAAACAGATTTTTGTTTGCAAAAGTTTATGCTTAAAAGGGTATAGTCTAGGTCATTCTAGAAAGACATGGGATCAAAAATTTAAAGCCATCAGAAGTGGCTCCCTCCAAGGGAGAGGGAACAGACTTGAGGCACATATTGCCAAGGCGCAAGGATCTGTCCCTTACTCCTCTTCAGAGATCCAGAGGCAAACTGACCCACATGTATGCCTGAAGATGTTTGTTAGGTGCACTGTCCTGGTAGACTCACATAAAGAACCTCATACTCTGGGGTGGCCAGGAGGATGTGGAAATTCCTGCCTTCCAGGGGACTACAAGACCCTAGCCTATAAGCTTACCCCAGTTCTCTATGCTTTATAACATTTCTTAGGAATCTTTTAGGACATTTTATTGGGAAAAAGGCACATACCACTTTTTCTCAAGAAAAATAATTTAAAAATCATAAAGTGGAATTTCTCATAAATGAGTGAAAAGAAACCTGAAACAAAATTAATTTAAACAAGAACATAAATAACATGATATTTTCTGCTACAGAATTCTGGGAAGCAATCTCATTTCCAAATTATATGTCTTGTTCACAGTTTCTTTTATGGAACTTCCCTGCCTACATCCCCTGGAAGACAGACCAACTTTTCCCTCTCTATGCAGATTTGACAGAATCAGGGTTTGGAATATAAAATTAGGGAATTTTCATTACAATGCATGATACATACTGAATGCTTAGTATATATTAGACAGTGTTATTACAGTCATGTTCAACTGAATGCTGATAGTTCAGATATTCTATGCTCACACAGAACATTTGCATATGAAGAAAGTTAGAAATTTTCACACACCATTATCTTGTTTGCCCCCATTCATACAGATTAAAACTTTTTTTAGAGGAAGAAAAGTTTGGTTGAAGTCGTTAACAGAATTTTTTAATGGAACATTTTATGCTTGTTTTTGGTCAAGCTTGCAAACACTAAGCACAAAACATTAAAATTTCATTGCTCACGTTCCAGAACACAGTTCTAAACCATTTATGTAGGCTGTGTTGAAAAAAATAAAGCTGTCCTCAGCTCAATTATGCCAATACATTTCATGTAACAAAACAGTTACAGGAGGACGAGAAGAAAGTATATACTATGGTGTCTGGTCTCATCCTTTGTGTTTTGAGTATTGAGGATTAGAAGTTGGTAACATTGCTCAAGAAGAAACCATGTATGCTTCCTGACACAGGTGAAATTGTTTCAGGGACAAAGTTTACCTCTAACATTGTAGATTAATTGATGCTCGTCTAGCACCCTAAGGATTGGAAGCTTTGACAGCACTTACACCCAGTGACATTCCCATAACAAATCATAGCACAAGTGAAGTTTCTTCAGATGACTCGGTAGGCATTAGGGATGATTAAGTGGAAGCAAGGGCACAAGAAGCAAAGACAGCCTCTAGCAGGGGGAATTAGATGTACAGACTGGCTTTTGAAAACACGTAAAATACGCCATTCACTGAAATAGCGGTTTTCAACTTTAGCATGTATCAAAATCACCTGGAGGGTCTTTCAAAACACAGATTGCTGCATCTCATCCCCAAAGTGTTTGATTCAGCATGTCTTGGGTGTGCTGATAATTTCCATTTTAACAAGTTACCAGGTGAAGCTGCTGCTACTACTAATCGGAACCACACTTGAAAATTTTGGCACTCGAGCAAACTACCAGACTTCAGCCAGAATTCTGTGAGCTGCTTGCTAAAGGCAGCAAGTCAAGAAAATTATGAAGGCTTATGAAACATTTTAGAGGACCACTGGAATCATCCAAATTACCCCATCTTTATGCAGCATGGCTGGGGATCTTCAGGTATGTCCTCTTTCTTTTATCTTCAGTCTCCGTCTCTGGAATATAAGGTCACTCTAAGTGCAGCTTTGAGTCAGCAATATTAACATAATCTGGGAACTTCCAAAAAGGCAAATGAATGAGTCCTACCCTAGACCTAGTCAATCAGTAACTCTGAGGATGAGACCCAGCAATCTGTCTTTTATTAATAACAAATTCTCAAGATAATTTTAATTGTGGAAAACGTTAGAATAATGCAGTGCTTCTCAGACTTAGCTACACATTGGAATCACCTGGGAGCTTTAAAAAACTATTGATGCTTTGGTCTTATCCCCAGATAATGATTTCATTTATCTAAAGTACAGTTGGGGCACTGGATATTTTTAAATGAGTAGTTTTAGGCTCACAACAAAATTGACTGGAATGTACAAAGGTTTCTTATATATCCCTATCACCATGTCACATATAGGCACTAAAATTTTTTGAAGTTTTCCAGGTGTTTCTTGTGCACAGCCAAGTTTGGGAACTAATCCCAAGAACATTTTGCTTATCAGTATTTAAACATGCTGAGGACCTTATTTTAAACAAAATTTCTTTTGATCACATAGCTACCTTTCCCTTTAATATTTTTGTTGGTTTTTTTTTTTTCATTTTAAGCTTCTTCAATTTTCTCTACTTTCTTTTTCCACTTCCTTGCCTCTTATTCACCACAAGTCCACTGTGGTGACTTTGCATTTCTACCATGACCTTATTTTTTACCAAGGGATACTTTTAAATCTTACCTTAATTGAATTCTGTACAGCATTTAGTATTGTTGATCATTCCTTCCTAAAGTCTTTCATTCGTTTACAGAAAACCCATTCTCTGATTTTTTTTTCTTGTCACTCATCCTTAGGCTCTATTAAATCTTCTTGTGTACCCATTCATTAAATGCTGATGTTTCTCAACTTTGTATCTTTGGATCTTTTCTGGACTATCTAGCTTGTCACATAGCAGGGAAATTGAAGGTACATTAAAAACTTAAAATTAATTTTTATTTATCAAAGTAAAACATTTGAATAGTCTAAAATGCCAAACACTGCTAAAAGACTTATCACACAATCAATAGCATCTGGCTACTCCCCGCCACCCACTTTCTACATATATAAGCAAAAATCTTGCTGGAACTTTTATTTGGATTTTTATTGAATTTTTAGATAAATTTATGGAGAACTGATATTTTGACAATATTGAAACATCTAATATGAAAATGTCATATAGTTCTCTTTTACTTAGGGCTCCTTTAATTTCTTTCATGTAAGTTTTGTAGTTAGCACAGTACAAAAAAAAGTTCCTTACATATTTCTTATTACTTTTATTACAGATATCTAGTGTTTTGATGCTTTTGGACAAGGCATCTTTCAATTATATTTTCTAGTTTTTTGTTTCTAGTATATGGAAATACAATTGATTTTGTACATTGGCTAATACTGTTACCTTTGTCAACCTAAATAACAAACAGAAAAAAAGAAAAAGATATTTATTTGGGAGTAGGGCATTATAATGGGCATATGTGGGCCATAGTAAACTATGTGCATATTCAGGGAAGTAAAGGAAGGCAAAGATTTTTAAAGAAAAAATGAAGATGATCACATAATTCTTATATAATTATCTTTAGCTACAAGAATCGGTAACAAGAGTGACACTAATTTGATGTTGAATAGGCAGTTGCTAGACTGATGTCTTTTCAGAATTATTTTTTGTGTAAAGTTGTAATGGCCTTTGTTCAAGGCTGCAGAATTTGCAGTCCTTTGTGATCATTTTTATCAGGCATTTATACATGAGAACCCTCTCTTTGTAGCCTTTCCTGGCGCAATTTTTAAGGTTTCATTTTTAACACAAGCAACTCTATTTTTATTCTGACAACTTTCTCATTTCCCCCTATTGATCAAGCTATTTCTCTGAAAACATCATTGATCAATCATCCTATAGTTAGGTTTGTGTTATCTCTTGCTGCCAGAATGAACCTATTCCAGTTTGTTGGTCTGGTCCCATGTTGGGAGAATGGTGAGTAGGAGTCAGTGTCAGAACTCTTTTAACTGCATTTGAACAACAATGGTGGTTTGAAGGAAGTGGCTCTCAGGCTAAGCCTACCTAGAGTTCATTATTAAGTTCAATTTCATCTCTTCTGTAGTCTTTTGCTATCATCTCAAAGAGCTGGGCCAGTATTATTTTGTTAAGAGTTGTACTTCTGCAGAATTTTAACAAGTGGCAAATATAAAGTTTAAAAATGGAAAATACAAAGTAAAATTAATAGTCATATAACAATCTCCATTTGCATAATGGTTTAGAGCCATGAATCTAGACTTAAAGGCAACTAATTGAGTGAATCAGATTATCTATTATCCTGCCAAGTGAAAAAGGTAGGCATTAAGAGGGGTAAGAGTCTCATTATGACATGGAGTCTTGCTCTGGCATCTGTGGAAAACTGTCTACTGCATGAAAATGTCATCTTCTTGTCCCGGTTTGCAATTTGAGTGTCTCTTGGTTATGGCATCAGGTGGGTTTGGTAAACTTTTTGTGTGGCCAATAGGTACAAGTCTTGCTCCTTAAAATTATTGTAGTTTTAGCATATAAGGCATTAAGAACACAGCAGTTCCCAATTTTAATAACTCCATGAAAGAAAGTTGGATTGGAAGAATGTAAAAGAATCCAGGATCTAGTCTAGTCTATTGGTAGATAGCAAGAACTTGAAAACAATGCACAGGGCTACAGTTTGATAATAGATGTATTGTGGCTTTTCTTTGGAAATATGTTTTTTCCTGTATGTTGATTATAAAGGAATCTCAGAAAACCTCTTGAGACTAGGAAGCCAAACCAAGGCAGACTTTAGATTTTACATACACTCTTTAAGGTTTCTGGGCCTGCCAAGAAGTAACCATTTTTATCTGCTAGGAAGATAAAAAGGCTGTACTGTAAGGAACCCTTGAAACCAGGCATTCTCAAAAGTGGTATTTCAGTCAAAGACTTGGTAATATAAACAATGTTTCCAATTGTATCCTGCTATATAGAGAGAGCAGATTTTTACTGGACTTATGCAAATAACCATATTGTCATGAGAATAATCATGAACACTTTTGAATTTTGGTGGAATCAAAGAAGGAGAAAAAGCAATTCCTTCTATCTTTGTTTTCAGATGTATATTTTACCAAATTTCTGTAAAGTTCAAATAGTTTGAGAGAACAAAAATTTCTTACATTTGGAAAAAAAATTTAATAAAGAGTCAACAATGTTTTAAATGTCATAAAAACATTATCTTCACTAGTTGTCCAATCTCATGTAATTAATTTTTGTTCTGCTTGTTCTTGATTAGAAATTTTATGAACCCATCAGTTTCTTCATTAAAGTTTTGAAAAAAATTTATTTTGCCCATTGATCTTAAATATATTAGAAACCTATATTTAAGAGGACATACAAATACTTGTTAGTCTTTCCTTGAATCTGATTGCACATGCTTTCAGAGAAGAGTTCAAAATAATCACTGTGAGTGACAAAAACTTAGAATAGCCATGGTTAAAAATCTGGTGGAAGTTTATTATAATCAGCATTTGACAAGATAATTTAGTTATTTTTGTGGCATACAATATGGTAGCCACAATTATGATGGATAACATATTAGATTTCTAAGAGTTTTATCCAAATTTGGAATATGCATATTAATAACATACCCATAAGTGTAACTGAAACATCTAGATACTCTTATCAGATTGAATAAATTTAATTATAGTTTTCAGTTGCTGAGATTTTTATTAACCTGATTAATGAGTTTGAAGATTGATTCTATTACTTATAAAACTATATATAGTTATAAAAATTGTTCTGAAACTATAAATTTAGATATATTACATATTATAATATATATAAAACATTTATTAATGTAGAAAAATTATTTCGTTACAATGAAGATGGCCTCAATCACATTGTGTCATTCAAGAGACACTAATTTCATATATAAGTGCAGTATTCCAGGACAAAGAAAATCAAATGAGAAAAGGACAAAAGGCATTTTATGATCCTGCTGTCTGACAAATCAATTTGTAGTTGCCTACCTAATTATCAATGGTTTTTGTCAAATGCTATTGGAGAAAGATTTATGCTAATAGTGTTTCACTTTATCTTATGCTAGGACATTAATAAGTGGATCACTTTCTCTTTAGCTAAAACATTAGCTAAATCACATTGGGAAAATAAAACCCAGAAGCAGAAACTAATTGGAAACATTGCTTTTAGGTAATGAAGCACTTACATATCTGTTTTGAGGATTCATTAGTTTTAGTTTGGGGAAGTTTCTACATAACTCACCTGAAAATATGCATAATTGTCATTGAAATATATACTGCCAAAGTCATTGAATAAAGGGGGAACTTTGGCATTTTATTTCATTTCATTTTAATAAACACTCCATGAAAGTTTGGGCTACATTTCAGGCTCTAAAGATAAAAAAAAAATAGATGATCAAGGCTGTATCCTACTACTTAAGGAGCCTAGTAGGGGAGGAGAAACACAATTAAACCAACAACAACTCTACGAGGTGATAGGGCTATTAAAGACATTTACATAATGTGCTACAGAAACACCACGAGATCAAAATTGTACATTCTTTCTAGATAGGAGATATAGTTTATCGATAGTGTTTTAACACCTCTTTGTCTCTCTTTCCCATAGACTTAGTATTTTGAAGATAGATGCAAGAAGGGCCAAAGTATCCCCTCAGTAAACTAGAGAAAGTTGCAACTGCCCCTGTGGTTTGCTAAGAGGTTTGCATAAACCAAATGAAGAGCATTCTAGGCAGCTACAGAAGGGCTCAGTAGAGTATTTTCCTTTGGAGAACTTTCAGAAAGCATCATTATGGGTAGAGAGCTCTTCAGCAACAAGCAAGCACATTTGGGGTCAATAAGTGCAATTGTCATAGGTAAGAGAAACTGATATCTGAGAGGTAAAGCTGTTTTACCAATAATGAAAAGAAATGGATCAGTCTTATGGTTGTCCAGCGACAATTTTTCTTATTAATTAGAATAGGTTGTATCACATTCATTACAAACACAGAGACTATTTTAAGAGATGTTAAGATATTTTCCAGAAGCAGGACTAGCTACATAATTTGTTGAGCTCAGTGAAAACTAAAATGTGATGTTCCTTCTTCAAATATTATTAAGAATTCAGGATGGAAACAGCAGCACATTAATGCAAGCACAGGGTCCTATGTGACTACCTGGCAATCAGGCCTATGAAGCCAGCAGTGGCCAGAGGGCAGTATCGCTTTGTGTACTGTAGCAAGCTAAATATTTCTAGAATGAGAAACCATAGCTTTGAACTACAGCACATGCAGATCTGAGTTCTAGCTCTATCACATATTACCTACTGTATATTGAACAAGATGTAAAATTTTCTACTTCCTCATTGAAATATGGCCATGCAAATTAAAACTTCCACTTAATCTCCAATATTATATACAAATATACATGTAAATTTTCTTCTGCTGAATATACAAAAAACTGATTTTATTATTTAAAAAAGAATGTATCCAAAGTAGTGGCTTTCAAATATTGCTGCTGATTTTAGAAATATAATTTTATTAAAGTAAAACAATTTGTTCATTTTCAATTATTATTTTAATTTCCTTGGCCATTGATTTCACCACTCACCCCAGTTGTGCACTAAAGATTCACCGTTAAAAAGATTATTTTAAGATTGGATTTTAAAATATTTAAATAGCTGAGTGCAGTGGCTTATGCTTGTAATCCCAGTGACTTAGGAGGTAGCAGGATCCTGCGAGCCCAAGAGTTTGAGATTAGAGTCAGGTATGATTGCACCACTGTACTCCAGCCTGCATGACAGAGTGAGACCTCATCTCTAAAAATAAATGAATGAATAAAATACTTCAATAGAAGTCATCTATTGAAGATTTAGAACATAATATTCATGTGTGTTTTATAATCTCCACACAGAAAATCGTACTCTTCATTTCAGTATTTCATTATTACCTTTTGCTATTCAGAGAGAGACTCAATTAATTTATGTAATGCTTTACTATTTTAACAATATGTTACTTATATTTTGTCCTTTAATTATATGAAGAAAAGGAGTGCTGGAGCAGTCTCTCTGGGTGGCCCAGCAAATTTCTTCACCGTCTCCAAGTGCTAGAGAGCTGGCTTTTTCCAGCACATCGTTAGAAAACTTTCTCCAAACCTTAAAGTATCTATTCCCCTGAGAAACATCATTGCTATACTTACTCAATTAAAAATAGACAGCAGCAGAAGGCAGATGACCTCTGTCAGCACCCAGTCCCATGGTCTAAGCACATCTCTCCAGACTATTGCAAAGCCAGAGACGTGTGTTCCTGCTCACCCTTAGCCTGTGAGTTCCTACCTGCATTGTGTGATGTTTGCTGTTGTGTACCATTAGTAGAGGCAGGAGGCAGAGAAATTCTAGGCAGATAGGGGCAGATGTCCAGTGAAATCCCACATTCAAGCCAAAGTAGCCTGAAACCTGTGGCCCAAAATGAGAATTTCTATTCTTGTTTGCCTATTCTCTCCTGATTAGTATTTTCTGAATAATGTAGTTTTACCAATCGAATGTTGCCTTTTCCAAAACTACCTATGGCCTAACCCATTCCTATCCTTCACCTATAAAGACCCTAGACTTAGTCAGTAAAGGGAGAGAGGCAGCTTGACTTCAGCAAGATGGCTTGACTTTGGAGACAAGATGGCTGGACTTTGGCAATGAAGAGATGGCTTGATTTTGGGGAAGACACGGCTGAACTTCAGGGAGAGCTATCTGCCCTTCCATTCCCTCTGCAGCTCTCCTCTCCACTGAGAGCCATTCCCATTGCTCAATAAAATTATTCACGTTCAGCATCCTTCAAGTGTCCATGCGACCTCATTCTTCTTGGACACCAGGCAAGAGCTCAGGACCCACTGAGTGCAGGTACCCAAAAAAGGCTGTCACACTAGCCCTTTGCCCTCTCTGGTGGAGGGAAGCCGCCCCACATGATGAGGCAAGGGGCCAAATGAGCTGTTAACACATAGCCATCCATAACCAGCGGAACTAAAGGAGCATTGTATCACCTCTTCTGGGGCCTCAGGGTCACAGGCACCCCACCTGGGCACTGTTGCACAGAGCTTGCTCCTGCTGGCACCTGGAATGGCTGGCTCGATCCCTCACAAACCTGCTCATGTGCTGCCTCCTTCAAGGGGTTGAGCATAGTTGGCCAAGTAAGTGGGGCACCCCTGTTGTGAGCCTGATGAAAAGGCCAAGAAAAATTCTGCACCACTATGAGCCTTCACAAGAGAAAACCTATCAAGTCATTGTGGGATAATGGGGACAGGAATTATTAATCTCATTTTACCAGTGAAAAACATAAAGTCACATGGATCATGTAAAATGCCCAGGGTCACAAATCTAGTGATCAGCATTGATGTGGCACTTGAACTTCCTATTCCAAGATAAATGATCAGTGATATAGGCCTCTGGAAAAAAAAAAAAAAAAAAAAAAAACAGCTAGCACATTATTTACTTTCTACCAGCTCCTTTCATGAGTACTTCACATTTATTGACACAGTTAAGCCTGCAATAAACCTCTCAGGTAATAACGTGACCCCTTTTTTACAGTGGAAAATACTGAGGCAAAAGAAAGTTTGGTGACTTCCTCAAAGTCACCTTACTGTTAGTGAGTTGGAAAGTGGGTTGTTAAATCGTCCAGAGTTCATGCTCTTTTTTTGTAGCTGTACTGAAACTCACATGCTGACTTAGAAACCTTTTCTCAGAGCTAGGAGAGCTACCCAAACATCACTATTCCTGAGCCATATAACCAGTTGGTGTTGAGGAAAAGAAACTGAAGAATCTCCTCATCAGTGGTCAAGTTGGCATGTAGGCTAATTCAAGATGCCTGTATTAACTGGGAGTTTTTGTAATCTTGAGACTCTTTTTTGGATTTAATTGAGATAGACTATATAAATAAAACTACAAATGTTTCAGTCGTTAAGTTGTGTACCTATTGCAGGTCCTTAAATGTTAACACAATATCTTGGGGATATATAGGACTGACAGTAAAGTAGCATGTCCAACCCATGGATATTAACACAGCCAGAAGTATGAGATATAGGCACAACAGAACTAAGGGAGAGGCAGAAATATTATACTACTTTTCTTAATCTGAAAAGCATCATGCTACACCTATTTCTGAAAGCAAGGACTTTATTTCTCTATTCTTGGGTATTCAAAGTCATCAAAAATATAAAAACATAATCCACAATTTATACTTTTATGAATTTAGTGATAAGATCATTATATTTTCTTCAAATTATTCTCTATAAAATATCATTTATAATTATTTTAAACACATACATTTTGTAGACTTAAATACTTCTTCCCTCTTTTCTTAACCACCATGAAGCTTAGTACCTCCTGATTTACTCAATTTAAGATTTATTCAGACCTTCAGAAAACAAGAAATATTCAAAATGAAAATACTATATAATGGATTTCATCAGCTCATGGGTGAAGCTCAGTCTTATTTTGCAGTATACACGGTAACATTTCTCATAAATTTTTCTGTGTCCCAAAGCATTATAATTTTGTTGGCGCCTTCCTCATGTTAAATAAAAAGGAACCTTATCTTTGGATGGCTATCATAGTAATGAAGAGAAAATTACCAGATAAATTGACATAGAAACATTTAATTTAACAATGATTCACTCAGTGTGCTGTTAATGAGTTTTCAGAATGCATTTTAAAATGTTCTTTATCTTAATAAAAGTAAAATGAGGTGTGTATTAGTCCATTTTCACACTGCTGTAAAGAACTACCTGAGACTGAGTAATTTATTAAAAAAAAAAGAAGTTTAACTCACAGCTCCTCATGGCAGGGGAGGCCCCCCATGAGGGTGAAACAATCATGGCAGAAGGCAAAGGGGAAGCAAGGCACATATTACATAGCAGCAGGAGAGAGAGAGAGAATTAGGGGAAGTGCCACACTTTTAACCATCAGATCTCGTGAGAACTCACTCACTGTCATGAGAACAGTGTTAAGGAAAAAGCTCCTGTGATCCAGTCACCTCCCACCAGGTCCCTCCTTCAACACATGGGGATTCGGGATGAGATTTGGGTGGGAACACAGAGCCAAAGCCAAACCATATCAAGATGAAATGAAGAAAAATGGAACAAGCAATATGTCTTGGCCTGTTCTGCTGTCATCTACATGGCATTCTCTAGGTGACTACTCAATTCTAGTAAAATATATGCAGGAAATGGATTTGTCCATTCAAGAAACATTAAATCCAACTAAATTCCAAAGTATAGAAACCAGAGAGAATGATGTCAGGGAGCAGAGGGTCAATCAAGATGGAATCGTGTCCACAAAATATGAAAATACACATGCCATTGTTTAAGCCAGAACTACCTTTAGAAGTATTAAGAAATGAATCTAGATCAAGGGTAGTTGAGAAATAAATGGGAGATAACAGAAATATATAACAAGCTATGCTTTTAGGAAGCTCAGCAGGAAAAGGGGAAGTAAGAGACTAGATGGTGGCTACAGGGAGTAGAAAAAAGAGATGGCTTTATTTGATGGGAGAGCAAAGTCTACATTTTTGATATGGGCAAGAAAAAAACAAAAAAAAAAAAGAAAAAATAGTTGAAGACATAGGAGAGGAATACTATGTATGACCAACAGAGCAAGAGCCTGGAACCTAAGGATGGAATAAGAAGCAGGAGACATGAGGAGGGCACACCTACTCTTCTGCAATTAGAAGAAAAGTTAGTATAGACATACATGTTGATAACAGTTTGGGTAGGTCAAACAGGAGAGTAAGGAGGATTACTCCTGATGGCCTTTGATTTCATAACAAGGTAGCAGCTAGATTCGCTTCTATGTCATACTTACTATTCACTTATTCATTCAACCAGTTGATTCAGTATCCACAATGCATTAGTTAACGAAGGAGGCACAGTTTCTGCCTGTACTAATTTTGCAGTCTAACAGTCTAGTGGGATTTGAAGATGCATAAATGTGTAGTAACAATACAGTGTAATGAGTGGATTTACAAGAGAGGTAGAGATTAATGGCACTCATAAAAATGTTTACCAATGAAGATGGGCTATCTCATATGACTCTGTTGCAGAAAAACTATAATTTTAATTATATTCTACTATTTTGCTTGCATATTCTTGGACATTTTCTCCACAAAATTTTGAAGATCATATTGGCCAATTTTGGTGAATTCATAGTGTAGTATTATGTAAGAATAAAAACCATGACATAGATCTATTTTAATCTAATCAAAATAACATTTGGTGCTTATTAAAGCGAAAACAACAAAAAAAATTGCCTCATAGTATGTGTGTCCTAATGTTTAAAAGGAAATTATAAACCAAGGAATCAGAAAGGAGCAATTGATTGTGTAAAATATTGTATCAATGTTAATGTCCTGTTATGTTAATTGTGGTAATATTAAGGGAATGTTCCTTATGGAGATAATGCACACTGAAGTATTTAGGAGTACAGCAATACCATGTTTGCAATTTAAAATTATTATTTCATATGTATATATGTATATATTAAAGGGAGTAATAAAGCAAATGTGAAAAAATAGGGGAATATAGGTGACAATTGTGTGAAAATTTTTTGTACTATTCTTGCAACTTTTCTGAAAATATATAATTATTTCTAAATTTACAAAAATTACCAGGCAGTGGGAGGCAATTGGATAGTTTAGCATAGGTTTACATAATAAAGTAGTTGACCGCCTGAAGGTCATAGGAAAAGAAAACAAAACACGTCGCATGCTTTTTCTTTTCTTGTAGTATAATAAATTCTAAAATTATGCTAACATTCAAGATAAATTAAACTTTCAGTGGCAAAGTGCCAGTTTTGTCATTTGTATGTTCAAGTAACCAAGATAATCTGAATGGAGAAGAAACAGCTGCCACCTGGATTCCACACCTCCTTGAGTACCCACCTTTATTTGTCTATTCTCAGAACCCCAAATTTCTCCTTTCTTTTTCCTTGCTGCAGAAAAATGTTAAACAATAACTATAAGTCTCACCATGTGCCCTAATTCTGAGGATTTCCTAAGCATATGGAAAACTTAGAAACTGAGAGACTAAAGATAAACTAAAGATAGACTAAACTAAAGGTAGATATATTTGTATAGCTATCTTTCTATAGCTATCTATCTACTTATGCTATTCGTTTTGTTTCTCTGGAGAACCCAAAGTAATACACATTATGAATGAAAAAAAAATTGATGGGATAGGGATACTAAGAAAAACATTTAACATTCTAAATTTAATAAACAGAAAATGGACAGAGATTCTTTCTTTGTAACAATTCAGATAGCAATAAACTCACATGTAACACATGGTAATTCTAAAAAAAAATTTAAAAATAGAATCAAATTCTACATCTTCACTGGAAATAATCAAACATCTTAAAATATTCTATTATTTTTACTCTTTATTTCTATAACCTACAGACAATTTCTAAAATGCAAAATATTTTGAATCTTTGTTCTTCAAATTCACAACACACCACTGTATAATTATGATTGAAAAAATTACATTGTGGGTTGAACAAGAGAAGACTATAAAATAGATTAGCAAACCTTTTTAACACTTGTCATGTATTTGTGAGTCTAAAGCATTGAGAAGCTACACTTTGAAAGCTAATCAAATGGACTGCATTACTCATGGAAATGGACTGGAAAAATCACTTGTGCAGGATCACTGATGTGGAAAATATTCAGATTCCATTACTTTGAATTATAATTTAAATTATATTTTCAATATTTTCCTTGCCTATGTGGGGGAACTTATTTCTCCCATAATTTGAATATAATTTTAGATAATTCTTTAAATGCTGGGATTATTATGTATTAAATTAATACGTTAAATTTGAATGAGTTCACTTTATCTTTAGTGATCCTATTCAAAAGCATTGGTTACATTTCCAACATTCATTAAAATGTCACTTTCTCATGAATATCTTTATTTTTAAGTTTATTCTTAAATTCTAAATTTGTCTTTCCAGTGCATGAATTTTTATTTTTATTTTATTTTATTTTATGTTTACTTTTTTAGAACTATTGAAGCTTGTATTCCTTGGGGGAGGCAGAAGACAAATTTAATAAATACATTTGTAGGCAAACAAATTTTAAAGAAATAATATATATAGCATTCGACAAACCAATCTGTAAAAGTATTTTAAAAAGTTATAAGTGCATTAGGTAAAAGACAAGAAACTAGGAAAACACTGTGGGGTTGAAATTTTAAGTAGAATGATCAGGAAAAAGTTTTATATTTAAGGAAAAATTTGAGGAAGATCAGAGAGCAAAACTTGTGGCCATCTGGGAAGAGCATTCCAATCAGAGGATGTAACATTTGCCAAGATCTTGAGGTGGGAGTATGCCGCAGATGTTCGCAAAACAAAACAAGGCCAGTGTGGCTAGAGTAAAAGCAAGAAATTAGAGAGAATGAGAGATGAGGTCTGAACTGCCAAACTGTGCGGGTCATTATAAGACATTGGTAGGTATTCTGAGAGGACTGTAGAATAAAAGCAGGGGAGTCACCTGTCTCCTTCTGAGGCAGTTGGAGGAAGATTTTTAACACCCAAATCTACTAGGACTCTCCTAGACAGAGGGGCATGAAGGTCAAGTTCTTGTTATCTGTGCTATGCAAGTCCTGGCTTACAAAGATGATCAAGCCCAAATGATACATGGCTCTGCATTTGTTGTCCAAACCAACATCTCACATACACACAGGCAACAGTGGGCCTAAGAATTTCAGGAAAGAGTTCTTAGGAACACAGGGAGGAGACACTGACACAAATAAGTAGGTAATGGAGGGAAGGGAGCTACTGTGCAGTCATCACCTTCATAGAATCCCGTTCCAGAATCTCTAACGATATTTAGCTCAATTCAATTTCACAACTTCTCTTCATTTCTCTTCCCTTATCCTGGAGAAGACAAAAAGTCACAAATCAAATTATTTCTGTATTTTAACAGATAGCATTCAAGTAATTTATTTGACCTTGGTACTGTAAAATGAACTTTGTTCAACAAATGATATTGTTCAACAAACAGTATTTTACTTTAGACAACTGGCAAACCAGCAATCCAAAAAGTCTTGGCTGTGTACAAAGAAGCTCTAGCTTCTTCACAGAGCTATTCGTGACTGTGGAATCACCGTTGTTTGAAATAATGAACATGAATATAATAAAAATGACAACAAATATTTTTTCAGTGCCTTCTGTTTGCCAAATATTCTGTTAAATATTGTATATATGTGGTTATCTCAATTCTCAAAACAATGCAGTGTGGTAAGTATTACTGATATTTTACTACCACAGAGGTGGAAATATATAGACACAAACACATGCCAAGTGGCAGAGCTGGTCTTGTCTGACTCCAAATCCAGGGGACTTAATGCTTATTCATTGTTTACAAAACCACTGAAAAAGTTGGAATTATCCAAATGTAAACGATGCAGAGCATTTACAAAAAGCTGTATTGCAAAATTCTCCATTCTAGCTGACCTATTCAGTTAGACAAGAAGAGCAGTTCAAGGCTTATTTCAGTGAGCATGATGCAGCTTTCAACAAAAGAGAGTCGTGAAGAAACAGCTGTCTATTCTATTTTCAAACCATCCTCTGCAATGATGCTGCAGAGCAAGAATTACATTTTTAGTTGCGAGGCACTCTCTCCCTTAAAGATGCAGCTTCTGTATAGATGACACTTTACTCTGCCTCTGCTTTTTATTCTGTCTCCTGAAAACCAAAGGATATTTTTAAATGGTGAAATGTATTTTATTAATTTAAAATTCTCTAAAGAAAGTGAGAAAAGCAATAGAATGTACGCATTTTCCACTTTCCTAACTGTGAAAACACCAGGTTTGGCATAATTTACTCACATTATCATCATCATCATCAGTATTTGTAGATAAGTTCATTCTGTGATTAAAGTATTGTGTCTGATCTACTGCACTAAGAAGTGAAGCTCTCTGATCTTCCCTTCTCAGATAATTTTGCCAGGGCTGGGCAGGGACTATGCATATCTGGAATCCTCTGTATAGTATACTTGCCAGGAGGCCCTTTGTGATTATGCATAAGGCAGTCATTAGTTTTTAAAACTTAAATGTCATACTTTTTATTAATTTAATTTTATGTCATGAGTTTCCCCCAACTATTTTAGTGCTAGTAGTAGTTAGCTGTTTGGAAAAAAAAAAAAATAGATAGGGTTAGCAATTTGATTAAAGATACGATAACCAAATTGATTGGACTGACAGAGAAGCAACTCATGTCTTGTTCATTAAAAATTGAAGTCCCAGAGAAGACGGTGGATAGGAGACAGAACTAGCTTGCAGCTCCTGCTTGGACAGAGAGAGCAGCGTGTGGAGATTCACATCATCAACATCTAAGAACTACTGCAGGAACATACCAGGAAAGCTGAGAGAATCCACAGATGCTTTGAAGAAACTGGATTGCCACTGTAGGCTCCCTGAGATGCTGAAGAACTGTGAGTCCTCTTGCTTTCTCAGTGGGGAGGCTGGTGGTCTGGGGCAAGTTGTCAGCCCTGGTCACTGGGTGCCTGGAAATAGACTCGATGCTGTTGGAGGGGCAAAGTGGGAGTGAGATCAGCCTTAGGGACTGCGGGGTTGTGTGGGAGGGGGTGAGGCCTGGAACTGCTGGCTTTCCCCCACTTGCCTGGCAACCTGTATGATACAGCAGAGGCAGCCATAATCCCCCTGAGATAATAACTCCACTAGCCTGGGAATCACACCCCCATTGCCCACAGCGGCCACAGTAAGCCCCACTTACGGAAAGTCTGAGCTCAGAAATGCCTATACCTGCCCCCACATGGTGGTCTTTCTCTACTCACCCTGGTTGCCAAAGACAAAGGAAATAATCTCTTGGGAGCTCTATGGCCCTACTCACCACCTGAGAAACATGAATATATAAACAGGCAACGCTAAGGCAAGTCTGCATCCTCTCTATAGTACTGCAGCTGATGTGCTGTTGAAAACGCCACCTCCAGGCTGGAGGTTAACCAACACAAAATCAGCACACTAAATAAAAATACAAACAAGGATGCTCACAGAGTCCACTTCATTCCCTTACTACCTCCACCAGAGGTGATGGTATCCATGGCTGAAAGACCTGAAGACAGATCATATCACAGGACTCTTTGCAGACAGTCCCCTGTACAAGCCCTAAGCTCAGTAGTTCCACTGGGTAGCTAGACCCAGAAGAGCAAAAACAATCACTGCACTTTGGCTCTCAGGAAGCCCCATCCCTAGGGGAAGAGGGAGGACACCACATCAAGGGAGCACCCTATAGGACAAAAGAATCTGAATGGCAGCCCTTGTGTCTCAGATCTTCCCTCTGGCATAGTCTACCCAAATGAGAAGGAACCAGAAAACCAATTCTGGCAATATGACAAAATGAGGTTTTTAACACCCCAAGGTATCACACCAGCTTACCAGCAATGGATTCAAACCAAGATGAAATGTCTGAATTGTCAGAAAAAAATTCAGAAGGTCGATTATTAAGCTAATCAAGGAGGCACCAGGGAAATGTGAAGTACAACTTCAAGAAATACAAAACATGATACAGGATATGAAAGGAAGAAAAAAACCTCAGTGAAATAGCATAAATAAAAAACAAGCACAACTTCTGGAAATCAAGGACACACTTAGAGAAATGGAAAATGTACTAGAAAGTCTCAGCAATAGAATAGAACAAGCAGAAGAAAAAAACTTCAGAGCTTGAAGATAAGGCTTTCAAATTCACCCAATCCATCAAAGACAAGAAAAAAGAATCTTAAAAAATGAACAAAGCCTCCAGGAAGTTTGGGACTATGTTAAGTGTTCCAAACCTAAGAATAGTTGGTGCTCCCAAAGAAGAGAAGTCTAAAAGTTTGGAAAACATATTTGAGGGAATAATCAAAGAAAACTTCCCTGCTCTTGCTACAGATCTAGACATACAAATATAAGAAGCTCAAAGAACACCTGGAAAATGCATCACAAAAATATTATAGCCTAGGCACATAGTCATCAGGTCATCTGAAGTTAAGATGAAGGAAAGAATCCTAAGAGCTGTGAGGCAAAAGCATCAGATAACCTCTAAAAGAAAACCTATCAAAGTAACAGCAGATTTCTCAGTGGAAATCCTACAAGCTAGAAGGAATTGGGGCCCTACATTTAGCCCCCTTAAACAAAACACTTTTCAGCCAATAATTTTGTATCCAGTGAAACTAAGCTTCATAGAAGGAAAGATACAGTCTTTTCCAGACAAACAAATGCTGAGAGAATTCACCACTACCAAGCCATCACTACAAGAACTGCTAAAAAGGCTCTAAATCTTGAAACAAATACTCAAAATACACCTAAATAGAACTCCATTAAAGCATAAATCTCACAGGACCTATATAACGATAACACAATGAAAAAAAAACACATACAAAAACAAGGTATTCAGGGAACAAATAGCACAATGAGTAGAATAGTACCTTGCATCTCAATACTAACACTGAATGTAAATGGCCTAATGCTCCACTTAAAAGATATAGAATGACAGAATGGATAAGAATTCACCAACCAAGTTTCCTCTGTCTTCAGGAGACTCACCTAACACATAAGGACTCACATAAACCTAAGGTAAATTTTATGACATTTTATGCAAATGGACACCAAAAACAAGCAGGAGTAGCTATTCTTACATAAGACAAAACAGACTTTAAAGCAACAGTAGTTTAAAAAGACAAAGGAGGTCATTATATAATGATAAAAAGATTAGTTCAACAGGAAACTATCACAATCCTAAATATATATTCACCTAACACTGGAGCTCCGAAATCTACAAAGCAATTACTGCTAGATGCAAGAAATGAGAGACAGCAACACAATAATAGTGGGGGATTTTAATACTCCATTGACAGCACTAAACACGTCATCAAGACAGAAAGTCAACAACAACAAAAAATAAAACAATGGACTTGAACTATACACTACAACAAATGGACTTAACAGATATTTACAGAACATCCTACCCAACATCTGTGGAATATATGTTCTATTCATCAGCACATGAAACATTCTTCAAGATAGACCATGTGATAAGCCGCAAAACAAGTCTCAGTAAATTTAAGAAAATTGAAATGTTATCAAGTACTCTCTCAGACCACAGTGGAATAAAATTGGAAATCAATTCCAAAAGGAACCCTCAAAACCCTGCAAATACATGGAAATTAAATAGCTTGATCATATATGATCATTGGGTCACGAATGAAATCAAGATGGAAATCAAAAAATTCTTTCAGCTGAATAATAGGGACACAACCTATCAAAACCTCTGGGATACAGCAAAAGCAGTGCTAAGGGGAAAGTTTATAGCATTAAATGCCTACATCAAAGAGTCTGAAAGAGCACATATAGACAATCTAAGTTCCTGCCTCATGAAGCTGGAGAAACAAGAACAATCCAAACCCAAACCCAGCAGAAGAAAAGAAATAACAAAGATCAGAGCAGAACTAAATGGAACTGAAACAAACCAAACACACACACACACACACACACACACGCAAAAGACAAATGAAACAAAAAGCTGGTTCTTTGAAAAAGTAAATAATATTGATAGATTGCTAGTGAATTAGCCAAGAAGAGAGAACCAAATTAAATACCTATGTTACAAAAGAGAAAAGTCTCAAATCAATCATCTAAATGTGGACCTCAAGAAATTAGAGGTAAATTAAGTCCAATATAAGCGTTATGTGGAATCCAAAATCTATTATTGCTTATATCTTCCATCCTTATCATTATCCTTTTCTAGTTGTTATCTTCTGATTTTGAAAAAAAAATTTTTTCTTATCCTCAGGACATCTGTCTCCAGGGAATTTCAACATAGATGAGAGAATTCAGGATTGGTCCCCCAACAATTTACTTCTGCTTTCACCACAATGAATTTAAGGTAATACAATATTTCCCTGGCTTCCTCCTCCAGAGACCAATGCCAACAGAGCTTCCTAAGTGTAATTAGTTTCCCCAGATGTAGATGAAAGTCATATTTTCATCAAATTTACCTGCCCAATATATGGAAACCACATTAGTACACTAGGTGGGAAAATGCATATCAAAAATTTATTTTTGAATTTATCATTTTTTCATGAAAAGAGCAATTCTCAAATTGTTGTTTGTTAGATTTGTCTAAAACTGCTTTTGACTTCCTTTTTCCCATTTCAAGCCTTAGGCCAAATTTTTATTTTTCTCATTCTTTGAAGAGCTTTTCACATTTCTCTTCTGGCATTGGCTCCAACTTCTTAGAAATACAACAGAGAATATATCCAGTTTTATCAAAATTTCTTTTCACGTTTATAGCCCCCTCTCTTCAATTTGTTTCATAGTTCTCAATATCCAAAGTAAAAAGGAGCAGCATTTCATCACTCAGTTTTGTTATGTTATTGCTTTTCTTCATCTCCTGCTGAAAGAGGAATATGGTTATAGGTACAAAGGGCATCTTTACATAGTTCAGATTTTGCCTGTTATATCCAGCAAATTGCTTACTCGTGAAGATAATCATAATAGCATGGTTAATCCAAATATTTCCTTGACCCACACAATAAAAAAAACATCACCATGCCACTATTCTTTAATGAGATTTTTCCATTTTTCTCGGGTTCACCCAGACTCTTGGTACTTTCTCCTTCAAGGTTCTCTCTAACCATGTATCTGTAAATCTGCATAGCTTTGTAACTATCACCACACCCATGTACCTTGAAATCAGACTCCATTACAGTTAGTAGTTCTTTCTTGGAATACAGTGTTCTCACAACTTCTTTGTTTAATTGGTTGTTTTCATGCAGTATATTTTGATTCTCTTGAATCTGCCATAAAAACAGCAATGAAAATTTGTTCTTTCAGTTCTCAAGATTGTTTAGAACTTGACAGTGAGATAATGCCCAATTTTACTTTTCTAGTCAAAAATTCTTTAATGTAGATCACCTTAGCTTTTTTGTTTTGCTATTGTTTAATTATCTCATTCTAATGGTTTATACTGCAGAATTAATATCACATTTCTTTTCTCACTCTGAACTCTGTGCTGATTTTGCAACAGCAGAAATTTGTCTTTTGATGCAAATTTAATGTGTCAGACACTTCATGGGTTTCTGCAAACCTTTAATTTATTGGTTTTCCAAGAGCTCTGAAATAAAACATTGATGGATGGGGGCAAATTCTTAGATCATTTTATAAGTGGACAGATTCACTATTTTCAAAAAGTCTAGAAGAACTTGTCCAAAGTTTGTAGAAAAGGGATGTTTTAATGTACTCTGCCATTAGGAAAAGTTGGTTCTAAAATTTTGCAGAAATTATTGATTCTATCGCTCAGAAATGATGGCCAGGAAATCTAAACAAGTAAAGCACAATTAATCAAAGTGAAAAGCTAAAAATATTCCAAACAGAAATGTTCTTTCCAATCTTACTAAGAAAAAAAACAACAAAAAAAAACACTTTAATTTGAAAAACTATTCAATTATGAAATGTTCAACAAGTACTTATTAATTGCTTACTGTTTCAGGACTGTGCTAATCCCTGGAGACAGAGAGATAGAGATGGTGCCCTCTTGAAACATGCAGCCTTATGTCATTTAATCTTCATTTGTGAAGAATTCATTTGAAAGAATCTTTGGATTCTTTCAAATAAATGAGTTGGCATTATTATGTAAATAATAGATAAGAATCAAAATTAAATGGTTTGTTCAGGGTCAAACTGGAACTTAAATCTTCATATTCTTTTTTTTGGTATTTTTAACATATGAAAATTGAATTATATCATAATTTTAAAATATCTTCTGTATCAAGTTATTAAGTTTCATGCACATCCATGTGAAGAGACCACCAACAGGCTTTGTGCGAGCAATAAAGCTTTTAATCACTTGGGTGCAGGCGGGCTGAGTCCCAAAAGAGAGTCAGAGAAGGGAGCTAGGGGTGGGGCCATTTTACAGGATTTGGGTAGATAAAGGAAAATTACAGTCAAAGGGGGGTTGTTCTCTGGCGGGCAGAGTGGGGGTCACAAGGTCCTCAGTAGGGGAGCTTTTGAGCCAGATGAGCCAGGAGAAGGAATTTCACAAGACAATGTCATCAGTTAAGGCAGGAACAGGCCATTTTCACTTCTTTTTTGGTGTAATGTCATCAGTTAAGGCAGGAACCTGTCATCTTGATGTGTACGTGCAGCTCACAGGGGATATGATGGCTTAGCTTGGGCTCAGAGGCCTGACATTTCTGTCTTCTTATATTAATAAGAAAAATAAAATGAAACAGTGGTAAAGTGTTGGGATGGTGAAAATTTTTGGGGTTGGGTATGGAGAGATAATGGCTGATGTTTCTCAGGGCTGCTTTGAGCAGGATTAGGGGCAGCGTGGGAACCTAGAGTGGGAGAGATTAAGCTGAAGGAAGATTTTGTAGTAAGGGGTGATATTGTAGGGTTGTTAGAAGAAACATTTGTCGTGTTGAATTATTGGTGATGGCCTGGATACGATTTTGTATGAATTGAAAAACTAAATGGAATGAGAAGGAGAAAAACAGGTATAAAATGTCTAAGAATTGGGATGACCCAGGACATCTGATTAGAGAGTGCCTAAGGAGATTCAGCATAGTCCTGCCAGCAAAGATTATTTATTTACTTTAACAGTTAAGAGTGGCAGTTTGGGGATAGCACCAGGAGATATCAGCTGTGATGGCTTGGAGAAACAGTGTAAACCAGCAGTATAAACAAGAGCAGGGCATTTATGAGTAGTTGAGAATGATGAATAGGAGTATGACTAGAGAGAAGACAGTAGGGATGACAAGTTTTTCTGGGGCACAGTCTAAGTTGGTCTGGTGTCTGGAATGAGACTGGGGCCTAATAAAAAGGAGCATCTATACAGGAGCTCAAATGGGCTGTACCTTGTAGCATTCTGAGGACAGGTCTGACTTCTGAGAAGGGAAAGTGGTAAAAGTATTGTCCAGTTCTTTTTAAGTTGGTGGCTGAGCTTGGTGAGGTGTGTTTTTAAAAGACCTTTAGTCCGTTCTACTTTTCCTGAAGACAGAGGACTGTAAGGGATATAAAGGTTTCACTGAATACTAAGAGCCTGAAAACCTGCTTGGCTGATTTGACTAATAAAGGCTGGTCTGTTATCAGACTGTATAGAGGTGGGAAGGCTAAACTGAGGAATTATGTCTGACAGAAGGGAAGAAATGACTGTGGTGGCCTTCTCAAACCCTGTAGGAAAGGCCTCTACCTATCCAGTGAAAGTGTCTACTTAGACTAAGAGGTATTTTAGTTATCTGACTCGGGGCATGTTGAGTAAAGCCAATTTACCAGTGCTGGGTGGGGGCAAATCTCCAAGCTTGATGTGTAGGGAAGGGAGGGGGCCTGAATAATCCCTGAGGAGTAGTAGAATAGCAGATGGAACACTGAGAAGTTATTTCCTTGCGGATAGATTTCCACGATGGAAAGGAAATGAGAGGTTCTAAGAGGCGGGCTAGTGGCTTGTACCATAGCATAGCCTGCTTTTGCTGGTGTGTGGCCATTAGGCCTGGTGGAACTGCCATCAATAAATCAAACATGATCAGGGTGAGGAACAGGAAAGAAGGAAATATGGGGAAATGGGGTGAATGTCAGGTGGATCAGAGAGATACAGTCATAGGGGTCAGATGTGGTATCAGGAATAATGTGGGAGGCCGGATTGAAGTCCGGGCCAGGAACAATGGTAATTGTGGGAGACTCACCAAAGAGTGAGTACAGCTGAAGGAGCCAGGGAGCAGAAAGTATATGTGTAAGGTGTGAGGAAAAAAATAGATTTTGGAAGTTATGAGAACTGTAGAGAGTGAGTTGAGCATAGTTTGTGATTTTAAGGGCCTCTAAAGTATTAGGGCAGCAGCAGCTGCTGCACAGAGACATAATGGCCAGCCTAAAACAGTAAGGTCAAGTTGTTTGGACAAAAAGGCTACAGGACATGATCCTGGTCCTTGTGTAAGAATTCTAACTGCACAGCCCTGCACTTCGGCTGTGTGTAATGAAAATGGTTGGGATGAGTCAGGGAGAGGTACGGTGGGGGCAGTCTCTAAAGTTGTCTTCAAGGAATGGAAAGAGGAGTTGGGAAAGGATTTAGGATCTATGGGGTCAGCTGGGTTTCCTTTTATGAGTTTATATAATGGTTTTTTTAGGATGGCAAAGCCTGGAATCCAAAGGCGAAAGTATCCAACCATGCCCAGGAAGGAAAGGAGTTATTGCTTTGTAAGGGATTGAGGTTTGGGAGATTGGTCAGACACGATCAGCAGGGAGAGCACGTGTGTTTTTCTGAGAATTATGCCGAGATAGGTAACAGATGAGGATGAAATTTGGGCTTGATTGAAGTAATGGGGGCTGTCTGTGAAGCCTTGCAGCAGTACAGCCCAGGTAATTTGCTGAGCCTAATGGGTGTCAGGGTCAGTCCAAGTGAAAGCAAAGAGAGGCTGGGATGAAGGGTGCAAAGGAATAGTAAAGAAAGCATGTTTGAGATCCAGGACAGAATAATGGGTTGTGGAGGGAGGTATTAAGGATAGGACAGCATATGGGTTTGGCACCATGGGGTGGATAGGCAAAACAATTTGGTTGATAAGGCGCAGATCCTGAACTAACCTGTAAGGCTTGTCTGGTTCTAGGACAGGTAAAATGGGGGCATTGTAAGGAGAATTCATAGGCTTTAAAAGGCCATGCTGTAACAGGTGAGTGATAACAGGCTTTAATCCTTTTAAAGCGTGCTGTGGGATGGGATATTGGCATTGAGTGGGGTAAGAATGATTAGGTTTTAATGGGATGGTAAGGAGTGCATGATCAGTCACTAAGGAGGGAGTAGAGGTGTCTTATACTTGTGGGTTAAGGTGGGGAGATACAAGGGGAGGATGTGAAGGAGGCTTTGAACTGGGGGAAAAGGTGGCAATGAGATGTGGCTGTAGCCCAGGAATAGTCAAGGAAGCAGATAATTTAGTTAAAGTGTCTCAGCCTAATAAGGAAACTAGGCAGGTGGGGATAACTAAAAAGGAATGCTTAAAAGAGTATTGTCTAAGTTAGCACCAGAGTTGGGGAGTTTTAAGAGGTTTAGAAGCCTGGCTGTCAATACCCACAACAGTTATGGAGGCAAGGAAAACAGGCCCTTGAAAAGAAGGTAATGTGGAGTGGGTAGACTCCATATTGATTAAGAAGAGGACGGACATACCCTCCACTGTGAGAGTTACTTAAGGCTCGGCATCCATGATGGTCTACGGGGCTTCTGAGGCAATCCAGCAGTGTCAGTCTTCAGCCGCTAAACCGAGAAGATCTGGGAAGGAGTCAGTCAGAGAGCCTTAGGCCAGAGTTCCAGGGGCTCTGGGAGTGGCTGCCAGGTGAGTCGAACAGTCCAATTTTCAATGGGGTCCTGCACAGATGGGACATGGCTTAGGAGGAATCCCAGGCTGCGGGCATTCCTTGGCCTGATGGCCAGATTTCTGGCACTTGTAGCAAACTCCTGGGGGAGGTGGTTCTGGAGAAATGCCTGGCTGCTGTGGTTCAGGCATTTGGAAGTTCTTGTGTGGTGGAGATGAGGCTGGGATTTGTCTCAGTGGAGGCAAGGAATTGCAACTCAGAAATATGTTGCTACTTGGCTGCCTCTACTCTATTATTGTACACCTTGAAGGTGAGGTTAATTAAGTCCTGTTGTGGGGTTTGAGGGCTGGAATTTAATTTTTGGCATTTTATTTAATGTTGGGAGCAGATTGGGTAATAAAATGTATATTGAGAATAAGACAGCCTTTTGACCTTTTAGGGTCTAGGGCTGTAAAGCATCTCAGGGTTGCTGCCAAATGAGCCATGAACTGGGCTGGATTTTTATATTTGATGTAAAAGAGCCTAAATGCTATCTGATTTGGGATAAAGAAAAAGGAACATTAACCTTGACTATGCCTTTAGCTCCAGCCACCTTTTTAAGGGTAAATTGCTGGGCAGGTGGGAGAGGGCTAGTCACGGAACAAAACTGTAAGCTGGACTGGGTGTGAGGAGGGGAGGTGATAAAAGGATTATAGGGTGGAGGAGCAGAGGCTGAGGAAGAATTGGGACCTAGCTTGGCCTGGTGAGGAGGGGAGAGGTCAGATGGGTCTGTAGAAAAGGAAGATTAGAAAGACTCAGCAACGCTTGGGGTTGGGGCTGAGGGGACAGGTGGGAGGGAAAGAAGGAAGATTTGGGAGGAGTTGCACTGGGCACAGAGACTAAGGAGGGACCAATGTGCAAAAGAATGCCTGGACGTCAGGCACCTCAGACCGTTTGCCCACTTTTCAACAAACATTATTTAGGTCTTGTAGGATGGAGAAATCGAAAGTGCCATTTTCTGGCCATTAAAGTCATTTTCAAGTTTGTACTGGGGCCAAGCAGTGTTGCAGAAGAAGATAAGGCATTTAGGTTTTAGGTGAGGTGTGAGTTAAAGAGATTTTAAGTTCTTGAGAACACAGGCTAAGGGAGAAGGAGGAATGGAGGGTGGAAGGTTGCCCATAGTGAAGGAGGCAAGCCCAGAGAAAAGAGGGAGTAGAGGCATGGATGGAAGGGGTTTGGGGGTTCTTACCCTCCAGAAAAGTGAGAAAGGGTTCGGGGCACAGAAGGGGTTAGGGCACAGAGATAAGAGGCTGGGGAGTGGAAATAATGGATTGGGGTGCAGAGATAAGAGGTTGAGGTGCAGAAATAAGGGATTGGGTGTTCTTGCCCCCTAGAAAAGCAGGACTTGCTAAGGGTGAAGGAGAAGGGGTTGAGGGGTTCTTGCCCCTCCCCCAGAAAAGCAGAGAAGGGGTAAAGACATGGAAAGAAGGGGTTGGGGTACTTTCCCCTTCCCCAGAAAAGCAGGACTTGCTGCTAAGGGTGAAGGACCAAGACAGGTGTCCCTGCATGGTCTGACACCTCTGAAATGTGGGTGAATAATCAGAGAGGCATCCCTGCAATGATTAAACACCAAGGGAAGGCTGCCTTCCCAGTCCGTGACCGGCGCTGGAGTTTTGGGTCCACCGATAAAATGTGTCTCATTTGTCTCTACCAGAAAATGAAAGGAATTGAAATTAAGAGAAGGGAGAGATTGAAGTGTGGCACCAAGATTGAAAGGAGAAAGAGGTTGAGGGATAGTAAGGGAGGTTGGAGAAGAGAGTAAAAAGAGGCTGCTTACCAGATTTGCAATTGGTGAGGTGTTTCTTGGGCCGGTCAGTCTGAGGACCTGAGGTCATAGGTGCATCTTTCTCATGGAGCAAAAAACAGGAGGACAGGGGATTGATCTTCCAAGGGAGGTCCCCCAATCCGAGTCATGGCACCAAATTTCATGTGTGTCTGTGTGAAGAGACCACCAAACAGGCTTTGTGTGAGCAACAAGGCTGTTTATTTCACCTGGGTGCAGGTGGGCTGAGTCCGAAAAGAGAGTCAGAGAAGGGAGATACGGGTGGGGCCGTTTTATAGGATTTGGGTAGATAAAGGAAAATTACAGTCAAAGGGGGGTTGTTCTCTGGTGGGCAGAGTGGGGGTCCCAAGGTGCTCAGTAGGGGAGCTTTTGAGCCAGATGAGCCAGGAGAAGGAATTTCACAAGACAATGTCATCAGTTAAGGCAGGAACAGGCCATTTTCACTTCTTTTGTGGTGGAATATCATCAGTTAAGGCAGGAACCAGACATCTGGATGTGTATGTGCAGGTCACAGGGGACATGATGGCTTAGCTTGGGCTCAGAGGCCTGACATTAAGGATAAACCAAGAAAGAAAATTTAAAAAATAGGACCATTTGTTTTTGGCTTTTTTTTTACTTGGATAATTTATACACTGAATTACTGTAAATTGGTTGCTTATTGCAGCAACTGCTCCCCCATGCAAACTATTCCTTGCTTTCTATTTTGATTCATTCTTTTTGTACAGATAACTTTTGTGAGATAGGTATCAGATACTATATTTGGTTTCATTCCAACATATCTTTTTTTTTTTTTTTTTTTTTTTTGAGACGGAGTTTCGCTCTGTCGCCCAGGCTGGAGTGCAGTGGCGCGATCTCAACTCACTGCAAGCTCCGCCTCCCGGGTTCACGCCATTCTCCTGCCTCAGCCTCCCGTGTAGCTGGGACTACAGGCGCGCGCCACCATGCCCGGCTAATTTTTTTGTATTTTTAGTAGAGACGGGGTTTCACCGTGTTAGCCAGGATGGTCTCGATCTCCTGACCTCGTGATCCGCCCGTCTCGGCCTCCCAAAGTGCTGGGATTACAGGCGTGAGCCACCGCGCCCAGCCCACTCCAACATATCTTAACGTAATTAAAGAACCAGCACACTCCAACCCCACATTTTCCCTCTGTACAGACACAGTAGAGGTTCTTTGTGAGGGCTCTGCTTCTGTGACAGGCCTCTGCCTGGGCACCCAGGCTTTCTCATACATCCTCTGAAAATTAGGTGGAAGTTACCATGCCTCCTTCACTCTTGCATTCTGTGCACCCACAGTCTTACCACTGCACAGAAGCTGCCAAGGTTTACAGAAGCTTGTGTTCTCAAAAGTGACAGCCTGAGAAATATCTGAGGCCCTTTGAGCCAAGGCTGGAGCAGGAACAGTTGGGACTTGGGGAACAGTGTTTCAAGGCTGTGCAGGGCAGTGGGTCCCTGGGCCTGGCTCAGAAAATTATTCTTTCATCCTAGGTCTCTGCCTGTGATGGGAGGGACTGCCTCAGAGATTTCTGAAAGGTTTTCTAGGCCTTTTTCCCATTGTCTTGTATATTAGCACTTGACCCCCTTTTAGTCAAGCTAATCTCTATAGCAAGTGGCTGCTCTGCAGCCTACCTGTATTTCTCTCCCGAAAATGCCTTTTCCTTTTCTATCACATGGCCGGGCTGCAAATTTTTCACATTTTTATACTCTACTTCCCTTTCAAATATAAGCAGCAACTTTAAGTCATTTATTTGCTCTGGTACCTGACAATAGGCTATTAGATGCACCCAGGCTTCATCTTGAATGCTTTGCTGCTTAGAAATTTCTTTCACCAGATACCCTAGGTGTATCAGTCCATTCTTGCACTGCTGTAAAGAAATACTTGAGACTGGGTAATTTATAAAGAAGAACGATTTAATTGGCTCATGGTTCTGCAGGCTGTACAGGAAGCATGCCAGTTTCTGCTTGGTGTCTGTGAGGCCTCAGAAAACTTGGAATCATGGCAGAAGGTGAAGGGGGGAGCATGCACATCATGGCTGGAGCACAAGGAAAAGAAGGAGAGAGAGGGAGGAGGTGCTACACACTTTTAATCAACCAGGTCTCACAATAACTCACTCACTCACTATTATGAGAAAAACACTGAGGGGATGATACTAAATGATTCATGAGAACTCTGCCCACATGATCCAATCATCTTTCACACAGGATTACAAGTTGACCTCCAACACTGCAGATTACAATTTGACATGAGATTTGGGCAGGGGCACAGATCCAAACCATATCACCAGGTCATCACGTTTGAATTCAAACTTCCACAGATCCCTAGGGCATAAACACAATGCAGCCAAGTTATTTGCTAGGGCATAATATGGGTGGTGTTTGCTTTAGTTCTTAATAAGTTCCTCATTTCCATCTAAGACCTGATCAGCCTGGACTTTACTGTCCATATTTATGCCAGCATTTTGGTCACAACCATTTAACTAGTCTCCAAAAGGTTCCAAACTTTCCCTTATCTTCCTATCCTCTTCTGAGCCTTCCAAACTCTTCCATTCTCCTTCTATTACGCAGTTCCAAAGCTACTTCCACATTTTCTAGTATACTTGTAGCAACACCCCATTCCTGGTACCAATTGTCTGTATTAGGCCATTCTTGTGTTGCTATAAAGAAATGCCTGAGGCTGGGTAATTTATAAAGAAAAGAGGTTTAATTGACTCACAATTCTGTAGAATGTACAAAAGGCATGGTGCCAGAATCTGTTCCTGGTGAGGCCCTCAGGAAGCTTACAATCATGATGAAAGAAAAAGAAGAGCAGGCACATTACACAGCAAGAGCAGACAAGAGAGAAGAGGGAGGTGTCACACTCTTTTAAACAACCAGATCTCATGGGAAGCTAGAGTGAAAATTCACTCATTACCATGGAAATGCCATGAAGCCACTTATGAGGGATCTGCCACTGTAACCCAAATATCTCCTACAAGATCCCATCTTCAACATTGAGGAATACATTTAAAAATGAGATTTGGAGGTGACACATATCCTAACCATATCACTGCAATAAAACCCATAACATTTTCAGACTGCCCAGTCTCACACTGCCTCTCCATTCCCTTACTTCCTCTGTTCTTCTCTACCCACAAAGTGTGATGAGATTGAGCTGTTGTTGAAAAATGAAAGGTAATTTTCGTGCACGTCTGTGTGAAGAGACCACCAAACAGGCCTTCTGTGAGCAACAAGGCTGTTTATTTCACCTGGGTGCAGGCGGGCTGAGTCCGAAAAGAGAGTCAGAGAAGGGAGATAGAGGTGGGGCCATTTTATAGGATTTGGGTAGGTAAAGGAAAATTACAGTCAAAGGGGGGTTATTCTCTGGCGGGCAGGAGTGGGGGTCACAAGGTGCTCAGCAGGGGAGCTTTTGAGCCAGAATGAGCCAGGAGAAGGAATTTCACAAGAGAATGTCATCAGTTAAGGCAGGAACAGGCCATTTTCACTTCTTTTGTGGTGGAATGTCATCAGTTAAGGCAGGAACCAGCCATCTGGATGTGTACGTGCAGGTCACAGGCTTAGCTTGGACTCAGAGTCCTGACATTCCTGTCTTATATTAATAAGAAAAATAAAATGAAATAGTGGTAAAGTGTTGGGACAGTGAAAATTTTTGCGGGTGGTATGGAGAGATAATGGGTGATGTTTCTCAGGGCTGCTTTGAGCAGGATTAGGGGCGGCATGGGAACCTAGAGTGGGAGAGATTAAGCTGAAGGAAGATTTTGTGGTAAAGGGCAATATTGCGGGGTTGTTAAAAGAAACATTTGTCATGTAGAATTATTAGTGATGGCCTGGATACGGTTTTGTATGAATTGAAAAACTAAACGGAATAAGAGAAGGAGAAAAACAGGTATTAAAGGACTAAGAATTGGGAGGACCTAGGACATCTAATTAGAGAGTGCCTAAGGAGGTTCAGCATAGCCTTGCCAGCAAAGATTATTTATTTACTCTAAGAGTTAAGAGTGGTGGTTTGGGGATAGCACCAGGAGATATCAGCTGTGATAGCTTGGAGAAACAGTGTAAACCAGCAGTGTAAACAAGAGCAGGGCATTTATGAGTAGTTGAGAACAGTGAATAGGAGTATGACTAGATAGAAAATAGTAGGGATTACAAGTTTTTTGGGGTGCAGTCTAAGTTGGTCTGGTGTCTGGGATGAGACTGGGGCCTAATAAAAAGGAGCATCTATACAGGAGCTCGAATGGGCTGTACCTTGTAGCACTCTGAGGACAGGCCTGACTTGTGAGAAGGGAAAGTGGTAAAAGTACTGTCCAGTCCTTTTTAAGTTGGTGGCTGAGCTTCGTGAGGTGTGTTTTTAAAAGACCTCTAGTCTGTTCTACTTTTTCTGAAGACGGAGGACCGTAAGGGATATAAAGGTTTCAATGAACACCAAGAGCCTGAAAAACTGCTTGGCTGATTTGACTAATAAAGGCTGGTCCGTTATCAGACTGTATAGAGATGGGAAGCCCAAACCGAGGAATTATGTCTGACAGAAGGGAAGAAATGACTGTGGTGGCCTTCTCAGACCCTGTAGGAAAGGCCTCTACTTATCCAGCGAAAGTGTCTGCTTAGACTAAGAGGTATTTTAGTTATCTGACTTGGGGCATGCTGAGTAAAGCCAATTTACCAGTGCTGGGTGGGGGCAAATCTCCAAGCTTGATGTGTAGGGAAGGGAGGGGGCCTGAATAATCCCTGAGGAGTAGTAGAATAGCAGATGGAACACTGAGAAGTTATTTCCTTGCGGATAGATTTCCACGATGGAAAGGAAATGAGAGGTTCTAAGAGGCGGGCTAGTGGCTTGTACCATAGCATAGCCTGCTTTTGCTGGTGTGTGGCCATTAGGCCTGCTGGAATTGCCATCAATAAACAAAGTGTGATCAGGGTGAGGAACAGGAAAGAAGGAAATATGGGGAAATGGGGTGAATGTCAGGTGGATCAGAGAGATACAGTCATGGGGGTCAGTTGTGGTATCAGGAATAATGTGGGAGACCAGACTGAAGTCTGGGCCAGGAACAATGGTAATTGTGGGAGACTCACCAAAGAGTGAGAACAGCTGAAGGAGCCAGGGAGCAGAAAGTATATGTGTCAGGAGTGAGGAAGAAAATAGATTTTGGAAGTTATGAGAACTGCAGAGAGTAAGTTGAGCATAGTTTGTGATTTTAAGGGCCTCTAAAAGTATTGGGGTTGTGGTGGCACCTGCTGCACACAGACTTGAGGGCTAAGCAAGACAGTAAGGTCAAGTTGTTTGGATAAAAAGGCTACGGGGTGCGGTCCCAGTTCTTGTGTAAGAATTCCGACTGCACAGCCCTGCACTTCGGCTGTGGATAATGAAAAGAGTTGGGATGAGTCAGGGAGAGCTAGGGTGGGGGCAGTCTCTAAAACTGTCTTCAAGGAATGGAAAGAGGAGTGGGGAAAGGATTTAGGATCTATTGGGTCAGCTAGGTTTCTTTTTGTGAGTTTATATAATGGTTTTGTTAGGATGGCAAAACCAGGTATCTGAAGTCAAAAGTATCCAACCATGCCTAGGAAGGAAAGGAGTTGTTGTTTTGCAGAAGGTGTTGTGGTTTGAGGGATCAGCTGGACATGATCGGCAGGGAGAGCACGTGTGTTTTTCTGAGAATTATGCTGAGATAGGTAACAGATGAGGATGAAATTTTGGCTTGACTGAAGTAATGGGGGCTGTCTGTGAAGCTTTGTGGCAGTACAGCCCAGGTAATTTGCTGAGACTGATGGGTGTCAGGGTCAGTCCAAGTGAAAGCAAAGAGAGGCTGGGATGAAGGGTGCAAAGGAATAGTAAAGAAAGCATGTTTGAGATCCAGAACAGAATAATGGGTTGTGGAGGGAGGTATTGAGGATAGGAGAGTATATGGGTTTGGCACCATGGGGTGAATAGGCAAAACAATTGTGTTGATAAGGTGCAGATCCTGAACTAACCTGTAAGGCTTGTCTGGTTCTAGGACGGGTAAAATGGGGGAATTGTAAGAAGAATTTATAGGCTTTAAAAGGTCATGCTGTAACAGGCCAGTGATAACAGGCTTTAATCCTTTGAAAGCATGCTGTGGGATGGGAGATTGGCATTGAGCAGGGTAAGGGTGATTAGGTTTTAATGAGATGGTAAGGGATGCGTGATCAGTCGCCAAGGAGGGAGTAGAGGTATCTTATCCTTGTGGGTTAAGGTGGGGGGATAAAAAAGGGAGGACACAAGGGAGGCTTTGGATTGGGAAGAAGGGTGGCAATGAGATGTGGCTGTAGTCCAGGAATACTCAGGGAAGTGGATAATTTAGTTAAAGTGTCTTGGCCTAATAAAGGAACTGGGATAACTAAAAAGGAGTGCTTAAAAGAGTATTTTCTAACTTGGCACCAGAGTTAGGGAGCTTTAAGAGGTTTAGAAGCCTGGCCATCAATACCCACAACAGTTATGGAGGCAAGGGAAACAGTCCTTTGAAAAGAAGGTAATGTGGAGATGTGGTGTGGGTAGCCTTCGTATTGATTAAGAAGGGGATGGACTTACCTTCCACTGTGAGAGTTACTTAAAGCTCGGCATCCGTGATGGTCTAGGGGGCTTCCAAGGCTATCGGGCAGTGTCAGTCTTCAGCTGCTAAGCTGAGAAGATCTGGGAAGGAGTCAGTCAGAAAGCCTTAGGCCAGAGTTCCAGGGGCTCTGGGAGTGGCTGCCAGGTGAGTTGAACAGTCTGATTTTCAGTGTGGTCCCGTACAGATGGGACATGGCTTAGGAGGAATCCCAGGCTGCGGGCATTCCTTGGCCTGATGGCCAGATTTCTAGCACTTGTAGCAAGCTCCTAGGGGAGGCAGGCCTGGAGGAATGCCTGGCCACTGCGGTTTAGGCGTTTGGAAGTTCTTGTGTGCCGGAGATGTGGCTGGGGTTTGTCTCATAGTGGAGGCAAGGAATTGCAACTCAAAAATACGCTGCTACTTGGCTGCCTCTACTCTATTATTGTACACCTTGAAGGTGAGGTTAATTAAGTCCTGTTGTGGGGTTTGAGGGCCAGAATTTAATTTTTGGAGTTTTATTTAATGTCGAGAGCAGATTGGGTAATGTATATTGAGAATAAGATGGCCTTTTGACCTTTTAGGGTCTAGGGCTGTAAAGCATCTCAGGGTTGCTGCCAAATGAGCCATGAACTGGGCTGGGTTTTTACATTTGATGAAAAAGAGTCTAAACGCTGTTTTGGGATAAAGAAAAAGGAGCATTAACCTTGACTATGCCTTTAGCTCCAGCCACCTTTTTAAGAGTAAATTGCTGGGCAGGTGGGGGAGGGCTAGTCACAGAACAAAACTGTAAGGTGGACTGGGTGTGAGGAAGGGAGGTGATAAAAGAATTATAGGGTGGAAGAGGGGAGGCTGAGGAAGAATTGGCACCTAGCTTGGCCTGGTGAGGAGGGGAGAGGTCAGATGGGTCTGTAGAAAAGGAAGATTAGAAAGACTCAGCAACGCTTGGGGTTGGGGCTGAGGGGACAGGTGGGAGGGAAAGAAGGAAGATTTGGGAGGAGTTGCACTGGGCACAGAGACTAAGGAGGGACCAATGTGTAAAGAATGCCTGGACATCAGGCACCTCAGACCGTTTGCCCATTTTACGACAAGAATTATTTAGATCTTGTAGGATGGAAAAATTGAAAGTGCCATTTTATGGCTATTTGGAACCACTGTTGAGTTTGTACTGGGGTCAGGCAGGATTGCAAAAGAAAATAAGGCATTTAGGTTTTAGGTCAGGTGTGAGTTGAAGAGGTTTTAGGTTTTTAAGAACACAGGTTAAGGGAGAAGAAGGAGGAATGGAGGGTGGAAGGTTGCCCATAGTGAAGGAGGCAAGTTTAAAGAAGAGGGTAGAGACATGGAGAAGGGGGTGGGGAGCAGCCCTGGGCTGCAACGTGGGTGAGCAGCCAAAGCAGGTGTCCCCGCAATTGACTTGCCACCAAGGGAACATGGGTGAAAGATCAAGTCAGGCATCCCTGCGGAGATCAGACACCAATGGAATGTGGGTGAATAATCAGAGAGGCATCCCCACAATGATTAAACACTAAGGGAAGGCTGTCTTCTGAGTACATGACTGGTGCCGGAGTTTTGGGTCCACGGATAAAATGTGTCTCCTTTGTCTCTACGAGAAAATGAAAGGAATTGAAATTAAGAGAAGGGAGAGATTGAAGTGTGGCAGTTGAAAGGAGAAAGAGGTTGAGGGATAGTGAGAGAGGTTGGAAAAGAGAGTAAAAAGAGGCCACTTACTGGATTTGAAGTTGGTGAGATGTTCCTTGGACTGGTCGGTCTGAGGACCTGAGGTTGTAGGTGGATCTTTCTCACGGAGCAAAAAGCAGGAGGACAGGGGATTGATCTCCCAAGGGATGTCCCCCGATCCGAGACACGGCACCAAATTTCATGTGCATCCATGTGAAGAGACCACCAAACAGGCTTTGTTTGAGCAACAAGGCTGTTTATTTCACCTGGGTGCAGGCGGACTGAGTCTGAAAAGAGAGTCAGAAAAGGGAGATATAGGGGTGGGGCCGTTTTATAGGATTTGGATAGGTAAAGGAAAATTACAGTCAAAGGGGTTGTTCTCTGATGGGCAGGAGTGGGGGTCACAAGGTGCTCAGTAGGGGAGCTTTTGAGCCAGGATGAGCCAGGAGAAGGAATTTCACAAGATAATGTCATCAGTTAAGGCAGGAACAGGCCATTTTCACTTCTTCTGTGGTGGAATGTCATCAGCTAAGGCAGGAACCAGCCATCTGGATGTGTATGTGCAGGTCACAGGGGATATGATGGCTTAGCTTGGGCTCAGAGGCCTGAAAGTAATAGTAACCACAGTTCTTTCACTTTTCCTTTCATGGGACAACTATTTTTTATCTGTTTTTAAATATGGCGTATTCATCCAATTCCAGCAGCTCTCAGTAGGTGGATAGTAAAGTATTACTATGGAAGAGATTTGAAGCTGGGAACTGATAGTGAGAGTGAATACTGAGGAATATTGAGGTGCAATGGGAGCAAGTGGTGGCTAGAGGGGAGACGAGCAGTAATTATTGCATCATTAGAGTCACAAGAGCTGATATAGTTTGAATGTGTCTCCCCATCCAGATCTCATATTGAAACATAATCCCCAGTGTTGTAGGTGGGCTTGTGGGGAGTGACTAGATCAGGGGGATGGATTTCTCATGAATGGTTTACCACCCTCCTCCTTGGTACTATTCTTGTGATAGTGAGTGAGTTTTAATGAGATCTGGTTGTTTAAAAGTGTGTAGCACCACCCCCCTCACTCTCTCATTCCTACACTGGCCATGTAACATGCCTGCTTCCCCTTCACCTTCTGCTATGATTGTAAGTTTCCTGAGGCCTCCCCAGAAGCTGAGCAGATACCAAACTCATGCTTCCTGTACAGTCTGCAAAACGTTGAGCCAATTAAAACACTTGTATTTATAAATTACCCAGTCTCAGGTATTTCATTATAGCAATGCATGAATGGACTAATACAAGGGGAGTGTCTATCACCTATACCCAACTCAGGGTCTCCATTACGCAGATCTTCACAGATGTAAAACAGACTATATACTTCTGGGTAAGTTTTTATTATTTCATTTTTTTCAGAGATTGAAAAAACTTTTTTTAAAAGTTTTGTGCTTTCAAAAGAGACATTATTTGACTACTCATCTTGATTTTGACATCCAATAAATCTAAATATATGGCTCATAGAAGATATTTAAAATATCTGCTGAATGACATTATAATAGAAAAGTAATTTGATATGTTTTAATTTCCTTGTTCCATTAGAGTTCCAAAGCCTGAATTTATTACCTTTCCAAATTCTGATATCTAAATATCTAAGTTTGACAGTTACATATTTAGTGTAACCTTTTTCTTAAATGCATTCTATTATTATTTATTTTTTCAGCTTTACTTAGGTGTATTGACAAAAATTATATATGTTTAAGGTATATGATGTAATCTTTTGATATAAATAAATATTGTGAAATGATTACCACAATCAAGCTAATTAACATATCCATTGTCTCACTGAGTTACCATGGTGTGTGTATGTATGTGGTGAAAATACTTATTTGTTCTCAGCAAATTTCAAGTATACAATGAATTATTATCAAGTACAGTCACTTTGCTAAATGTTAGATCTCCAGGATCTATTTTATAACTCAAAGTTTGTATCCTTTGACCAAAATCTCCCCACATTCTTCATCTCCCCAACCACCAATCTACTTGCTGTCAAATGGTTCTTTTATATGTGAACTAATGTCATATATCTAAAAATTCATAAACACACATTTCATTTAAAGAATAATGACCTATCATCTCTATTACTTAAGACTATTAGCAGAAAGTTAGTCTCTTGTTCCTCGTCACTCCTCTCCAAAGATAACCATTGTGTTTTTGTGTTTCTCTTCATTCCCTAGCTTTCTTTTTAAGTTTTAACTTCATACATGCATCTGAAAAAAAACATTATTTAGTTTTTCTGTTCGTAAATATTTTAAAATAAAATACTATCTTCTCCAGTGACTTGCTTCTGTATCTCACTATTACATTTTTGAGTTTTATTCATGAATGCATGAGGCTATATTTTTGTTTTCACTAGTGTGCTATTGTATGATTATACCACATCAAGTCTGCTGTTGATGGACATTATAAATGTTTTCAGTTTCTCTTCATATGAACAATGGTGTTGAGAATATTCTCATACATATCGTTTGTGTACATGTGTAAATCGTTCAAGGGTATATACCTAGGAATGACCAGAGTTGAAGTTTCCATAAATATTTGTTGTTTTCCAAAATGCCAGAGATTTTTATCATTGAGGGGTAAGACCAATACTTGAACTACTTTGGCTGTCCAATAATTGAGACATGCTTTTTGATGTGTCCCAGAATACTTTTATACCTCTTGATACTATACAACTAACTCAGGCACCAGTGAGAGAGTGGAAATAGTTCAAGCCTAATTGGCCTCTTTCTCCCATACATAGCAAGACACACAGTTGGGCTGAAAATCTACATATTGGCTTATGACTTGGTGAGTTTCTTAAGTCAAATCAGTATCAATATGCTGTTCTAATGCTTCCTTGACCTACTCTACCTCAGCAGCTTTCCATCTCACTTGAGCTACACAAATGAACACAATCTAAACACTGATAAACAGGATAACATAGTAGAAAGAATATGGTGACTATAGTCAATAATAATTAAACTGTATATATTAAAATAACTTAAAGAATGTAATTGGATTGTTTGTAACTCAAAGGATAAATGCTTGTGGGGATGGATACCCCATTCTACATGATATGTTTATTTCACATGGCATGCCAGTATCAAAACATCTCATGTGCCCCATAAATATATACAACTACTATATACTCACAAAAAATTTTTTTTTAATTTTAAAAATTTACAAAAAAGAACTTGGAGTTTGGATTCAAAGGTACTTGACTTTAGTGGGCTTAATCATTTACTAAGCTATACAGTTAAATTTCTATTTCTCTGAGCTCATTATCTCATCTATAAAATTGGGCAAATGATATGTATCTTGGAGACATGTTATAATTAGAGACAATGTAGGCAAACTGCTTGGCTGAGTGCCTGACCCTTGATAAACAGTCAGTAAATTATAGCCTTAGTTGACATTGTTCCTCTTCGTCATCACCTAGAACTTGGAAATATGAAAATTCTGAAATATTGAAATTTCATTCTTTGAAGATAACATATATTTTCTATATATACGTGTGCATATATATGTATGTGTTTATATGTCTGTGTATATACATCTATGTATATAAGTGTGTGTGTGTGTGTGTATGTGTCTATGTGAATATATTCGGCCTAATGGAATCCACTACATCTGCCCCCGCTGCTTCTTTCAAAACTCATGTCAACTTCTAGTTTTTACCCTTCAGTTATTCCCATAATGTTGCAGATACATACTTTTTATTTAAATGTTTAACTTATCTTCTTTTGGCCTCTCATTAAACATAACATGCCCCAGTCTAAACTTTTCAATCCCCACCGTTTCCCCTACTATTTTCCTCTCTAGTTTTGTTAATAGCGTCACCATCAACTCAGTTACCTTGGGCTATGACTCAGAACCCTCTTTGACTCCTCTCTTTTCTTTAGTCCATCAGCAACTCCTCGAGGCCCTGCTTCCAAACAGTGTCATGCCTCTGACCACTCCTAACCCTCTGCAGTGTCACCTCCCCCATCTAAGCCTGCATCAGCTCTCACCTGGATTGCTGCTGCCATCCGTCACTGCTCCCTGCTTCTACTCTTGCTCTCATTGTATGGTGTCGGTCAGATCTGATCACTCCACTGACTGAATCCTCCACACTTCCCAGTTCCAAATACCAAAAATGCCAACCACCTTGACATGGCCTTCAGATGAGATCAGACCTCTCTGTCTCCATGTCTTACTTCAGTTCCTTTCTCTCACTGTGGCCCAGTCACTTCTAACTGCTTTTTCTTTCTCTCCCTTGAGTATCCCAAGCTCACTGCCACCTCTGATCCTTTGCACTAATCTCCTATCTTCCTGGAACTCTCTTCCCACAATTTTAGTGTGATGTTTCCTTTTCATAGTTCAAATAGCTCAAAGGGCACCTCCTAAGAGTGGCTTTTCCCGACTCTCTTAAAACTAACCATCCATGTTTCTCTTAAACCTGTGACTTTGTTTTCCTCATAACTACCATCTAAACATAAATATTTGTTGACTTTTTTTTTTTTTTTTTTTTGAGACAGAGTCTTGCTCTGTCACCCAGGCTGGAGTGCAGTGGCGCAATCTCGGCTCACTGCAAGCTCCATCTCCCAGGTTCACGCCATTCTTCTGGCTCAGCCTCCCGAGTAGCTGGGACTACAGGTGCCCACCACCACGCCTGTCTAATTTTTTGTATTTTTAGTAGAGACGGGGTTTCACCATGTTCGCCAGGATGGTCTCAATCTCCTGCCCTCGTGATCCACCCACCTCGGCCTCCCAAAGTGCTGGGATTACAGGCGTGAGCCACTGCACCCGGCCTTGTTGACATTTTTAAAATCTCACCCCATGTAATCTCCAGCAGAGTGGCACTTTATCTGTCTGGCTTATTGGTATATTCTCATCATCTATAATAGTGCCTAGTATATAATAAGATACTCAGTAAATATTTATTGAATTAATGAAAGAATGAATGAAAAGTAACTGGAAATGAGATAATGTACACTATTTCTCTAAAATTTTAGCAATTATTGTGAAATAAAGTTATCCTTGCTTTTCCAGTGGCTAGAAAGAGACCCTGCCACCTTACTAGGAAGCCTATTTTCACAGGAATGGGGATGAGGAAGTGCTCATTGTTACTGCTTGGCTGGAGTTCAGGCTCCCTACTGGTCCTCTACTGCCACCATCTTGGCTGGGGGAGGGAAAGGGATGAGAGAAAAATGATATCACTGCTCTTTTTAAGAGACATTTGATAAAAGAATAACAACTAAAGTCATACATTAGTGGTATATTCATATGAATTTATGATTATGAGTGCTTATCTTAAAATGTTATGTTTTCTTAACAAAATCTGATTTCCTTGACTGTGATCTTATTTATATTGACAAAGTTAATAGTTAACTGATGCCATGTTGGAGGTGAGCTGTCTGAGAACCAGATGATGTTCATATAAACAAGTGACTGAATCAGAGGCAATATAACAGGCTTAAAATCACCACTTTGAGATTAAGACCTAATTTCAAATCCCAGCGTTATCACCTTCTATCTATGTGAACTTGAATAATAATAATAATGAACATAATAGAAATTTGCATAGTGCTGATTTTATGCCATGCCCTGTGCTGACTCTGCAACAGCCTGATGAGATAGTTGTGAAGAGATATTGACAATCTCCTCAATCTTAGTGTTTGTACTTGTGAAATTGGTATACCTAATTTCATATGGTTTAAGAGGATTATATTTCTCCATGATCTGGAAATCTCCCTAGTAGGCTTTTGATATATGAAATGCCATGTCCTCAGAAAGTGGAGACTTTTGTTATATCTAAAAAGCTGTCATGTGACCCATGTCATCTACAAATAAAAATTCATCCCATGTCCTAAAATATTATAACTTTAAATATACATAATTATGTCATTGTTTCAATTATTTCATTTGTCAGCCATCCCTCCATCTGGAGGCTTCCACAGCAGCCCAGTACCTTCCCCTTGTATCAGCCAACTATCCCATCCTATCCAGTATCAGCCTGGTAAATATCCTATGCCAAATCAGCCTGTTCCAATAACATGGAAGCCAAAGCCAACTCCTTTGGCAAACTGCTCTCCTGGTCTAGAATATTTAGCTCAGGTTCTCCATGCTTTGGCAAACTGTCCTCCTGGTCTGGAATACTTAGGCCATACAAATCCAAGTTATTTTTCTATGAAATATGACCATAGTGATCCAATAAGGAGCGAGAAAATATAGGACAGAGTGAATAAAGGAGATGGGACAATGTTAACATGTCTAGTTTCTAAGACTGTAAGAATGGTGGTACTAACTTCAGAAATGTAAAGGGGAAGCAAAAAGTATAGAGATGTTTTTAGTGGGATGAGTATGGAGTTTATATGATTCAGGTTTACCATTAAGATATTCAGGATGTCCTCTTAAAAAAAGGTAGAAAAATAGAAACAGGAATAGAAAAAAAAATGTCTTAGACGCTAGCTTGTGTTTCATTTACTTGGAATAAAAGCGACCATCCAAAAAAGACATATGAAAGGAACAGAAAAATTAGTGGCTAAATCACTTAAGTGCCTTGGCCCTTTGATTTCCTTCACCACCTATAATTTTCATCAGCTATTCCAGACCTCCCCCCACCAATATCTATTTTCCATGTAAAAACAGGGTGCTAACCAAGTACATATAGCAGCAAGCCAAGTCCTTGAGGTCCCTTCTTAAGTGGTGATACCCTAATGCTCTTCTCTATAAACATTATGGAGCCACCCTGACACTCAGGTCAGAAACTTGAGGAATAGGAATATTTGGTAAACAAAATGGTATAAATAAATAAATTAAAGGTAGTATTAAAAACTATTCTGTAACCCTTGACCCTTTCGGCTTAAGAAAGAGGAGACATTTAAATTCTTTATATGTAAGTATCGGGGAACCTGCCCTGATAATCACGTAGGTTTTTTTCTATTTTTCCTAAGCATCGGCCAGCTTGAGAAATAAAGGGACAGAGTATAAAAGAGAGAAATTTTAAAGCTGGGCATCCAGGGGAGACATCACACGTTGGTAGGATCCGTGATGCCCCACAAGCCACAAAAACCAGCAAGTTTTTATTAGAGATTTTCAAAAAGGGGAGGGAGTGTGCGAATAGGTGTGGGTGACAGACATCAAGTACTTAACAGGGTAATAGAATATCACAAGGCAAGTGGAGGCAGGGCGAGATCACAAGACCACAGGACCAAGGTGAAATTAAAATTGCTAATGAACTTTCGGGCACCATTGTCATTGATAACATCTTATCAGGAGACAGGGTTTTGAGATCAACTGGTCTGACCAAAATTTATTAGGTGGGAATTTCCTCTTCCTAATAAGCCTGGGAGCGCTATGGGAGACTGGAGTCTATTTCATCTCTGCAGCCTCGACCATAAGAGACAGGCGCACCTAGGGGGGCTGTTTATAAGCCTATACCTCCAGGCACGTATTCTCTTCCTCAAGGATGTTCCATGCTGAGAAAAAGAATTCAGCGATATTTCTCCCATTTGCTTTTGAAAGAAGAGAAATATGGCTCTGTTCTGCCCGGCTCACTGGCAGTCAGAGTTTAAGGTTATCTCTCTTGTTTCCTAAACATTGCTGTTATCTTGTTCTTTTTTCAAGGTGCCCACATTTCATATTGCTCAAACACACATGCTGTACAATTTGTGCAGTTAATGCAATTATTACAGGGTCCTAAGGCGACATACATCATCCTCGGCTGACAGGATTAAGAGATTAAAGTAAAGACAGGCATAGGAAATCACAAGGGTATTGATTGGGGAAGTGATAAGTGTCCATGAAATCTTTACAATTTATGTTTAGGGATTGCAGTAAAGACAGGCATAAGAAATTATAAAAGTATTAATTTGGGGAACTAATAAATGTCCATAAAATCTTCACAATCCACGTTCTTCTGCCATGGCTTCAGCCAGTCCCTCTGTTTGGGGTCCCTGACTTCCCGCAACATGTAAGGAACTCTTTAATTCAATATTTGCCTCCCCACATAATCAAGTATTTCTTGGAGTTCACAAGGTCCTCTTTGCAATTCCACATGTTACTAATCCTGTGCATTGAAAACTATTGGTGCAATGCTATAGAGTTGATGTGTGAATTGGATTAGAAATTTGGAATTTTCTTGAGCCAAAAATTTTATTAAACTGATCTCTTTATAAAATAACAGAAAGGGGTGGGGCCAAGATGGCCAAATAGAAGCAGCTCCAGTGTGGCTCTCACAGACAGGAATGAAAGGGGCGAGTAAATACAACACCTTCAACTGAAATATCCAGGCATGCATTTGCATTGAGACTGATCAGGGAAACAGCTGGAGCCATGGAGAATGGAGAAAAGCAGGGAAGAGTGACAGCCTGCCCAGAAGCAACACGAAGCCAAGGGAACCTCTCTCCACCCCAGGGAGTGGATATGTGACCTTGGGAAACCATGCTTCTCCCATGGATCTTTGCAACCCTTGGGTCAGGAGGTCTCTTCCTGAACCCACTCCACCAGGGCCTTTGGTCTGACACACATGGCTGTGTGAAGTCTTAGCAGAGCAGCTGCTCAGGCACACGCAGAATTCCAGGAGCTCTACATATTCTGGCTCCAGGAAACCTGGCAAAGGTGACTGCAACTCAGTCAAGGAGGGAAGTTGGATGTTCCTACACACCCCTAGGGAAAAATAGCTGAATTCAGGAAGCCAAGCAGTGCAGGCCTATGGGCCCCACTTCCACAGTGCCTCGCAGGACAAATCCCACTGACTTGGAATTCCAGCCAGCCCCCAGAAACAGTGTTGCACCTACTTGGGATGAGACAGTGTTCCCAGAAAGAGGGGCAGGCTGCCATCTTTGCTGTTTGGACAACTCAGCCATTCCAGCCTGGGGGTTTAGGAGACTCCAAACCAAACCAACCAGGGATGGAAGGGACCTCTCCTAGCACAGCATAGCTGCTCTACCAAAATATAGCCAGACTGCTTCAAGTGGGACCCTGATCTATTCCTCATCTCAGGGCAATGCTTCCCAACAGGGGCCTCCAGCAAGCCCTACCCATATTCTCTGGCAGACAGAGTTTTAATTTCTCCCTTGGATGGAGTGCCCAAGGGGAGAAGCAGTTTGGACAACTCAGCTGTTCCAGGAAGTGGGCTTAGGAGAGTATAAACTGTCTGAGGCAGAAGGGAGCCCCCAGCAATGCACAGCTGCTCTACCAAAATGCTGTCAGACTTCTTCTTTAAGTGAGTTCATGATCTGCTCCTTATCTCTGGGTGGGACTTTCCAACTGGGGCCTCCAGCTACCCCCACCCACATTCTCCACCAGACAGTTTTGATTTCTGCCTTGGATGGAGCACCTGAAGGGAGGGATGGCCAACCATCTTTGCTGTTTAGACAACGCTGTTCCAGTCTGTAGGCTTACAAGAGTCCAAACCACCTGAGGATGGAAGCGGTACCCCCGCAGGGCACAGCTACTCCACAAAAGTGTGATCAGACTGCCCATCAGACTTTCATCTTGTGAGTGATTCCTAAGTAAAACCAAGATTAAAAGTTTACCTAATGTTTTTCCCAAACTCATTTTTCATGTAATCCTACCACAGAATGTGTTCTCTCCTTTGTGCCAGTTTCATTCACATGCTTCTGCCATCTTCGACCCTCTCCTTATTAATCCATGCACCTAGGGAAAACTGCCACTTTTAACTCAAGTGAATGGAAGTCAATACATTATTCTCTCAGAGGTACCCATGAAATAATTTAAAATTGGTCACACTTTGAGATTCACCTTGGCTAACTTACTCTCCCTAAGCCATTGAAAAAAATTGCATTCTGTATAGGTGGTCCATGTAAAACCATCCTGAACTTCCTGATCAAATCCAAATGGCAGGTGATATGTCAGAGAGACCAGTGAGTAGTAACTGAGCAAGAAACAATCTAGGTATACACAGCTACTTCTAGATGTTGTTGCTTTAGCAAGTTAATGTTTTTCAGATATTTTAGATAAAACAGTCTTATACAGTGGAACTGGAGAAAATTATTTTTCCTATTTGAACAGTCCTTTTAATGTCTATATGACCAGGTGAAAATAGGCTAATTTCAGGTGATAACACATATTTTTAAATTAATTTCATTCATACTCAAAAACTGTTTTGGAACTCAGTTGATTCATTGTGATATATCTATCATCAATTTCTTTCTTAATGCTAACTTAATTCTCTTATTTCTGTCTCTCTCAATAGTTGGACAACATGCATGTTTTTCAGCATTTGGAGCTCCTGGAAAGTATATATAATTTAGTAGTGTTCAGCAGTATTTGAATCAGGTGGAAATTGACATTATTAAACAGGCAGTTACTTTTTTTACAGCAATCATTTTTTCAGTGGTTCAAACAGAAAACACTGTTCTCCAGAAATTAAAAGAGAATTATTTTGTGTAATTTGATTTATTTACAAATTATATAATCATTAGCTCTTAGATTAAAAAGGATCTTATATATTATCTGGTCAATGCCCCCTTACACTTACACCTTCTATCCACCCATCATTTAACTTTCACAGATGCGGAAAAGAAAGAGCAGAGGAATGAAATGACTTAGTGAGGGTCAAGCAGAATTTAGATTTGCTAAAGTGTAGTGCGGTGCCTTTGTTTTAGAGGCAGGAAGAAATGAGCACAGTAAACATGAAGCCTAACATCTGTTCATCAATAGAGTGTGGCTGATTCTTAAAGCAGCAGCTTTACACATTCATTTAGCAACATAAGGTCTTCAACTCCTCTTGGTTACTTTTTCTATTTGCAATTAGTAGTGACCCTGATCATCTTACTGAGCTATTTGCAATTAGTAGTGACCCTGATCATCTTACTGAGCTGGATAATTTATGCTCTAATGTATAAAATAATTAAAATATTTTATAATTAAAGTCTCTGAATGCAGTTAATATATAAGACATAATCATCCTTATACAAGATGACTTTTATCTTTTACATGGAAAACTCTTAAATCATCTTGCACTGAATTTAAAATAGACACTTTAAATTCTAAAGCATATTAATACTTATAAGGTGATGAAATAGTTTGGTGTTCCCATCAGTTGTTTATGTTTCAAATGAAATTTTTAAAAGGCTATTTGGCCTTACACCCTGTGAAATGATTGATGATGACCTCTTGAGGGCAGACTTAACAGCTAATAATTTAAAGATGACTTTCTCATTTTATTTTCTAGTGATGACACATTTTGAAACTAATAATAGAAATGATGTTAAAAACAACTCAGACCAGATGGTTTTCATCATAACTGAAGACACACATATCTTTACCAGGAATGTGTATTGGACATTAAGGCCCTTCATCCTCCAGATCACTGAATGCATGGGCTGAAAAGTCATGACCATACAGAGACCTTTCAGATGTACCTGCTGTTGCCCCTCTGCCAGGCAAGAGGTCAAACAATGAATGTCCAATCCACAGTTTCCTTCTGATTCAACTTTTCACAGCAGTTTGCTCCTTCCATACAAAAGGGATTTTCCCTGGCTCATCCAGTCAGAATGGGAGAAGGTAGTGGAGAGGCAGGAAACCAAATTATCTCACCTAAGGAAAATCACAGAGACCTTTTTCATGTGGGTTATTGCTCTTTAGTGCTAATCGGTGGGTCAAGCACAATTAAGCTTGTTTAGTCAATAATCATGATTCCGTCAGTTGCATCTATGCAATTAGAAATTTACCTTTCACATAGAATAGTCACATACATTTATCTAAATATACCTACATATTACCAGGTAAGGTAATGCTAAACATAAACATATGCTTTTAGAATTGGAAGGGACTTCAGATACCTTTATACTACTCATCACAACCCACACCTTTCTGTTTTTTGTTTTTTGTTTCTTTTGAGACAGAGTCTTACTCTGTCACCCAGGCTGGAGTGCAGTGGCACGATCTCAGCTCACTGCAACCTCCGCCTCCCGGGTTCAAGCGATTCTCCTGCCTCAGTCTCCCGAGTAGCTGGGACTACAGGCACACGTCACCACACCTGGCTTATTTTTGTATTTTTAGTAGAGACAGGGTTTCATCATATTGGTCAGGCTGGTCTCGAACTCCTGACTTTGTGATCCACCCGCCTTGGCCTCCCAAAGTGCTGGGATTACAGGTGTGAGCCACCGTGCCTGGCCCCACAACCCACACCTTTCTACAGAGAAAGAAAGAGTGGCTGAAAACGATTAAGTGCCTGAGAAGGTATTACACTTGACTGTGCCAGAATTTCAATGGAGATGTGCTGCATTACAAGCTGGTTACTCTTATATAACCTGCATCATTCTAGGAACATCTTTTACCATAGTAAAAAGAAAAGCGGTTTTGGAGCAGCCAACCAGAGTTTAAATTCTAGATATGACACCTACTTAAATTTGTACAATTTACTTAACCGATTTGGGCTTCAATCTTCTGGTACATAAAATATGCATAACAATACCCCATAGGTTTACTGGGATATTAAAAGACATATTAAGTACCAGTATTTACTAATCTCAATGTATTACAATATCCTCTTTTCTTTGATTTCCTCCATTGTAAAATAGAGATGATATAGTACATATCACATAGGAGTTTTTGAGATTTAAGTAGTAAATTAATGTTACATGCTTAGGACAGCACCTGGCAGATAGTCTAGTACTCAAAGAACGTTAGTTGTTGTTCTTAGATATCTTACTCCCCTATCATTATGTTTTAATCATAACAGCCTTATATTTGAGATGAATCTTCACCTGTATCCTTCATTCTTTTAACTATACTAGGAATTTTTCTTCATATTCATGACTTGCATTGTCTTCTCAAATCCTTTTAGTGCAGCCTTCCAAATTAAAAAAGCTATGATGCAGAAAAGATAATCAAAATTACAAACTTACCCAATTTATAGAACATTTATCTCAAATATTATTCAGATTTTATTCTTATTTCTTCAGTTTTACTTGTATTCATGTTTGACTGTGTATATTTAGTTCTGTGTAATTTCAGCAGCCGTTCAGATTTCTGCATCCACCACCACAACACAGATAACCTGGTGAGGCAAGCTGATGTCCTAACCCTGTTTTCCTAGTTGCCATGAGTGGGCTGGTGGTCAGAGTCAACTGATGTCTAAGTGAGGGGTAGGAAATGTTCTAGGGCTGGGATAAGCATGATGCACCATTTCTGAGGTAAAAGCCGTATTCACTTCACTCAATCATGTATATATGTTAGAATATATATTCAAATGACATGTTCTGAATTCTGAGGAATCAAACTATGTGTACAGCAACATAAACATATTTATAAAGTAAATAATTTACTTTGAAAACCTACATATAAGAACAAAGAGTAAACAGTAAATTTCTCAAAACATATACTGTAATTAGTTAGCTTAATGTTTGCACATTAAATTTTACCATAGATCTTAGTTTTGCTGCTTCTTAGCAAAAAAGCCAGTAATGTGAAATCATGTAATTTTGAGATGTGTCTAGCTTGGTTTACCTGAAGATTTAATTCCTTGCCAGATGGATATGTATCTGGGCATGTATGAAGAAAAATCTACCTAATTATGAGATAGGTGAGATAATATGACCAGTTATATATAATAGTAATGATAATGGTGATGCTGATAATTATAAGAACAACTGTCCCTTTTTATTACTTCCTACATTGCCGGCGTGGTTCTGGTTCTGACTACTTTTTGTATATTAACTCATTTAATTCTCGTAGCAAGCCTATGAGATGTATTACTGTGATAATTCCCATTGTAGAGGTGAGAAGACTAGATGAGGTATTTTGCATGAGGACCACTCAGTTATCTATCTATTTATAAAGCTATCTATATTTCTGTTTGAAGCCAGCCCTAGATGCTACACCCTAAACCATTATGCCATGTTACTCTTTTATCTCTGTGTGATATTTGGTTTCTCTATGTATTAATATTAACACAGATGGCCGGACATGGTGGCTCATGCCTGTAATCCTAGCACTTTAGGAGGCCAAGGCGGGTGGATCACCTGAGGTCAGGAGTTTGAGACCAGCCTGACCAACATGATGAAACCCCATCTCTACTAAAAATACAAAAATTAGCTGGGCATGGTGGTGCATGCTTGTAATCCCAGCTACTTGGGAGACTGAGGCAGGAGAACTGCTTGAACCGGGGAGGCAGAAAGTGCAGTGAGCCAAGAATGTGCCATTGCACTCCAGCCTGGGCAACAAGAGTGAAATTCCATCTCAAAAAAATAAAAAAATTTAAAAATATATATTAACACAGACATACAGGGGAATGAAAATACAGAAAAATTGTACATAAGAAATTATAAACAGGAGATTTCTGTATACAAGATTTGTATACAATTATATACAGAAATTATATAGAGGAAATCATATTCAGGAAAATTCATGTGTTTTCAAGTTTGGGATTATTGCTGGAAGCTCATGAGGCTCCAAGCAGGTCTTGTCTGAGAGTGTGCTCTCTTCAGAGAGGTTTGCTTTTGCTTCTGCTGGTGCCCCAGCAGTGTTACCAACTGAAGATTATTTTTATTTATATTTTTAGGTTTTTGTTTTTCAAGTCTGTATGTATTTCAAATATGAACCCCTAAATGATGAGGACAAGACTTGATTATTGTGAGAAACACGCTCACCCATCCAAACCCGAAGAATGGACTCAGAAGCACAAAGAATAGCAAAAGTAAGAGTTTTAATAACGGTCTTGCAAGATCGAGTGGTAGGCAGGCACATCCGGGGCAACTACAGCAACTAATTTATCTCCTAGCATGCAAGTCCCTCCCCCAGTTCCTCACTGGTCAATTACTATGGGGTTATAATCTTCCCAGATGTCACCAAAGTTTTATTATCCCCCTTATAAGGTTATACCCCAGTCCCCTTCCCTGCTTAAGTTGTGATTTCCCAATAACGAAACTTTCTTCCCTTTTATGGGCTGACCCCGCCTCAACATTCTGTTCATTTATCATGACTTTCTAATAGCAGAAGCCATGCACTTTTTTACGTCCGCAGGCTGGCTGCCAGTGCTAGATTTATCATGCCTTGAAAATGGACCATTTAAAATATTTTCTCTCAAATTCTCTCTGCTTTTCTATTTACTTCCTCTGGTCTCATTTTCATCTAAATCCTCCTGGTCCTAGAATCACTCTAGAAGCCATTTACTTTCTTCTTCATAGGAGAGTGAGTTTAATTTAGTTTCTAATAGTAGAAAGTTATTTTGCTGGTAAGTCATGGGCATTTGCTTATTAATAGGTGTTTCAAGTAATCTCTGTGCTAGTCCCCTTACACAGGGATAATACATCATCCCACTTCTGTTAAGATTCCTGCCACAATTATGAGAGATGTAAGGATTGAAGCACCATGCTTTCCATTTTCCAAATCGACTTTCTGGCCAACCCATAAATGGGTCACCAATTCCAGCATTTTCTGCGAGTTTGTTGGCTAGAGTTGTCATTCCTTGTAAAGCTTTTGTGATGGTCCCATCTAGGGACAATTGGTCCCTAGTATTGTTGGGAATGAAAGTACATTTCCCACCCAGCATAACACATATGTCTCCTTTATCTGCTAGTATTATGTTTAGTGCAAGCCTATTTTCCCAGGCCATTTGGCTGGTGGCATCTAACTGGCTAGCTACCCCTTTTGAGAGTGTCCCAAGTATAATTGATGATTCTGTTGATTATAATACATGTAGTTAATCCAATCCACATTCTTATTAATAGCTGACCACCAGAACAGTGGTGACTCAAACCCAGCAACTATTTGGTTTTGGGACTTAAATTCATTAGGCACCGCCCTAGGGACTCCTATCGAGTCAACATGTGTATTGAGATCAAAAGAATTTGTTAAATCTCTCCAGTTTGGGTGGCCATGTGTATTTTCAAGTATCTTATGGAATGCCAGGGTGAAGTGAATATCCAACTGGACTAACGCACAAGTCCCAGTCCAATTGGATGGTTATGGAGGTTCCTTTTCCCACAGTACCACCAGACATCAGCCCGAGGTATATGGACAGCTGAGTAATTGCCATTGCTTGACTCAACAGTGATGTTTAGGATGTGGGTACAAGACGAGAGTTCTCCCATGGGCTTATTGAATTCTTCCCCCTGCCTAGAGAGGTAAAAGGAGTGGTTTATATTCCCTGTAGAGAATGAGGGGATTGCTCTGGGATCCGGCCTCCACAATGTGGAAAAGAACAATGACAGACTCTTACAAGTCTTATTTCCCAATGCATCCTTGTCGTGGTATGGAGCCAACATGCAACACATTCCTTTAAAGTTAACTCTAAGAAAAATCTAAAAAGAAAACATGTGCTGGCCCCATTTCTGGAAGTTAATATGGCTAGGATGGACTACTATACAAAGAGCAGACCGTCAAAACTTGGTATTCCATCCTAAGGGAAACAGAACCACCTGTGCCCGAGGTCGTCTGCAGCCCCCGCATAGCAGTTACTCTTGTCAAGGGCTTGCACCGAAAATGTGACCAGTTTGACCCAGGCATTCACACAGCCGTATCTGTCTCAATTTCTTCTTTCTTTCTTTCTTTCTTTCTTTCTTTCTTTCTTTCTTTCTTTCTTTCTTTCTTTCTTTCTTTCTTTCGTTTTTTTAAGATGGAGTCTTTCTTTGTCGCCAGGCTGGAGTGCAGTGGCTAGATCTCGGCTCACTGCAAGCTCCACTTCCCAGGTTCGAGCGATTCTCCTGCCTCAGCCTCCCGAGTAGCTGGGACTACAGGCGTGTGCCACCACACTCAGCTAATTTTTGTATTTTTAGTAGAGACAGGATTTCACCATGTAGGCCAGGATAGTGTCGATCTCTTGACCTTGTGATCTGCCCACTTCGGCCTCCCAAAGTGCTGGGACTACAGGAGTGAGCCACTGCATCCAGCCCTGTCTCAATTTCTAAGGTTTGCATTAAATCCTTTACCTCAATTATTTTTACCCTTTTAGGGTCATTATTTGCTGGACTAAACTGTTTATTAGGGCCTGCGGTTAGAGTAGTCCCAAGCAAATGGGAGGTTGAGTTTTTGATTAGTTTGAGAACAAATCACCCTGAAGGGGTTTTTCCCTGTGATGTCTGCCCCTAACCCATATACCTGAGATGCTACTTTTGGTTCTTGGTCTAGAAAAGCTGGATTGTTAATGGTTATGGGTATAGGATTGCATTCTAAATTCTGGTAGTTATTTGGCTGGGAGCCCTTGGACATATGTAGTTTATTTTTTAAGGGTCTCCAGCTCAGTTACCTACCCCATGTTTACTGTCCAACCCTGAAATTGGGTAGTCCACCATACATCGTCTCTGCTGGGGCAAGGTGATGCATTACTGTAACCTGTATCTGGTTCAGGGCACAGATATTTATTTGCCTGCAAGAGCTGTCTCAGATTTTCTAAATTCCCACAAGGTAAAACTTGGCAGGCATTAAATTTTATACTCTGGGGTTCTACTGTTTTGGTCACATTAATTATCAACCTGATTGAGTAGGGAGGAGTCCCCTGCCAGTTTCCATTTTGATGTTTTGCTCTTTGTATAGTACTCCATCTTGGCCATATTAACTTCTAGAAATGGGGCTAGTCCATGTTTTCTTTCTAGATTTTTCTTAGAGTTAACTTTAAGGATTTCTTAGGTGACCAATGCACTTTCCAGTGATCTTTTTCCCTCCCTTCAAGGGTCTCTTTTACCAGTCCCTTGACTCAAGTATAGTGAGTCCACCCCCATTCAGCTGTTCGCATGGCAGTCTCAGTGGTCAGGAGCCCTTGATAGGGATCTTCCCACCTTTGGTGGAGCTTGTCCTCTTTCCAGCTCTTAATCAGCACCAAGTTGTCAGGCTGGGCGTGGTGAACCATGTGGTGAACTTAACTGCTGTAGCTGCCCCAGGTGTGCCTGCCTACCAGACACTTGACATTGAGTTTGAGTCAGAAGTCCTTTTAACCTAAGGGATGACAGGGTGGAGGATATAGCCAGTATATAATTTCTTAAAAATTAGTCCTTGGTAGCTTGGGTGACAGAGCGAGACTCTGTCTCAAAAAAAAAAAAAAAAAAAAAAAAAAAAATTAGTCCTTGGTTTCCATAGTAGGAAGATCTGTAGCCCTGCACAAATATGGGAGTCCATATAGTAAGTCATAGGGGGACAATCCCAAGTATTCTCTTGGGCCTAATCCTCAGGAGTGCTATTTGGAGATATTTGGTCCAAGGCATTTTAGTTTCTAAGATTAGTTTGGTGATACGCTTTTTGAGAGTTTGTTTCATTCTTTCTACCTTTCCAGAGAAGGAGGATGCCAAGGGGCATAATAATCCCATTTAATTTGTAAACCTTCCATAATTTCCCTTAACACCCTTAAGGTAAAGTGGCTCCCATTGTCTGAATCAATATTTTCCACCAGGCCAAATCTAGGTACAATCTGTTCTAATATTATTTTGACCACATTTCTGGCAGTGGCTGTTGGAAGGGGAAAGTCTTCCACCCAGCCAGAAAGGAGATCTACGATCACCAGTAAATACTTTAGTCTTCCAACTTTGGGCATTTCTGTGAAATCTACTTGAATGCTTTGAAATCGTCTTAGTCCAGGAGGTCTTCCTCCCATGGCCTGTTTTCTAATCACCTTTTTCTTCATCTTTTGACAAGTTACACAAGTTCCATATGCTTATTTAGTGAGGGTATAAATTCCTATACACACATAATTTCTAAGTATTGCATTACACAGAGGCTGGGGTCCCCAGTGACTCCCTTTGTATAATATAGACATTAGTTCTTTCATCAGGGGTTTACTGACACCAGCTGTCTCACACTGTCCACCTTTATCTCGGCCGTCTGCTCCAGTTCTGTGACTCCTGCTGCCCCTATTCCTGCAGCTGCACTCCCTGGTCTGCAAGGCCACATCTTAGTAACAAAGTTAGCCTTCAAAAGGCCTTGCCCTACTGGATCCTCCAGATCTAATCCAGAGTATTTTCTATCTGATCTCTGAGCCTCTGCAGGAATGCAGAGGGAGTTTCCTCTTTTTCTTGTTGAATTTCGAATGCCTTTGAGACATTTTGTGTTCAAGAGTGGACTCTTTGATCCCTTTAATTATTAGTTCCCTGAGGTTCTGCATTTGGGCCTGGTCCCTGGGATCATTATTATCCCATTTGGGTTCTACATTTGGAAATTTTTATTTGGCTGGCAACACTCCTTGCCCAGGAGGGTGTTGCCTCTCCCAGATAGTCATGACCACTCTCCTAATCATTTTCCTTTCTTCTCCTGTGAACAGGATATTCATGATGGACATCAATTCAGCCCAGGTGTAAAAGCCGGTCTTCTAAATAAAAGGGATCTTCTAGGAGTGGTTTCATTTCCTCTTGAAATTCCTAACTTCAGTACTTGTAAGAGGAGCATTTACAAAGACAATCCCTCCCCATCCCATGGGAACTTCCCTAAGAGGGAACATGCTAGATATCTGCTGTGTGGAAGGGATAGGGAAGTTCTCAATATCCCTCTTACACTATTCTAATTCTTTTCTTAAATTTGGATAAGGATTTAAGGGAGCAGTTGGTTCATCTCCCCCATGGTCTCCAGGTCACCTTCCTCTAACCCACCTGTTGCTCCTTGATATTCTTATGCCCAATTTTGTGAGACATAGGCAGGGGGCGAGCATGATAGGGGGTCCCAAGGCTTTTCAGTGGATGAGGGCTCTTTACTAGACTTTTCTTCTGCTTCTTCTTCTTTGAGGGGGAACATGGCAGCTAATTCCTTGATCCAGCAGAAAGCGTAACCTATCTCTTCTTGTGAGGATGCGGTTTTATCATTCATACAGAGAGTTAAAGTTTGGCACACCCAGTCTTCATCTGAGCCAAACTTAGGCCAAAAGACTGTAGGCTTATGAATGGGGTCTTTGGGCCAGATAAAACAGCAATACTTTATCATCTTTTGCTATTTCTTGTCCCTGGTTCGAGGGTTGTCCCTCAAACCTGCAACATGCTCCCCAAAGGACTATCCGGGGGAATGTCAGAGGGAGTCTCTTTGGCTCCCTCCTTCCTTTGTCTCTTAGGCCTAGAATTCCTGTTTCCCATTTTCAGTCTCTGTGTCTGAGCTTTTCCCTGTGTACTCAGCCCCCCCCACTGGAGGTTTCTTGCACACCCCAAGAATTGCTTTGTCCATGTCCAGCCGTGTTTCCCTTGCAGGAGAACAGAACTGCAGATTGGGACTCCGCACTCGCTTTGTATGCTGGATACATCTCAGTTACACACACTTAACCTCCAAAAATGCCCAACCACCATGGCACTACTTACAGTCCAATTTTCCTACTTCGGCTCATGCACGAAGTTGCCTGGTTGCTGTGGGGCTTGCTTTTCTCCCTGTGTCACTTCCGATGCCTCCTGAATAACAGTCTCAGTTTTGTCTGTGGCCTCTGTCGGGAGCCAGGTGCCCAGAAAGACCAGGTCACCTACATTGGGTGGGATATGTCTCCTTTCTCAGCTAGAGTCCCACTCCATGCAGGCACAGAGATCCCAGACGAGCCCTCAGATTTGTAGAAAACATGCTCACCCATCCAAACCCAAAGAATGGATTCAGAGGCACAAAGAACAGAGAAAGTGAGACTTTTAATAGCAGTCTTGCAAGATCAAGTGTCTGGTAGGCAGGCACACCTGGGGTAGCTACAGCAGGTAATTTATCTCCTAGCATGCAATTTATCTCCTAGCATGCAAGTCCCTCCCCTAGTTCCTAATGGGTCGAGTACTATGGTGTTACAATCTTCCCAGATGTCGCCTGAGTTTTATTATCCCCCTTATAAGGTTATACCTAAGTCCCCCTTCCCCGTTAAGTTTTGATTTCCCAATAATGAAACTTTCTTCTCTTTTATGGGCTGATCCCTCCTCTTCATTCTGTTCACTTATTATGACTTTCTAACAGAATGAGCCATGCGGTTTGTTACATCCGCAGGCTGGCTGCCAGTGCTAGATTTATCATGCCTTGAAAATGGACCATCTAAAATATTTTCTCACAATTATGAATTCTCAGAGGACAAACCTTTAGCACAGGCCCAGAGAGGCTTTCATTTACTTCTCATTTGCCAGTGGAAGAATGTTATCTATTCCACCCTTTATATTGGAATGTGTCCCTTTAAGGGTTCCCATTTTATTGGGGGTCTCTATTACAGTACCCTTCTTGCTCAAGCCCAAGCCCTCACAACTGCCTAGCCATGACTGGTAAATCAGATCCCCGTTCTAAGGAAGGTGGGCAACTCTTTCTCTTGCAGAAGCCAAAGACAGTGTTAGTCTTTTGTGTAACACTCAGATTTTTCAGATTGTTTCTTACTTTTTGGCCCCATGGATTTCTCTAAATTTCCTTGGAGCTCAACTTTGCATGCATATAGGTTTTAATTATGCTTAGCTCAGACTTTCAGGTTTTTACATGATATACTTTGCAACACTGTCAAATATGGATGTGACATAATTGTTAAAAACACATACAGATTTTAATGTAAGGAACACAGGAGAGAGAATGTTCTAACATCAACATAAAAATTAAAATAATGTTCTGGTTTTGAATTATGATTTTTGGCAATAATTTAAAAGGTACTCCTTCACTTTCTATTTGAAAAGACATGTATGATATTTATGTTATCATACTATAGAATTTCAAAACCTTTGAAAATGTTTATTTCCAGTACTGTTTCATTATCCCAGCCTACATCTTTCTCCCATGCTGGATGCTTCCTGCCCTTGAACGTCAGACTCCAAGTTCTCCAGTTTTGAGACTCAGACTGGCTCTCCTTGCTCCCCAAGCTTGCAGGCAACCTATTGTAGGACCTTGTGATTGTGTAAGTTAATACTTAATAAACTCCCCTTTATAATAAATAAATATGTGTATATATATTTATATATCCTGTTAGTTCTGTTCCTCTAGGGAAACCTGACTAATACTAATACAGGTAACCAATCATTAAATTATTATACTAGCAACTGTTTTGCAATCCAGGCACAGAAAAATTTATCTTGGAGAAATTACTGAAACTGATTTTCTTGAAAGTTTCAAAAACATGTTTTCTCAGTTGTCTTAGCTAACAGTAACTATTATTTGTTCTGTTTTTGTTAAAATCTAGGAAAAACAGATTTAAAAGATATGTTAGAAACTCTTGCTTATGCAAGGATGGGCAGATGAGAAACACCAGAAAGAATCAATTAGAAAGACAAAATATTATTTATTTAGATTTGTGAAATTGTTGCTACTGGAATTAAATATTTAATTAATAATTAAATTGTATTTAATAATTATATTTATTTATTAATTTATGTATTTATTACTTATATTTATAATCATAATTACATAATTTATTATTTATTTATTTAATAATAAATATTATTCATTTAATTTGGTGAATTATTCTTTTTCCCCCCTCCCTGACATAAAACTAAATAATATAAGTCTACAAAATGGGACAGCAGTAGTTCATTGCTTTCTCTACTGAAATATACTATTTCCTTAGCCAAATTATGCTACTACTAATCTATAAATTTTAATGAATAGTACCAAAATATTTTAGAGTTAGAAGGAATATTGAGGACTACCTGCATTACATTCTAATCTACAAATGAGAAAACAGGCCAAGGTCATGTGTCCAACGTTATACTGAGCACAAATAGTTGAAACAGGACTGCAAATTACAGATTCCTTTTATCCCCCAGTATTCTTGCAATCACACAAAAAATTTAACAGACTTTTTTTTTTTTTTTTTTTTTGAGATGGATCTCGCTCTGTTGCCCAGGCTTGTGTGCGGGGGCACGATCTTGGCTCACTGCAACTTCCGCCTCCCAGGTTCAAGCAATTCTCCTGCCTCAGCCTCCCGAGTAGCTGGGACTACAGGTGCATGCTGCCACAGCCAGCTAATTTTTTGTACTTTAGTAGAGACGGGATTTCACCTTGTTGCCAAGGCTGGTTTCAAACTCCTGAGCTCAGGCAATCCGCCTGCCTTGGCGTCCCAAATTGTTAGTATTACAGGCGTGAGCCACTGAGCCCAGCCTTAATGTGCAATCTTTTATAACAATGGTTAATAGAAAATTTTTAGATATTTGTTTCAAATTTATCTACTGTTGTAAATTAATCGTAAGCAAATGCTAACATAGCACATCTCAACAATACCGACTGATCTCACGGCAATCTTCTACCTATGAAGGAAAAACTAAATTACTATGTTACAAAAACAAAAGCATTTAAAATACCTGTCATCTATGAGGTATTTCAATTTACTCATCCATTCATTTATTGATACAGTCATATTTTTCACAGCCACCATTCACATCTGAGTTTAATTTCATTTATTAAGATATATTTTTAGATTCTTTTGTGAAAGATACTTGTTGTTTGACAGATTCACTTGCATTGAAAAATTTAATTGTTGGTCATACAAAGAATATCAGATGATCATAGACAGACTCAAACAATTACCTTGATGAAGGGAAAGAACTATAGCTAATGGGCAGCCAAATACTACTTTGTCCAGATGTGACCTAGCCTGCCTGTTAGTCTGACAGATAACATGGAATAGACAATATGTCTGGAGATGTGGGAATACTTTATTCATAGTTCTGGCAGATTCACAGTCAGTTATAAAAATTATTCTGGGGACTACTACTATATTTCCTATATCCTTGAATTGTTTATTCTTAGTTTCCTATATATTATAACATTTCAATATTTCTGTTTGTTTTCTGTGTCTGTATAGCTCTCTCTGTTCTGTCCGGTTTTGTGTATTCCTGTCTACCTGTAATTTTTGCCACTTGTTTGAGATATGGCCATAGGACCTTCCTAGATATGGAAATCAGAGAAATGTGGTGCTGTTTTCTTAACTGACAGCAAGCTAATATTGTTGGCCTTTTGAGAGATCATTGTATACTATCACTGTTCTTTGCCTGTGAATGAAATCACTTGAGAGATAGGCAAAGGAGTAAAACTGACTTCATCATTAACCTGATAAAGCTGTTTAGAGGACAAGGCTTCATTCTCTAGCAATAATAAATTTGCAAAAGGGTGCTGAATCAGAATTACTCTCACTGTCTCAGGCAGAGCTGGAAAAAAACACAGCCCTTTATTCTAGAGTCCTACCACCATAAACCTCACTCCCTGAAAAACCTAGGAATTCGCGCTGTCTGTTAACAGGCTGTCTCTCCAAAGAGAAACACAGCTGAACTTCTCATACCCAGTTGCTTTGCTCAAACTCCCCAAGAACAATCATTTATCCCTGATCCCTGAGGCAAGTAAATGAGGGAACAGATAAAGATCAGAAGTCTTCTCTAATGCCAGTATCTCTACATGGAAATATCAGCAATGGAGAGTAATTTTGGTAGAGGTATTGCTTGTTCCCTTAAGTCTCTTCTTCTCCCATAATATCTCTAATTTCACTGATTCCACATGAAACCTGGAATACACAGAATATTTCTGACCCTTCTATGTAACTAGGTTTGGAGATATGGTAAAGTTCTGTCCCATTAGATGTTAATTGTCTAGTGGGTACTTTAACAGATAATTGGCACATACCTTTCCTTGATTCTTTCCTTATTCCCGCTGGATACACGAGAAAACCATTGTTTTAAAAAATATGTCCAGGAGTTGATAAGCTTAACTGAGCAATTTATTTAAAGTTGAATAACCTAATAGAGTTTTAAAGTTTTTTTCTGGTTACTTTTATATAGTTTATATTTATATAGTTTATATAACACTGTTTATATTAGCATAAATGGAATCAATTATTTGCAAATGGTTTCCTATAATTTGGCATGTTGTTATACTTGAATATAAACAGGAAGAATTGCCTTCATACTATTGCTTCTCCTTTTTAATTTCCTCTCCCTTGATTTTCAGATGAAACAAGTCTTTCAGCATCTTCCTAAAATGTGAGAAAACCTCCCAAGCACCCGTAAAGTAATAAATGTAGAGTTATTTTCTCTTTAACTGGTTTACAAGTCATCAATGAAGAGACACCACTATGTAAAATTCATTTATCTGAATCCAATAGTATTTTCAGTTTGCCATACATTCCCAATAAAACATAATCATCCCTAGTATAGAAAACGTTGTCACCAAACAAACTCAAATTTCTATGGAGGACTAGTGGAGTGAGTTAGTACTACCAGGGGCTCCCTCAAACTGAAGACCACAAATGGCATGTAAAGGGAGAAACTAATATTTCGCACAGGCAGATTGTCGCATTAGAGCATGTGAACAGATTGCCAGGCAGTGTAGGCTAGGTTAAGCTACGGTGACAATCTCAAAGTTTTAGTGGCTTATAAAAATAAAGGTTTATTATTTACTTACATGTCCTTTGTAGGTCATCAAGATACTTTTGTTCATCACAGTCACTCAAGGACCTGCTGCAGAAAAGACTTAATCTTGACCCAGTCTTTCCTAAGTACTAAGGCAGGGGGAAATGGACACAGGCATGGGAAAGTAAATATGACAACACAGGCACTAGTTCTTAATATTTCTCCCCCAAAGTGACACACATTACTTACAGTTACAATTCACTGGCCAAAGCAAGTCATATGAATACAATCAACTTCAAATGACCAAAAAAATGCAATCTTACCATCTTCCTGGAAGGAGAGAAAATAGCTTGTAAATAGGACTAATGACTATCTCATATATGTTCTGTTTCTTATGTTTGTTTGGTTTGTTTTCACGAATTCTGCTTCACTGTTGGCTTTGAATTTATCATTTAATTTTTATCAACTAACATCGTAGTTTATTAAGGTTTATTTAGCAACTGAGTAATGGTAGTAAAAGGCCCTGAGCATTGATGTCAGTAAGGGAGATGAAAGACATATAGAGAAGTTGCTTGATTGCACACTAGCACAGGTGTCATAGATAAACCTCTACTCACTTCAAAATGTCGTCTGCCTTAAATGGTTAAAGTTTAGAAAACTGTTAAAAACCAAGTGTTGGTAAGAGTATAGAGTAACTTGACTTACACTTACTGTACATAAGACACAAACTTACTCTAAAATTCAGCCAGTTTACTCTTAGATGAATACTCGAAGTGCAAATGTTTACCAGATTTTGTGCACAATATTTGTAGTAGTTATATTCATAACACCAAATGCAAACATCCTAAATGCCATCAATAGAAAAATGGACAATTAATATGTATTATACTCACACAATGGAATACTGCAAAGGAATGAAAATGAGAAACTACTGATGTGCAATATAACATGGATAACCCTCAGAAGTTATCTCTATTAGTATGATCTCTCCAGAAAAATAGAATAAATAGGATAGCTTTAGACAAAGATGTACATGTAGGCTTATCATAAGAAACTGGCTCATGTGGTTATGAAGGCTGAGAAGTTCCATGATCTTCAGATAGAAAACTGGAGACACAGGAGAGCCAATGCTATAGTTCCAATCTCAGCCTGAAAGCTTCAGGTGAGCTGATGGTGCAGGCTTCAGTCCAAGCCCAAGTCTGAAGGCAAAAGAAGACCATGTCTCACATAGAGGACAGGTAGAGAGAGAGTGAATACTCTCCAAGCCTACCTTTTTGTTCTGTTTAGGCCTCCAACAGATTGGATGAGGTGCACCTACATTTAGGTAGACAATATGCTTTATTCAGTCTAACAGTTAAAATGTTAATCTTATCCATAAACACCTTCACACCCAGTATGTTTAACTAAATATCTCACTACCCTATGGTCCAGTCAAGTTGACACATAAAATTCACTATTACGCTTTATTAAATGAAAGAAGCAAGAGTCAAAAGAATATACCCTGGATGATTTCATTTGATGAGTTCAATATAGGTCAAAATAATGACTTGAAGATAGAAGCAAGCATTGTGGCCACCTCTTTAGAGTGTGCTGAATGGTATAGCACAGAAGAAAACATTTTGGAGTACTTCAAATGTTCCATATCCACCTAGTTGATACATGGATGTATGTATAACACTGAAAAAATATTTAACTTGCTTATTTAAATTTGCACACATTACAAATTATATGTTATACCTCAGTTTAAAAATGATATATTTGTCCTTTCACAAAAACAATAATTATTCAGCTATGCATAAATGAAAATAGCTCTGGGAGAGTTCAAGATTCTATTGAAGAAGTTGCAGCCACACAGTGGCGCAATAGAACCAAAAATAACTTCACAGATAGACTGGGAAGAACGGTTTCATTTAGCTACTTTTGTTTAATTCCTCAGGCCAGCACAGCTGCTCACCGTGAGAGGTCATCTTGGCCCATGAGTTCTCCTTATGAAGGAAAAGAGGATCAAGATGAACAACCAGTTTCCCCAGCTTTTAGGCTGAAGGAATTACTTTGGTTTTAACCCAGCCAGATTGCTAGGGAAATCAGCATAGCTGATATATTTGGAGATGGCTAGGAACAAGGGGGTAGGAGCCATTAGTATCAAGTACATGGCAGCAGGTGCTACCTCAGTTCTCAGTGGCCCGCCTTGCAGAGGACTCCAATAATGTCACCATTAAGGACCTCAACAACCTTTATGGCCACTGCAGACTCTTGAAACCTTCACCACAAAGGGGTCCATATTTTCCCTTTTCTGACCTCAGTTGCCTAAGCTGCAGCATCTGCTGCAACCACTGAAGGCACCCTAGCCAGTGATGCCATGGAGACTCCGGACCCAGTATGGCCACTTTGTATAAATGTATACAACTAGGCTCTGCTCCCATCACCAACCTCAGCTCCCATTGTAGTGGGCACACCTGCAGTTGGCCCCTGTAGCTAACTACAAGCATGTTGCCCACTTCAACATCCACCTACCCAGTCATGCTCACCACTTGACCAAGAGATGCCAGTGTGATTCCCAGCAACCCTAGTGGCCATCGTGGGCCCTATGTAAACATCAATTCCAAGACCACACATTTGTCAACATTGCATATTCCAGCTCCCTGATCACTGATCCACCACCACTTGCCCCAAACCCAGAGTTGAAGCACACTCCCACAGTTTTTGTCTTGAACACCACTAGACCCAGGGCCCAGAGTACACCCACAAACAACCCTACTTTTGGCATCCCTTCATCCTCATTCCTCCTCTGCAGGTGAAGGTTTTTCCTTACCAAAGCCAGTCCATAAAGTCTGTGATAGGTAACTGCTTCTCAAATGTGCAGACACCAACACAAAGAAACAAAGAACACACAAAAAAGGAGGGAAACATGAAATCATCAAAGGAATGTAATAACTGTCCAGTAATTGACAGTTATTCTAAAGAAGCATAGTAAGGTAAGAGAGAACATAGATTAAACATTTTTTTTTAATCAGTAAACAGCACAAGGACAAAGTGAGTAGGACAATATAAAGAAAATAGAAAAAAGAACCAAACAGATTCTGGAACTTAAGAACACAATGGCTATGCTTAAAAAAATAGAGTGCTTTGGTTGGGCGCTGTGGTTCACGCCTGTAATCCCAGCACTTTGGGAGGCCGAGGCGGGCGGATCAAGAGGTCAGGAGATCGAGACCATCCTGGCTAACACGGTGAAACCCCATCTCTACTAAAAATACAAAAAAATTAGCCGGGCGTGTTGGCGAGCGCCCGTAGTTCCAGCTACTTGGGAGGCTGAGGCTGAATGGTGTGAACCCGGGAGGCAGAGTTTGCAGTCAGCCAAGATTGCACCACTGCACTCCAGCCTGGGCAACAGAGTGAGACTCTGTCTCAAAAAAAAAAAAAAAAAAAAAAGAGTGCTCCAACAGCAGGCTTGATCATGCAGAAGAACGAATCAGCAAATGTGAAGGTTGACCACTTGAAATTATCCAGTAGGAAGAGAAAAAGGAAAAACAGTAAAGAAAACCTAAGTGACTTATGAAGCACACTGAAGTGAAAAAACACATTTATAATGCGAATTCAAGGAGAAGAGAAAAGGAAAAAAGTATAACTCTCATTTAAAGATATAATAACAGAAAGCATCCCAGATCTGGAGAGGGAAATAGACATCCAGACTGAAGAAGCTCATGGGACCCTAAATAGATTGAAAAGAGAGAGGTCTACATTCAGACATAACAAAATTGAACTGAGAAATTAAAAAACAGAAAATTTTGAAAGCAGCTAGAGTAAAACAACTCATCATACACCAGGGAAATCCTATGAGAATATGAAGTATTGCTCAATAGAAATTTTGAAGGCCAGGAAAGAGTAGAAGGACTTATTTAAAATACTAAAAAAAAAAAAAAAAATTGCCTACCCAAAATAACTAAACCCTAAAGAGGTATCCTTCAAGAATGAAGGGAAGATAGTCTTCCCCAGAAAAACATACACTGAATATAAATTTTCACTACTAGATCTGCTTTGTGAGAAATACATAAGGGAGTTTTTCAAGTGGAATTGAAGACACACTAAACATTAATATAAAAGCACATGAAAATATAAATCACACCAGTAAAGGTAAATACATAATCAAATACAGGATAATATAAAACTATTGCTGGTGAGCCAATTTTCTATAACCTTAATATGAACTTTAAAGAACAAAATATTAAAAATATAACCACAAAAATTTAGTAATTTATTCCTATATTAGTCTGTTCTAACACTGCTAATAAAGACATACCTGAGACTGGGTAACTTATAAAGACAAGAAGTTTTTTTTATTATTATTATACTTTACGTTCTGGGTTACATGTGCAGAACGTGCAGTTTTGTTACGTAGGTATACATGTGCCCTGGTGGTTTTCTGCACCCATCAACCCATCACCTACATGAGGTATTTCTCCTAATGCTATCCCTCCCCTAGCCCCCACCCGCTGACAGGCCTCAGTGTGTGATGTTCCCCTCCATGTGTCCATGTGTTCTCATTGTTCAACTCCCACTTATGAGTGAGAACATGCAGTGTTTGGTTTTCTGATCTTGTGATAACTTGCTGAGAATGATGGTTTCCAGCTTCATCCATGTCCCTGCAAAGGACATGAACTCATCCTTTTTATGGCTGCATAGTATTCTATAGTGTATATGTGCCACAATTTCTTAATCCAGTCTATCACTGATGGACATTTAGATTGGTTCCAAGTCTTTGCTATTGTGAATAGTGCTGCAATAAACATACGTGTGCATGTGTCTTTATTGTAGAATGATTTATAGTCCTTTGGGTATATGCCCAGTAATGGGATTGCTGTGTTAAATGGTATTTCTAGTTCTAGATCCTTGAGGACTCACCACACAGTCTTCCACAATGGTTGAACTAATTTATACTCCCACCAACAGTGTAAAAGCACTCCTATTTTTCCACAACCTCTCCAGCATCTGTTGTTTCCTGACTTTTTAATGAACACCATTCCAACTGGCATGAGATGATATGTAATTGTGGTTTTGATTTGCATTTCTCTAATGACCAGTGATGATGAGCATTTTTTCATATGTCTGTTGGCTGCATAAATGTCTTCTTTTGAGAAGCGTGTGTTCATATCCTTTGCCCATTTTTTGATGGGGTTGTTTTTTTCTTGTAAATTTGTTTAGGTTCTTTGTAGATTCTGGAAATTAGTCCTTTGTCAGATGGATAGATTGCAAAAATTTCCTCCCATTCTGTAGGTTGCCTGCTCACTCTGATGACAGTTTCTTTTCTTGTGCAGAAGCTTTTTAGTTTAATTAGATCCCATTTGTCAATTTTGGCTTTTGTTGCCATTGTTTTTGGTGTTTTAGACATGAAGTCTTTGCCCATGCCTATGTCCTGAATGGTATTGTCCAGGTTTTCTTCTAGGATTTTTATGGTCCTATGTCTTACGTTTAAGTCTTTGATCCATCTTGAGTTGATTTTTGCATAAGGTGTAAGGAAGGGGTCCAGTTTCAGTTTTCTGCATATGGCTAGCCCTCTTAGCACAGCCAGCAGTGCATCAGTCTCATAATCCGAAGGAAAGAGATTTTATTGACTCACAGTTCTGCATGGCTGGCGAGGCCACAGGAAACTTACAATCATTGCAGAAGAAGAAACAAACACGTCCTTCTTCACATGGTGGCAGCAAGGAGAAGTGCCAAGCAAAAGGAGAAAAAGCCCCTTATAAAACTACCAGATCTTGTGAGAACTCACTCACTATCATGAGAACATGAGGATAACCACCCTCATGATTAAATTACCTCCCACGGGGTGCCTCCCCCACAACTCATGGGGATTATGGGAACTACAATTCAAGATGAGATTTGGGAGGGGACACAGTCAATCCATATCATTACACCCTTGGCCCCTCCCAAATCTCATGTCCTCACATTTCCAAACACAGTCATCCCCTTCCAACAGTCCCCCAAAGTCTTAACTCATTCCAGCATTAACGAAAAGTCCAAGTCCAAAGTCTTATCTGAAACAAGGCAAGTTTATTCAGCCTATGAGCCTGTAAAATCAAAAGCAACTTAGTTACTTCCTAGATACAATGAGGGTACAGGCATTGGGTAAATATACCCATTCCACATGGGAGAAATTGGCCAAAACAAAGGGACTAGAGGTCCCATGCAAGTCTGAAATCCAATAGGGCAGTCATCAAACCTTAAAGTTCAAAAATGATCTCCTTTAACTCCATGACTCACATCCAGGTCACATTGATGCACGAGGTTGGTTCCCATGGCCTTGGGCAGCTCTGCCTTATGGCTTTGCAGGGTACAGTCCCCCTCCTGGCTGCTTTCACCAGCTGGCATTGAGTGTCAGTGGCTTTTCCAGGCGCATGGTGCAAGCTGTCAATGGATCTACCATTCTGGGATCTGGAGGATGGTGGCATTCTTCTCACAGCTCCACTGTAAATTGGCCCCTTTTAGCCACATCTGGATCTGAAGCAGCTGGGATGGAAGATACCATGTCCTGAGGCTTCATAGAGTTGGAGGGCCCCAGGCCTGGCCCACAAAACCATTTATCCCTCCTAGGGCCTGTGATGGGAGGGGCTGCTGTGAAGATCTCTGACTTGCCCTGAAGACATTTTCATCATTGTATTGGTAATTAACATTTGTCTTCTCATTACTTATGCCACTTCAGTAATTGGATTCCTGGATCAAGTGATAGTTCGGTTTTAAGTTATTTGAGAAATCTCCAAACTGCTTTCCACAGCAGCTGAACTAGTTTTCCATCTACCACCAGTGTATAAGCATTCCCTTTTCTCTGCAACCTTGCCAACATCTGTTATTTTTAGACTTTTTCATAATAGCCATTCTGACTGGTGTGAGATGGTATCTTATTGTAGTTTTGATTTACATCTGTCTATGATTAGTGATATTGAGCATTTTTTTCATATGCATGTCAGTCACGTGTATCTCTATCTCATCTGTGCATATGCTTGTTGGCCACATGTATCTCTTCTATCTTGTCTGTTCATATATTTGGCCCATTTTTTAGTGTTTGTTTCTTTGCTTGTTAATTTGCTTAAGTTCCTTATACATTCTGGATATTGGACATTCATTGGATGAACAGTTTGTGAATATTTTCTCCCATTCTGCAGGTTATTTGTTTACTCTGCTGATTGTTCTTTTGCTGTGCAGAAGATCCTTAATATAATTGAGGCCCTTTCACTAATTTTTGGTTTTGTTGCAATTGCTTTTGGTGTCTTTGTCATGAGATCTTTGCCAGGGCTAATGTCCAGAATGGTATTTATTCAGTTTACTTCTAATGTTTTAATAGTTTTAGGTTTTACATTTAAGTCTTTCATCCATCTTGAGTTTAATTTTGTATATAGTAAAAGGAAGGGGTCCAATTTCAACCTTCTGCATATGGCCAGGCAATTATTTCAGCACCATTTATTGAATAAGACATATTTTCCACATTGCTTATTTTTGTTGAATTCATGAAAGATCAGATGTTTGTGGGTGTGTGGCTTTGTTTCTGGGTTCTCTAACCTGTTCCATTGGTCTCTTTGTCCATTTTGGGGCCAATATCATGCTGTTTTGGGTTACTATCACCTTGTAGTATAGTTTGAAGTTGGGTAGTGTGATGTCTCTGTCTTTGTTCTTTTTGCTTAGGATGGCTTTGGTGATTCTGGCTCTTTTTGGATTCCATCTGAATCTTAGAATAGTTTTTTCTAATTTGGTAAGAAATAACATCAGTAGTTTGATAGAAATAGCACTAAATCTGTAAATTGCTTTGGGCAGTATGGCCATTTTAACAATATCAATTCTTCCTACCCATAAGCATGGAATATTTTTAGATTTGTTTGTATTTTCTCTGAAGTCCTTCAGCAAAATTTTATAGATCTTGTTGTAGGTCTTTTACCTCCCTGGTAAGCTATATTCCTAGGTATTTGTATATGGTGTGTGTGTGTGTGTGTGTGTGTGTGTGTGTGTGTGTATTGTATATGGGACTGCATTATTGATTCAGCTTTTAGCTTGGAAGTTATTGGTGTATATGAATGTTATTGATTTTTCTACATTGATTTTGTATGCTGAAACTTTGCTGAAGTCATTTGTTGGATTCAGGAGCTTTTTGCAGAGACTATGGGGTTTTTTAGGTATAAAATTACATCATCTACAAAGAGAGATAGCTTGAATCTCTCTCATTCTATTTGGATATATTTTATTACTTTTTCATGTTTGATTGCTCTGCCTAAGATTTTTCATACCATGTTAAATAGGGGTGGTGAGAGTAGACATTCTTCTCTTGTTCCAATTCTCCAGGGGAATACTTCTAGTTTTTGCCCATCCAGTACAATGTTGGCTGTGGATTTGTGATAGATGGCTCTTATTATTTTGAGGTACATTCTTTTGATTTCTACTTTGTTGAGGGTTTTTTAACATTAAGGGATGTTGAGTTTTAACAAAATATATTTTTTGCATTTGTTAAGATGATCATGTGTGGGTTTTTTAGTGGTTTATGTGATGATCTGATTAATCCCATCATTGATTTGATGTGATAATAAAGTTATCTTTTTTCCTAGGATGCAAGGGTTATTCAACATGCACCAATCAATAAATGTAATTTGATTCATCACATTTATTGATTGGTGCATGTTGAGTGAACCTTCCATCCCAGGAATAAAGTCAACTTGTTTGTGGTAAATTAGCTTTCTGATGTGCTGCTGGATTCAGTTTGCTATTATTTTATTGAGGATTTTTGCATCTATATTCGATAAGGATATTGTTCTGAAGTTTTCTTATGGGATTTTCTTCGTTGTGTCTCTGCCAGGTTTTGGTATAATAATAATGTTGGCCTAATGGAATGAGTTATGCAGGAGACCCTCCTCCTCAACTTTTTGAAATAGTAACAGTGGAATTGATACCAGATCTTCTTTAAACATCTGATAGACTTCATCTGTGAACCCCTCTGGTCCAGTGTCTTTAGTGGTTGGAGGCTTTTTATTATAGAATCAATTTTGGAACTAATTATTGGTCTATTCAAGGTTTCTATTTCTTCCTGGCAAAACCTTGGGGAGATTCTGTTTCCAGGAATTTAGCTATTTCTTTTAGATTTCTAGTTTGTATGCATTCAGGTGTTCATACTAGTCTCTGGGTTTTTTTTTTTTTCAATGTATTTCTGTGGGGCCAGTGATTTCTGATTGTGTTTATATGTATCTTCTTTCCTTTTTTAAATTAGACTAGCTAATTGTATATAAATCTTATTTATTCTTTCAAAGAACCAAATTTTGGTTTTGTTTATATTTTGTGTGGATTTTTTGCATCTTAATTGCATTTAGTTCATCTCTAGTTATTTATTTTCTTCTGCTAGCTTCATAGTTGGTTTGCTCTTGTTTTTCTAGTTCCTCTAGGTGTGATGTTAGGTTGTTAGTTTGAGATCTTTCTAATTTGTTGATGTGGGTATTGAGTGCTATAAACTTTCCTCTTAATAAACTTAAGTTTATTATTATTAACTGCTTAATAAAGCAGTTAACTGTTTTAACTGTGTCCCAGAGATTCTGATCTTTGTTTTTATTAGTTTCAAAAAATTTCTTGATTTATACTGTAATTTTATTATTTACCCAAAAGTCATTCATGAGCCAGTTGTTTAATTTTTATGTAATAGTATAGTTTTGAGATATCTTCTTAGTATTTACTTCTATTTTTATTGTGCTGTGGTCCTAGATTGTGATAGGTATAATTTTAGTTTTGTTGAATATTTTGTGAATTATTTTATGGCCAATCATATGGTCAATTTTAGAGTATACTGCAAGTGCAGACGCAAAGAATGTATATTCTGTTGTTGTTGAGTGGACTGTTATGTAGATGTTTGTTATGTCAATTTGCTGAAATGTTGAGTTTAGGTCCTGAATATCTTTGTTAGTTTTTCTGCTTCAAGGCATTCAAGTTCTTCTGTTTACTGTTTGTTTGTTTTTTTTTTCCCCAAACCAGGAAACAACAGCAGGGCAATGAGTTAGTTCTAGTGCCCTATTTTAGTTCTGGTACTCACTATAAATCTTTCTAGAAATAAATAGCAGATTAGACTCTAAGTTCTGATACTAAGCAGTGAAGGTTCAATGTCACCAAAGAACACTTGAAAAAACTGGAAGAGGTGGCTGTCTCCTTAGATGTGTGGCATCCACATAAAGATGCAAGGAATATGAAAACTTGGGGAAATACGACACCATCAAATCTCCAGCACTGGAACCAGAAGAATTGAAGATCTATGAAATGTGAGACAAATAATTCAGAATCATCCTCTTAAAAAAGTTCATGGAGTCACAAGAAAATACAGACAGAAAACTAAGTAAAATTGAGAAAACAATCCAGGAACCATAAGAAATTTGCCCAAGTAAACTAGTTCAACCACTGTGGAACACAGTGTGGCGATTCCTCAGGGATCTAGAACTAGAAATACCATTTGACCCAGCCATCTCATTACTGGGTATGTACCCAAAGAATTATAAGTCATGCTGCTATAAAGACACATGCACACGTATGTTTATTGTAGCACTATTCACAGTAGCAAAGTCTTGGAACCAAGCCAAATGTCCATCAATGATAGACTGGATTAAGAAAATATGGCACATATACATAATGGAATACTATGCAGCCATTAAAAATGATGAGTTCATGTCCTTTGTAGGGACATGGATGAAGCTGGAAACCATCATTCTCAGCAAACTATCGCAGGGACAAAAAAACACCGCGTGTTCTCACTCATAGGTGGGAACTGAACAATGAGAACACTTGGACACAGGAAGGGGAATATCACACACTGGGGCATGTTGTGGGGTTGGGGGAGGGGGGAGGGATAGCATTAGGAGATATACCTAATGTAAATGACAAGTTAATGGGTGCAGCACACCAACATGCCACATGTATACATATGTAACAAACCTGCACATTGTGCACATGTACCCTAGAACTTAAAGTATAATAATAAAAAATAAAATAAATGAATAAATAAAAATAAATCAAGAGAACAGTGAAAAAAAGAAAAAGAAATTTGCCCAATAACTAAGTGCAATTTTCAAAAACCAAATAAAAATTTTAGGAATAAAAAATGCAATAACTGAACAGAAAGATTCATTAGAATTTCAACAGATGACTTGATAAAACAGAGAAAATAATTAACAAGCCTCAAAGTAAAATATAAAATTAATCAGAGGGGAAAAAGAAAAAACATATAAAATAGAGTTAAGAAAACCTACAAGACTCATGGGACGCCATCAAGCAAACTGATAGGGTTTGGCTTTTGTCCCCAGCCAAATCTCATCTTGAATTGTAATCCCCAAATCCCCACATGTCATGGGAGGGATCTGGTGGGAAGTAATTGAATCATGGGGGTGGTTTTCACCATGTTATTCTTGTAATAGCGAGTGAGTTTTCACAAGATCTGATGGTTTTTAAACCAGCTTACCCCTTTGCTTGGCTTGCATTCTTCTCTCTTCTGACACCATGTGAAAAAGGATGTGTTTGCTTCCCCTTCTGCAATGATTGTAAGTTTCTTGAGGCTTCTCTAGCCATGCAGACCTGTGAGTTAATTAGACCTTTCTCCTTTATATATTACCTAGTCTCAGGTATGTCCTTATAGCAGCATGAGAATGAACTAATACAATAAATTGGTACTGGTACCACAGAGAGTGGGGTGCTGCTGTAAAAATACAGGAAAATGTGGCAGCAACTTTGGAACTGGGTAACAGGCTCTGCCTCTGTTGGAACAGTTTGGAGGCCTCAGAAGAAGACAGGAAAATGTGGTAAAGTGTAGAACTTCCTAGAGACTTGTTGAATGGCTTTGACCAAAATGCCAGTACTGATAGGAACAATCAAGTCCAGGCTGAGGTGATCTAGGATGCAAATGAGAAACTTGTTGAGAACTGGAGTAATGGTGACTCTTGCTATGCAAAGAGACTGGTGGCATTTTGACCCTACCCTAGAGATCCATGGAACTTTGAACTTGAGAGAGATAATTTAGGTGAATTCTGGTGAAAATTTCTAAGTGGCGTAGCATTCAAGAGGAAGTAGAGCGTTAAAGTTTGGAAAATTTGAAGGCTTATAATTTGATAGAAAACAAGACCACATTTTCTGGGGTTAAATTCAAGCCAGCTGCAGACATTTGTATAAGTAATGAGGAGCTGAATGCTAATTACCGAGACAATGGGGAAAATGTCTCAAGGCATGTCAGGGACCTTTACAGCAACCCCTCCCATCACAGGCCCAGAGACTTAGAAGGGAAAAATGACTTTGTGGGCAGGCCCAGGATTCCCCAGCTCTATGCAGCCTTGGGACATGGTGCCCTGCATCCCAGCTGCTTCAGCTCCAGATGTGGCTAAAAGGGGCCAACATACAGCTCAGGTTGTTGCTTCAGAGGGTGCAAGCTCCAAGCCTTGGCAGCTTACATGCGGTGTTGGGCCTGCAGGCACACAGAAGTCAAGAATTGAGGTTTGGAAACCTCCACTGTCCTCCAGAGCCCCAAATAGTAGATCCACTGGCAGCTTGTACTGTGCCCCTGGAAAAGCCACAGACACTCAATGCCAGCACATGAAAGCAGCTGAGAGAGGGGCTATACTCTGTAAAGCCAAAACGGTGGCACTGCCCAGGGCCATGGGAACCCACCTCTTGCATCAGTGTAACATGGATGTGAGCCATGGAGACAAAGGAGATCATTTTGGAACTTTAAGATTTACTGACTACCCTTTTGGATTTCAGAATTTTATGGGGCATCTAGCCCCTTTGTTTTGTCCAATTTCTTCCATTTGGATCAGGTGTATTTACCCAATGCCTGTAACCTCATTGTGTCTAGGAAGTAACTAAATAGCTTTTGATTTTTTTTTTCTTTTTTTTTTTTCAGAAGGAGTCTCACTCTGTCACCAGGCTGGAGTGCAGTGGTGCGATCTCGGCTCACTGCAACCTCCCACTCCCTGGTTCAAGTGATTCTCCTGCCTCACCCTCCGGAGTAGCTGGGATTACAGGCACGTATCACCATGCCCAGCTAATTTTTTTACTTTTAGTAGAGATGGAGTTTCACCATGTTGGCCAGGATGGTCTCCATCTCCTGACCTTGTGATCCACCCACCTTGGCCTCTCAAAGTGCTGGGATTACAGTCATGTGCCACCACGCCCAGTCAGTTGCTTTTGATTTTATAGGCTCATAGGTGGAAGGGACTTGCTCTGTCTCAGATGAGACTTTGGACTTGGAATTTTTGGTTAATGCTGGAATGGGCTAAGATTTTGGAGGATTGCTACAAATGGCATGATTGTCTTTTGAAATGTGAAGACATGAGATTAGCGATGGGCCAGGGTCAGAATATGGTTTGGCTGTGTCCCCACCCAGATCTCATCTTGATTCATAATTTCATAATTCCCACGTGTCATGGGAGGGATCTGGTAGAAGGTAATTTAATCATGGGGACAGTTTCCCCATGCTATTCTCATGATAGTAAGTTCTCATGAGATCCGATGGTTTTATGACGGGATTCCCCCTTTGCTTGGCTCTCATTCTTTTCTTTCCTGCTGCCATGTGAAGAAGGACATATTTGCTTCCCATTCTGCCATGATTGCAAGTTTTCTGAAGCCTCACCAGCCATACAGAACTGTTTCCTTTATAAATTACCTAGTCCCAAGTATGTCCTTATAGCAGCATGAGAATGGACCAATACACAGAATAACCTTCACATAATACAAATTTCTGAATGAGATGAGACAGAAAAGCATATTTAAGGAAATAATCGCTGAATATTTCCCAAATCTGGATAAAGATGACACTATTCGGGTACAGAAGGCTCGGAGGTCACCAATTAAATTCAACCCACACACAAATCTCCAGGACACATTATAATCAAATTAGCAAAAAATTAAAGACAAAAAAGAATACTTAAAGGAGCAAAGCAAAGGAACATCACATTTAATGGAACTCCAACAGAGTTTTCAGTGGATTTCTCAGAAGAAACCCAGTAGCTGAGAAGAAACTGTAATGTTATATTCAAAATATTAAAGAAAAAAAGTCAATCAAAAATGCTGTAGCCAGCAAAGCTAACCTTCATACACAGACAGATAAAGCCTTTCCAAGACAAACAAAAGCTGAGGGAATTCATCAATACCAGACATGCCTTAGAAGAAAATGCTAAAGGGAGTTCTTTAATCTGAAATAAATGGACACTAACATTTAGCAAGAAAACAACTGAAGGTATTAGATTTACTGACAAAAGAAAGAAGAAAGAAAAATTCAGAATATCTTAATATTGCAATTGGGTAAGTAAATCATATATATTTAAAGTATGAAGACTGAAAGAAAAACCCATCAAAATCAATAACTATACCAATTAGTCAAGAGAGAGGCAATATAAAAAGATATAAATTGAAATATCCGTAAGTCAAAATGTTGGGGAGATAATGTTATAATGTACAGTTTGATTTTATTACTTTGATTTGTGATCAAAATTAAGCTGTTATCAGTTAAAAATAACCTGTTATAATTATATTTTTTGTAAGCCTTGTGTAACCACAAATCAAAAACTTCTAACAGATACACTTAAAATAAATAACATGAAATCAAAACATATGACTAGATAACATTGCTTAACACCAAGGAAGGTAGTAAGAGAGAAAAATAAAAGAAAGGATTTAAAAAACAAGTAACACAGTAGCAGTAGTACACCCTTACTTATCAATAACAACCTTGATTCTAAACCAAAGTTTGCTTGGATTAAATTTTCCAATTAACAGACAGAGTGACTGAATGAAAGTGAAAGACCAAATTAATGCTGTATTCAAGAAACTCGTAACACCAATAAAGATATGCATAAGCTGAAAGTGTAGAGATGTAAAAAGATATTGCATGCAAATTCAAACCAAAATAATCAGGCATAGCTATACTTAGAAAAAAGAGACTTTAAGTCAAGAATGGTAAAAAGAAAAGAAAAAGAATTCCATTACACAATTATAAAGAGATCAATATAGCAAGATAATATCACAATAGCTACAGAATACAGATTTTTCTTAGCAGTACAATGAAACATTCTCCAAGACAGACCATATGTTCAGTGACAAAATAAGTCCTATCAAATTTGTTTTTTCTGAGATGAAGTCTCACTCTAATTATGACTCACTGCAGTCCTGAACTCCTGGACTCAAGCGAGCTTCCTGCTTCAGCTCACAAGTAGCTGGGACTGCAGCATGCAGCACTACATGTGACTAATATATATTTTTAAAATTTTTGTACAGATGGGATCTCTCTTTGTTGCCCAGGCTAGTCTCAAGCTTCTGACCTCAAGTGATTCTCCTAACTTGGCATCCCAAACTGTTGGGATTACAAGCATGAACCACCACACCCAGCCCAAATTTCAAAGAACATTCCATCCAGTAGCTGCAGAATGCACATTTTTCTTAACAGCACAATGGAACATACTCCAAGACAGATCAGATGTTCAGTCACAAAATAAGTCCTATTACATTTGGTTTTTTTTGTTCGTTTGTTTTGTTTTATTTCGTTTGAGATGAGGTCTCACTCTGTTGTCCAGGCTGGAGCACAGTGGCATGATTATGGCTCATGGCAGTCCTGAATTACTGGGCTGGGATTACAAGCATGAGCTGCCACACCCAGCTCAAATTCTTTAAACATTGGAATTATGTCAAGTATCTGTTCTGACCACAATGGAATAAAACCAAAAATCAATAACAGAAGGAATGTTGGAAACTGTACAAATTCATAAAGATTAAATAACATGCTCCTGAACAATAAATGTGTCAATAAATAAATTAAAAATGAAATATAAAATTCTTTGAGACAAATGAAAGTGGAAATACAACATATCAATACCTATGGGATAGAGCAAAAGTGATTCTAAGAGGAAAGTTTATAGCAAACAGAAACCTATATCAAAAAAGTAGAAAGACTTCAAATAAACAACATAACAATGCACTTCAAAGGATGAGAAAAGCAAGAATAAACCAAACCAAACCCAAAATTAGCAGAAGGAAAGCAAGTCTCATGGAACATATCTGTAGTCTCAGCTACTCAGGAGCCTGAGGCAGGAAGATTGTGAGTTCAAGTTAAGCCTAGGCAAAATAGCAAGAAACTGACTCAAAAAAAAAAAAAAAAAAAACAGATATCAGGATAGATATATAAATAAAATAGAGAAAAAAAAAGATAAATAAAACAAAGTTTATTTTTTAAAAGATAAACAAAATTGAAAACTTTTAGGTAGACTATGGAAAAAAAGAATAAATAAAATTAGACCCAAAAAAGGAGATATTACAACTGATACCCAGAAATACAAAGGATTTTTAGAGACTACTATGAACAACTATACACCAATGAATTGGAAAATCTAGAAAAAATGGACAAATTCCTGTATACCTACAACCTACCAAGACTCAATTATAAAATATAGAAAATCTGAATAGACCAATAGTGAGAAACAAGATTGGAATAGTAATAAAACATCTCTTCTCAGAGTAAAATACAGGAACTGATGGCTTCTGTATTAGTCTGTTTTCACACTGCTCTAAAGAACTACCTGAGACTGGGTAATTTATAAAGAAGAGTTTTAATTGAATCACAGTTCTGCATGACTGGGGATGCCTCAGGAAACTTACAATCATGGTGGAAGGCATAGGGGAAGCAAGGCACATCTTACATGGTGGCGGGAGAGAGAAAGAAATGGGGGAGCTACGATACACTTTTAAACCATCAGATCTCATGAGAACTCACTCACTATCATGAAAGTATCATGAGAAAAACTGCTGCCATAATCTAATCACCTCCCACCAGGTCCCTCCTTTGATATGTGGGGATTACAATTCAAGAAGAGATTTGTGGTGGGGACAGACAACCAAACTATATGAGTCATTCATGAATGCTATCAAACATTTAAAGAACTAATATAAATTCTACTCAAACTATTTCAAAAAATTGAAGGAAGAGGAGAGAATATTTGCAAACTTATTGTACGAGGCCAATATTACCCTCATACCAAAACCAGATAAGGACACAACAACAACAACAACAACAACAACAAAAACTATGGGGAAAAATCTCTGATGAACATAAATGCAAAAATCATCAACAGAATACTAGCGAACTGAATTCAACAATACATTAAAAAGATCATTTCATCATAATCAAGTGGGGTACATCCCAGGGATGCAATACGTTTCAACAAATGTAAATCAATTAATGAGATACATCACATTAACTAATTAAAACCCAAAAACTATGTGATCATTTCAATAGATGCTGAAAATGTGTCCAATAAAATTCAACATATTTTTATGATAAAAACTCTCAACAGATTGCATATAGAAGGAACATACCTCAAAACAATAAATGCCATATGTTACAAACCCACAGCTAACATCATATTGAATGGGGAAAAACGGAAAGCCTTTAAGATATGGAAAAAAATAAGGATGCCCACTTTTACCACTTTCATTCAACATTGTGTGGGAAGTCTTAGCCAGAGCAATTGGGGAAGAGAAAGAAATAGAGGCATCCAAGTTGGAAAGAAAGAAGTCAAATTATCCTTATTTGCAGATGACATGATCCCATATTTAGAAAAACCTAAAGACTCCATCAAAAAAAAATGTTAGAATTGATAAACAAATTCAGTAAACATTCAGGATACAAAATCAACATGCAAATATCAGCAGCATTTCTATATCCCAACAGTAAACAATCTGAAAAACAAATCATGAAAGCAATTCCATTTATAATACTACAAAAATAAAATTAAATACCAAGGAATAAACTTAACCAAAGAAATGAAAGAAATCTACAATAAAAAACTATAAAACAATAATGAAAAAAATTCAAGAGAACATAAAAAAGTGAAAAGATAAACTATGCTCATTGTTTAAAAGAATTAATATTGTTTAAATGTGCATAGTGCCCAAAGCAATCTACAGGTTTCATGCAATTCATATTAAAATACAAATGGTATTTTTCACAGATGTAGGAAACAAATCCTAAAATTTTAATGGAACCAAAAAGATCCTGAATAGCCAGAGGAAATCTTAGCAAAAAGAACAAATCTGGAGGAATCACACTACCAGACTTGAAATATACTACAGAGCTATAGTAACCAAAACAGCATGGTATTGGTACAGAAACAGACATATTGACTAATGGAGCGACATAGAGAACCTGGAAATAAATCCACAAATTTACAGCCAACTCATTTTCAACAAAGGCATCAAGAACATACATTGGGGAAAGGATAGTCTCTTTAATAAATGGTAGTGGGAAACTAGCTAAATATCTATATGCAGAAAAATGTAACTAGATCCCTATTTCTCACCATTTACACAAATCAAATCAAAATGGATTAAAGACTTGAAACTCCTGGAAGAAAACATTAAGAAAGTATTTTAGGCAGTGGTCTGTTAAAAGACTATGTAAGTAAGGCTTCAAAAACACAGACAACAAAAGCAAAAATAGACAAATGGAATAACATCAAGTCAAAAAATTTCTATACAGCAAATGAAACAACTAACAGAATGAAGAGACAACCTACAGAATAGAAGAAAATATCTGCAAACTATTCTTCTGACTAGGTATTAATAAGAAGAATATATAACAAATTCAAACAACTCAATAGCAACAAAAATAAATAATCCAATAAAAATATGGTCAAGTAATCCGAATAGACATTTCACAAAAGAAAACATATATATTGCCAATGGGTATATGAAAAATGTTCAACATTACTAATCAACAGAGAAATGAAAATCAAAACCACAATGAGATGTTGTCTCACACATGTTAGAATGGCTGTTATCAAAAAGACAAGAGAAAAAGTACAAACAAGGATGTAGAATAAAGAAAACCTTATACACAATTGATGGGAAAGTAGATTGGTGCAGTCATTATAGAAATAAAATGGGCACACTTACAAAAATTAAAAATAAAATTACTATATGATCTAGCAACTCCACTTCTTGGTACATATCCAAGAAATGGAAGACAGAACTGCAAAAAGATATCTGCATTCCCCTGTTCTTTGCAGCATTATTCAGAGTAGCCAAGACATGGAAACAGCCTCAATGTCTTTTGATGAATGAATATATAAATAAATGTGGTAAATATACACAATGGAAAGTTATTTAGCCTTTCAAAGGAAGAATATAGTGCCATTTGCAACAGCATGGATGGACATGTAGGACATTATGCTAAGTGAAACAAGCAAGATACAAAAAAAATACAGCAAAATCTCACTTACATGTAGAATCTAAAATAGTCAAACTCATAATAGCATAGAGAACAGTAGTAGTTTCCAGGGTCTGGGTGCAGGGAGAGGAAATGGGATAATGTTGATCAAAATGTACAAAGTTCCAGTTATGTAAGATTAGTAAGTTCTGGAGACCTAATGCACTGCATGATGACAATAGTTAATACAGTATTGTATATTTGAAATTTGCTAAAAGAATAGATCTTAAATTAAATCTTGGCACACACAAATACACACGCACATATGGTAACTGTAGAGGTGACAGACACATTAATTAACTGGATTTTGGTGTTCATTTCACATTATATCTGTATATCAAAGCATCAAGTTGTACAACTTAAATATATACAACTTTTTATGTGTCAGTGATATCTCCATAGAGCTTTTTTTTTTAAAAAAAGAATTTATTGGTCTATATGTTGATATTTGTTTAAAATGGATAAGTGGTACAAAGGGGTTCAGTACACAATTATCCAGATTTTTGGTATATGCTTAACATTTTTCATAATAAAAAGATTGTTTGGAGATTTGCTTGGGATAGGAAAAGCATAGACCAATATTTTAATAATAGATCTTCTGGAATGTAAAATCGAGTAAGTTCATCTTCATTTCAGAGGCATATGCATTGCTGGAATTTATTTCAATAAATGTTATCAATTTTATAATTCAAAAAATGACAGATACACTTTAAATGTTGCCTATAATAGCTGGCTCCCTATAGGATGTGAGTTATTAGACTATAATTAAGGCTTTCTAACCCTGAGGACACACTTAAATTAATGAGGGCAACTTTCATATAACAGCAGTTCAAGTCCCCCCGACTTTCAAAGATTAATTTAATCTCTCTGGATGGAACTCAGACATGGCATTTTTTTAAGTCCCGGAGGTGTTCCTTACATGGAACATAGACTGGGAATCATTGGTTTGTGTTGTCAGTCACCAGCTCCTCATTGTACATTACAATCATGTGAAAAGCTTTGGAAAATCTCCATTCCCTGGCCCCAAAACAGAGCAGTGTCATGAGAAAGTTTGGAGTTCCTCCAGGAAAACTTTTGGTTTCCTGTGATTAAATAACTCAAATACTTTGCCTTCCAAATTTTTGCAATCTCACTTCCTGCAATGCATTCATTACTGTTTCCTGTGCTCCAGTTTAGATAAGGGATGATCCTTATTCCTGAACTTTCCTTCAGTTAGAATGTAGGACGACACATGGCCTGAGGGACAGAGGCCGCAAGAAGAAACAAGGTAAAATAGAGGACATGGGTGCAGAATTTAAAGCCCGGGAAAAATAGCAAATGTAATGAGAGCTATTATTCCTGATCATTTACTATGTGCCAACACAGTTCTAAGTATGTTACATGTATTATGTTATTTCAACATATCAACAGTCTACAATGTAGGTATTTTTGTTATATCCATTTTAGAGATTAAAACACCAATGCATAAAGAAAGAAAAGTACTCATGATGGGGGTTGGACAGAGCTAGCAGTCTGGCTCTTGAATCCTGAGTCAAACTCTGAAGTTTGGCACCAGATCCTGCTTTCTTAACCACTAGACTACTATCTAGAGCAGAATCTGCAATGTCAGAACTGTACTCATAATAATATTAGCATGCTATTTGCCTTTTTCATTCTCATAAGTATACAGTGGAATTTTTCACTGTATATTTAGAAGGTTGACATAATTCAGTGAACCAATATATTCCCCATATCCAATGCACAATGTTACAAAATCACACTTGAGTGAAAGATGGATTCAAAGTGCAAGATAGACCAATGGATTTTATTGAAACAAAGTACAAAAGTTCATTGATAAGAGTTGCAGATTCCACACTGCAATGAATCTTTAAGAATTTAGCATGCATTGAATTTTGATGTGAGATTAAAGAATATCCACAATTAATTGAAACAGCTATGGAAATGCTCTTTTCAATGTATTTAATTGTATGAGGATATTTAATTTTTTTATGAAAAATATTCCCAGATATTATGCTGCATAGAGATAACAGAAGATTTTTAACTTGGAGTTTCTTCTTTGGCCTTTAAAATACCTAATGATAAAGATAAACATATTTTACTACTCTGTTTATTCCAGGAGTACTTACTCTGAAAGTCTTGGAAATATATAAATCCTTCATCCTTTGTGATGATAAAACATAATTTATGCTGCATTCTTTAAGGGTTATACTTTATTCCTGCCCTTTGCTAGATTCCCTGTTAATGGGCTGATTGTGTGCTCCAGGTTCCTATGTGGAAGCCCTAAATTCCAGTATCTCAGAATGTGACTGCATTTGAAGATAGTGCCTTAAAAAAGGTGATTAATTTAAAATGAAGCCAGTAGAGTGGGCTCTAATCCAGTCCGACTGCTGAACTTATAAGAAGAGAAAATTTGGATGCAGAGATGAGGAGAGAGGCCTCAGAAGAAACCAAACCTGCCAAATCCTTGATCTTTGCTCCCAATCTCACCCATCACTGTAAGAAAAGAAATTCTGTCACTTAAGCCACCCAGTCTGTGGTATTTTCTTATGGCAGCCCTAGCAAATTAATATGCCAACCTAAAATATTTGATTGATATAAAATGTCTTATTTTCTAAAGAAAATTTGTGTGTGGTGGCGGGAGGGGTGCGGGGTGTACTTTCCACACTAGTATTCATGGCAGCTTTTATACTAGCATTTAATATCTCACAAGTTTACAACATGTTTTTATAAACACCCGGGTTCCCCATATCAGCTTAAAAGTTAAGATATTACAAATACAAATGAAGTGTTGAATGGCTTTGACCAAAATGCTGATAGTGATATGAATAATGAAGTCCAGGCTGAGGTGGTCTCAGATGGAAATGAGAAACTTGTTGGGAACTGAGGTGAAGGTCACTCTTGCTATGCAAAGAGACTGGCGACATTTTTCCCCTGCCCTAGAGATTTTTGGAACTTTGAACTTGAGAGAGATGATTTAGGGTATCTGGTGGAAGAAATTTCTAAGTGGCAAAGCATTCAAGAGAAAGCAGAGTATAAAAGTTTGGAAAATTTGAAACCTGATGATGTGATAGAAAAAAAAAGACAAAAAACGTTTTCTGGGGAGAAATCCAAGCTGGCTGCAGAAATTTGCGTAAGTAACAAAGAGCCAAATGTTAACCACCAAGATGATGGGTAAAATGTCTCCAGGGCATGTAAGAGACCTTTATGGCAACCCCTCCCATCACAGGCCCAGAGGCCTCGGAGTAAAAAATTGTTTCTTGGGCTGGGCCCAGGGCCCCCCTACTCTATGCAGCCTAGGCACATGGTTCCCTGCATCCCAGCTGCTTCAGCTCCAGCTGTGGATAAAAGGGGCCAATATACAGCTCAGGCCATTGCTTCAGCAGGTGCAAGTCCCAGACTTTGGTGGCATACATGTGGTGCTGGGCCTGCAGGTACACAGAAGTCAAGAATTGAGATTTGGGTGACCTAGATTTCAGAGGGTGTGTGGAAATGCCTGAATGTCCAGGCAGAAGTTTGCTACAGAGGTAGGACCCTCATGGAGAACCTCTGCTATGGCAGTGTGCAAGGGAAAGGTAGGGTCAGAGTCCCCACGTAGAGTTCCCACTGGAGCACTGCCTATTGGAGCTGTGAGAAGAGGGCCACTGTCCTCCAGACCCCAGAATGGTAGATCCACTGATAGCTTGCACCATGCACCTGGAAAAGCTACAGTCAATGCCAGCCCATGAAAGCAGTTGAGAGGAAGCCTGTACCATGCAAAGCAACAGGGGTAGAGCTGCCCAAGGCCATGAAAGTCCACCTCTTACATCAGTGTTACTTGGATGAGAGACATGGAGTCTAAAGAAATCATTTTGAAACTTTCAGGTTTAATGACTGCCCTATTGGATTTCAGACTTGCATAGGGCTGTAGCCTTTTTGTTTTTACCAATCTCTCCCATTTGGAACAGATGTATTCACCCAATGCCTGTAACCATTGTATCTAGGAAGTAATTAACTTACTCTTGATTTTACAGGCTCATAGGCCAAAGGGACTTGCTTTGTCTCAGATGAGACTTTGGACTTGGACTTTTGAGTTAATGCTGGAATGAGTTAAGGCTTTGGGGGACAGTTGGAAAGGCATGATTGTGTTTTGAAATGTGAAGACATGAGGTTTGGGAGGGTCCAGGGGCTGAATGATATGGTTTGACTATGTCCCCACCCAAATCTCATCTTGAATTGTAGTTCCCATAATCCCCACATGTCTTGGGAGGTACCCAATGGGAGGTAATTTAATTATTGAGGTGATTACCCTCATGCTGTTCTCATGATAGCGACTGAGTTCTCACAAGATCTGATGGCGTTATAAATGGCTTTCCCCCACCTTTGCTCAGCACTTCTCCTTCCTGCCATTATGTGAAAAACTACGTGTTTGCTTCCCATTCTGCCATTATTATAAGTTTTCTGAGGCATCCCCAGCCATGCAGAACTGTGAGTCAATCAAACCTGTTTCCTTTATAAATTACCCAGTCTCGGGTAGTTCTTTATAGCAGCATGAGAACAGACTAATACAAATGTCCTGGAGTTTTTCCCAATGTTTTCTTGCAGCAGTTTCATAGTTTGAGGTGTTAGATTCAAGTGTTTACTCCATTTTTACTTTACTTTTGTATATGGTGGGAGATATGTGTCTAGTTTCATTTTTCTGCTATGAATATTCAGTTTTCCCAGCACCATTTATTGAAGGGACTATCTTTTCCCCAGTGTATATTCTTGGCAACTTTGTCAAAAATTAATTCACTGCAGGTGTGAAGATTTGCTTCTTGGTTCTTTATTGTGTTACATAAGTCTATGTATCTGTTTTTATGCCTCTACTGTGCTGTTTTGGTTACTATAACTCTGTAGTATAATTTGAAATCAGGTGATGTGATTCCTCCAATTTTTTTCTTTTTGCTCAAGATAGCTTTGGCTATTCTGGGTCTTTTGTCATTTCTGTAAACTTCAGGATTTCTTTTTTATATTTCTGTGAAGAATGTCATTGGTATTTTGATAGAGATTACATTGAATCTGTAGATTGATTGGGGTAGTATGAACATTTTAACAATATTTATTTTTCCAATTCATCAACATAAAATATTTTCTCATTTTTTCGTGTTTCTCTTCAGTTTCTTTCATCAGTGTTTTAGAGTTTTCATTGTGGAGGTCTTTTACTTCTTTGGTTAAGTTAACTCCTAGGTATTTAATTTTACATGTGGCTATTGTATATAGGATTACTTTTTGATTTCTTTTTCACCTTGTTCCCTGTTGCCATATAGAAATGCTACTGATTTTTGCACTTTGATTTTGTATCCTGCAACTTTACTCAGTTTGTTTATCAGTTCTAATAATTTTCCTGTGAAGTCTTATAGGTTTTTTCCTAAAATAAGATCATATCTGCAAACAAGGATAATTTGATATTCCTTTCCATTTAGGATGCCCTTCCTGTCTTTATGTTGTCTGAATGCTCTAGCTAGGACTTTTATTGACTCTCTGGCCATTCAGAAGCATAGTTTAAAATTTCCATGTATTTGTATAGTTTCCAAAATTTCTCTTGCTATTAATTTCTAGTTTTATTCCATGGTGATCAGAGAAGATGCTTGATATTATTTCATGTTTTTAAACGTTTTAAGACTTGCTTTGTGACCTAGTATATCGTCTATCCTTGAAAATGATCCATGCGCTAAGGAAAATAATGTGTATTCTACAGGTCTTGGATGAAATGTTCCATAAATATCTATTAGATTCATTTGGTCTATAGTGCAGATCAAATCTGATGTTTCTTTGTTGATTTTTTGTCTGGAAGATCTGTTCAATGTTAAATGTAAAATGTCTTCAGCTATTATTTTTGGGGGGCCTATCTTTCTCTTTAGCTCTAAAAATATTTCCTTTATATATCTGGGTGTTCCCATGTTGAGTGCATATATATTTAAAATTGTTATATCCTCTTGCTGAATTGACCCCTTTGTCATTATATAGTGATGTTCTTTGTATCTTCTTAAATTTTTTGTCTTGAAATCTATTTTGTCTGATATATGTATAGTGACTCCTGCTCTCTTTTGGTTTCCATTGACATGGAATATCTTTTTCCATCCCTTTATTTTCAGTCTATGTGTGTCTTTATAGGTGAAGTGCTTTTCCTGTAGGCAACAGATAAATAGGTCTTGTTTTTTCCATGCATTTAGCCAGTCTGTATCTTTTGTTTAAAGAGTTTAGTCCATTTACATTGCAGTTATTATTGATAAGAAGTACTCCTGCCATTTTGTTATTTGTTTTCTGGTTGTTGTGTGGTCTTCTCTTCCTTCTGTCTTTCCTTCGTGTCTTCGTTTAGTGAAGGTAATTTTCTCTGGTAACATGATTTAGTTTCTTCCTCTTTCTTTTTCCTGTATCCATTGTATGTTTTTTGGCTTTAGGTTACCATGAGACTTGCAAATACTATCTTATAACCCATTATTTTAATCTGATAACAACTTAATATTATTTGCATAAACAAACAAGTAAAAACAAAACTAATAAAAACTCTATGCCTTAACTTTATCCCCCAACTTTTTAACTTTTCATTATTTATATTCATATCTTACTGTACTGACTATGTCTTGAAAAATGGTTGTAGCTCTTTATTACTATTGGTTCATGGTTTAGTCCTTCTACTTAGGATAAAAGTAGTTTATATACCACAGTTACAGTGTTATAATATGCTGTATTTTTCTGTTTACTTACTATTACTAATGAGTTTTGTAACTTCAGGTGATTATTTATTGCTCATTAATATTCTTTTCTTTCTGTTTGAAATATTCCCTTTAGCATTTCTTGTAGGACAGGTCTGGCATTGATGAAATCCCTCAGCTTTTTGTCTGGGAAAGTTTTTATTTCTCCTTCATGTTTGAAGGATGTTTTCACTGGATAAACTATTCTGGGTTAAAAGTTATTTTATTTTAGTACTTTAAATATGTCATGCCACTCTCTCCTGGCCTGTAAGGTTCCCACTGAAAAGTCTGTTGTCAGACATATTGGAGCACCATCATTTGTTATTTTTTTCTTCACTCTTGCTGTTTTTAGAACCCTTTCTTTATCCTTTACCTTTGGGAGTTTGATTATTAAATGCCTTGAGGTAGTCTTCTTCGAGTTTATTCTGCTCGGTGTTCTATAACCTTGTACTTGGATATTGATATCTTTCTCCATGTTTGGGAAGCTCTCTGTTATTATCACTTTAAAGAAACTTTCCACCCCTGTCTCTTTCTCTACTTCCTCTTTTAGTCCAATAACTCTTAGATTTGCCCTTTTGAAGCTATTTTTTAGAAGCTGCAGGCAAACTTCATTGGTTTTCATTATTTTTTCTTTTGTCTCTGACTGTGTGTTTTCAGATAGCCTGTCTTCAAGCTCACTATTTTTTCTGCTTGATCCATTCTGCTAATAAAGGAATCTGAAGCATTTTTCAGTATGCCAGTTGTATTTTTCAGATCTAGAATTTATGATTGATTCTATTTCATTGTTTCAATCTCTTTGTTAAATTTATGTGATGGAATTCTGAATTCCTTCTCTATGTAATATTGAATTTCTTTGAGTTTCCTCAACACAGCTATTTTGAAATCTCTGTCTAAAAGGTGTCATATCTCTGTTCGTCCAAAATTGGTCCCTGGCAGCTTATTGAGTTCATTTGGTGAGGTCAATGCTTTCCTGGGTGATGCTGATGCTAGTAGATGTTCTTCGGTGTCTGAGCATTGATGTTAGGTATTTACTGTAGCCTGCTCTATATGGGCTTATTTGTAGCCATCTTTCTTGGGAAGGCTTTCCAGATATTTAAAAGAACTTGGGTGTTATGATGTAAGCTTTATCTTTAGGGAGCACCACAAGCCCAGTAAATTTGTGGTTCTTGCTGACTTGTGGAAGTACCACCCTGATGGTCTAAGAGATCCAGAAGAATTCCCTGGAAAATCAGGTAGAGACTCTTGTTCTCTTCTATTACTTTCTCCCAAACATATAGAGTCTCTACCTCTGTTCTGAGCCACCTAAGGCTGGGGATGGAGTGACACAAGCACCCCTGTGACCACCACTACTATGACTGTGCTGGGTCAGACTTGATGCCAGCACAGTGCTGGGCCTCACCCAAGGTCTGCTAAACTACTCTCTGACTAGGGCTCCACAATCCACAGGTGGGAATGTCAGTCAGGCCTGTGTTCTTCCCTTCAGGGCTGTGAGGTCCCCCAGGCTCTGGTTAGATTCAGAAGTGCTGGCCAGGAGTCAGGGACTATAGTCAAAATCCATATATGTAAGTCTACCTGGTGTTCTATTGTATTGCAGCCAAGCTGGCACTCAAACCACAAGACGCAGTCCTTCACACACTTCCCTTCCTTTTCCAAAGGCAGAGGAGACTTACCCCATAGCCACTGTGCTACCCCAGGCCCAGGACTACTGCCAGCCTACCACTAATGTTCTTTTAAGCCCCAAAGACTCTTAAGTCAGCTTGTCTTAAATGCTGCCTGGCCTGGGACTCACCCTTCAGGACAGTGGACTCCTCTCTGGCCCATGGCTGGCCAGAAATGCCATCCAAGGGTCAAGTCCTGGAATTGGGGACCCCAAGTGCCCACTTGGCACTCTACCCCTCTGTGGCTGTGCTGGCACCTAAGGTGGAAAAAAAAACCCAAAAAACCTTTACTTTTTTTTTCTGCTTTTCTCAAGCAGAAGGAGTTTTTCCTCATAGCCACCACAGCTAGTAATGTGTGAGTCTCACCTGAAGCCAGCAAGTCTCAGAGGCTCACCCAAGGCCCTCGATGTAATACCTGGGCATAGCTACAGGTTATTCAGCATCCAAGGACCCTTCAGTTAGTAGGTGATTAATGCTGCCAGGACTGGGTCCTTTCCTTCATTGCAGTGGGTTCCCTTCTGGCCAGAGTGTGTCTACAAATGTTGTCTAGGAGCTAGGGCCTGGAATCCGGGCTCATGACTCTGACTGGTACCCTATCCTGCTGTGGCTGGGCTGGTATCCTAGATGCAAGACAAAGCCCTCCCCACTCTCTCCTCTGTTCTCCTCAAGCAGAAGGAAGGGGTCTGTTTTGGAGCCATGAGCTGTGCAGCCTGGGGTTAGGGGAGGGGTGATGCCAGCACTCCCTTGGCTGCCCAAGCTGGTTAGTCACATGTCCCCTCAGTGCAGTCTCTCTGGGCCTAGTTCAGCACTGGGACTCACCTAAGAGTTGCAGTCCTTATGGCCTAGACTACCTTTCAAGTTTACTTGGAGGCACAGAGTGCTATAGTCCTTGGTGGTGAGGTCTGTGAGCACTCAAGTTCAGACCATTGTGACTGGTAATTCCCATCTGACTAGGGCTGGTTTAAATGCTCCCTCCATGGGCCAGCATCAGCTGAGTTTAGTCTGGTTTTCCTTTCTGCTCTAACAAGACAACACTGAGTTCAATGCCTCACATTGCCATGTTCTCCCTCACCTGGAGCACAGAGATGCTCTCTGCACCACACCACTGCTGCCATGGGTAGGGGAAGAGGGTAGCACTGGAGATTTGGGGCTTTTTTCCTATCTCTTCAGTGCCTCTTTCAGCTATATGAAGTTAAAACCAGATACTGTGAATGCTCACCTGACTTTTGGTTCTTATGAAGATGTTGTTAACTTGGTGTCCTTGCAGCCATGGATGATCTGTGGAGTTTTCTATTTTGCCATGTTGTTCTGCCTCTCCTGGGGCATATTTCTATATCATTGAATATTCAAGCTTTTAGTAGAAAAAGGTTGGGAAAAAATTGGAGGAATTGATGAAGTATCTTTAATTTAAGTAGGTCTAACAAATGTCTGATTCATGGAACATGTTTTGTTTTAAAGTTATGTCCCATATAAACGGAGTCTAAAACATTAATATTTTACAAACAGTATTGGTATGCGGGTGAGATCTCTATTGTATAAGAGTTATTCATTTTCCTCAGGAGTAAAAAATATTAAATGAATTATTCACAAGAATATAGAATGTGTTTAGGTAATGAAGGCTCCACCCTTATGAATGGATTAATGCCATTCTGAAAGGACTTGATTCTCCCAGCCTTTAGAAATGGAAGAAACAAATTTCTGATTATTATAAATTACCTTGTCTCAGGTATTTTATTATAGCAGTACAAATGGCCTGAGGCAGGGGCAGAATCCAAGAAGTGTGTGTCCTAGATTTCATATCAGTTCAAGGTTAATAATGTAGTGAGAGTATGGCCAATCTGGAGTAAGGTCTCAGTTACAGCTAAATCTATGCAAGCCCTGCTCCTACAGACCCTGCAATTGAGGCATCAACCACACCCTGCTGGTGTTATTATGGAAAATCTTTGAGAACTGAGGCCAAGAGTATTTAGAAGTGTAGCCAAATATGAACTAATTGTTTCTCCTTGGGAGGAGTTTGTTCCATGGATTAAGGGAGAAAGAGCAAAGAAGGAATTTGCGATACGTAAAGTTTTTTGACCTGCATACTCAAAAGAGTTTGTAAACTTCTTGTTTCTCCTGCTGCTGACTCAAGTCGGAACCAGTGTAGTTAATAAATCATGTCATGCATGTTCATTCTAGCCTGTTCATTTTCCACCAAGTGGGAAAAAGGAGACCTGGGAAAAGATGGAAGTTTATTTCCTGGTAACTGTGATTAGAGCAGCCATAGCAGCCTTTAATTAGATTGCTTTCCTTGTCCTTTCTGTTTACCAGGAGTTTCAGTCACCTATAGGTTAGGTGGAAGGGGAACAGAAGGTCTTAGTTAATGCAGATCATTAAAGAGAAAAAAATAACTTGATTCTGATTTGGATAAATTGTGTTCATTGGGTCAATTTCCAATTTGAGGCTCAATAGTAAGTATATACCCCGAAGATCTCATGTCTCAAGCAGCTCTGGCTGATTTCCTGCTTGTTTTTTAATTCACTATTATGTATACAATATCACCCTCTGCTTTCTTGAGAAAATAATGTCAAGCTCCCACAGAGAAACTCCTCATGTGGGTAGGAGCCAAATTGGAATAAAGTAACCCCCATGCTAAATCTCCCATCTGTGTGCTTGTATATCTTTGAGAGCTTTGTTTTAGGACTCATATTAATTAGTGAACTGAACCAGTTAACTCAGGCTCATGACTTATCTGCCACCTGAGACTTTGAAAGTAAGAAAAATGCACAGGGCAGTGTAAGATATCAGGAAGTGACGGGGGAAGGCAGAGGAACTGACAGTGATGCCCAGTCTAATGTCTCTCAAAAACAATCAGACAAACAAACTACTTTGCTGGCCAAATCCTAAATTGTAGTTTGGCGTGATTAGACACAAAAGTCTCCATTTGCAACCATATACAAATAGTGTTGTCTTCCCTATGCACTACTTTTTAGAGGCAAACATCTTATTAATACAAATTAAGAACTTAAAACAATTTATTATAAGCAGAAGTATTTCATCGTGATCAAAGTGGGGAATATGAAAACACTCAATTAGAGTTACATTCCAGCTCTGCCAATTATTAGCTCTGTACGTCACCTTTCTCTTACCAGGTCCATGTTTTGGGCAAGTTGTTTAACCTCCCTATACCCAGTTTTTCCATCTGTAAAATGGAAAAACTACTTACCTATATAAATTGTGAGAATTAAATATTTATTATGTGTAAAGTGCTTATAATTACACCTGGCATATAGAGAGCAAGCATTACAAATGTATTATTATTATATTACTTTTTCTTTTTAAAATGAAAGTCTATTGTTAACTTGATATTTCAGGTTTATATCAGACCTGTATTATTCAATTTTTCAGAAGCTATTCAATTGCATTGCCTTTTAAAAAATACTTAAAACATAATTCTATTTCAATTTTGAATTAACAGAAATAGAAGAAACATATTCATTACAGCTAACCCTTAAGCTAAGGATCTCCCACAGCAGTGATTGTCAAACTTAATTGTACATCAGAATCACCTGGAGCATTGTTCAACTACAAATTGCTGGGCCCATCCTCAGAGTTTCCCATGCAATATGCTTAGGGTAGAGCCAAAAATATTGTATTTCTAAGTATTTCAAATATAATATTAATGCTGCTGCTCTGAGGACCACTCTTGAAAACCATTGTCTTAGTAAATGAAATCTACTGTTTGTTGGGGAAATAATTTTGGAAATTTAAACAGTAAATTTATTCTGTGTATGCATGTCCATATATAAAGTGATTATTTAAAAGATGTGTAAAATTAATAATATGTAATTTGCTATGTAATTACAAAGGTAAGATTTACGTTTACATAAATAAAAATTATGTAAATACAAATATGCAGGAGGTTTAACATCCATGTAACACTTTTAATTACATGTTAAGTGATTTTAAAGCAACCAACAGAAAAATGATTCAACAAGCAGTTACAAATTGTCCTGAAACAGATGAAAAATAGCAAAACAGAAATAGAATTTAGTTAAAGGAAACAAATCGAAATGATAGATCTGAAAAATAACGTAAGATAAATTTTTAAAGCTTGCTAGATTGGCTCAGTAGTAGAATGGAGATGGCAGAGAATAGAATCGTTAAGTTCCAATCTGAATACTGATTTACAGATAGGAAGCAGTTATTCCAATCTGAATAACGGAGAGAAAATAGACTGAAAAAAACATATGAATAGAGTCTCAAGGACCTGTAGAATAATAAACCATCCAACATTTATGACATTAGAGAGGTAGGTTGAAAGAGCATTAAAAAATAATGATGTTTAAAACTTTCCAAATCTGGCAAAATATATAAGCCCACAGATTCAAAACACTGACATGTGTTTACATGGAAAATCCCAAGAAATCTACAAACCAAATAAACAAAACTTCTAAAACTAGTAAATGAGGTTAGCCAGGCCACATGACACATATCAAGGCATGAAAATCAATAGCATTTCTACTAACAATGAGCAGGTAGAAAACAAATTTTAAAGTGCCGTAACATTTATAATCACTCCAAAGAAAATTAAATACTTAGGTATTCATTAAAAAGTCTTAATTTTAGGTAGAATTGTTTCTCTCATTCACTTAAACATGTACAGAATCTGTACGCTGAAAATTATAAAATTCTGGTTAAAGGAATGAAGGAATAAAGGAATGAAGGAAGATAGAAATATAACAATAATTCTTCCCAAATTGATTTCTAAGTTTAATGTAATTCCTGTAAAATCCTCAAAATTGTTTTCTGTAGACCTAGAGCTTATCAGAAAATTTACTTATCATAAAATTATCATAAAATTTATTCTAGGGGCACAGGCCCTAGAATAATTTTTAAAAATGAAAAAAAAGTTAAGAGAGATCTCAGTATACCGAATAGTAACATCTAAGAGTTACAATAATGAGCACTGTGTGATATTGATAGAGGCATAGACATAGAGGTCAATGGGAAAGGGTAGAAAAATAGACCTGCACAAACTTGTTCAACTGATTTTTGACAAAGGTACAAAAGCAATTCGATGAAGGAAAAATTGACTTTTCAACAAATGGTGTGGAAGTAATTAGACATCCAAGGCAAAATTTTACATGGCTTAACCTCACACTTTACACAAAAAAGTTATATGCAAACATGTCAGATATATAAATGTAAAACATAAAATTATAACAATTTAAGAAAAAAATAGGAGAAAATCTTCATGATCTAGGATTAAGCAAAGACTTTATAAACTTGATAACAAAACCACAATACATAAAAGGAAAAAATAATTTGACCGCAACAAAATTTAAAACTTTTTTTTACTCTGCAAAAGGTCCTCTGATGTGAATGAAAAGATAAGCCACAGATTAGGAGAAAATAATTGCCAATTGCATGTAAAAAGTACCCAGAATACAGAGATTGTGGTCAAAATTCAATACCCAAACAAAGAACAACTGTGCATCTAGACTTCCTTATCAAGTGAAAATATGCTTAAACATTGAAGGTAATATAAAGATAATTTGAGGTAAATTAAAATAAAGAATTTGCCACCACCGTACCTGGACTACAAGTAATGCTAAAGAAAGCTTTTCAGGCTGAAGCAAAATTAGACCAACTGCAAACTTCTATGCCTATGAAGAAATAAAGACTTTTTTTAATCTTAATTCCTTTTAATTTTTAAAGCAAAAATTATAGTACAATTATAAACAACAGGGTTTATAACATGTAAAGATGTGCTATACATAAAAACTGTAACACAATGATTGTGCATAGAGTAAATGGACCCATATATTTCAGTCTTTCTACTTTTATAATAATTGGTATAATACTACCTCTAATATGCTGTAAAACATTAAGGATTTATACTATAATCCAGAAAAAAAAAACCCACTAAAAATTATGTAAGCAGTACTGTAGAACAAATGGACTCAATAAATATTTACATAACATTTCTTCCAAAGGCTGCAGAATACAGATTCTTCTCCTCAGCATATGGATTATTCTCAAGGATAGACTACATGTTACATCACAAAACAGATCTTAAAACATTCAAAAAATTGAAATAATATCAAGCATCTTCTCTGAACACAATGCAATAAAACTAGAAATCGAAGAATACTGGAAACTATACAAACACAGGAAGAATAAATATGCTCCTGAATGACCAGTGGGTCAATGAATAAATTAAAAAGAAAACTGAAAAATTTCTTCAAACAAATAATAATGGAAACATACTATTCCAAACCTATGGGATACAGCAAAAGTAGTACCAAAAGGGAAATTTATAGCTATAAGTGATGACATAAAAAAGAAGAAAAACTTGATAAATAATGATACATGTTAAAGAACTAGAAAAGCAAGAGCAAACTGATCATAAAGTTAGTAGAAGAAAATAAATAATAAAGATTAGAGCAGAAATAAATGAATTTGAAATGAATAAACAATACAAAATATCAGTGAAACAAAAAATTTGTTTTTTTGAAAATATCAACAAAATTCACAAACCTTTTATAAGACTAATGAAGAAAATAAGGGAGAAGACCAAAATAAATAAAATAAGAGATGAAAAGGGAGACATTACATTTGATACTGCAGAAATACAAAGGATAATTGGTGGCTATTAAGAGCGACTATATGCCAATAAATTGGAAAATGTGCAAGATATGGATACATTTCTAGACACATGCAACACACCAAGACTGAACCATGAAGAAATCCAAAACCTGAACAAACCAATAACAATTAATGAGATTAAAGCCATTAAATTAAAAAGTCTCTCAATAAAGAAAAGCCTGAGACCCAACTGATTCACTGCTGAATTCTACCAAACATTTAAAGAAGAACTAATACCAATCCTACCCAAACTATTTTTTAAAAAAGAGGATAAAAAAATACTTCCAAATTCATTTACAAGGCCATTGTTACCTTAATATTAAAACCAGACAGACATACCAAAAAAAGAAAACTATAGGCTAATATATCTGATGAATATTAATGCAAAAGTTCTCAATAAAATACTAGCAAACCACATTGAACAATACATTATAAAGATCGTTCATCATGACCAAGGGGGATTTATCCCAGTGATGCAAGAATGGTTCAACAAAAACAAATCAATCAACATGATACATCATATCAGTAGAATGAAGGACAAAAGCCATATGATAATTTAAGTAGATGCTGAAAAGCACTTGATAAAATTCAACATCCCTTCATCATAAAAACCCTCAAAAAACTAGGTATAGAAGTGACATGCCTCAACATAAAAAAAAAAAAAAAAAAAACCTGTATGACAGACCCACAGCTAGTATCATACTGAATGGGGGAAAACTGAAAACATTTCCTCTAAGCTCTTAGAAGATCTGAATGTTATTAATGAACCTAAGCTAATAGATATTTATAGAACACCACACCCAAGAACTATAGAATACATGTTATTTTCAGTTACAAACAGTATGTTCACTAAGATAAACCACATACTAGGCATTAAAACAAGTTTTCATAAATTTAAAAGAATTTGAATCAAGAGGGAGGTTCCAAGATGGCCGAATAGGGACAGCTCCAGTCTGCAGCTCCCAGCGTGAGCAACACAGAAGACGGGTGATTTCTGCATTTCCAACTGAGGTACTGGGTTCATCTCACCAGGACTTGTCAGACAGTGGGTGCAGCCCACAGAGCAGGGTGCAGCATGACCTCATCCAGAAAGTGCAAGGGGTCAGGGAATTGCCTTTCCTAGTAAAGGGAAGCCATGACAGATGGTACCTGGAAAATTGGGACACTCCCACCCTAATACTGCATTTTTCCAACAGCCTTAGAAAATGGCACACCAGGATATTATATCCCACACATGGTTCAGAGGGTCCCATGCCCACAGAGCCTCACTCACTGCTAGCACAGCAGTCTGAGATGGAACTGCAAGGCGGCAGCGAGGCTGGGGGAGGGGCGGCAGCGAGGCTGGGGGAGGGGCGGCAGCCATTGCTGAGACTTGAGTAGGTAAACAAAGCAGCCAGGAAGCTCCAACTGGGTGGAACCCAGCGCAGCTCAAGGAGGCCTGCCTGCCTCTGTAGATGCCACCTCTGGGGTCAGGGCATAGCTGAACAAAATGCAGCAGAAAATTCTGCAAACTTAAACATCCCTTTCTGACAGCTTGGAAGAGAGTAGTGGTTCTCCTAGCACAGAGTTTGAGATCTGAGAACGGACAGACTGCCTCCTCAAATGGGTCCCTGACCCCCGAATAGCCTAACTGGGAGACACCTCCCAGTAGGGACTGACTGACACCTCATACAGCCGGGTGCCCCTCTGAGAAGAAACTTCCAGAGGAAGGATCAGGCAGCAACATCTGCCATTTTGCAATATTTGCTGTTCTGCAGCCTCTGCTGGTGATACCTAGGCAAACAGCCTCTGGAGTGGACCTCCAGCAAACTCTGACAGACCTGCAGCTGAGGGTCCTGACTGTTAGAAGGAAAACTAACAAACAGAAAGGACATCTACACCAAAACCCCATCTGTACGTCACCATTATCAAAGACCAAAGGTAGATACAACCACAAAGATGGGGAGAAAGCAGAGCAGAAAAGCTGAAAATTCTAAAAATCAGAACACCTCTTCACCTCCAAAGGAACGCAGCTCCTCGCCAGCAATGGAACAAAGCTGGATGGAGAATGACTTTGACAAGTTGGGAGAAGAAGGCTTCAGATGATCGGTAATAACAAACATCTCCGAGCTAAAGGAGTATGTTCGAACCCATCGGAAAGAAGCTAAATCCTTGAAAAAAGATTAGACGAATGGCTAACTAGAATAAACAGCATAGAGAAGTCCTTAAATGACCGGATGGGCTGAAAACCATGGCACAAGAACTATGTGACTCATGCACAAGCTTCGGTAGCCAATTTCATCAAGTGGAAGAAAAGGTATCAGTGATTGAAGATCAAATGAATGAAATGAAGCAAGAAGAGAAGTTTAGAGAAAAAAAGAGTAAAAAGAAATGAACAATGCCTCCAAGAAATATGGGACTATGTGAAAAGACCAAATCTACATCTAATTGGTGTACCTGAAAGTGATGGGGAGAATGGAACCAAGTTGAAAAACACTCTGCAGGATATTATCCAGGAGAACTTCCCCAACCTAGCAAGGCAGGCCAGCATTCAAATTCAGGAAATACAGAGAATTCCACAAAGATACTCCTCGAGAAGAGCAACTCCAATACACATAGTTGTCAGATTCACCAAAGTTGAAATGAATGAACAAAAGTTAAGGGCAGCCAGAGAGAAAGGTCAGGTTACCCACAAAGGGAAGCCCATCAGACTAACAGCAGATCTCTCGGCAGAAATTCTACAAGCCAGAAGAGAGTGGGGGCCAATATTCAACATTCTTAAAGAAAAGAATTTTCAACCCAGTAGTTCATATCCAGCCAAATTAAGCTTCATAAGTGAAGGAGAAATAAAATCCTTTACAGACAAACAAATGCTGAGAGATTTTGTCACCACCAGGCCTGCCTTACAAGAGCTCCTGAAGGAAGCACTAAACATGGAAAGGAACAACTGGTAGCTGCCACTGCAAAAACATGCCAAATTGTAAAGACCATCAATGCTAGGAAGAAACTGCATCAACTAACGAGCAAAATAACCAGCTAACATCATAATGACAGGATCAAATTCACACATAACAATATTAACCCTAAATGTAAATTGGCTAAATGCTCCAATTAAAAGACACACACTGGCAAATTTGATAGAGAGTCAAGACCCATCAGTGTGCTGTATTCAGGAAACCCATCTCATGTGCAGGGACACACATAAGCTCAAAATAAAGAGATGGAGGAAGGTCTACCAAGCAAATGGAAAGCAAAACAAAGCAGGGGTTGGAATCCTACTCTCTGATAAAACAGACTTTAAACAAACAAAGATCAAGAGAGACAAAGAAGGCCATTATTAATGGTAAAGGGATCAATTCAACAAGAAGAGCTAACTATCCTAAATATATATGAACCCAATACAGGAGCACCCAGATGCATAGAGCAAGTCCTTGGAGACCTACAAAGAGACTTAGGCTCCCACACAATAATAATGGGAGACTTTAACACCCAACTGTCAACATTAGACAGATCAACGAGACAGAAAGTTAACAAGGATACCCAGGAATTGAACTCAGCTCTGCACCAAGCAGACCTAATAGACATCTACAGAACTCTCCACCCCAAATCAACAGAATACACATTCTTCTCAGCACCACACCGCACTTATTCCAAAATTGACCACATAGTTGGAAGTAAAGCACTCCTCAGCAAGTGTAAAAGGACAGAAATTATAACAAACTGTCTCTCAGACCACAGTGCGATCAAACTAGAACTCAGGATTAAGAAACACTCAAAACTGCTCAACTACATGGAAACTGAACAACCTGCTCCTGAATGACTACTGGCTACATAACGAAATGAAAGCAGAAATAAAGATGTTCTTTCAAACCAATGAGATCAAAGACACAGCATACCAGAATCTCTGGGACACATTCAAAGCAGTGTGTAGAGGGAAATTTATAGCACTAAATGCCCACAAGAGAAAGCAGGAAAGATCTAAAATTGACACCCTAACATCACAATTAAAAGAACTAGAGAAGCAAGAGCAAACACATTCAAAAGCTAGCAGAAGGCAAGAAATAATAAGATCAGAGCAGAACTGAGGGAGATAGAGACACAAAAAAACCCTTCAAAAAATCAATGAATCCAGGAGCTGATTTTTTGAAAAGATCAACAAAATTGATACACTGTTAGCAAGACTAATGAAGAAGAAAAGAGAGAAGAATCAAACAGACACAATAAAAAATGATAAAGGAGATATCATGACTGATCCCACAGAAATAAAAACTACCATCAGAGAATACTGTAAACACCTCTGCGCAAATAAACTAGAAAATCTAGAAGAAATAGATTAATTCCTGGACACATACACCCTCCTAAGACTAAACCAGGAAGAAGTTGAATCCCTGAATAGAACGATAATAGGTTATGAAATTGAGGCAATAAGTAATAGCCTACCAACCAAAAAAAGTCCAGGACCAGATGGATTCACAGCCAAAGTCTACCACTGGTACAAAGAGGAGCTGGTACCATTCCTTCTGAAACTATTCCAATCAGTAGAGAAAGAGGGAATCCTCTCTAACTCATTTTATGAGGCCAACATCATCCTGATACCAAAGCCTGGCAGAGACACAACAAAAAAAGAGAATTTTAGACCAATATCCCTGATGAACATCGATGCAAAAATCCTCAATAAAATACTGGCAAACAGAATCCAGCAGCACATCAAAAAGCTTATCCACCATGATCAAGTCAGCTTCATCCCTGGGATGCAAGGCTGGTTCAACATATGCAAATCAATAAACATAATCCATCATATAAACAAAACAAAGACAAAAACCACATGATTATCTCAATAGATGCAGAAAAGGCCTTCGACAAAATTCAACAGCCCTTCATGCTAAAAACTCTCAATAAACTAGATATTGATGGGACATATCTCAAAATAATAAGAGCTATTTATGGCAAACCCACAGCCAATATCATACTGAATGGGCAAAAACTAGAAGCATTCCCTTTGAAAACTGGCACAAGACAGGGATGTTCTCTCTCACCACTCCTATTCAACATAGTGTTGGAAGTTCTGGCCAGGGCAATCCAGCAAGAGAAAGAAATAAAGACTATTAAATTAGGAAAAGAGGAAGTCAAATTGTCCGTGTTTGCAGATGACATGATTGTTTATTTAGAAAACTCCATCATCTCAGCCCAAAATCTCCTTAAGCTGATAAGCAACTTCAGCAAAGTCTCAGGATACAAAATCAATGTGCAAAAATCACAAGCATTCTTATACACCAATAACAGACAAACAGAGAGCCAAATCATGGGTGAACTCCCATTCACAATTGCTTCAAAGAGAATAAAATACCTAGAAATTCAACTCACAAGGGATGTGAAGGACCTCTTCAAGGAGAACTACAAACGACTGCTCAACCAAATAAAAGAGGACACAAACAAATGGAAGAACATTCAATGCTCGTGGATAGGAAGAATCAATATCATGAAAATGGCCATACTGCCCAAGGTAATTTATAGATTCAATGCCATCCCCATCAAGCTACCAATGACTTTCTTCACAGAATTGGAAAAAACTACTTTAAAGTTCATATGGAACCAAAAAAGAGCCTGCATTGCCAAGACAATCCTAAGCCAAAAGAACAAAGCTGGAGGCATCACGCTACCTGTCTTCAAACTATACTACAAGGCTACAGTAACCAAAACAGCATGGTACTGGTACCAAAACAGACATATAGACCAATGGATCAGAATGGAGCCCTCGGAAATAATACCACACATCTACAACCATCTGCTCTTTGACAAACCTGACAAAAACAAGCAATGGGGAAAGGATTCCCTATTTAATAAATGGTGCTGGGAAAACTGGCTAGCCATATGTAGAAAGCTGAAACAGGATCCCTTCCTTACACCTTACACAAAAATTAAAGATGCATTAAAGACATAAATGTTAGACCTAAAACCATAAAAACCCTAGAAGAAAACCTAGGCAATACCATTCAGGACATAGGTATGGGCAAGGACTTCATGACCAAAACACCAAAAGCAATGGCAACCAAAGCCAAAATTGACAAATGGGATCTAATTAAACTAAAGAGCTTCTGCACAACAAAAGAAACTACCATCAAAGTGAACAGGCAACCTACAGAATGGGAGAAAATTTTTACAATCTACTCATCTGACACAGGGCTAATATCCAGACTCTACAAAGAACTCAAACAAATTTACAAGAAAAAATCCAACAACCCCATCAAAAAATGGGCAAAGGCTATGAACAGACACTTCTCAAAAGAAGACATTTATGCAGCCAACAGACATATGAAAAAAATGCCCATAATCACTGGCCATCAGAGAAATGCAAATCAAAACCACAATGAGATACCATCTCACACCAGTTAGGAAGGCGATCATTAAAAAGTCAGGAAACAATAGGTGCTGGAGAGGATGTAGAGAAATAGGAATGCTTTTACACTGTTGGTGGGACTGTAAACTAGTTCAACCATTGTGGAAGACAGTGTGGCGATTCCTCAAGGATCTAGAACTAGAAATACCATTTGACCCAGCCATTCCATTACTGGGTATATACCCAAAGGATTATAAAAAATCATGCTGCTATAAAGACACATGCACACGTATGTTTATTGCAGCACTCTTCACAATAGCAAAGACTTGGAACCAACCCAAATGTCCATCAACGATAGACTGGATTAAGAAAATGTGGCACATATACACCATGGAATACTATGCAGCCATAAAAAATGATGAGTTCCTGTCCTTTGTAGGGGCATGGATGAAGCTAGAAACCATCATTCTGGGCAAACTATTGCAAGGACGGAAAACCAAACACATGTTCTCACTCACTGGTGGGAACTGAACAATTAGAACACTTGGACACAGCGTGGGGAACATCACACACCGGGGCCTGTCGTGAGTTGGGGTGGGGGGATGGAGGAGGGATAGCATTAAGAGATATACCTAATGTAAATGACGAGTTAACGGGTGCAGCACACCAACATGGCACATGTATACCTATGTACATATGTAACCTGCACATTGTACACATGTACCCTAAAACGTAAAGTATAAAAAAAAATAAAGAATTTGAATCATACAGAGTATGCTGTGTAATTACTATGGAATTAAGTTATAAATTAGTGATAATAAAATATTTTTAAATATTTGGAAATTAAACAACACATTTAATAAATAATCTATGGACAAAATAAGATATCAAAAGAGAATTTGCAAAGAATAATAATGAAAGTGCACAACATATCACAATTTGTGGCTGCATCTGGAGTAGTTCTTAAAGGAAAATTTCTTCCTTAAACCAAAGAAGAATAATGTTCTAAAATGAATCATTAGCGTTGCATCTAATAAATCATTAAAAAATCAGAATAAACCAAATGTATATATAAGAAAGAAAATAAATATAAGCAAAGAACTCAATGAAATATAAACCTCTATACAAAACATCCATAAAATTAATAAGCCTAGCTAGACTTACCAAGAAGAAAAATGGAGAAAAAATAAATTATAGTTATTAGGAATTGAATAAATAAGATAAAATAAATAAATTTACTGAAAGCACAATATGCAACTTGCCAAAAATTGATGCAAGGTAAAACAGAAAACTAAATGGTCCTGTATCTGACACACTATTCAGTTTGCTGTCAAAATCCTATCCATATGGAAATCTCCAGGCCAAGTTTATTAACTAGCAAATGAAATAAATAAATAGTACCGATATTACAAAAACTCTTTGACAAAATATAAAAGGAAGATGCACTTTATAATTGGTTTTACGATGCCGGTATAACTTTAATTTCAAAACCTAACAAAGATATTACTAAAAAAGGAAAATTATATAAACAAAGGAACAAAAAAGACTTTAACACAATACTAGCAATTTTACTATATATATAAGAATACATCTCAATTAAAGGACTTATTCTAAGAATGCATGGCTGGTTTAACATTCACAAGCCAACCAATGTAAGTCACCATATTAACAAAATAAAAGACAGAAACAATGCAATCACTTAAAAAATTATGAAAATAACTTATAAAAATTTATTCATGATAACAATTCTCAGCAAACTAGGAATAGTAAGAAACTTTCTCAACCTGACAAAGGGCGTCTATGAAAAATCTGCTTAATGCAGAAACACTGAGAACTGTTCCTCTGAGATCTGAAAAAAGCCAAGGATACCCACTTCTACCATTTATTTTGAATATTCTACTGAAGGTCCTTGCTAATTGCAGTAAGGGATTAAAAATATTTAGAAGACTAAAGTTATAAAAGAAATGAATAAAACTATGTCTATATATAGATGACATAATTTTTAACAGAAAATTGTAAGGAAAATACAATAAAGATACTGAAAATAATAAATAAGTTCACAGGATACAGGATTAAAATTTAAAACTCAATTGTATTTTCATATATTGACAGAGAAAAATTTAAAACTCAGAGAAATAATTTTACTTATAATGGCATTAAAAACATAAAATATTTTGAAATAAATTTGACACAAAGATATAAACGACATTCACATTGAAAACTATAATATATTGATGAAATGTTAAATAAAAAGGACCTAAATACATGGGGTTCATTTGATAAAGTTCATCAATTTGAAGACCTAATATTTTTAAGACAACAATCCACCCCAAATTGATCTATAGATACAATGCAATCCCAAACAGAATCCCAGCAGGGGATTTTGTAAAATTTGATTCTAAAATTTGTATGGAAATACAAAGGACCTAGAATAGCTAAAGCAATTTTGAAAGAAAAAAAAGAACAAATTTGGAAGACTTACATTATCTAACCCTAATATTTACTGTAAAGCTATAGTAATCAAGATAATATGGTACTGGCATAGGTATTGATAAACAGATCAGCACAATAGAATAAAGTCCAGAAATATAAGCACACATTGATGGTAAATCAAGTTTTGAAAAAGATGCCAAAGGAATCCAATGGAAATAGAAAGTTTTTTCAATAACAGTTCGAGAACAACTGGATAGCTTTATGGGAATCATTAACTTCAAACACTATGTAATACTTTTAGCAAAATAAACATACAGACATAAACATTACAAACAAACCTTTGTAATGAGGCTAAGCAAAAGTTTCCTAGACAGAATTAGAAAGCAGTAATCATAACAGAAAAAAGTCATAAATTGGACTTCACAAAATTAAAAATTTGTCATTGAAAGACAAAAAAAGAATGGAAAAACTAGCAAGAAGTATTTGCAAACATATATCTGACAAACGACTTCTATCCTCAGTATACATATAAAAACTTATTATAACCAAACAGTTAAAAGACAAAATTAATTAAAAGTGAGCAAAATATTTTTACAGATATCTGACAAAGGAAGAGATACAAATAGCCAATAAAGTACACAAAAAACTGCTCAATGTCATTTGGTCCACACAAAAATTAAAGTTAGAAGAAGATACCCACATATGTCACCAGAATGGCTAAAATGAAAAACAATGACATCACTAAGCTTTGGGGAGAATGTAGACCAGTTCTAACTCTCCTACATTGCTGAAGGGAGTATAATATGGTACAACCACATTGGAAAAACTCTGGCAATTTCTTATCAAACCAAACATACATTAATTTTTGACATAGTAATTCAACTCCTAAGTATTCACTCAAGAGAAATGAAAACGCATATCCACAAAATCATTTGTAGAAGAATGTTTATAGCCATTTTACACTCAAGAGAAATGAAAACACATTTCCACAAAATAACTTGTAGAAGAATGTTTATAGCCATTTTATTCATAATGGAACAGCCTACAAACAGTTCATCATTGTCAACAGGACAATGGATTTTTTAAAACTGCAGTATGTCATTCAATGGAACATTTCATAGCAGTACAAGTTCTCCAAAGAGTTCCACAGCCTTCATAAGGATCATCATTCCCGGTGCAAAGGGCAGTGCAATTGAACCAGTTGACATCTGTTTCACATGCAAAGCTTGCACGATAATTTTGAAAAATTGTCAATATTTCAAATAATATATAAACAGAGGAGTTTTCTTGTTTTGATTAGGTTCATTTAATTTAGATTCCATAGGTTTATAACCCACATGTCTCTTGAATCACTGTCCAAAGGTATTCCTTACTTCTAAGCAAGAGTCATCTTTGCTATTGTGCAGATGTTGGGAACACTAGTAAGGGAGTACTGCTTTCTTGGTTTTTATGCAAAAAAAAAAAAAAAAAAGAATGCTAAAATAAATGTGTTTACAACAGCACACACTTCCTGGTCAAATAGGTCCTGTTTACATATATTATCAGTGTGATAATGTATAGAGTGGTCTGGAATGTAATTTTGCCACCACATGAATAAATGTTGTAGATTATGACTTCATGACTATGTATGTATCAGATATACTTGACCATTCTAGATCCCCAGTGTTAGCCTAAGATGTTTGAAATCATCTGTGCAGACCTTCCTTAACTTCCTGTTAATCCATCCACCAATAAACTTATTTGAATTTACATTCATACTTTCTTTTTTTACTTGTCACAAAGAAAAAAGTGTCTTCCTTTCTTCCTGTCACAAAGACAACCAAACCACTGGTGCACTGGTTGCTTCCAGCCTCCCAAAGGACATTGCCTACTCAATTATCCCCTTGTTTTCCTTTATCTCTTATCTCCCTTTCCAGAGCAGAGTGTTACTCAAATGTGGCTTTGAGTCAGTGACATTAACATCATCTGGGAACTTCTACAAAAGGCAAATTCATGGGTCCAACTCTAGACCTACTGGATCAGAAACTCTGGAAATGGGACATAGCAATCTGTGTTGGGAAAAAGGCTTATGGGGTGCTTGTATAAACTGGCCATAAAAATATGGAACAATAAGTTGTGGAAAGCCACAGGAGGCCTCTGAGTAGGAAAGCCTCCTTATTGCCATCATGTTCCCATGATCAGAATGTGACCTGCTCTTATCTATAAACACTGTGCTCAAGGAGAAAGATACTCCTTTGAAGCATTGGAATGTGGCCAGACATACCAGCTCCTAGTTAAGCCCACTCCCCACAGCTGCTCTCCAATAAGTTAAAGAATAACCAACACCAATCTGTGTAATTTAAATTGTCACTGAAGTGTGAGAAACACTATAATTTAACGCAGTGATTCTCAAACTTAGCTGCACATTGGACCAGCTTTAAAAAAAACAATTGGGACCCTTAAAAAACTATTGATGTTTTGTTGTAGGTGACAGGTGCATGGAGGTTAACTATAATGTATTTCAACTTTTCCATGTATTTGGGAAAAGTCAGTATATTGGTCTCATTAGTTATCATTTGCACATTTATTTCATTAGTCAAGTTGAGCACAGACTTCAAAGTAAATTTGATCAAAGAGAACACAGGAGATTTTATTTTTCTTGAGATTTCCAATTTTTTCTTTTTTTCAAAGTTTTTCCCAAATTTTTAATATTGTCTCACTGAACTATAACTATATTTGTTGGCATTATAATTTGCTTAGTTCTGTTTGTTATACAATGGTGGTTATTACATGTGAAATGCAGAGTTGGGAAGAGATATTTGTAATTGACTTTTGTTAGCCTGTGCAAACTGACTACAGCACACCCCTGTTCTGACCTCATAAAACAGGTTGGGAATCATGATTTTTCTTTGAAAGTATTGGTGTAAGATTGGTATTACTGTTTCCTCTTTAAATTTTCTTTAGCATTCACAGGGTTTTGATTGATGGATTTGAACACTGGTGCTATTATTGCTCTTGAAAATCGTATATCCTCAACTAAAAAAAAAAAAAATCGTCTTTTTCTGTGAGGAGTATGGCCCCAATCACATTGTCTTTCAAGAGACACTCTTATTTAAAATGTGACATATTCCAGAAAAAATAAAATCCAACTAAAAAAAAAAAAGAAAAAGAAAATGAAAAGGCAAAAAGAACCTCATGATTCTACTACCTGGCAAGAACATTTGTAGTTGGCTAGATAATTAGCAGCAGTTTTGTCAAATGCTATTGAAGAAGGATTTACGCTAATAGTAGTTCACTTAATCTTCTACTAAAACATTAATTTAATCAGTGGCTTACTTTCTCTTTAGCTAAAGCATTAGCTAAATTGCATTGGGAAAATAAAGCTTAGAGGCAGAAACTAATTGGAAACATTGCTTTTAGGTAATGAAGGACTTACGCATCTATTTTGGAGATTCATTTAGTTTTAGTTTTAGGAAACTTCACGTAACTCACCTGAAAAGCACATAATTTTAATGGAAATATATAAATGCCAAAGTCATTGAATACAGGCAGAGCTCTGTCATTTCATTTTGTTTAACTTCACCAAACACTTCATCAAAATTTTCCAAAATTTTGGTGGCCCAAGAAGATGATCAAGGCAATATTCCACTACTTAAAGAAGTTAGTAGAGGAGCAATACATATAAACCTCTACCAGGTGATGGGGGAATTAAAGAACTTCATATACGCCATTATAGAAATGAAATGAGAGAGCAATACAATCTTTACAGGTAGGATATAAATACATTCTTTTTCTATAACAAAGTCTATAGACATTGTTATTCTCACTCCCTCTCCCTCTCTCTCTTTTTCTCCCTGCCTTCTTCATTCTCTCTCTTCTTCCCTTCTTCTATCAATTCCCACTTGTCTCTCATTTTGAAGATAAATTCTGAGAAGGTTCAAAGTATCCTTTGAGGATTTTAGAAGTCATATTTGTTCCATGTCCTGTGGCTTGCTAGGAGGTGTGCTCAAGCCTAACAAAGAGCATTCTAGACAGCTACAGAAAGACCCAGTGGGGTATCTTCTTTTGGAGAACTCCAGAAGACATCACCATGGATGGAGAGCACTTCAGCAAGTGAGCATGCTGATCCCAGGGTTGTCCAGGAACAACTTTGCTGGTTGCTTACTCTATATTTTTATCACACTGATTACAAACACAGAGACTATTTAAAGAGTTGTCTGTATCTTTTCCAAAAACAGGACTGGCTACATAATTCAGTGAGCCCAGGGCAGACTAAAAATGCTGAGCCCCTTTTAAAAAAATATTAATATCTTCAAGATGAAGATGTAACACATTAAGCCACATGCAACTGCACAACTCCTAGGCCCACAAAGCCAGCCCTGTCCAGAAGGTAATGTCACTTTAAATATTGAAGCCAGCTAAATCTCTCCTATTCTGTCTAGTACTGGATACCATAGGCATTAGAATATAGCAAGTTCAGGTCAGAATCCTAGCTCTATCACATATCAACTATTGGATTTGGGACAAGTTATTTTGAGTTTCATTACTGAAATATAGTTATGCAAATTAAACTTTCATTCACATGCCAACATCACATATAAATTATACTTGTAAGTTCTATTCTTATGAATTTACAAATAATGTTATGTGTTATAAAATAAGAATGTATAAAAATTTGTGGCTTTAAAATTTTGGTATTTGTTTTAGAGTATTAATTACAGATGGCTGTTCATATCCACGGGTTCCTCATCTGTGGATTCAACCAACCATGGATCGAAAATAATCAGAAAAATTAAAATGGATGATTGACTTTGTACTGAACATGTAGATTTTTTTGTCATGATTCCCTAATCAATGCAGTAATACAACTATTTATATGGCATTTAAATTGTATTAGGCATTATAAATAATCTAGAGATGATTTAAAGTACATGGGAGGATGTGCATAGGTTATATGCAAGTACAGCATGAATGTTGTTTTGTTGTAACATTGAAGAGAAAAAAAATCAATTCTTGGCCTGGACCACGTCTGTGTTGAGTTTGCACGTTCTCTCCATGTCTGTGTGGGTTTTCTGCAGGCATTCTGATTTCCTCTCACGTTCCAAAGATGTGCATGTTAGTTTAACTGGCATGTCAAAATGGTCCCATTCTAAGTGAGTGTGGGTGTGTGTGCCTAATTGCTCCCAGCAATGGAATGGTGTCAGCCTTGGCCCTGGGCTGCTGGGATAGGCTCCAGCTACCCGGGATCCTGAACTGGAGTAGTTGGATAAACATTTATCTGATTTGTTTTTTTGAGCCTTTCTTAAAGGTATATATAGCTCACATTTATTTCACTGTTGAATATCAGAAGTGTTTTGGTCTTTAATTAGAAGTTTGGTGATGTTTTTGTGACAAGAAATATGCCATAAGAACTTAATTCTTATTTATGTCAATTAGCCTATGATTAAATAGATTTTGTTATACATTGTTTTACTTAAAGTTGCAGTTTCCAAGAACTTATCAATGATGATGAGAATTTATTGTGCTACAACTTTTTTATATGAGGAGCTTGAGCATCCATAGATTTTGGTAGGGATTCTGGAACCAATCACCCATGGATTCCAAGGAACAACTGTATACTAATTAAAACAGTCTTTTGGAGTTTTTTTTTCTTGCCCCCTTGGCTATCAATTTTATCGCATTCTCAGTTGTGAGCTACTAATCAAAAGTTTGATTCATGATTAAAAATACTTTTAGATGTTTTTAATATTTAAGTAAAAGTTATAAATTTAGGATTAAGAACATAATATAATGCATTATATATGTTGTATATTGTATTCTTCATTATAATCATTCAAAATTAGTTTTTGATACTCATAGGTACATCCATTTAAATTACACCATGCTTAATAATTTTAAAGATTCATTTATTTATGTTTTGTCTTTCAGTCTTATACAGAAAAGCAGGAGTGCTAATTTTGGACTGTGAAGCTCTCTCTCTGGGTGGCCTGGCAACTTTTTTCATTGTCTTCCAGTGCTAGAGAACTGGCTTTTTAAAGTACATCATTAAGAAACTGGCCCCAAAACTGAAAGTGTCTATTACCCTGAGCAAGATCATTGTTATGCTTATTCCATTAAAAAAAAAAAACAAAAAAAGCAGCGAGGGGCAGAATATCTCTGCCAGGACCCAGCTCCATGGTCCAATCACAACTCTCTAGCATATTACAAAAACAAGAGACCCTCATTCCTGCTGACCCTCTGCCTGTGAGTTCTTACGTACATTACGTGATGCTTGCTGCTGTGTGCTGCTCCCGGTCTTTGGAAGAGAAATCTTAGTAAGTCATTGTGGAATAACTGAGGCAAAATTGTAGCTTTACAAAAAAACTGTGGCAAGAACAGTTAATGAGATCTACCTTCTAAACAAATGTGTAAGTTTTAATACAGTATTGTAAACTTTAAGCACAATTTTATACAGCAGATCTAACATCCATCTTACAAAATTGAAACGTTATGCCCATTGAATAGCAACTCCCTATTTCCCCCTCCATCTAGCCCCTGGCAACCATTCTAATCTCTGCTACTATGAGTTGACTATTTTAGTTACCTCATATAAGTGGAATCAGGTCATTGATCTTCTGTCGCTGTCTTATTTCACTTAGCAAAATGTCCCCAGGAATTCTTAACCTTATTTACCAGAGAGAAACATAAAGATGGGTGAAGTGAAATTACCAAGGTCACAAATCTAGTGATCAGCATTAATTGTCATTTGACTTTCCTATTCCAAGATAAATCATCAGTGATGCAGGCTTCTTGAGGGTGGAGGGGAAGCTAACATATTACTTACAGAGCCTCTCACAAGCACTTTTTATGTATTGACACATTTCATTCCATAACAAACCTCTAGGACAGGTACTAATATTACCCCTTTTTTACTGTGGAAGAAACGGAGGCAAAAGGAAGTTTGATAACTTCCTGGAAGTCATCTCCCCTTTAGTGAGTTGTAAAGCTCAAGTTCAAATCCAGATATCCTGGGGCCAGAGTCCATTTTCTTACCCTCTAGCTGTATTGAAACTCACATACTGGCTCAGGAACCCTTTCCTACTGCTAGGAATGCTGTCCAAACATAGCCATTCTGGGTCAAATAACCAGTTCTTTCCCTGAGGCAGGGAAAGGGAAGAATCTCTCCACTGGGAGTCAGGTTGTTGTGCAGGGCATCCGCAGGTAAGCAGAGCCAAGGTTGTGACCCAAGTCACTGGTGGGGTAGGCCAAAGGCAACAGAAATGCAGGGAGATGATGGGATAAATCAATAATCTTAAATCCATCAGATGACAGTTTATGACATATTTTTTCATGTCACCCATTAGGGATTCAAAATCATCAAAGTCACCAACACACTTTTTGTGCAGGACTGCTCTATGTATTGCAGGAGGCCTAATATCTCTGTGCATTGTCCTTTCAATGCTAACAATGTCTGTATCAAAGTGGCACCTACAAATGCTCCCTTGCACACATTCTGCCATGTCCAATATGAATTCTATGACTTGGTTTGTCCTATGCTGAGAATCACCGTGTGAACTCCTGAGGGGCGATCTAGAATCAGGAGTCCCAGGCAAATTATCTGTACCTCACTGCGATGTATCTTGTATCTTAATTTGCTTGGCTTTGCAGTAATTCCCAATTCCTGAGGACATGCCCTAAATTTCTCCCAAACGAGACCTCTACTTTTCCTTCATCTTCAAGAGAGAGTCTGAGTTCATCCATGTGTCTATAGCTTCATCAAGACTGAGTCCAAAGAAACAAAAACTGGAAGCAAAATGTTTGAATGACTTCCTGATGGGAAAACAATCATCTGACTAGAGTGGCAATATCCATGGGTAGATTCTTAGAAAACAAGTAAGGCAGAAGAACTTCCAGAGGTGACCAAAATGAAAGCTCTGGTGAACAATTCTAAGTCAAAGTCCTTAGAAGACTGTCATTAATTAGAGACAAGAGACAAATGCCAAGTCTCCAGGGCAGAAGCAAGTGTTAAATGAAAAATAAAGGATCAAAAGTCAGGAAACAGATGGAAATGGAATTTAAGAATTAGCAGGCCAGGAACATAAGAGTTGGAATGGTCTGGGATGACAGCCAGACTATTGTGTGTCTTGGGCCAGTTACTATTACTCAATGGTAAAGCTTGCACAATTCTGTGAATATAACAAAAACCACTGTATTTACAGTGTGAAAAGGTGAACTTTATACTATATAAATTATGTATCAATAAAGCTGTTATTTTTTACAAGTATATGGTTAGTTGAGATAAATGATAAATCAAGAAGACAGAATGTGGCAGTAATCTGTGAACCTAGTAGTCTCAAGACCTTTAAACTCAAAATCTTTGTGGATACATAGAACTGAGAGAAGCTGAAATACAAATCTCAGCCATGGCTATTAGCAGTCAAAAGTTGTGAGATTAAGATATCATAGATTTGAGAAAGTGACAGAGGGATTAAATTAGTTTCTTGATCTGAACAGTATCCTCTGGTATGTGAATGTAAACTTATTTTCTATTCTGAGGTATTTGGAGTTACCAGGAATATAAAAGGCATTTCCAAAGTATTATATCTTATGAACTTATTAATAGGATTCATATAAAATATTTTCTTTAAACCTTTTTTTTTTTTTTTTTTTTTTTTTTTTTTTTTTTTTTTAGAGACAAGGTCTCAGTCTGTCTCTCAAGCCAGAATACAGTGGTGCAATCATAGCAATCATAGCTCACTAAAACCTCAAACTCCTGGGCTAAAGCAATCCTCCTCTCTTAGCATCCCAAGTAACTGGGACTACAGACATGCTAAACCTTGCCTGGCTAATTTTTAACTTTTTTTTATATAGAGAGAGGGGTCTCCCTACATTGCCTAGGTTGGTCTCAAACTCTTGGCATCAGGTGATACTTCTGCCTGAAACACCCAAAGCGCTGAGATTATAGGCATGAGCCACCATGTCAGGCCTTTCTTTAAATCTTTATTGAAAAGTATTCTTGTTTTATAATTATTTTTATATGTATATGTATTGTAGTTGACAATACATCTTTATTTTCTTTTACCAATATGAAGCTCAGTCACATCTTGATTTATCCAAAGATTTAAATTAATCACTTAAGGCTTGGCTTACACCTAGCATAACAAAATAAATATTAAAATGTAAAATAAACATCTAATGGATATTATTAGACCATGTCTGGCTCATGGCTAATTTAGGGGTAGATGTAATAACATTTAACTTATTTGTTCCTATATCCAAAAACATTCTAATTTTGTTGAAAACCCCCTTAGTGCAAAGGATAGGAATGTATAAACATGGTTAAATAAAACAATAGTTTTACCTCCCTCTTTGGATGTGTACAATAGTAATGGGGAAAAAAATACTATACCAATTGCCATTGGAAGATTTAATTTAAGAAATATGTGTTTAGTGATTGTTAGCTTTCAGGATGTAATTAAAAATATTCTTGGATTTTAATATAATTAAAACAAGGTGAAAATTAGAAAAATGGAACAAACAATATGTCCTTGGCAACAATGTCTGTGCTACTTTTTATTTAATTAACACTCACTAAGTGAATCTTCCAGAATTCTAGTAAAAGATACAATGCCAAGATAGGTATTGAGGCTGGGCATGATTGCTCATGTCTGTAATCCCAGCACTTTGAGAGGCCGAGGTAGGAGGATCACTTGAGGCCAGGAGTTCAACACCAGCCTGGGCAACACAGTGAGACCTTATCTTTATTTTCAAAAAGAAAAAGTTATATATTGAATTCAACCACTATATCTTAGCCACTATGCTAAGAACTGGGGTTTTATAGTTACCAACATAGATGTCATCTTTACTATAGTTTATAGGGAAGATAAACACATACATATACCTACAAAGCTGATTGTACATACCATGTGAGAATGATGATAGGGAGAGCCACTGGTGAACCCATAGAAATATTATTTAACCCAATGAGATGAAGGAAAGATAGTGTATTTATTAGTCCGTTTTCACACGGCTGATAAAGACATACTGAGACTGGGCAATTTATAAAAGAAAGGGGTTTAATTGGACTCACAGTTCCAGGTGGCTGGGAAGGTCTCACAATCACAGCGGAAGGCAAGCAGGAACAAGCCACATCTTACGTGGATGGTGGCAGGCTAAAAAAAGAGTGTGCTTGTGCAGGGACACTCCACCTTATAAAGTTATAAAACTCTGCCTTATGAGACTTATTCACGATCATGAGAACAGCACGGGAAAGACCTGCCTCCATGATTCAATTACCTCCCACCAGGTCCTTCCCACAACACGTGGGGAATTCAAAATGAGATTTGGGTGGAGATATAGCCATACCATATCAGATAGCAAAAAAAGAAAGGGTCAGAAAAGCTTTGGGAGCAAGGCCTAAGCCAAGTCTTATAATAGGAGTTACACAGGTAAAGGGCAGAAATAGGGACTACAAGTAGAAGGGGATTCGAGAAAGAGGAGATGACATGAGAAAAGAAAGAGATACGACAAGCAGCATGGGGCATGGGGCATTTGCTAGCAACTGGGTTTTGATGAACACAGTGTTAGGAAATGTTGAGAGAGAAGGTGACAGACAAGCAGAGGGGCCGCATATACATTCTAAGAGGTTGGGCTTTATCCTGTAGGTGCCAGTGAGACACTGAAGGATTTATTCAGGGTACTAAGTGGTTAGAATTGTATTTTGATTATATCATTATGACTGTCTATAAGATGAAGACAGTTTAAATACCTTAGTGGTATTAAGATGATAAAAGAGGAAAATAATTTGAGAAATATTTGGGAGACAAAATCTATACATATATAAGAATTGATTAGAAGTGGTTAGTAAAGTACAGAGAAGTTTGGGGGAAGAATCCTGGTTTCTAGCTAAGTGGATTACAGTGCTGCCAATCAAGACAAAGAACATACATTAATATATCTGGAATAAAATCAGTTTGTTTCTGAAACTGTTGAATTTAGAATGTCATGTGATAACCAGAAGGAAATGTCCAGTAGCTGGCTGGATTTGTGAGTCTGTAGCTGAGGACAGACATATATGTGGGAATGAGAGGTCTGGGAATTTTTAATACTGGGTAATCACTGAAAACATTTAAAAAGATGAGATTATCCAGTAGGGGTTTGCCAAGTAATGCATCCTGGAGAACATAAACATTTAAGGGTTGTGTAGAAAAGATGTCATGAAAGAGGCAAAGAATTCCAAAAGTATGAGAACCAGAAGGGTATGATGTCAGGGAACAGAGAGCCAGGAAGAGTAAAATAAAGTCTGAATTGTTTCCACTGAGTTTGGAAATTTAGAGGTCACTGGAGAACTATGTCAGAATCATTTCCGCAGAAAAATAAGAGAGCAAGCCAGATTGTAAATAGCTGAGAAATGAATGGGAGATTAAATACAATAATAATCTTGGTAGGGAAGAAGAGAAGAAATAAGATGAAATTTTGAATGTAGGGAGAAGTGGATACAATAGATGAATTATTTTGGATGGGAGAGATAGGCCTTAATTTTGGCTAAGGGAGGAAAACAAAAGGCAACAAGTTCAAGATACAGGAGGTAGACATTTCAAAGGGATAGAAGGGACAGAGGGACTGCCAGGACAAAAGAGAAGGGACATAGAAGGAAGCAGATACTTTCTTGTGCATGTTCTCAATCCACAAATGCAACATCTGTCTGCCCAGGGCCCAAAGGTTGGCACAATATGCTGGTACAGGGTGGTTAATTGAAATGGAGTCGACTCGACCAGGTTGTCATGTCCAACTTTCACATACTGCCAGAATGGGCTTGTATGTTTTGTATTAGACAAATACAATCTTGAAATTAAGAATAAACTGAACTTTCTATCATGTTCTATATTCAAGAAAAGGTTCAAGTGTGTGTGTTTTCACCTGGCAGACCAACTCCCTCTTTTCTGTGCTGTTTGAATTTTCATAAATCATTTTCACAATCAGGAAATATATTGAGTGCTTTGTTTAGTTGTGTTGTGTTTTTTGAGACAGAGTCTCACTCACTCTGTCGCTCATGCTAGAGTGCAGTGGCACGATCTCAGCTTGCTGCAACCTCCGCCTCCCAGGCTCAATGAATTATCTTGCCTCACCCTCCCCAGCTGGGACTACAGGCGCATGCCACCACACTTGGCTAAATTTTTTTTGTAGTTTTAGTAGAGATGGAGTTTCAGCATGTTGCCCAGACTGGTCTCAAATTCCTGACTTCAAGTGATCTGCCCTCCTCGGTCTCCCAAAATGCTGGGATTACAGGTGTGAACCATTATGCCCAGCTAGGAAAAATATTGATATTTTCATTGTGACCATAACAAGGTCAATGGATTAGGTTAGGAAACAGCTGACTAAATTCAATGAATGGGAAATGAATGGAGGATTTTGTTTTGTTTTTTGTTGTTTTTGTAACATTAGTCCAGAAATCATTACATTCAGAAGGTAATATTTATTTACTCAGAAAAAAAGATATACAAACATTGAAAACAAACTAATTCTATATATTCGCTGGAAGTAACAGACTTATTTTTTAAATGCTCTATAATTTTGCATTGTTTATTTTTGGGTCTGTAGACCAACAGATTTCTACTAGTCCTATTTCTCTAAGATTTTACATTCATCATAGTATAATTAGAAAAGAAAGAAATACTATGAAAGTCAGACCAGAAAAAGTAAAAAATAGTTTAACAAAACTTTTTTTTCACTCCTTATGTAGCTATTCATTACACAAATGTTTGAATTAAGAATATAGGTGTGTGGTACAAATAATTAATATTTAGGAAGAGGTTTCAAAACAACATACCTTGTTATATTTGTGATATTCTTCCATACCATTAATATTACATATTTACTCACTATAAATCTCCATTATTCTTATAGGGAGCTATGGACTATATGTGAAATAGAGGTAACAGCAGGAAACATCCTAATCATAGCAACGTGGATTAGCAAAACTTTTGATAATTTTCATATATTTGTGAGTATAGAGCACTAAGTTGCTGACAAAGAAATTAAGTTTTTAAAGCTAATGGACATGGTTTGTAAAATTATTTTTGTATTGAGTCATTGTAAAATAATATTTAGTGGCCCTGTTACTGTGTAAAAGGTAAAATTTTGTATGTAAAATTACACTTCCAATATTTTTTAATTATTCTTGGGCATTTATTTTCCCCCATATATTTGATGATCCTTTTAGTCAATTTTTTAAAAGTTAGGGGTTTTGCAGATTAAAGTAATATGTTAATTACTATGTGTTGATTTTTAATATCTTGGGTATTCTCATCTAAAAGCATTGCCTACATGACCTAGATTTTACAGTATTTATTGATATTTTAGTCTCCTTCATGAAGGCCTAATACATTTTTTACTAAATTTATTTTTAAATTCTAAAATTGTCTCCGCTGTGGGCAGGTTTTTTTACTCTATTATTTTCTATGACTATTGGAGATAATATTGGTTGGGAGAAGCAGAAAATAAATTTAATAAATGCATTCATAAATATATGCATTTTAAATGAGAAAATCGCATATTATTTGAGAAAGAGGGTACAATAATTGCAGAGATCCTGAGATAGGTGAGTAGTCTTGAAGTTTAAGAAACAGAAAGATGCCAGTGTGGCTGGAGTAAAAGCAAGAGAATAAGAGAGGAATGGGAGATGAGGTCAGAGCTACCAAATCATGCAGGTCGATATGAGGACTTCGGGTTCTACTCTGAAAAGACTGATGATAGAATAAAAACAAGCAAGCCAGCTGTTTTTCTCGGAGATACCTGAAGAAAACTCCTCATGATGCAGTCAAATATGCAAATACTCCTATTCGCCTATGCTCTGTAGGAAGGATCTGTGTATGCTTCAGTTTCTTCTTGGCTTCAGTATGTGAATCCTGGCTTTCAGGGTCTCATCCAGTCTGAGTCCATGGTTCTGCATCAGTTGCTCACACCATAGCCACCATAGAACACAGTGCCTCACTTGCACACAGACACCCATGGACATTAATATCCATTTTACTTAGGACTAGCAGACACATATGAGTTAGTGATGAAGGGCAGGGTGACCTTGCAGTCACCACCTTTCTAAAGACTCCTGCTACAAAAACCAAAACTATACACACACACAGACCTCTCTCCCTGCCCCACACACACATGTAAGTATAGACATATATACATACACCTTCGTTTGATTCCACAGTGCTCTCTTCATTTCCACCTTCTCATATCTCAAAGAAAATAATAAAATAAAAAGTCACCAATTAAAATGAAGATATTTCTATATTCCAATAGATAACATTTATGACGCGTATTTATTTCATTTTTTTAAACAATGAACTTTGTGTGATGATGATATTCTTCAAGAAACCATAGTTTAATGTAGACAACTGGCAAAATAGCAATCCCAAAAGTCTTGGCTGGGTACAAAGAAGCTGCAGTTGGGCTCTTTCACAGAGCTACCCTTGATTGTGGATTCACACTTGCTTGAAACAAGCAGCATACGTATAATTTTAAAAATCAACATTTGATATTTTTCCAGCACTTAATATTTACCATGTATTGTGCTAAACTCTTCATATATATATGGTTATCTCCATTCTCAGAACAACTGAGTGTAGTAAACATTACTGATATTTTACTATTCCAGAAGAGGACATATACAGGGGCACACACATGTCAAGGGAAAGAGCTGGTCTTGTCTGACTCCAAATCCAGGAGACCTAACATCTACTCTGTTTACAGAACCACCCCAAAGAGTGAAAATATCCAACCTAAAGAATATAAAGCCTTTGCAAAGATGTAAAGCTATGTTACAAAATCCCCAGTTCCAGTTGACCTGTTGAGCAATTGAAAATGTGCTTTAGTCAGCATCATAAGGGTTTCAGCAGAGAGAGTTGTGAAGGAACAGCTGTCTATTCTAACCTGAATGCTGCAGGATAAGAGTTACAATTTTAGCTCCAGGTCACTCTCTGCCTTAAAGATGTGGCTTCTAAACTGAGGACATTAACTGAAACCTCTGCCTTTTAGTCTGTCTCTTGAACACCAAAGGGTATTTTGAAATAATGAAATGTGTTATACTAATTTCAACTACTCAAAAAGAAGAGGGAGAAAGAGAGTAAATGTACTGTACTCAGCCTCTCAAATGTGAAATTTCATGATTGATATAACTTACCTACATCATCATAACGATTTGTAGACAAGCTCTTTCCATGATTACGCTATTGCGTATGATCTCTTGCGCCAAAAACTGAACCCCTCCATTCTTCCCTTCTCTGGTTAAATTGCTGATGGCTGGGTAGGAACCATGCAGTCTGGAGCCTTCTGTACAACGTATTTCACAGGAGCACTTTGTGTCTGCATGAGGTAGCCCTTTAAAGCTTCTGAAGAGTTCTAATAGTTAGAAAGTAGTATATTAAATGGAAACTGTTGTCCTCGCCTAAAAATTACATTCCTTGTTCTTAGCTCTGACACATTGACATGCAAAGTTACTTTCGAATAGTTCTTCAAGTACTTCATGACAACTAACCCCCTCATCCTCCTTGCTAAATCTTTATTTTTCTGGGCTAAACACGTCCATATCCCCCATTTCAGCTGTTTTTCAAATGAAGCCATATCCACATGCTCTCTTGCTAGAATGGCCATTCTTTAAGATATTTTTAACTTTTTACAACTTCATTTAAGACAAGGCCCAGGAACTAAATGATATTCCAGACACGTTCTTAGCATTGCAGAATATAGTAAAAAGATGTGAGCTTCTTTTCTTGGACACTAGACATTTACTAACATAGATTAAGTTGGTATCAATTTGTTTATCAGCTGCATGAGATAGCTGAATCATACTGGGCATGAAGCTAATGGACTCATTTTTATTTTTTTATTTGTGTTTATTTTGCATGAACATTAGCAGTTTCCTATTTAAGGTGTTGTTCTTTTTAATGGACATCACATTATGTAGTGAAAAGGGAACTGGACTTAAAGTCAGAATATGTAGGTTGAATCTCTATAACAACATTCATAAATTCATTCAACAACATTCCACAAGCTCATAAACTTATTTAACCTCTCACAATTTATGTTTACACATCTTTACTTGATAAAATTTGTTTACTTATGTTGGCCTTAATAAATATTAAAGATAAGTATGTCAAAAGGAGTTTGTAAAGGCCAGTGTGTTATCATTAATTATTGTTTTTTAATAAACCTAAATGAAAATGTTTTCATTAATTACTTTTAATAACATGTGAGATTTACCCAACTATTTCTGTGCCAAGACAGTTTTGCTAAGAAATAGAGTTAGAAATTTAATTTAAGATATACCAAATCAGTATGTGTGTGTATATATCAAATGGTTGGACTATATTAATTATGCTGATCACTAAAAAGTGATTGCGATGGTTAATACTGTCAACTTGATTGAATTGAGGGATGCAAAGTACTGATCCTGGGTGTGTCTGTGAGGGTGTTGCCAAAGGAGATTAACATTTGAGTCAGTGGGCTGGGGAAGGCAGACCCACCCTTAATCTGGGTGGGCACCATCTAATCAGCTGCCAGCAAATATAAAGCACGCAGAAAAATGTGAAAAAGCTAGACTGGCCTAGACTCCTAGCCCACATCTTTCTCCCGTGCTGGATGCTTTCTGCTCTCAAACATTGGACTCCAAGTTCTTCAGTTTGGGACTCGGACTGGCTGTCCTTGCTCCTCAGCTTGCAGACAGCTCATTGTGGGACCTTGTGATCATGTGAGTTAATACTTAGTAAGCTCCCGTTTATATATAATATATAAAATATATATATCCTGTTAATTCTGTCCCTCTAGAGAAGCCTGACTAATACAGTGACTGATGTCTTTCTCATCAAGAAGTAAAGTTGCTTCTTTGTAAACTGTCATGATAATACAGTTTATTTCTATCCCAGTTGTGGAAGAGAGCAATTATCCTGTTTTGGGGGGAAAGGTGGGACGGGTACCTGTTTTAGTCTGGACTACTATAATACAGTACCATAGACTGAGAGGTTTAAAAAAACCAACATTTATTTCTCACAACTCTTAAGGCTGGAAGTCCAAGATCAGGGTTTCAACATGGTCAGGTTCTTGGCAAAGGTCGTCTTCTTGGTTTACAGATGCTTGTCTTCTCTTTGTGTCCTCACGTGGCAGAGAACAGAGGCAGAAGAAGTTTTCTTGTCTCTTCTTCTAAGGACACTAATCCCATTTGTGCAGCTCCACCCTCATGACTTAATTACCTCCCAAAGGCCCCAGCTCCTAACACCGTCATATTGGGAGTTAGAATTTCAACATATGAATTTGGGTGGGTTGAAAGGACACAAACATTAAGTCAATAACACTGACTTTTTAAACAAAAATGCTTCAAAAACAGTTGACGTTTCTTAAGTAAAAATTGATGGAGGGAGGAAAGAGTGAAGGTGTGCCAAACTTGCTCAAAGTTTCAAAGTGTTGTTATCTTCAAAGGGCTGTGATTCTTTTTACCAGTGCATACTGTTCATCATAGCGAAACCCAGTTGTTCTGAGAAGCAGGGACTTGCTGGGAGTGCTAATCTCCTGGGACATGACTACTGCTACCATATCTCAGCATAGGCCACACTGAAGCCAAGGTGAGTATTTTTCCAATGTTCTCAGGAAGCTGCAATTGTGAAAGGGATACTGCTAAAGCCCTCTCTTCTTTGACAAAGCCCATTAGCAGCGGGATGAATGAAGAGATGTAGAGGACAAAGTATTTGTGGTAGCAAAGAAAACCAATTATTAATTTTTTCTAACTAGACAAGTTGTACCTTCAGAAGCCTTAAAAATACAAACTTGACTGCATTTGTAATGATGGGTGAAAAATAAAGAAGAACTAGTTTCAAGAACATAGGGTGGAAGGGGATTAGATTCAGAGTCATAGAGACATCAATAACAAAGCTGATGAAATTCTTGCTTAAAAATCAGCAGGTCCACTCTTTGAACTTAGAAAAGATTTGGGCTTGGTCCATGCTGTACCAGGTCATCAGAAAAGAAAGTCATGTCTCTTTACCATCACCTAACACTCCCACGTCCCCTCCTCCCCACTCCTCTACTGCCTCCCCATGCCCTTCATCAGGCTATTCAACAGCCAAACAGGATCAGGAGCCTAATGCCTGGCACAGAGTGGTGGGTGTATGTGCATAGCAGAAGAAACAAATGTATTCATTAAAAATAATAAATACAATTTAGTCAGCTTAAAGTAAACATAAGAGTTTCATTAGTAAAAATTCAGTTTACCTATCAAATCAAAAATGTAATTAGAGAAGTTTTGTTGAAGTGTTCTGTTTCACATGTCAACATAAGAAGTTAAAGATTCAAGATAGTTTCTCTATTACTGAACACTAATATTACCTTCTCTGAACCTTTTCTGGAAACTGGTGATCTACCATACCCTATATCTTTGTCTACATGTTACTACAAAAGCATTTATGCTTTTACAAGATGATCATCTTTTCTATACACAGTCAATTGGTTCATGGGTTCAGGGACTATTTTCTGTGATGTGAAATCCAAAGCAGAAAACAGCCTTTAATTAATGAACAAACAACAACAATAAAAAATGTAATATATAAAGGTAAGAGATGGAGAGAGATAATTAACTTGGTTGTTGCCAAATACTAGAGCTGGACCCAGTCCTTTGTTTTTGAGCCCCATGCTGTAGCAATTAAACCAGAATCTCTCAGTATGGAACTCACACACTAGTATTTTTCAAAATCTTGCCACATTAGTCTCCAGGACAGCCAGTTTTGAGAACCATGTTTCTAGATAGTTGCTGAGCCCCAAGTGCATTTGCAATGTGGGGCTTGAAAGACAATTTCAGTATCTATCCATTAAATTACTCTGGGTTAATGTAGTTTGTCTGCCAGAATTTTAGAACACATCATGAGTGTCACCCAGAGACATGGCAAAGCAAATCATATTTTAAAAAAGCAGAAATATACCAGTTTAATGCCATTTTACATTTTGATGAGATAGTTCAAAAAGAAATTCATAGCATATTCTTGAAATACAATTCTTTTTTACCAGAGTCATCTTTAAAAAGAGGAAAAAAGGTAAAGGCCTTTAGTTCCACTGTTAAAATACGAAAGACCCTTGGTATCCGTGGAAAATTGGTTCCAGAACCTCCTCCAGGTTTCACACATGCTCAAGTCCTTTATGTACAATGGCATAGTATTTGCACATAATGTACACACATCCTCCTGTGTACTTTAAATCATCTCTAAATTACTTATAATACCAAATACAATGTAATGCTATGTAAATAGTTATTATACTGTATTGTTTTGAGAATAATGACAATAGAAGAAAGTCTGTCCATGTTCAGTACAGATGCAATCTTTTAAAAGAATATTTTCAACCCAAAATTGGTTGATTCCACAGATGCGAAACCCATGGATACAGATGGCTGAGTGTATATGTAATGGCATGGGTTTAATAGCAGTGTCAGTTCCATGCTTTTCAACATTGAGTATAAGAAATTGAAATATTTCCCAGGCTTCTTCCATCAGAGATCAATGCCCACAGTTGCTTCCTAAATGGGATCAGCATTTCCAGATGTTCATGACATGATATTTCTAGCATCTCCATCTGTATTTTTAAAGTAGGAAAAACTGATAAATCTTCTATATTGGAAAGTAGACATGAGGAATTTATGAAATTTTTATCTTTTTTTTTCATCAAAAGTACAATCTTCAAAGTGTTGATTTAGTCAGATTTTCTTGAAAACTTCTTTGGCTCCCTTCCCCCACATCCTTCAAACCCTGGGCCAAATTTGCATTGCTTTTCTCATTCTTGATGAGCTTTTGCATTTTTCTTCTGGCATTTGATCCAGATTTTTACATACATTTCATAGCTAGAATATTCATCCTGGTTTTGACATAATTTATTTTTAATTTTATTTCTGTAAACCACCTTTATTTAACTTGTTACTTAATTCTCAATGTCCAAATTAAAAAAAAAGCAGCTATATCACTCAGCTTTGTTATCTTATTGTCTTTCTAGATCTGCTGTTGCGGAAGAAATATATTTGTAAAAAGCATCTTCACATAGTTTAGATTGTGCTTGTTATGTCCAGAAATTTTCTTGGTCACAGAGTAAACATAGGTATAGGAAATCCAAATAATATAATCCAAACGATAATGAAATATCCAAACTATAATAAAATATCACTATGCTTCCATTCTGAGATGCTGTTGTCCATTTTCCTTATATTCACACAGGATTCACTGTGGAGGCCCACTGTGACTGTGTTTCTGACCACCTGTGTAGCTTAGCAGGTGGTCAGATACACACTTACTCATGCTTAGTACCTACTTAGCAGGTGGTCCTACATACTTGTTATACCTTGAAGTCAGAGTCACAGTTAGTGGCTTTCTTCTTGAAGTGTTATTTTTGCACTTCTTGTTGGTTTGCTAGATTAATTGGTTGTTTTTGTACAGTATATATCAATTCTGTGTAATCTGCCATAATTATAGCAATCAAAATTTGTTCACTCAGATCCCAAGATTTGTTTAGAACTAAACAAGTATGGTTATACAAATTTTACTTCTCTGACCAAAATGTTCTTTCAGTGTACCCTCCTTAGCCTTTGGGTTTTGCCAATATTGTGTCTATTTACCTCAACCTAATTGTTTGTATCACCACATTTATCTCATCTTTCTCTTCCCTCTCTCTTAACTCTGTCTTGCTCTCCATTAGCTGAAATTTTTCTTTTGATGCCATTTAATGTTACAGAAACTTTATAATTATTTGCAAAACTTTCATTTTTTTTCTTCAAGAGATAGAGAACACATTGTTGAAAAGGTGAATAATTCTTTCATTCTAGATTCACTGTTTACAAATAGCCTAGAAGAAGAATGTATTCAAAGTTTAGAGCAAAGAATGTTTTAATGTGCTTTCCTATTGGGAGAAATGTTTTGTGAAAATTTGCAGAAACTGTTGTTTCTATCAGTTCAGAAATGATGGCCAGGTATGAAAAAGTAAAACAAATCATTAATCAAACTGGCAAACTAGAAAGATCAAAGAAAAAAGTATTGTTTACAAAGTTATTAAGAAAGCTTCATTTGAATAAGTATTCAATTGCTCAATGTACAGTAAGTACTTATTAATCACCTACTGTGCCAGGACTGTAATAATCCTTGAGGATTCGGAAGTAAAGACTGCTACTCTCATGGAACTCAGTCTTATCTCTTTTGATCATCAAAAAGATTCTTTGAAGCATTACAGTTGGCATTATTATGCCAACAGTAGATAAGAATGAAGATTCAATGGCTTGTCTTGGTTCAAACAGAAACTTGAATCTCTGTATTCCTTTTTTGCTTGTTTGTTTTTAAACTTGTAATAACTGTAATTTTAAAAAATATTATCAAGACAGTACATAAAATTTAAGAAATAAATTTAAGAAAAAATTTAGGTAGTACCATTCACTTACTGTTCTTTTTAGTTCGAATACTTTATATAGTTGAAATTAATGTAACCTGGTTGCTTATTTCATAGCAAACTCTACACAAACAAGAGGTCCCATTTTAGCTATGGCTGCTCCTCCTTACTTCTTTACTTGGATTCATTCCTTAATTCTGCAAATAATTTAGGGCTAGTTATGTCTCAGGCACTATGCTTGGCTTTTCTCGAACTTCTTCCAAGTTAATGAAAAAAATCAGTACAGACTTTCTGGTGCACAATTTGTTATTCTTTCCATTAAACCTGCTGCCCTTGTTTTTATCTTTTGATGCATCTGACAGATGAAGTCCATTCTAACTGAGCTGAGTAGCATGAGCAATTTTGGATCTACTTTTATTAAACTGTTGTGTTTCTGCTTTTGTGGCATTGTTTTACTTCTCATGCATTAGAATATCTCAATTCTTTCTATTAATATACATTTCTTATCTCAGCTCCACTGTAAAATCATATTTTATTCCCTCCAAAGTCTTTCTCACAAAGTCCAATTAATACATCCATGCACTAACTTAAGTCTCATCAATGAGACTTGCTTTCCTAAAATTGTGTTCTATAATTACATTTCTATGTAAACATAGCCCTGTAGACACTTAACAACTATATACAGCTGGAAAAACTTAAACATTCTTCAGGCTACCCTGTCTCACTCTGACCCTCCATTCCTTGCCCTTCCTCTTTCCTTCTCTACCCAAAGTGTAGCAAGATTAAGGTATTACTGAGAAATGACAGGTAACAGTAATTACAACTCTTTTTTAGTTTTCCTTTCACAGGTCAAGGATTTCTTTGTTTCTAGTTATAAAGTATTTTTTCAATTTCTGCATCCTAATAGGTAGGTGAAAAAGTATTAATATGGAAGAGATAAGATACTGGGACTGCTAATGAGTGTGAATAGCATCCTGTGATAGGTAGGCAGTAATTACATCATTAAGGTCATGAGGAGAATGTCTGTCACCTGTACCCACCCCAGAGTTTCTTTTACACATGGCTTCACAGATATAAGACAGAGACCACAGGCTTCTGAGTCAGTTTATGTTATTCCTTTTGCGTTTTACAGATGCAAGTAAATAACATGTTTTTGGGGTTGTTTTGTGCTTTCAAATGGATGCTTTATTTCACTATTTGTTCCTTATTTTTATTCCCAAGGAATCCAAACAGATAGCTCAGGGTAGATAAGTACTTTAAAAATATCTGTTGAATGAAATAACATAATGCTGTTTTTATGTGTGTTTCAACCCCCTCATCATGTTAAGCTCCAAAGCTAGAATTTACTAGCTTTCCAAATTATGAAAACTGGCTGATATTCTTCTCTGTATAAATTTAGTTTCAAACCTTATTCAAATTTGTTAGGTTTCTAGTTCTAGATTGTTCCTCCTTGCAAAACACCCTGTGGATGCAGCTGAAATTATTTGCATCTCTTATAATTGTATCATGGCCTTATTATGTGTAATAATAACATTTCAGAAAATATCTAGTTGAAATATATATTGAATATAAATCATTATATATCCAGACCCAGTTTAAATTTAAATATACAGGCCACAATTACAAAAGTAATTTGCAGAGAGTAATATCACTTTGGGAATTCCTATGCCAGCAATTAGTTTTATGGGTAAATACAACAGAATTAGGAAGGGCTAGGCAAGGAGTTGCATGGAGAAACATATAAAAGGAGTTGAAATAAAAATAAAATGAATTCATGAACTACATATTATTCTCATGCCACTCTCTCTCCTGCTCCGGCACCACCTATTTTTGTTTTGTTTTGTATTGTTTTGTTCTGTCAGCATACAATATTCCTCCCTCAGGATCTCTATGCTAGTTGTTCTCTATTTCTGGAATACTAGTAAACACCATATGTTTGCCTAGTTGTTTTTTTCTAATCATTTGGCATGAATGTTACTTTCTCCAGTGACCAAGATGCCTTTCCTGAATACTATTTGTAATGTAGTCCCACCTCACCATCTTCCATATCACCTTGCTTTATTACTTCCAAACTACTTTTCATGCTCTAAAATTATTTTGCAATCCACTTCGTTGTTTATTGGCTCTGATCTGACAAGAATGTAAGTTCTAGGAGGGCAGAAACCCTGTCTTATTTTCTACTGAATCTCCAGCACCTAGTATAGAACCAGCTCAAAGTACTCAGTAAATCAGAATGGAGAGGTCATGGAAGGATTCCCAAAGTGGGTGATATTTAAAATGAGTCTGGGAGAATGAATGGAATGTAGCCAGATGGAGAAATGAGGATAAAGCAGTGGCAAAATATTTATGAAGTCATAAACCTCACAGTGTCATGAACCAACATAATACAATGGTGAATTTATATAGATACAGATACAGATATATGTATATAGATAGATAGATATAGTATCTAGCATATCACTAGAACATGGAAAACAGGGAAGTGCTACATGGTGAAGCAAAAAAAAAAAATTAAGCAAATGCAAGAAAATTAGGGCTGTATGTTCTACAATACATATTAAGAGTTTTCTTGAAAACTGTAGGCTTTAAAATGAAAAATCTTCCCTGAAAAATGAAAGACTTTAACCTGGAAGTGACATTATCAGCTTTGTATTTCAGAAGTCTTGAGCAATTTTGTAGAAAAAATAGACTCTTTTCATTACATGTTTAAGACTTTAGTAAATTTTTTAACATTCATTATTTTAAATCACTGACACATACTTGAATAACTCACATTCCTAAATATATACATAAAATGTCAGTAGATCTGATTCAGCCAAAATTCTTTAAATCAGCAAATAATTCACTTTGCATATAGACACTATACAAAAAGAATTTGTTATTTATCGACATTTAAGGACAATGGCAAACTTGTGTGTCTTTAATCACAACTTAAACATTCACACTATTGAATTAAATGCCCTGATGTTATAATAATTATGCAGATTGTGACATACGAGGCTGCCGTGTACAAAATTTGAATTTAAAATACTCTTTTCATCGATATATAGTTAAATTACTTGCCTGACTTCAAGAAATATTTCCTTTTTCTCATTTTTGCTTTTGGGAATGCCAGCCTCAAAAATTTTCTAGTTCCTCAAATTTTTGTTGAACTGCATTAACCATTTTAGGATTTTGTAAAAATATATAAATACGTAATGATCACATGGCCTAGCCATTAGTAAAGTATAAATACTCTAAATTTAAAATAGTTTTAGACATTTCACAGATATATTTGTATTAATCTGTCTGAAGTATACCTAAGATAAAATATTGTTAAATTAAAAAGTAAGATTTAAATATATCTCTATGAATAGACAGAAAAGTTGGTTAATATGCTTTGTGAAAGGAAAAAAGAGATACCCTATAATTAAATTTCAAGGAACAGAGCACGCTTTTGAAAAAGATTGTTTTACTGTCTCTTTCTACATTGAATTGAATATCATAACATTTTAAACAAAGTTTATGACAGTAAGCTTTAGATTCAATACAGACTTTGGTTCAGATCTCAGCTCCATCACTTGTTGGGTCAAGTTACTTATCCTCTCAAGCCACAGTTTTCTCATTTTTTTCCTCTTTCCACTACTGCCACACCCCAGATAACCCATATTTATAAAAGTAGTTTGTTCTTCCATTTTTCCCCATGCTTATGTAATCACATGTAAGCATATCTAGTGTATGCATACATATAAGCATGGCGTATATATCTATATGTAAGTATATATAAAGTTTTTTCCAACAAAATTTAACCATTGTGTTTTTAGAGCAATTTTACTTCAGAAAGATTTAAGATCCTTTTCCATTTGTAAGCAATCATTTCTAAATATGCTTCTCGATGTATTTAAATGATAATTGATAGAAGTTCCGTATGTTCCCCCAAATACTTCAGTTGCTCTTTTACATTCTTTATTCTTGTGTTCTTGGAGATGCAACTCACTTTCTACTCCATGTATCAAGGTCAATTTGACCCAGATAGCATAAATGAGTTCAAGCTTTTAAAATCATATCAACTATAGCCATGGGGACAAAAATCATGAAAATATTGTATTGAAATCACTCTCAATTTTCTTTTCAACATCACAGAATGTGTGAAGATTCAGAAAACTAGTAAAAAGCGAATTGTGTCCCAATTTTCAAGAAAAGAAAATATTGACTTGTAGAAATTACACACAGAAACACTCACACATTTTGTAATAGTTTCCTAGTATTGCCTTAAAAAATTACCACACACGAGATCATTTAAAACAACGGAATTTTATTTTCTCTCAGTTGTGAAGGCCAGAAAACTGAAAATATATATATATATGTTGGTAGGGTTATTTCCTTCTTGCAGACTCAGAAAGAATTTGTTTCATGCCTCTCTCTTAGACTCTAGTGGTTGCTGGCAATCCTTGGTGCTCCTTATCTAGACGCATCACTCTAATCTCTGTCTTTATTGTCACATGGGTTCTCTCTGTGTGTCTGTCTCTGTATCCAAATTTCTCTCTTCTTATAAGGCCACAGTTATTGGATTAGGGTGCACCCTAATACGGTATTGGTTTTCTTTTATTTTGATTACATCTATACAGACAATTTCTAAATAAAATCATATCAAAATATCTTTTTGGGGGACACAACTCAACTAACAACGCATTGTAATGTCAGTTTCAGGCAAATTTATAGTACAGAAGTTGTAAATAATAGCATTTGAGCATTTAACAAAGGCAGTATTGTGTTCTCAATCAAATCTTATAAAATGGACTCATTTCCCCTTCCCTCCTGACTGGTGGAGTAGAGAGATCATGAGCATGTCATAATAAACACTGTTTTTAACACATTAAGCAGAGATTTTAATATTCATTGCTGTGAGCAAGACATTTTAAAATGTGGATTATGTAAAAGGAAAGTCTAAATGGATTTTTAGCTGGTTGAACAATTACAGAAGGTATTGATTACTGAATTTCTGTCATCCTAGAGGTTAATCTCAGAAATGACCTATTAGATTCTTTATCTAACCCAACATTTGTTTCAGTGACATAAATTTAGACATAAAGAAAAAGATTATCAAATTCCATGTGACAAAATCTAAGAAAATGGCTAACATGATAGGTAAACATAATACAGATTCAATTATTAACCTTAATATGCTACATCTGATTTTAGTCACAAGGCTGAGAAGCCAAATGGGCTTAATAAGGAAGATAAAATTATATAGGCACAGTGTGAGTTTCTATTTCTAAAATCAAAAATCAGCTGTCCACACAATAACCATATCTGCAGTTTTAAAAAGCTGGTTAGATGAGAGCCTCCTAAACATGGCTCATCTGATTGTGTTCTTAACTCCCATAACATTTATGTCAAATCCATCTGTGAAGAGCATCTGATAATGAGAAACTATATCCTGAAACACATTGTTGCTGGTGTCCCGTTCCTATCTAATGCTGCACACAAATAGAAATGTTTCCCATTTTTCAAATATTTTTCTCACACTGATTGGTCAGAGGGCAAATTTATTTATCATCTTGGCCTATGTGAAAAGGTATAAAAATTGTGAAACCAATGAAGCACTTTAAATCAAAAAATCATGAGGGTAGTATTGAAAACAGTGGACAATTTGCTTTATATTGTTTACTGGTAAAACCACCAAGCCATTACTTCAGGTGCTAGAAAGAGCCTTTCTCTCACTATACTCCTCTACCTCCACCCACAACATCAGCCGTGGGCTCATTTCTTAACACGTTTGCCTACTTTTTTATTAAAATTATTTGGTTTCCATATCTCTTATCCTTTGCATATAGAACTTATTGGACTAAAGAATTGAGCTCAGGAAATAAAAGCTCATCTATCAGATATTAACAATGATAATATTCTTTCTAGTACACAATGAAAAGACTGACTCTAAGGTAATAATGTTAGGGTTTAATGAACCACAAATATAGTATTACTTATAATACTAGGAGTAAATAATATGCCAATAAAACTAATGCAATTAGGCCTCATTAATAGAGACCTATTGATATATTATTGTATTATCTAAACATCAGATCAAATATTAGAAGGCAATGAATAAACCTAAGGAAGGTAGTCTTAATGTAAGGGATCTGCAATAATGACAAATAGAGACAGCAAAAGGAAATAAGGCTGTTTGGTCTTAGGAAGAAAATACTTAAGGAAAAGTTAATAGCTATTTACAACAATTTACAGCGTTATTATATTAAATAAGTAAGAAAAATATTCTCTTTTGGGATAAAGGATACATGTACATTTAGTTTAATAAAAAAAATTTCTAACAGTTTGGCATGTCTGAAAATAAATTGCTTTCAAAAGTTATGAATTTGTGAGAGTTGGAGCTCCAATGATGATAAGTTAGCTTGGATTGCAATAATCTTTCCCTAGATAACAATAATAAACTCTGGGAAAATATAAAATAAAAACTATTTGAAGGCACTGGAGAACAATCAAAAGCTGACAGAAATTGTAAGGCATCTGACTGGTAATATTGTCTGGATATCTGTCCTCTCCAAATCTCATGTTGAAATGCGATTCCCAATGTTGAAAGTAGGGCTTAGTCGGTGATGATTGGATCATGAGGGTGGGTCGAGGGTAGGTCCCACCTCCTCATGAACGGTTTAGCACCATCTCCTTGATAAGTGTGTACTTACTCAGTTATTTCACATGAGATCTGGTTGTTTAAAAGAGTACGGGACTTCCCCCTTCTCTCTCTTGTTCCCTCATTCACCATGTGATGTGTCTGCCCCCGCTTTGCCTTTTGCCATGAGAAAAGGCTCTGGAGGCCTCACCAGCAGCCAAGAAGATGCAGGCACCATGTTTCCTGTACAGCCTGCAGAACTATGAGCCAATTAAATCTCTTTTCTTTATAATTCAGCCAGCTTCAGATATGTCTTTGGAGCAACACAAAAACATCATGTTGATACAGACTATTGGTCCCAGGAGTGCAGTATTGCTATAAAGATACCTGAAAATGTGGAAATGGCTTTGGAACTAGGTAATGGGCAGAGGCTGGAAGAGTTTAGAGGGTTCAGAACAAGACAGAAAGATGAGGGGAAGTTTGGAACTTCTTAAATGGTGAAATGGCTGTGATCAAAATGCTGATTAAAATATGGACAGTGAAGTCCAGACTGAGGAGGTCTCAGATGGAAATAAGGAATTTATTGGGAACAGGAGTGAAGGTAGCCCCCGTTACGCCCTCGCAAAGAACTTAGCTGCAGTGTGTCCATGACTTAGGGTTCTGTGGAAGTTTGAACTCAAGAGTAATGACCTAGGAGGCTATCTGGTGGAAGAAATTTCTAAGCAGCAAAGCATTCAAGATGTGGTCTGGCTGTTTCTAACAGTTTACCATCAGGTACTGGAGCAAAGAAGTGATTTAAAGTTGGAACTTAAATATAAAAGGGAAGCAAAGTTTAAACATTTGGAAAATTCAGAACCTGGCCATGTGGCTAAAAAGGGAAACGCATTTTCAAGAGAGAAATATATGCAGGTTGCAGAGCAGCAACTTGTTAGAGAGATTAGCATGACTAAAAGGGAACCAAGTGCTAATATCCAAGACAATGAGGAAAAGATCTAGCAGGCATTTGAGAAATCTCTATGGTAGACCCTCCCATCAAAGGTTCAGAGGCCCAGGCAGAAAAAATTGTTTAGTGGAGCAGGCTCATGGCCCTGCTGCCCTGTGCAACCTCTGGACATTGTTCCCCAAATCCTGGCCTCTCCAGCTGCTAGAGTTCAAAGAGCCTCTGGCATAGCTTGAGCCATTGCTTTGGAGGGGATAAGCCATAAGTCTTGGCAGCATCCATGTGGTGTTAAGTATGCAGGCCCATGGTATGCAAGTTTGAAGAAGACTTGGCAGCTTTCCACTCGATTTCAGAGGATGTATAAGAAAGCTTGGCTGCCCGGGCAGGAGCCTGCTACAGGGGCAGAGTCCTCACAGAGAATCTCTACTAGGACAGCACAGAGGGGAAATGTGGGGTTGGAGCCCCAACACAGAGGCCCCACGAGGGCACTACCTAATGGAGCTGTGGGAAATGTGGGGTTGGAGCCCCAACACAGAGTCCCCACGAGGGCACTACCTAATGGAGCTGTGGGGAGGGGGCTGCCAGCCTTCAGACCCCAGAATGGTAGAGCCACTGACAGCTTGCAACCTCATCCTGGAACCAAAACAGGCAACCAACTCCAACCTATGAGAGTAGCCATGGGGGCTACATCCTGGAATGCCACAGGGGTGGAGCTGCCCAAGGTGTTGGGAGCCCACTACTTGCATCAGTGTGCCCTGGATGTGGGACATGGAGTCAAAGGAGATTTTGGAGCTTTGAGATTCAATGACTGCTCTGTTGGGATGCAGACTTGTGTGGGGCCTATTGCCCCTTTCGTTTGGCCAATTTCTCCCTTTTGGAATGGGAATGTTTACCCAATGCCTGTACCACCACAGTATCTTGTAGGTAAATAACTTGATTTTAATCTCACTGTCATAGGTGGAAAAAAAAAACAACTCCATATGAAACTTTGGACTTGTGACTTGGAATTTGGGACTTTTGAGTAATACTGGAAAAAGTTATAACTTTGGGGAACTATTGTGAAGGCAATATTGTATTTTAAAATTTGAAAAGGACATAAGTTTTGAGGGGCAAGGAGTAGAATGATATGGTTTGGATATTTGTCCCCTCAAAATCTCCTGCTGAAATGTGATTCCCAATATTAGAGGTGGGGCCTGGTGGGAGGTGATTACATGATGAGGATGGGTCCCTGATGAATGGTTTAGACCAGCCCCTTACTGATAACTGACTTTTTGCTCAATTAATTCATGTGAGAACTTAAAGACTTTAAAAGAGTCTGGGACCTTTCCCTTTTCCCATGTGACATGCCTACTCCTCCTTTGCCTTCTTCCATGAGTAAGAACTCCCTGAGTCCTCCCCAGAAGCAGACCAGATTTAGGTGCTTCCTGTATAAGCTGCAGAACTGCGAGCCAACTAAATCACTATTCTTTTAAATTACCCAGCCTCAGGTATTTTTTTGTGGTGATGCAAAAATGTCTTAATTCAACTAGTGAAGAAGGGAATTACAATGACTGAGTGAGACCCACGCTTATAGACACTTTCCCTGTGGGTACTCCCAGTTCTCAGATGTAACGTAGCTAGAACTCAAGTAGGATGCATCAGAATTACTGAGTTGTGATATCGGTGTAGAGATTTCAGGCTACCAGGGTGCTTATAAATGAAGAGTAATCCCAGAAAGTAGGGAGACACAGAGACAATAATATTAATACCTGCCAATTAAAAGTCCTCAAATCCTTGACTGACCGTGGAACTGTGTGTCTATTGGGGACGCTCCAATGATGCCAGCAGAAAGGAGAAGGCAGCAGCTGAAAGGACTGGACAGAGATTTCAATTGCTGTATACAGCAAATGAAATACTGTTTGGAATCTGAGTAACACAAAGGATAGAGGAGCCTAGTAAAATCTTCAGGTATTCAATAGTCATGCCTTAAAGTATAAACCAATGGCTCCGGATGTTAAAGGTGATCAGCCCTCAAATGCCTGCCAGAGAATGCTTTCTCCTTAGAGGAAGAAGACATAACTCAGATATATTATTTGCAATGCCCTGTGCATAATAAAAAAGTAATATCCATTGTAAGAAAAAGAAAATCATGACTCATCATCCAAAAAAAAAAAAAAAAAAAAAACCAGCCCATAGAAATACATGACAAGGTGAAATACATGTTGATATAAAGTAGTAAAACAGTATGTTAGGGTGTTCTTGCATTGCTATAAAGGAATACTTGAGACTGAGTAATTTATAAAGAAAAGAGGTTTAATTGGTTCTGCAGGCTGTACAGGAAGCACTTGAGACTGGGTAATTTATAAAGAAAAGAGGTTTAATTGGCTCTGCAGGCTGTACAGGTTTAAATGGTTCTGCAGGCTGCACAGGAAGCACAGTGATACCATCTGCCTCTAGTGAGGCATCAAGAAGCTTACAATCACGGCAGAAAGCAAACGGGGAGCAGGTGTATTAATGGCAAGAGCTGGAGTGAGACAGAGAGGGGAGAGGACACACTCTTTTAAATAACCAGATCTCACAGGAACTACCAGAGCAAGAACACACTCATCACTAAGGCAATGGCACTAAGCCATTCACAGGAGATTCTCCCTTATAATCCAAACACCTCCCAACAGGCCACCTTTAACACTGGGGATTACATTTCAACATGAAATTTGGGAGGGACACAGATCCAAACCTTATCAAACAGTTATTATAAGTTAAAAAGTTAAGAAAATGATGGTCTTAGTGAATGAACAGATGTGAAATCTCATCAAAAGACATGGAAGCTGCACAAATGAACCAAATAGAAATACTAGCACTGAAAAGTGTTAATACTGTAATGGACTTAACAGTAGATTGAAATAAGGGTCAGCATATTTTTGAGACGGATCCATAGAAATTATTTAACTTAAAGAGAAAAAAATCAAAAAAATGTAAATAAAGTCTTGGTGAGCTGTGAGTCAGTATCATATGGTCCAACATACAATTAATTGAACTGAATTTCCAGAAGGAGAAGAGAGAGAAATGGGTATGGTGCAGTAAAGAAATAATGACTGCAAGTTTTTCAAATTTTGTGAATAATATCTACTTATGTATCTGTGAAACTCAGAAAACCACAGTAGAATACAGAAAGAAGCATACATCATAGACTAACTGCAGAAAAACCAATGATAAAAAGTTATTCTTAAAACCAACAATATGCATTCTGTCAGATAAAAATGGAGGTCAAAATTGTTGGGGAATAAAATAAAAAAAATCTGTACACCCAGAATTCTATAACCAGTAAAAATATCATTACAAAATTCATACAAAATAAAAACATTTTTAGATTTAAAAATCTAAAAAGATTTTGTCTGTAGCTGTTCTGCACTACAAGAAATACTAAAGGGACTAGGTATAGTGGCTCACACCTGTATCCCAGCACTTTGGTAGGTCAAGGCAGGCAGACTGCTTGAATCCAGGAGTTTTAGACCAGTCCATGTAACAAAGCCAAATCTTGTCTCCCCCCTCCAAAAAAAAAAAAAAAAATTAGCTGGGCATGGTGGCATGTGCCTGTAATCTCAGCTACTTGGGACGCTGAGGTGGAAGAATCACCTGAGCCCAGGAGGTCGAGGCCGCAGTGGGCTGAGGTTGTGCCACTGTACTCCAGCCTAGGCAACCAGAGTGAGACACTGTCTCAAAAATAACAAGAACTACTATAGGAAAGTCTCTAGCCTGAAGGTAAGTGATAATAGGTGAAATTAAGATCTATAAGAAAAAAAACGAGGAGCACAGGAAATTGTGTATATGTGGAAATATAGAAAAGCTATTTTCTTCTTTTAATTTCTGTAAAAGACAATGCACTAGTTAAGCAAAACTTAAAACATTTTGTTGTGTAAAGTCTATAATTAATGGGTATGTAAAATCTGATAGCATTTGCACATACAATTGAGGAACTGTAAAGTAATTATAAATTTCTTAACTTTATGTGAAGTGGTACATTATTAACTCTAAGTAGACTGTGGTAACCTAAGAACAACCAGTGAAAAGGAAATAACACGAAGAAATACACTTGGAGCAACAGAGCAACTAAAATGGGATTAGTATAAAAAGTAGTTAATTTGTCATCCCTCGAAATGTCCAGGTTGGAAAGTCATCAGATCAGGAAATTTCAGAAAAACAGGAAATTGAGTTCTTCTTCTTCCCCTCGAAAGTTGTGATTTGGGGTATATGACATACTTGATTTTATTTTAATCCCTCAAAGCAATATGTTTCACAAGACATGTTTTGCTCTTGAAATTTTTGGTATCTTCACGTGGCCACTGTGGATGTTTACATTCATAAGCTCAATTACTTGGCCTCTTTCATAAATTTTAAACAAAGGTAACATGCCGAGACCAGCTCAGTCGGGGAGACCCTAACCCAGCGGCGCTAGAGGAATTAAAGACACACACACAGAAATATAGAGGTGTCAAGTGGGAAATCAGGGGTGTCATAGCCTTCAGAGCTGACACCCCCGAACAGAGATTTACCCACGTATTAACAGCAAACCAGTCATTAGCATTGTTTCTATAGATGTTAAATTAACTAAAAGTATCCCTTAAGGGAAACGAAGGGATGGGCCGGATTAACTGCAGCAGGAACACGCCCTTAAGACACAGACCGCTCATGCTCATTGTTTGTGGCTTAACAATGCCTTTAAGCGGTTTTCGCCCTGAGCGGGCCAGGTGTTCCTCACCCTCACTCCCGTAAACCCACAACCTTCCAGCTTGGGCATTAGGGCCATTATGAACATGTTACAGTGCTGCAGAGATTTTGTTTATGGCCAGTCTTGGGGCCAGTTTATGGCCAGATTTTGGGGGGCTTGCTCCCAACAGTAACATATGCTATTATAATTTAGTTTCACCACCAGTTTCTTTGTTTTATGCTTTCAGTAAAACACTATGTCTGCATCTGAGAAATGTTCTGTGCAATTATTACTGAGAAGAACAGTATGAATTTTTTAATCTATTCTCACATGAATATTAACAAATAACACACATACAAAGAAAAATATAAAATTCTAGAACTCCACTCCCACATCCCTTCCCCTTTCCAACCTTCTCCCACAATGGGGTTCTGCCAAGTACTCCTCAGAGCTTAATCAAGCTTACTTCTGTCCAGTTCTGATTCTTTATAAGGTCAGAGGACCTTCAGTTCTCCCACTTCCTGTCAGTGTATTGTGCTTCTCTCCAAGCACCACCACAGAACTGAATCCCATTGGTCTGAAAGAAATATTTGTGCCTAACAGTAATAAGCAAATGGCATTTTTCTCCCAATGTCAGAAAACATGGGCAACCTGCTCCCTTTCCCCTTTATTGGCGTCTCTCCCGCCTTCCCTCCAAGATCAAATTGGCCTCCCCCAATTCTGTGGAAAAGAAAACAGAATTTCTGGGCCCTATGCCCAAGTGTTTCCAGCCAGCACGGCATTGCCAAGGCTAAATCACCAAGCCAAGGACCTGGGGGTGGGCGCAAATGCAAATCAAAAAGGCTCTTGAGGCCGGGTGCAGTGGCTCACGCCTGTAATCCCAGCACTTTTGGAGGCCGAGGCGGGCGGATCACGAGGTCAGGAGATCGAAACCATCCTGGCTAACACGGTGAAACCCCGTCTCTAGTAAAAAATACAAAAAATTAGCCGGGCGTGGTGGCGGGCGCCTGTAGTCCCAGCTGCTAGGGAGGCTGAGGCAGGAGAATGGCCTGAACCTGGGAGGCGGAGCTTGCAGTGAGCCGAGATCGCGCCACTGCACTCCAGCCTGGGCGACAGAGTGAGACTCCGTATCAAAAATAAAAATAAAAAAATAAAAAAGGCTCTTGAGAAAGAGGGGTTTCTTCATTTTCTCTCTAGGCGCAGTAATCTATGAACAAAGCTCCCTTTCCCAGGCCCTGCAACCTGCCCCTCTGATTGGAAGTGACCGTGGGCTGGCTTTTATCTTTTCTTTCACCTCTTATTAGAGTAGTGACAACTTATTTTCTTCATTTCTTCCTCCCCCTCGGCTTTTAGGTTTCAGCGGACTTCAGGGTGCCCCACCTCTTCCAGGAAGACGCTCCCCCGGGCTGGCGGCTCTCCCAGCGCGGGGCGGGGTCCGAGACGGGGAAGCCGCGCGCGGGGAAGGAGGGTCCAGGCGTGCCGGACCCGCCCCCAGAACCCGCGCCTAGCCCTCCCTTCCGCGCGCTTACTTTGTTTATAACTTGAAAAATCCTCTCCGTCTCCCTTCCCTGCCTCCTTTCCTTTCCCTTTCCTCTGCCAGTACAACTAGACCCGGCGTCTGGCGTCCCCGGTGCCCAGCATTCTGCGGGGCAGGCGGTGAGTGGGGCTGGACAGGCGGGCGCAGAGCAGGACAGGGTGGCGCGGGCGCCCGGGCTGCGGGGCCGAGGGCGTCGTCAGGGGAGGCCCGAGGCCGCGGTGCCTGCGGGCAGGCGCGGAGGTTGCGCGGCGTCCTGCGCTAGCAGTTCCCGGACACTGCGCTCGCGTCGCATCCTCAGGTGGTTGCAGAAGTTCCGTGGTGTCGGGCGCGCGTCTGCACTGCAGACGCAGAGGGTTTGGGAGCGAGCAGTTTCCTGCCCAGGGATGGGGGTCCTGGCTGCACTTCACGGGGGCGGCCCTTTCGTTTCGCTCTGCGTGACAGGTCTCGCTTGATTGGGTTTCTCATGGGTCTCTGGCGTTTCTACGGCGCGGCTCTCACGGACTCAGGCCAGGCCACTCGCAGGTAAAAACGCTATTTATAGTAACTTTTTAATTGCTCAGCGAGTGGAGGCGGTGACAGGAGAGAATCCCTCTCTCTTATTTCCAATTCTGGCAAACTGGGGCGATTTGGGGCTGTGCTTGATTTGTTTTTAAAAACGTTCATATTTAAAGACTTAGGATTTTATTTTGTGGCCTTATCTTCTCTTAGGATCTACAATTTAGTTTTTAATTTTATACTGCATTTAGAATGGAGCCACCAAAATAAGTACTTGTGAAGATATAATGCACCAAACTTGATACTGCTTAAAGGGGAATAGATTGCCTAATTTAAATTGCATTCTCCTGTAATAGTAATAGAACACAACCTCCATCTGTCTATCTGCTCTCATGGATAGCTGTGAAATACTAGCAGCATTTCCATTAAATTTGAAAAAGACAAGAATGCTAATCATTACACTCTGTGACATGGTTGTGAATTCTATGGGCGAGTGACAACAGGTAGGGGAACATATTATCACTTTATGCATGATGTGAGTGTATACCTTAATGTCCATAGGAAACACTGAAATTTGATGGGAAGCATAAGTGAATTTATCAAAGTTTCCAATTGCATCATACTTAATTTATAGAAGTCAGTTGATGTTTATACATAAACTAGATAATACAGTAAAATAAAGTAAAATTCAGTTTGGCATGAAATAACACACAATTGAGAAATTATTTTTAAGAAGATATAAAAAGGTATGTATGAGAATCCAATAAAATACATAACATTCTTCTAGGTAAAGATATCATTTCTCTAAAACAACGTATAAGTAGAATCCTAACTGAATATTTTTGTTACTGTTTTTAACTGTACTGTTTAGCTCATGTGGAAGAACAAACATATTAACGTTATGTATAATATATTACAAATAATAAAATACAAAATATATAATTATGTCTTATTTTATATATTATATATGATTTTAACATTTAATATTATACATACACACATATATATAGTGGAGACTTCTTCATATAATAAAAGGTGTTACAAAACTGTGGTGATTAAAAGACAGTGCAGTAGACCTACTACCAGATGTGTAAATGAAACTGAAGAGACATGGAAGAATAAAAGGAAAGCTGGCATTTGATAAGCATACATTTTAAATCACTGGGTGGGAAGAAGAAATAACATTTAATTGAATGTACTTGGACAAGCAGGAATTTGTTTGGGAAACCTAATAATAAAACTGGAACTTTTCCTCACTGTTAATAGACAAATGTAGTCTAGATGGCTTACTAGTTTAAATCTAAACATATGCAGCCTAAAAAGGGAAAAAGAAAGCCTGAATAGATATTTGTGCACATTGCATGTGGGAAAAGCATTTCTAAGCATAATACAAAAACCTAGACCCATTTAGGGACATGATTTTTATTAACATTTGCATCCCCCAAAAAAGATACAAACTGCGGACATTGTTAATAGAAAAAAAAAGATAATTTTGCTAATATACCTAGAAATCTTATTAATGACCTTCAAAATCAATGACCCAGTTAAGGATAAAAAGAGTCAACTCAAAGCAAAAGAAATGCAAATAATAAGCAGAGTGAATACTGTTAGCCACACTAATTATCCAAAACATATATGAAGTAAGACATCAATTTTTGCATTAATTTTACAAATTTTGAAAGTCTGATAACTTTAGGTGTTGTTGAAAATGCAGTGAGGAAAATATAATTTTACAAACTTTTAGTGGAAATGTGAATTGGTGAAGCTGTTTTAGGGTTAAAGCTGTTCAGATTTACAAATGTTCATTTACTTAACTGGAATTTATCCAGCAAAACATGCTCCCAAGTGTACAAATAAAAATCTCTGTCAAAGATGTTTAAAGTAGGATTGTTTACAATGTAGAAAACATGGATACAGCTCTGTAGCCATTGATTGGGAATTGGTTACATAATGTATGGTATATTCAAAGGTGGAATAATATACAGTTTAAAACATTGTAGCTCTAAATGTTCTAACTTGGAAATATGTCCAAAACATAAAGTTAAAACACAAAATGAAACAACAAGTTGAAACACTGTGTGTGTGTGTGTGTGTCTGTGTGTGTGTAGTGTAGTAATTATATTTTTGTAAATAATTTGGAATATAGGCTGAATTATATTGTGAGTAGTGATGTTTTACACACAGCCGAATTATATTATTATGAGTAGTGATGTTGTTTTACACATTTCTATAATGTATGCGTGTGTATAAGGAAAAATTGATAGTGATAGTAATTTATACAGAACATTGCCTTCTTGAATATATTAGCTGTCATTTACTACAGAAGAAATATATTTCACAAAACCTTTCATATTGTCTCATTTTTTTTCTTTTATAAGTGTCCTCTTTCAGCTGCTTCCTTTAAAATCCCCTTCCTTAATATTGATGTTTATGATGTTTATTGCAAGAACAGCAGTGAAGAATTTTGCTTGAGGGATTTCACAACCAGTTAACTTTTATAAACAAAAAATACAGCAATGTTCATACTCATATGTTCACCAGCATTGTGCTAAAATTCATTTTTATAGTACTCATTCTTCAGGATGAAAGAGATAGATATGCTAGTCCTTAAAAAGAAAAACATCTAAAGTTGGAAAAAAATTGTTTTTAATTGCATGGTAAGGCTGGGTGGCGGTAGCTCACGCCCGTTATCACAGTACTTTGAGAGGCAGGGGTGGGCAGATTGTTTTAGCCCAGGAGTTTGAGAGCAGCCTGGGAAACATGGCGATACCCCACCTCTAAAAAAATTTAAAAATTAGCCAGGCATGGTGGCACCCACCTGTAGTGCCAGCTGCTCAGGAGGCTGAGGTAGGACAATTGATTGAGCCTGGGAGGTCAAGGCTGCAGTGAGCCATTATCATGCCACTGCACTCCAGCATGGGCAACAGAAAGAGACCCTGCCTCAAAAATAAAACTGCATGACAAAAATGCAGTGAAGACAAATGATAAGTTTTGAAAAGATAATTTTAATATAAAATTTTAATACCTTTCATATAAAGAAGACAAATGAAAAGCTAACAAAAATGAACAAATGACAAACAGGCAGTTCACAGAAATAGAGTTGCAAATTGCTTTCAAACAAATAATAAAAGTGGCTCAGCCTCCTCATTATGAGATATATGGAAAATAAAACCAATTTTTTTTTTTTATATATCAGATTGACTACTACAAAAATGTTGATAAAATACTGTATTAGGAATGTAACTTTTTGTCTGGGGTCTAAATTGATTCAAATTCTTTAGAGTGCAGTTTGATAGTATCTTTAAAAATGTACAAAACTTTGATCCATCAGTTCTGCTTCCAATAATTTAATGCACAGATCCACAGGAAGAAAATATTTTTTTCAGCATTTTTGGTAATAGCCTAAATTTGGAAACGATTTAACTTGTTGTCATTAGGCAGCCAGTTAAATACATTATGTTGCAGCCATTAAAAAGAATGAGGTTATATGGACTGAAATGTAATTAACATCAAGACATTTTAATAAATGAAAAGAAAAAGACACAGAAAAGTATATAGATGATTGCCATTTTATAAAAACTGTGTGTATTAGTTTATATATGCTTAGAAAATCTATTGGAGGAAAAAAAATCTAATGTCTGTGGTTGCCTTTTCAAATGGGAAATGGGAATTGGAGTAGGTGGGATTTTTTTGTATAAATGTATTGTGTAAATGTATGCACTGCCGACTCCTTGAATTATATTTGTGTTTGTTTGCACATAACATCTGTTTTTTAAAAGTCTGTTTTCATAAATGTAAAGTTTCTTATCAAAGTGACTTAACTGTATGCAACATGACATCTTGTTTTACTACAATTTTAAATACTAAAAGACTAGCTGTAAAATGACACAATGAGGCGTTCTTGGTAATCATAGTTGGCATGGTAATGTTTCCTTAATGTCTTATATAAACATCATGAGAATATTGTTCTGATATTTTTCTACTCTAAATAACAAAAACATTTCCCTTTTGAAAGCTAAAAAGGAGACACCTGATATTCTCTTTAAACAATTTGAACTAAATTAATATATTTAATAAAGGTTATGTATGGACTGTGGCTATCAATTTGCTTTCATTTAATCTTATCTTTTATTTTATATTAAAGCCAAATAGCTAACCTCCAAGATCCTTCACACTTGCTAAAAAGAATGAAATATTCTACCATACACTTTTTCTTTTGAAGGAGTCATGATGTTAATAAAATAATAAATATATTGATATAGGTTATAAAAACAACACAATAAAAATCTTAGGTTTTGCCCTTGTAATTTGTTGAACATTAATCACTCCCTAAGTTTCTTCTAGAATTGATTTTATGCAAAGATACAATTAAATACATATATGTTAACATGTAATTATAATGAAGATACTGTGTATCTATGGGACATTCCTGCTGCAGCATATTTTATCAACATGGACCTAGGTTTATCTTTTGTGCAAGCCTGGAATTCGTTTCTCTAATTTCAGCCCATGTGACAGAAACTTACTAAGTTTACAAGATGTCTACAGAAATGACTGAATCCTTCAGTCATTGGACTTTAATCCACTCATATTGAGCCCACTGAACTATCCAGTTCCCTATAGCCAAGAAACCCATAAAAGTAATTAACACAGTCCACCATAGGAGCCAAGAAATTTGGCTTAAAGTCTATAAAGAGGATTGTACTTGGAAAGGTGTGCATAATATTTCCTCTTTGATGAACATGCAGGTCTTTTTAGTTACAGATTCACTACAAGAGAGTACATTGTCAGGTTTTAAAAATTATTTTAAAAACTCAGTTTATATAATTTATTATACATTTATTGTAGAAAATTTAAAGAGGAAATGTTTATATCTTAGCATGTTTCCTCCAGTTTCCATATTTTTTAAAAACATTGCTATCATTATAATTATCCAGATTATATGTTTAACATTTGAATGTAAACATTTAATGATTTTTACAAAACTGTTACTATATTTTTAAAGGAAAATTATTTTATCATAATGTTTCATGATAATGTGTTTACTTAACAATTGTGCTTGATATTTATGTAGTTTACAATCACTACTATTTTCGTTTTGCATTCCTTCTGTGAAAATGAGAATGTATCACTTAAAAATATTATATGGCATATTTTGGATTTATTTTGAATTTGGTATAGAGGAAATTTACTTGGGTTTACAAATGAGATTTGAGAAAAAATAGATATGTCTTATATTGGTAAACTGAACATTTGATTGAATGTATTATGATTCCTACAGCAGATAGGTTTTTATCTGAATGGGGTAAAATTTCATAGATCTGTAACTGAGGGGGTGTGTGTTGGGGCCAGGAGGGGATATATTAAAATCATCTGGGAAATGGCTTCCATTTTCTTTCCTTATCCATAGAAGCAATGATCCTTTTAAGCTTTATCATGAGACTGCAACAATTCGGTAACATCTTCATGCTTCACTTCTAACTCTTAGTTCTCTTGCTATTCTCTCACATCTGCAGGTACTTCATCCAATGAAGTCTTGAACCACGCAAAATCATCCAGGAGGGTTGGAATCAACTTCTTCCAAGCTCCTGTTAATATTTATATTTTGACTTCCTCCCATGAATAACAAAAGTTCTTAGTGGTATCTAAAATGGTGAATCCTTTTTAGAAAGTTTTCAATTTACGTTGCCTAGATTCATCAGAGGAATCTAGGCCTAGCTTTTGGCCTGTCTTTGCTTTCAGCATGCCTTCCTCATTAAGCTTAATCTTTTCCAGCTTTTTGACTTAAAGTGAGAGATGCACGAACCTTCTTTTCACTTGAATATTTAGAGGCATTTGTAGGCTTATTAATTGGCCTAATTTCAATATTGTTTTGTCTCAGGGAATAGGGAGGTCCTAGAATAAGGGGAGAGATGGGAGAATAGTTGCTCTGTGGAGCAGTCACAACAACACTTACTAAGTTCACCATCTTATATAGGCATGGTTCATGGGGTCCCAAAACAATTATAATAGTAACATCAAAGATCACTGATCATAGATCACCATAACAGATTGTTATGAAAAAGTCTGAAATATTGTGAGAATTACCAAAATTTGACAAAGAGACAAACTGAGAAGTTGCTGTTCTGCAAAATGGCACTGATAGACTCCTTGATACAAGGATGCCACAAACCCTCAATTTGTTTAAAAAAATGGAGTATCTGTGAATCACAGTATAGCAAAGCACAGTAAAACAAGGCATGCATGTACATAATGAGGTATCTTGAGAATGGGACCCAAGTAAACATGAAATTCATGTTCCATTATGTTTTAAACATATAGCCTGAAGATAATTTTATACAATATTTTTGATAATGTTGTGTATGAAACGTTTACGTACGTTGAACCATCAGAAAGCAAAGGTATCAGTATCTCAATCACCCATGTGGACAATCTGTGGTTATTTGACGTCACCATCATTCCTGACTCTAAATTCATTATGCTACTGATAAGTAATCATTTTCTTACATTACTCACAAATAAGTGCTTAACAGTAAAAAATAGGATGTATCATTAGTACAGTGAAAAGAGAATGCGTTCAGGGTAACTAAGCAGCACAGTAGTATCTCCAGAATGCCTGTGTCGGAAAGCCACCAATAAGCAATGGCAGGCTTTCATTCTTTACCTACAATGCTGTATTTTGATTACAAGGTTATCATTCACTGAATTTTATTATTTTAAGTGAGAAGAAATATCAGAAGTAGCCAAGTGACCAGCAAGTGTTTTCTCTACAAATGAGGAAGCATTCTGATGGATGACTTTTCAGAATGTTTCCTCTGGAGTCCGCTGTCTCATTAACAATGGTTTTTGTCTTAGAAGTCTCTGTTGATTTTACAGACTGACACAATTTCTTATTCTGTGATGAATGAATGCTCTTAGAGTCCTTCAGTAAACCCATCACATATTTTCACCATGTCATCTATAGGCACTTTGCAGTTTTAACAGTGTCCTCATCATCTTTCACTTGTGACATCATGTTGGTGCTGAAAGTTTTGGATTTTTGAGCATTTCAGATTTTGGACTTTTGGATTAGGGTTGCTTAGTCTATACAGCATTTTATGTGCCCGAACTCTGCATGAATATTATAATCTTTTCTTAAAGTTAGAGATTGGTTCATCCTTTTTGTTCATTTCTTTGTTTTCAAGAATAAATGACAACACAGTTTTTGTTTTGCTTTCTATTTTTTTGTTTTTCAAGAGTTTTGGAGCATAGTCAGGATCATGATGATAAGAAAGAGATGTATATATGTAACAAACCTGCATGTTGTGCACATGTACCCTAAAACTTAAAGTATAATAAAAAAAAAGATGTATACAGTTGGTAGAGCATATTGTTAGCAGGAGTTTGAGAAGAGGGGTTTCAGTCAATTGAGAGATCCCCATGGAAGAAGCAGGATGAAATACAGATAACAGAACTAATTCTTACAAATTTTTTTTCTGAAAATGGTCCAAGTGTCAATTAGGAACTTTCCAGGTTTGATTTGAAACCCCCACCACAGAATTTGTTTTTCCTCCCTGAGAGATTGATGGGTTACTGTTTTGGGATTAAAGCCTTTGGGGGCTTTCTCTGGTGGAGAAATAGTTCAGACAAAAGGTAGTGGATCCATTAGATGGCTAATATAAAAGTGGACAATGTATTTTCCAGTTGCATGAGTGTTTACCATAAAGGCAGACATCTTGGGGCATAGGGTTCTTTATTTTGGGATCCTCTTGGGCCCTGTAGCCTTTACAACTGTAAAGACATAAACCTGTTTGCCTTTCGTAAGGAATTTTCCCACTGTAGCCATTCTAAGTTACTTTTGCTAAGGTTCTCCCATTCGTCTCGAAAAGCACAGGTTCTGGGTCTCTGGTTTTTATACATGAAGTTGGCTAGAATTCCAGAGGGCGAAGCTCTAGCAACCTTTGACCAGATAAACCCATGATTCTATGTCTTTTATTAACCTTTCCTACCTACTAACTGAGTTGAGTTTATGTCTGACCCAGTCAAATACCTGAGGCCTCCCTACTGGGCCCAGTCCTGTTGTTGGCATGACTTTGAAACCCAGTGTAGATCAAAAATGCTCAAACTCAGCTCAAATCAGAAGTTCATGAAGCTTAGATTCAAAAATCTCACCCATGACCCCAGTTGCTGCGAAAGAGCAGTGAGTACACTGGGCATGCTGGGTACCTTAACTTGGTCACTCAGTGCTCCTGGGATCACTGGAAGTTTGCTTCAAGATCTGACTTCTCATGTGAAACTCTTAAAAGAAAAACTTTAGGCAAATTCAGCAGAGTTTATCTGAGCGAAAAACGATTCATGAATCAGGCAGCCCTCAGAACCAGAAGAGTTTCAGAGAGCTCCACCGAGCAACATGGGCAGGCAGTATTCATAAACAGAGGAAAGAAGTGACGTACATAAATCAGTTGATTGGATCCAGCCTGGTATTTGCTTTATTTGGTCATGGTGTGATGAGGCATTTGCCTTCAACGGACATGGTCTGATCAGTTGACAGCCCGTGATTGGCTGAAGCTCCACTACCATCATTGGCTGAGACTCAGCTACTTGTTACAAGAATACAACCTCAAATCAAGTTGCAGTCTGCTATTTACAGAGGCAGCTTTAGGCCCAATTTAATTTATCAGGTTATGATTTAGATTACGTAGAAATGTGTTGTTTTATTTTTATGTGGTTAGAGAATTTCCTGTTATCTTGCGGTTAGTAATTCCTAGCTCATTACATTATGGTCGGAGAACAAGCTGTATTATTTTAATTTTTTTGTAATATTTTAAGATTTGTTTTATGAGCCAGAATGTGGTCTGTCTGGGTGAATGTTCCGTACGTTGAAAATAATGGTTATTCTAATGCTGTTGGGTGGGTGTCCTACAAATGTCAGTGTTGGTTGATGATGCTGTCTAGTTGTGCCAATATCATTGCTGATTTTTCCTCTGCTTGTTCTTGTAGATTACTAAGAATGGAGTGTAAAAGTCCTCAACTGTAACTGTGGATTTCTCTTTATTTTTTTCAATTTTGCCAGTTTTTCCTTCATGTATTTTGAAGCTCCATTGTTAGGATCAGTCATGCTTAGGATTGCTGTATCTTGTTAAGAAATTGTCTCTTACTTTTAAGTGATAGCCCTTCTTATCTCTGGTAATTTTCTTTGCTCTGAAATCTACTTGTGAGATATTAGTATAACCACTCCAGCTTTCTTTTTCTCTGTAATGACTTTGTTGAGACATAATTCACATACCATAAAATTCACCCATTCAAAGTGTACAGTTGAGTGATTTTTAGTATATTCAGAGTTGTGAAGCTATCACCACAATCTAATGTTAGAATAATTTCATAATTCCAAAAAGAAACCCATGCCCAATAACAGTCATTTCCCATCTTCTTGAAGCCACAAATCTACTTTATGCCTTTATAAACTTGCCTATTCTGGATAGTTCACATCAGTAGAATCATGTACTATATGGTTTTTTTGGTGACTGACTTCTTTCTAGTAGTGTAATGTTTTCAAGGTTCATCCAGGATATAGCATGTATAGCCATACAAAATTACTTTGTATGGCTGAGTCATATTTCATTGTAGGGATATTTAAAAATTGATCAGTTTACCGATTGATGGATATTTGAATTGTTTCTATTTGTTGGCTATTATGTGTAATGCTATTATGAACATGTTTTTGTGAAGGCATTTATTTTCATTTCTCTTAGGTATATACCTAGAAAGAAATTACTAGAGGACATGGTTAACTGTATTAACCATAATGAAACTCTATGTTTAATCTTTTGAGGAACTGCCAGACTGATTTTCAAAGCAGCTTTAACATTTTACATTCCTCAGCGACATATGAAGGTTTCGATATCTACATATCTCTCCTAAAACGTGTTGTTATATTTTTTATTATAGTCATCTTACTAGGTGTGAAGAGTATCTAATTGTAGTTTTGTTGTTATTTTTCAAGAGACAGGATCTTGCTCTGTCACCCAGGCCAGTATGCAGACACAGTCATAGCTCAGTGCAGCCTCGAACTCCTGGTCTCAAGAAATCCTCCCACATCAGCCTCTCCTGTAGCTGGGACTACGGGTACATGCCACCTTGCTCAGCTAATGTTTATTTTTTCGTAGAGACGGGGTCTCATGATGTTACCCGGGTTTCTAACTCCTAACCTTAAGGAATCCTCCCACCTTGGCCTCCCAAAGTGTTGAGATTACAGGCATGAGCCACTATGACCGGCCTTAATGCCTTAATTAGTTTTGATCCGCATTTTTTTTAATGATCAGTGATATTGAGAATATTTTTATGTGCTTATTGGCTATTCATATATCTTCTTTGGAGAAATGTGCAAATTCTTTGGCCATTTTTCAATTGAGATGTCTTTATTTTTGAGTTGGAGTATTCTTTATTTTGGACAAAAGTCTCTCAGATAAATGGTTTGAAAATATTTTATCTCATTCTGTGGGTTCTGTTTTCATTTTCTTGATGATGTCCTTTGAATTACAAACCTTTTAAATTTTTATGAGTCCAATTTATTTATTTATTTATTTTTGTTGCTTTTACTATTGATGTCATATCAATGAAACCATTGCCTAACCCAATGTCATGAAGATTTACTCCTGCGTTTTCTTCTAACATTTATTAGCTTTATCTTTTGCATTTAAGTATTTTTTTTTTCTTTTTTTGAGATAGAGTTTCACTCTTGTTGCCCAGGCTGGAGTGCAATGGTGCAATCTCGGCTCAGAGCAACCCCCACCTCCCGGGTTCAAGTGATTCTCCTGCCTCAGCCTCCCAAGTAGCTGGGATTACAGGCATGTGCCACCATGCCCAGCTGTTTTTGTATTTTTAGTAGAAGTGGGGTTTCTCCGTGTTGGTCAGGCTGGTCTCGAACTCCCAACCTCAGGTGATTCTCCTGCCTTGGCCTCCCAAAGTGCTGGGATTACAGGCATTAGCCACCGCATCTGGCCTGCATTTAAGTTTATAATATACTTTGATTAATTATTTGTATTGGGTATTGTAGGGGTCCAAGTTTTTTTTTTTTTTTTTTTTGTATGTGGATGTACAATTGTCTCAGCACTATTTGTTGAAAAGACATTTCCTTCCCCTGTTGGTATCCTTGTCAAAAATCAATTACCCATAAATGCAAAGATTTGTTTCTGGATTCTCATTTCTGTTCCTTTGGTCTATATGTCTATTCTTTGGACCAATGCCATACTGTTTTGATTGCAGTACATTTGTAGTAAGTTTTGAAAGCAGGAAGTCTGAGTTTTCCATTTTTCATTTGCTTCCAAGATTGTTTTGGCCTTTATGGGACCCTTTTATTTCTATAAGAACTTTGTATTCAGCTTGTTAGTTTCTGGAAAAAGGCAACTTGTATTTTGATAGTGATTTTGTTTCATCTGTAGATAAATTTGGGGAGTATTGCTATTTTAACAATATTAAGATGAACTTGGGATATCTTTTATTTAGATCTTCTTTAATTCTTTCAACATTTCATGGTTTTCAGTGTACAAGCCTTGCACTTTTTAATTAAATTTATTTCTAGGTGTTTTATTATTTTTGGTACTATTATAAATGTAATTGATTTCCTGCATTGTTCATTGCCAGGGTATAGAAATACAATTGATCTTTGTATAATGGTCTTGTATCCTGCTGCATTGATGAACTTGTTTATGCTTCCTTTTTAATGAATTCCTTAGAAACTTTGATATGACTTTAAAAATGTCACATTATTTCTATTTCAGATGGCTTTATTTCTTTTTTCTAACCTAATCACTCTGGGTAGAACATCCAGTACAATGTTGAAAAGAAATAGTAACAGTACATACTCTTGTCTTGTTTTGGTCTTAAGGGAAAGCATTTAGTCTTTCTCTGTTGAGTATGACATTAGCTGTGGAGTGCTTCACAAGTTTCTTACGAGATCAAGAAAGTTCTATATTTCTAGATTGTTGAGTATTTATTGTTTTTATCAATAAAGAGTAGTGGATTCTTTTGAATATTTTTTCTGTCATCTATTGAGATTACATAGTTTTTGTCCTTTATTTTATTACCATGATATATTCATTGATTGAGGTTTTTTTTGTTTGATAAACCATTTTATTACTACAATAAATCCCACTTGGTCATGGTGTATTGTGGTATATTGTGGATTCAGTTTTCAAGTATTTTGTTGAGAATTTTTGTGTCAGTATTCTTCATGGTTATTAGTGTAGTTTTGTTGTGTTGTCTTTACCTAATTTTGATATAAGGGTCATACTGAAATAAAATAAGTTTTAGAAGAGTTTGCGAAGGGTTGATATTCATTCCTTATTAAGTATTTGGTAGAATGCACAAGTAAATCATCTGTACCTGGGTTTTTTTTTTTGTGGGAAGTTTTTTTGGTTACTAATTTAGCCTCTTATTACAGTTCTATTCAGGTTTCCTGTTTCTTCTTGAGTCAGTTTTGGTAGTGTCTGTCTTCTAGGAATTTGTCCATTTCATCTACTGTATCTAATTGGCATATGGTAGTTTGTAGTATTCCCCTATAATCCTTTTTTCTTTTCAATGTAAGGTTAGTATTAATATGGCTCTTTTCATTCATTATTTTGGTAATTTGAATCTTTTCTCTTTTTCTTTATTAGTGTATCCAAAAGTTTGTCAGTTTTGATCTTTTCAAAGCAACAATTTTTAGCTTTTTTGATTTTCTTTTTTATTCTCTATTTTATTTATTCCTACTCTAATCTTTATTTCTTTCCTTTTTCTTGCTTTGGTTTTAATTTGCTCTTTAAGACATATTTTACAGAGAAAGATTATGTTATTTATTTAAGAGCTTTATTCTTTAAAATTATTTTTATTTACAACTATAAATTTGCCTCAAAACATTGCTTTGGCTGTACTTCATAAGTTTGTGGCCTTTTGTCTTTTCATTGTGAATTTTCATTGTGATTTTTTTGCCAACCCATTGCTTATTAAAGAGACTTGTTTAATATCCACATATTTTGAATTTCCTCAACTTTTTTCTATTGTTGATTTATAATTTAGTTTTCCATTGTGTTCAGATAATATTTTATATGATTTCAGTTTTTAAAAATTTATTGAGGCTCATGTTATAGCCTAATGAATGTTATATCTTGGAGAATGTTTCATATGCACTTGAAAATCAGGTATTCTGCTATTGTCAGTTACAGTGTTACATAGATAATTATAGATCTAATTGGTTCATAATGTATGTGTATTTCCCATCAATTTCATCAGTTTTTGATTGTGTATTTTCAGGCTGTATTGTGATGTGCACATAAGTATGTAATTGTTATATCTTCCTGATAGATTAATTTTTTCTTCTCTTTATGAAATATTCTTCTTAGTCTTCAGTAATAGTTTTTGTCTTAAAGTTTTATTTGTATAAGATTAGTATAGCCACTGCAGCTCTTCTTTGGTTAACACAAAGTACACCTCTTTCCTTTTTCGACCTGTTTGTCTTTATAAATTGTGTCTCTTGTATATGACGTATAGTTGGATCATGTTTTCTCTCTTTTTTTTCTTTTCTTTTTTTAATCCATTCTGCCAGTCTCTACCTTTTGATTGGATTGTTTAATCCATTTACATTTAAGGTAATTACTGGTAAGGTAGGAACTATATCAGATGTTTTACTACTTGTTTTCTATATGTCTTACATTCTTTCTTCTTATTAGTGTATACATGGTATATCTTTCTTAGCCTTTCTTCTTTAACCCTTTTCTCTTTCATCTTTCTCTACCTTATCATTTCATTTGAAGTTAGTTTCTTTTAGAGAGCATGTAATTGAGTCTGTATTAGTCCATTTTCACGCTGCTGATAAAGACATACCTGAGATGGGGCAATTTACAAAAGAAAGCGGTTTAACGGTCTTACGGTTCCACATGACTGGGGAGACCTCACAATCATGGTGAAGGCAAGGAGGAGCAAGTCACATCTTATGTGGATGGTGGCAGGCCAAGAGAAGAGCTTGTGCAGGGAAACTTCCCCTTATGAAACCATCAAATCTCATAAGACTTACTCATTATCAGAAAAGCAGCACAGAAAAGACCTGCCCCCACGATTCAGTTACCTCCCACTGGGTCCCTCCCACAACACCTGGGAATTCAATATGAAATTTCGGTGGGGACACAGCCAAACAATATCAGAGTCATTTAAAAAAATATGCATTTAACTATTCTGTTAACCTCAGTCTCTTTGTTTATACGCTTAGTACATGATTTTAAATGTAAATATTGATATGTTTGAATTTTTGCATGCTTGCTCTCCTTTCTGTTCTTCTTTATCTCATTTTGATTTTATTGATGACTCTGGGGACCTCCTAAACCTCCAGTCCTATGATGGAAGGGGCTGCCTCAAAGGTCTCTGAGATGCCTTCAAGGCATTTTTTCCCATTGTCTTGGCTAGTAGCAATTTCCTTCCTTCTAGTTATGAAATTTCTCAAGATTGCTTGAATTCCTCCCCTGAAAATGGTTTTTTTTTCTACCACATGGCTGGGCTGCAAATTTTCCAAACTTTCATGCTCTGCTTCCCTTTTAAATATAAGTTCCAGTTTTAGGTCATTTCTTTGCTCACACGTATGAGCACAGGTTATTAGAAGCAGCCAGGCCACATCTTGATGTTTTGCTGCTTAGAAATTTCTTCTGCTAGTTACCCGAAATCATCATTCCCGAGTTCAAAGTCTCACAGATCTCTAGGGCAGGGGCACAGTGCAGCCAATTGCTTTGTTAAGGAACAGAAGTACCTTTGCTCTAGTTGCCAATAAGAAGTCTGTCATTTCCCTCTGAGACTGCATCATCCTGGACTTCATTGTCCATATCACTATCAACAATTTGGTCACAACAATTTAACAAGTCTCTAGGAAGTTTCAATATTTCCCTCATCTTCTTCTTTTCTTCTGAGCCCTCCAAGCTGTTTCAACCTCTGCCTGTTACCCAGTTCCAAAGCTGCTTACACATTTTCAGGTATCTTTATAGCAGTGCCCCACTCCTCGGTACCCATTTTCTGTATTAGTCCATTCTTGCACTGCTGTAAAAAAATACCTGAGACTGGGTAATTTACAAAGAAAAAGAGTTTAATTGGTTCACACTTCCACAAGCTGTACAGGAAGCATGATGCTGGCAATCTGCTTGTCTTCTGGGGAGGCCTCAGGAAACTTACAGTCATGGCAGAAGGCAAATGGGGAGCCAGAACTTCACATGGCTGGAGCAGGTGGAAAAGAGAGATGGGAGAGGTACCATACACTTTTAAACAACTAGATGTCACGAGAACTCATCACAAGAACAGCACTAGGGAGATGGTGCTAAACCATTAGAAAGCACCCCCATCACCCAGTCACCTCCCACCAGGCCCAACCTCCAGCATTGAGGATGACATTTCAACATGAGATTTGGGTGGGGACACAGAGCTGAACCATATCATCATCTTTGGATTTTCTTTTTCCACATCAGTGGAGGTTTTTCTGGTTCTTTCTGAACTATAATTCTATATTGTGTTGTAGTCATTTTGCATATTATTTTATGAGATTCTGAGTATTACCGAAATGCCATGGAGCTAATTGATTTTCTTATTGTTTTGGCAGGCAGTTGATCCACTTGGATTGAGGCCAAAAGTTCTGGCCAGCCTTTTGTGAGTTATGATTTCAATGTCAGTTAGTTTAATATTCAAAGTCTTTGCCATGATATTTAGATCTCTTTAGTGTGTGCACAACCCTTGGCCAGTCTGAGACCTGAGCAGTCATCTCTTTTGTATCAGTTTTAAAGTCTTTGTTAGGATCAGATGCTTAGGATCAGATCCATGCATTCATTTCTCCTGGATTAGCTGAGGAGTTCATAAACAACTTTATAGGGACAATCCCAAGCTGCATCTTCTCCATGATCTCCTTGCTACTTACCCATTTTCTGGGTCTCTCCTATTTTGTTTTTCAGCCAGAAAAAAAATGAGGTTTTATTTACCCTTTTCATCTCTGTGTGTCCCCCAAATTCATTTGCATTCAAGGCCAAGTCACAGGAAGGCAGAGAGAAAAAAAAGGGAACAGGGTGTACCCCATTCTTTTGGAGTCACAGCTGCTTGTGTCAAGAGGTAGATTTCTTTCCTTTAGTGTTTTCCACACCTGTGGGCCTTCTCTGATAAAATTACTGCTTTCTCCACAGTGAGACTTCCAGGATCTGGGACATGACAGAATGGAGAAAATAAAAAAAATTTTTTAAAAACTGTGAATTTTCCAGCTGTTTTTGAGCTTTAGGGATGCTCATTCCCCTGCTCAAGCCAGAAGTAGAGGGCTTCTCCTGGAGCTGTCTCTGCATCTAGTGTCTACTACTATGTTTCAGGATGCCTTGAACCAGTATTGGGCCAGGGATACCAGAGAAAAATGTGAAGCTTACTCTGGTTTGATTGTACTTTTTCTGGTCTTCTGTTTCATGTTCTTTCTACTTTTTAATTTCCAGGGTCTTCAAATAGCTGTTCATTCATTCTGTTTAGGTTAATTGTATTTAGTGGGAGAGACAGGTTGGTATCAGTTTACTGCATGTTATCCATAACTGGAACATATGACCTATTATGTTTTTTGGGTTTTTTAGTTCATGGGTAATTTCTCTTCGAACTATATTTCAAAACCCTTACCGAGTGGAATTTGAAAAAGAACACAGCAGAACAGCCTACTTTCCCATTATAGGGTATAGTAGTGAGGTGTGCTTGATAGTTTGAAAGCAACAGGAGGGTGATGGGGTATGAAGGAGAAGGCAGCAACTATATAGAAGGTAATTTTCAGTAGGGTTTGTTTTGTAGAATACTAAGTTGGCCTCTGATGCTGGTTTTTTGAACTGTAGTTTCCAGGTTATAGAGCTATAACCTTGAACAGATTGCTTAAACTCTGTGGGCTTCTGTTTCCTGGCCTGTATAATGAAACCATAATATTCACCTCTGTCAGCATATATGAAGTTCCTGACACATCATAGATGTTTACTAATTCATATCTAAAACTTAAAGAAACTGAGAGTTTAAAATATAGCAGGTCATTTGGAGTCATAATCAGTAGGTAATCCTTAACATCTTTATAGCCAGCTGCTCCTTTAAAAAATGCCTTAAAACTTCTCTAAAAAATATTAGAAATTTTCATTTATAAGAATCCCCATTTTCCGTGGGGCCCCATTCAAGTTAGCTTTAAATTGAAATGTAACAACAGTTATCTGTTCAAAAATTTTGAAATATGACTGTTTTACCTACCTTTTCTAGTGTTGTGGTTTGGTGATATGTTAAAAATAATTTAACATATTAAATAACATTGTGATATGTTAAAAATAATTTAACATATCCAGTTATTTCTACATAGCAGGGTTCCCAATATAGTATGTGGCCGAGAGAATTATATTTTGTAATCTATATTATTAGCAGAACAATGAAATAATATAGATAAATGCAAAAATGACAAAATTTGTAAATTCAAAGGAACTATCTCCCATGTAAATTCACTAATGATAAAAAAGCTTTTAAAGAATTGAAACTTAAAAATATAAAGCATTGTTTTTGTCAAAGAAATTGATGTATGTAAACTTCATCAGTCTTGTGGTACATCATCATCCAGAATTTATAGGTAGTCAAATACAGGGAAACAAAAGTATGTCCAGAGATGTGGAAGCATAATTCAAGCTTGTAATGTAGATTTTCTTAAAGGATGTAGTATAAGTTTGCACACAGTAAAAAACCTCTTTAGGCAATGTTTATTGGGTACCTACTATATGCAGACATGACTCTATGTACTCCAAATTGGAAGAGAGGAAGTCAAACTATCTTCACAGATCATATGATTCTGTACCTAGAAACTGCCATGGTCTTTGCCCAAAGGCTCCTAGAACTGATAAACAACTTCAATAAAGTTTCAGGATACAAAATCAGTGTAAAACAATCAGTAGCATTTCTATACACCAGTAATGGCCAAACCAGGAACCAAATCAAGAATGCAATACCATTCACAATAGCTACAAAAAGAACAAAATATCTAGGAATACAGCTAACTGCGGAGGTGAAAGATTTCTACAGTGAGAATTACAAAACACTGCTGAAAGAAATCAGAGATAACATAAAAACATGGAGAAACATTCCATGCCCATGGATAGGAAGAATCAATACCATTAAAATGGCTCTACTGCCCAAAGCAATGTACAGATTCAATGGTATTCCTATCAAACTACCAATGTCATTTTTCACAGAATTAGAAAGATATGATTCTGAAATTCATATGGAACAAAAGGAGTGCAAATAGCCAAAGCGATCCTAAACAAAAAGAAGAAAGCCAGAGGCGTCACACTATCTGACTTCAAACTGTATTATAAAGCCACAGTAACTAAAACAACATGGTTCTAGTACAAAAACAGACATATGGAACAACAGAATAGAAATAAAGCTGCACACTTACAACCATCTGATTTTTAACAAAGTCAACAATACCAAGCAATGGGGAAAGACTTCCTGTTCAATAAAAGGTGCAGGGATAACTGGCTAGCCATATGCAGAAGACTGTAACTGTACACCGTCCTTTCATCATATACAAAAATCAACTCAAAATGGATTAAAGACTTAAATGTAAGACCTAAAACTATAAAATCCCTAGAAGAAAACCTAGGACATACCATTCTGGATGTAGGCCTTGGCAAACATTTTGTGATTAAGTCTCCAAAAGCAATTGCAACTAAAACAAAAATAGACAAGTGGCACCTAATTAAACTAAAGAGCTTTTACAGAGTAAAAGAAACTATCAACAGAGTAAATAGACAACCTACAGAATAGGAGAAAATATACAAACTGCACATCTGACAAAGGTCGAATATTCAGAATCTGTAAGGAATTTAAACAAATCAACAAGTGAAAAACAACCCCATTAAAAAATGGGCAAAGGTTATGAATAGACATTTTTTAAAAGAAGACATAAACATGGTCAACAGGCATAAGAAAACAGGGTCAGCATCAGTAATCATCAGAGAAATGCATATCAAAACCACAATGATATACTATCTCATAGCAGTCAGAATGGCTATTATTAAAATGTCAGAAAATAATAGATGTTGGTGAAGTTACAGAGAAAAAGGAATGCTTATATACTGCTGGTGGGAATGTCAATTAGTTCATCCACTATGGAAAGCAGTTTGGAGATTCTAATAGAATTGAAAACGGAACTAGCATTTGACCCAGAAGTCCCATCACTGGGTACATACCAAAAGGAATGTAAATTGTTCTACCAAAAAGATACATACACTTCTATATTCATTGCAGCACAATAGCAACAACATGAAGTCAACCTAGTTGCCCATCAGTGATGTACTGGATAAAGAATATATGGTACATATACTCCTTGGAATACTATGCAGCCTTAAAAAAGAAGGGAATCATGTCCTATATAGCAACATGGATGCAGTTGGAGGCCATCATCCTAAGGGAATTAACACAAGAACAGAAAACCAAATACTGTATCTTCTCATTTATAGTGGGAGCTAAACATTGAGTACACATGGAAACAATGAGGAGAACAATAGACACCAATGCCTTCTGGAGGGCAGAAGGTGGGAGGAGGGTAAGGGTTAAAAAACTACCTGTCAGTTACTGTGCTCATTACATATGTGATGAAGTCATTTGTACACCAAACCCTATTGACACGTAATTTAGCCATGTTACAAACCTGCACTTGTTCACCCTGAACCTAAAATAAAAGTTAAAAAAGGAAAAATAATAACAAAGGACTACACCATTAAAACATGTCTTAAATTTCTTCCTTTATGGAGCTTATCTTCTAGCTGAAGCGTCCATCCAATTTAATTCTCTTTAAGGTTCTTACCTCTTTAAAACTGTTTACCCTTTTACTGCTGCGAATTTTCTTCCTCCTGTCCCTCTCCTTTCCCTCTCTCATTGTCCTTACCAGGAGGCTCCCTCTCCACTTTCCCACCTCTTCTGCTCCTCCTCGCTCTCTCTGTTACACAGCAACATGTCCAAGCAACAAAGAGACAATAGTATTTCCTTTTTGGTCCAGTGACTTTGTTGGGCCATAGTAGGATGGCAAAGACCCCAACACTCCCTTTCATAAATATGATCTCCCCTTGAGCCACTTTCCAGGGAGGAATGTGATCAGTTCACAATATGTTTTTAAGAATTTTTATTATTATCCCTGCATGCATACACATAGAAACACAAACCTGCACAGACACACATAGGAAATCCACCAAAATTTTAAGAATAGTTATTTTGAGAAAGTTGAATTAAGGGTATAGTCACATTTTTATACTTTTATTTCTTGATTTTCTAAAAAGGAAAACATACTACTTTTGTAATCAGAAATATGTATGTATGTGTATGTACCGTTGTAACCATTACACAATTACTATTATTATTATTTTTTAGCAATCTAAGTACAGTATTGCAATTCAGTCTGACTCTAAACACCCAGAATTTGCAACTCCACAGGCTTAGGGGCCTACTTCCTAACAAGACTGCCTTCACTTCAGACAGGTTTGAGGATTTCCAGGCCACTCACACTTCTGACCAACTAGCTACAAATTCATATGTTCTCATCAACCCCTCAGGTATGATCATTTCCTAGAATGACTCACAGAACTCAAGAAAGTGCTCTACTTACAATTAACATTTTATTATAAAGGATAAAAATTGGCTAGGTGCAGTGGCTCATGCCTGTAATCCCAGCACTTTGGGAGGCTGAGGCGGGTGGATCACGAGGTCAGGAGATCGAGACCATCCTGGCTAACATGGTGAAACCCCATCTCTACTAAATATGCAAAAAATTAGCCAGGCGTGGTGGCGGGCGCCTGTAGTTCCAGCTACTTGGGAGGCTGAGGCAGGAGAATGGCGTGGACCCGGGAGGCGGAGCTTGCAGTGAGCCAAGATTGCACCACTGCACTCCAGCCTGGGTGACAGAGCGAGACTCCATCTCATAAATAAATAAATAAATAAATAAATAAATAAATAAATAAATAAATAAATGAAAAATAAAATGATAAAAATCAGGACCAGTCAGTTGTGGAGATCCATGGGATGAGACCTAGGAGGGTCATGAACACAAAGCTTTCATGCCTTCTCTCTGTGGGGTTAGGATTCATCACATTCCCAGCACATTGATGTGTTTACCAACCAGGAAGCTAACTAGAGTCAGGTTTTTTATGGGGATTTTATTATACTGGCATGACTACTTGAATTATTGGCTTCATGGATTGAACTCAGTCTCAAGGCCCCCACCCCCCTGGAGGTCAGGCAAATATGATGTTACTCAAAGCTCCAATTCTCTAATCACATCATGATTCTTTCTGGCATGATCGGCCTCCCTATTATGTTGCCACCTTAGCAAAATCTCAGGTAAGGTCCAAGGGCCCACCAAGGAAAACAGAAACACTGCTATTACTTGCAAATTCCAAGAGTTTAGAAATTGCTTTCCCGGAACCCAGGGCAAAGACCAGAATAATTCTCTATTATGCAATACTAAGTTATATGTAACAACTAAAATTGATTAGCTTTTACTTTCTATGGAGATAGAAGAAAATAGTTAATACATCAGACATTTAGGAACATCTAGTAGATACCTCTTTTTAAAGCAAGGTGTATACATTTTCTTAGACCTATTAGCACTTATATTCACCCAGCCTAGGTACTTGTGATATATTAGAGGGTTTATAAAATTTAAACATTTAAAGAATATTTATATTTTTATTTAATTTCATAAAGACTTTCTTATAAATAAAATGTTTTATTCTAATCACTTACACATATATTAGTTCAGTTGCATCTTATACCATGAAGTACTGTACTAATACAGACAAATACTCAATTTTTGTAGTACAAAATTATGAAAACTCAATATTTATATGTTGATAGAATGAACACTATATTCTTTTAATTTTTGGAATATGTCATTAATATAATCTTAATTTTCTGATCTTTTTAAAGTTTACTACAAGATACATCCATCATCTGAATAATATAAGTATTGTCACTATCCTGAACTGAAAGCAAATTTTTTAGCCTCTTAAGGTGTACCCTAGCTCATTTGTCTTTCATTTAGCTGCAAATAGGAAAACCCCTTTGGCAATGTCTCCGTTTTTTTTTTCTCCCCACTCCTTCCACTTTGAAATTCATACAAACAATGCTCATGAAATCCCATTTGCTAGAACATTACTGGATATAGAAGATGGGAATTAGTGGTGTCAGCTCAGAACCCAGAGTAGAATCTTACATATGGATGCTCAGTAATACATGCTGAGTTGCTGACTGGCAGACAGATTTTTAAAAATACTGCTGTTAAACACACACATTTATTCTTGGTCTCTTCATCAGTATGTCTTACTAGTGAAATAGTAGTAATAATGCAAGTTTATTGAGGATTTTTTATATGGCAGGCACTGTTTTAAGTGCTATACAAATGTAATTGTTTTAGTCTTCACAGTATTTCTATGAGGTTGATCCAGCCATCATCATCCCCATGATTAACAGGATAACCTAAGAACAGACCAGTCATTCAGGATTACACAGCCATCAGAGAAAGATCTGAGATTTGAACCCACTCTGGACCACTGTCCATACTGTCTGAAGTGTGTCAGAATACACTATTTAATAGTCACACAATCTTCTGCTTTTCTCCAGGTATTCTTAAAGGAAGATTAAGATGGACAAAGAATATAATCTCCTATCAGTTACATAATAAACACAAAAGGGATATCATGGTAGCTGGTGTAGGACTTTGCAGGAGCGAGCTATTTTTCTTGCCTCTGCTAAGAAGCAGAAGGAATTGCTCATTGACCTGCTTTCTGTTCTCTTCTCTCAGGGTTAAAGGCACTGGAGACAGACAGGACCCAGAGTTTTAGAATGCATATGCTGCTTCCAAGCCTTGTGCCTGCAGATTCTCACTGCCCAGAGCCTCCCTTGTGGAGAGGCCAGGATAGCTTCCAGTAAATACTCTACTCTAAGAGCTAATCCTGTTGAGTTTTGTGATTGAATTTCCAAATATCCCTGGTGTGAGTTCTAGAATTTGTGGTTTTATCAGGTTCTGAGAGTTTGTCACTGTTTACAGTGGTGAAATTGAAAAGCTTGCATATAACACAGCTGCGCTTGTTGGGTGCTGCGGTGATATCCATATAATAGCATATAATAAGATACAGCACTCTTGCTGTAGGATGCAATTTAAGATAACAGGGCTGCCTTGCAAGGCAGCAAACCTCAATCTCAGCAACCTTGTCCTGTCTAGCCCATGTCTCCTTTCTCTCTTAATTACATTCCAGGCAGCCCAGATTCCCCTGTATGCATATCATGCCCCCAAAATACCAAGGCCTCTGCAATTAACAGCTCTCCAGACTTTGTAATACTAACCTGTTATGGAGACACAGCTCAGTTTTCCAGTCTGGTTTCTGACAGATATGAAGCCAAAAATCAATTTTTTCAAGATACGGCACTTTTTGCTGTTGCTAAGTGATAGGGAAATCTGAAGCAGTTCACTGAATATTAAAGGAGGATTAAGTTAACAACATTCATGCTTCTACTAACTGGAAATTATCCTGCCTTGCACAATATTTTGGCTAAAACTATATTGTAAAATTTTATAAGAAAGGGAATAGAATATAGGGTGGTGAGAAAAAAATACTAGCAGCTCAAAGGAGATGGAAGGTAAACAGACTTCGAGTATCTGAAACTTGTGAGGCAATATGTAGCTAGTTTTCTTTTCTTTAAACTCATTGAGATTAGTTGCTTTGTAATACTTTAAATATTTCTAAAATTTTATTTATTTTTTCAAGTTATCATTCAATTACTTGAATTAGATTTGAATGCTTAATAATGCCTGGCATGGTTGAGAACTGTTACTTTTCTTTACATTGAATTAGTCTCAGACATGCCTGATCATAAGGATCACCTGGAACTGTGTTAAAAGTAGAGATTTCCAGGCCTGGACCCCAGAGGTGCTACTTCAGGTTTGGAGTCCAGAATTCTATATTTTTTCCAAGTTTTATTTTGAAATTAAATATTTAAAAATTAATATTCAAATGTATTTCTGCACTGAGATTCAGCAGTTGTTAAAAGTTTGCCACTATAGATAGCTAGATAGATGATAGGCGGACAGACACATAGATATAATAATTTGGCCTCTTTTCACTAAGACATTAAATAATCTGTTGTAATTAGTTTCCACTCTGGCTCCTTGATAGTTTGCAATCCCAAGAACTTAACATATAATCAAACAACAGACCATTAGTTAGAAGAAGGTCACACTCAACATATAACTGTCAAATGGTTCTTGTTTATTGTGAAATAATGCAATGCATATAAATATGCATATTTAAACATGTACATACCTTTTAAAAACTAATGACAAGACATTAGCCTTGTTCTTATCACCCTAATAGAATTTTAATGTTGGCAGGAACTTAGGGTTCCTTGTGGGCCACAGCTAAACAGCCACCCCTCATCACTTCTTTACACATAACCCTTTTCTGAAATTTTGTGTTTTTAATTCCCTAGCATTTCTTTAAAGCTTTCCTCTATATATTTATCAGATGAAGTATTTTGTTTAGAATTCCTGCTACTGAACATTCTTACGTGGAATCATACTGCGAGGTGACAGTGTGCTGGCAGTCCTCAGAGCCCTCGCTCTCGGCACCTCCTCTGCCTGGGCTCCCACTTCGGCGGCATTTGAGGAGCCCTTCAGCCCACCACTGCACTGTGGGAGCCCCTTTCTGGGCTGGCCAAGGCTGGAGCCCACTCCCTCAGCTTGCAGGGAGGTGTGGAGGGAGAGGCGCCAGCGGCAACCGCGTGCGGCGCTTGCGGGCCAGCTGGAGTTCCGGGTGGGCGTCGGCTTGGCGGGCCCCACACTCGGAGCAGTCGGCCAGCCCTGCTGGCCCCGGGCAATGAGGGACTTAGCTCCTGGGCCAGTGGCTGCGGAGGGTGTAGTGAGTCCTCCAGCAGTGCCAGCCCACCGGTGCTGTGCTCGATTTCTCACCAAGCCTTAGCTGCCTTCCTGCGGGGCGGGGCTCGGGACCTGCTGCCTGCCATGCCTGAGCCTCCCACCCCCTCCATGGGCTCCTGTGCGGCCCGAGCCTCCCCGACGAGCACCACCCCCTGCTCCACCGCACCCAGTCCCATCGACCACCCAAGGGCTGAGGAGTGCAAGCGCATGGCACGGGACTGGCAGGCAGCTCCACCTGCAGCCCTGCTGCGGGATCCACTAGGTGAAGCCAGCTGTGCTCCTGAGTCTGGTGGGGAAGTGGAGAGTCTTTATGTCTAGCTCAGGGATTATAAATACACCAATCAGCACCCTGTGTTTAGCTGAAGGTTTGTGAGTGCACCAATGGACACTCTGTAACTAGCTGCTCTGGTGGGGCCTTGGAGAACCTTTATGTCTAGCTCAGGGATTGTAAATACACCAATCAGCACCCTGTGTTTAGCTCAAGGTTTGTGAGTGCACCAATGGACACTCTGTATCTAGCTGCTTTGGTGGGGCCTTGGAGAACCTTTATGTCTATCTCAGGGATTGTAAATACACCAATTGGCACTCTGTATTTAGCTCAAGGTTTGTAAATACACCAATCAGCACCCTGTGTTTAGCTCAAGGTTTGTGAGTGCACCAATCGACACTCTGTATCTAGCTGCTCTGGTGGGGCCTTGGAGAACCTTTGTGTCCATACTCTGTATCTAACTAATCTGATGGGGACGTGGAGAACCTTTGTGTCCATACTCTGTATCTAACTAATCTGATGGGGACGTGGAGAACCTTTGTATCTAGCGCAGGGATTGTAAATGCACCAATCAGTACCCTGTCAAAACAGGCCACTCGGCTCTACCAATCAGCAGGGTGTGGGTGGGGCCAGATAAGAGAATAAAAGCAGGCTGCCCGAGCCAGCATTGGCAACCCGCTCGGGTCCCCTTCCACACTGTGGAAGCTTTTTTTCTTTTGCTGTTTGCAATAAATCTTGCTGCTGCTCACTGTTTGGGTCCACACTGCTTTTATGAGCTGTAACACTCACCGCGAAGGTCTGCAGCTTCACTCCTGAGCCAGCGAGACCACGAACCCACCAGAAGGAAGAAACTCCGAATACATCGGAACATAAGAAGGAACAAACTCCAGATGCGCCACCTTAAGAGCTGTAACACTCACCGCGAGGGTCCGCGGCTTCGTTCTTGAAGTCAGTGAGACCAAGAACCCACCAATTCTGGACACAATACTACATGTATTCTCCAGTGATTTGCTTTTTCTGTTGTGCTATAATTTTGAGATACATCTCTGTCCACGTGCACAGCTATAATTTGTTTTCACTACAGGATATTATTGTATCATGTGAATGTACCAGAATTTATTTATTCAGTCTACCATTGATGGACATTAGGCAAGTTTTCATTCTTTTAAATATGAATAGTGTTATCAAGAACATTCTTGTCTATATCCTGTGTGCATGTGCAAGAGTCACTTCCAGGTACATAACTAGGAGTGTCTAAATTTCTAGAAAGCTGTAGTCATTTTCCTTAACAACAGGGATTACCATCATTAAGGAATATGACTAACCCCTTGAACTCCTTTTACTGGCCCAGAATTGGGTCTGACTTTTTGGTATGCCCCAGAATAAATAAATAAATAAATAAATATTTATTATTTATAATTATTATATATTTGTATTATTTTATATTTAAATATTAATATATTTAAAATATAAATGTAAAAATATATAATATATATTAAATATATATTTAAAACATTTTTACATAATATATATTATATAAAAGTAAATATATATGTTTTAAAATATATTTATATGTATTTTTTAAGCTTGGAGACACATAGGGCACCGTACAACAAACTCCAGCTCCAGAGGTGAGTGGAGATGGTCCAAGACTGGTTAAACTTTCACCCGTCTTGGCAAGACAATCATTTCAGCTGGGAATCTGCATACTGGCTCGTACCATGGCAGTTTTCATTGAGTCAGCTCAGTGTCCATATTGATGACTCACTAATACGTTGTTTGAATGCTTTTTTGACCTACTCTAACTTGATACTTTTTTACTCCACTTGGACAACGCAAATGACTGTATTCTTATGAACATGATCACATATTGAAAAGTACATAGGCTTAGGATTTAGAAGCACTTGCCTTTAGCAGGGTTGGCCATTTACACATTAGAGAGTTGTTATAATCAGAGATATGTGAAAAGAATTGGGCCCTTTGCCTAACACTTGATAAGCATTCAGTAAATTATAGCCTTTGTTGATACTCTTTTTGTTATTTGTCATTACTCAGAACTCAGAAATTCAGATATATTGAAATTCCCTTCTCAAATAATAGCCTTTTTTTTGCCTGACTGAATTCAGAAAAATTTACCTTCACCCTCATTCCTTGTTTCAAATCTCGTCTCAACTTCTAGTCTTCTTCTTTGAGTTATTCTCATAATGTTCCCATACATATTTTTAATTTAAATGTTTAACTTCTTTTAGTCTCTTCTTAAACATGCCCCAGTCTAAACTTTCAATTCTTACCCTCCTCCATCCCCACTATTCCCCCACTATCCTCCTCTCTAGTTTTGTTAATAGGATCACCGTCAACTCAGTTACCTTGGGCTATGACTCAGAACCCTCTTCCACTCCTCTCTTTACCTTAGTCCATCAGCGACTCCTGGAGGCCCTGCTTCCAAACCGTATCATGCCTCTGAACACTCCTAACCTGCAGTGTCACCTCCCCCATCTAAGCTGGTGTCAGCTCTCACCTGGATTGCTGCTGCCATCCCTCACTGCTCCCTGCTTCTACTCTTGCTCTCATTGTATGATGTCGGTCAGATCTGATCACTCCACCGACTGAATCCTCCAGACTTCCCAGTTGCAAATACCAAAAATGCCAAACCCCTTGCCATGGCCTTCAGATGAGATCAGACCTTTATCTGCATGTCTTACCTCAGTTCGCTTCACTCACTGTGGCCCAGTCACTCCTAAACCACTTTCTCTTTTCCTCCCTTCAGTATCCCATGCTCACTGCCATCTCTGACCCTTTGCACTAATTTCCTATCTTCCTGGAACTCTCTTCCCACAATTGTAGTGTGATGTTTATTTTTCATAGTTGAAACAGCTCAAAGGTCACTTCCTGAGACAGGCTTTCCCTGACTCTCCTAGAACTTACCATCCGTGTTTCTCTTAAGCTTGTTACATTGTTTTCCTCATAACTGTACTATCTAACGTTAAACTTTAACATTTCTTGACTTTTTTTAAATCTCATTCTACTACAATATAAACTGCAGCACAGTAGGTGGCAGAGTGTCTGTCTGCTTCATTGCTGTACTCTCAACATCTGTATTAGTGCCTCGTACATAATAGGTGCTCAATAAGTATTTTTTTAATTAATGAAGGGACAAATGTAAGGTAACTGGAGGTTAAAAAAATTACAGAAATCCTTACCTGTGTTACTGAGTAGCAATACTATTTATTATGTATGTATTTTAAAGGCATTAACATTTTTTATTTTTCAGGATTAATTGGAATTCTTCAAAATGTCAGGTAAGTTTTTGTGAATAAATTTGAATATGCTTTATTTTCAAATGTGAATTTTGTGATTATTTTCCCTAAAGGGGGACTTTATTTCGATTTTTTTTTGTTTAACATTTGGCAAATATAAATACGTGTGTGTGTTTGCATATATATATGTATGTATATATTTGTTATTTATGTATATAGACATTCCTATCATTGTCAGAAAAAGATTAAAAAGGGACTTACAGTGGGACACATATCTACTGAATAATCTTTGAAGTTTGTGGGGAAAATTAGGTAATAAAAAAAGCAAGATTTGCAAAGCAGTTCTGCAAAGAGAGGTTGTAGTAATAAAGAGCCTGTGGCAAGGTCCTGCCTTGGTAGAGGAGGATGAAAGTAGGCCTTGTATTTTCTAGTAACTTACATAAAGAGAGAAAAACCACATTTATGGGATTTTTGTTTGCTAGGAGATAAAAGTCAACTGGTTGTTTAGGAAACTCAGCTTTTTTTTGTAGTAAGCAGAGAGAGAAATTAGTCTCTAATCTCAATAAGAAGACAAGGTACAACATCATGAAACTGACTTCAGTACCTCCCTTGCAGCAATTACTGTGACCTAGATTGCTTTTAGAAAGAATACAGTGAAAATGTGAGTCACTGGAGATGTAGACTAAACTATTGCTAATTCAGTTGTGTGTGACACCACTGTTTATTAAACCATTATTTGTTTATGGTGTTATGTTGTGAATCTTTTTAGACAGCACTTTCCAAAAATAATTAGGAAAAAAAATCAACTTCACTCTATAAATGCTTGTGTTCTCCATATTATGTAAAGGGAAAAATAATTTTTGCTATTATGCCAGGAATTTACTTTGTAGATAAGAGTTAGCATCGGGGCAGTTGAACCACTAGTATGAAAGCTCATTGCTTTGATCACAAGCATAATATAATTGTTTAGTTCTATTTTTAAATCTATGTTCAGTTTGAAAATTCATGAAATTTATTAATAGTGTCTAATATATGATGAATTCTTTCTTTAAAAAATATAGGAGTGTATTTTCCAGTTGATTATATTTCTTGATGCATTCCCATAAGAAAGGAAAAAGAATACATTTTGTCATTATATTATTGTTTCCTTTGTAAGTCATGTTCCCTGTCTTCCCCTGAAGGTGTGGTACCCACAGCCCCTGAACAGCCTGCAGGTGAAATGGAAAATCAAACAAAACCACCAGATCCAAGGCCTGATGCTCCTCCTGAATACAATTCTCATTTTTTACCAGGTGGGTTAAATATTCATAAAAGATATTCTCCTTTGCTAAAAACCATACTAATGATTAAAATTGCTTTTTAAGCGAACAAATTAATTGACTGATTTAATAAGTAAATAAATATTGGATGCCAATAGGGTGCCACATAGTTTACTATATGTCAGTTAGAATATATTCCTGTAGCCATAGGATTTACAGGCTTTTAGATGGAAGTTGTGCAAATATTGATGACATTCTCTCCATTCTATATGGAGATATGAAGAGAGTGTTGTAAGGACACAGAAGACAGTATTTGACATTGCCAGGGATTTGAGGAAAGCCCTGACTAAGGAGGTCAAGTTTTGCTGTCATGATAAAAATTTCACAAGCAAAGAAAAGGGGGAAAGGACTATCCTTAGCAGAAAGAATCATATGTCCGTAAGTACAGGGTCATGAAAATCTGGTATGAGGCATGCATGAGACACATGGAAGATGTGCAGAGAAATGGAAGTGAATGGCCATGGGTGCTGATTAAGGAGCTTATCTTTCTGGCAAATATTTTTGTAAGTCTGAGTGCACTACTGGTGATGTCTTGGGAGAATGAATACTTTATACAGTGCTAGTGTGAATTTGAGATATTATGATTGTTAGAAAACAATTTGGCCAAGTTTAAAATTTTAAAAATTAAAAGTGCCCTTACTTTTGGCCAAGGAAATAGTTAGTATTGTCTTTAAACACATTTTAATGACTTACATAATGATGTAGACACTGTAGTAATATTTTTTTAAAATACATATTTAAGCGTATATTTAGAAGTAGAAACCATTGTGTTATGCTCTGAAGGGGGAAAAGAAACCCTGCTATGTACAAGATAATGGCACAAGATAATGGCAAAAGTTTTTTTTTTGAGATGGAGTTTCAGTCTTGTTGCCCAGGCTGGAGTGCAATGGTGCGATCTTGGCTCACCACAACCTCCACCTCCCAGGTTCAAGTGATTCTCCTGCATCAGCTTTCGGAGTAGCTGGGATCACAGGCATGCACCACCACGCCCGGCTAATTTTTGTTTTTTATTTTTTGTTCTTTGTTTTTTGTTTGTAGAGACAAGGTTTTTCCATGTTGGTCAGGCTGGTCTCGAAGTCCCGACCTCAGGTGATCCACCTGCCTCAGTGTCCCAAAGTGCTGGGATTACAGGTGTGAGCCACCGTGCCCGGCCAAAGGTTTTTTTTGGCTCTAGGCATATGATCCATACAGCTCAGGTGGCTTCTGCACCTACAGTGTTTTCTGAAAGCATCAGGATTTCCTTTTTTCTCTTCCTAATGTGTATGTGTGTTATGAGGATAAAATGCATTATAACATACTGCATTAATAGCGCAACCTTTCCTAAATCCAAGGTATTAAAAATTAAATTATTAAATTATAATCATGCTTTATCTATCGTTTCTCTATATGTCACTTCAGTGACTTCCAACATGATATACAAGATCTATCTTATATTTACCAATTACTCTATATCCAAAAACCTAGACCCTACTAGAACAGAAACTTCACCATTTCTGAGAAAAACCTTGGTTATACATCATGTTCTCATCTGATAAAGCGTATGTCTATTCTTCTGTATATCAATAATTCAGCAAGAGAGTAGGCTACATCCTTCAAATTAAATGACAAGGTAAGTTGTAAAAATATTATAGTGCAGACCACACAACTAATGAATTTTCAGTTATAAAATATAGCAAAATTTCGCTCTGATCGCCACCTGGTGGCTGGACTATAAACTTACGAAGACTGACAAAAATTGTCTCTGTGACTCAAATTAAGAATCTTGAAATCTGTACTTGAATTATGTAGTGTTAATGAATTTATCCCAATTTCTTTACATAATTCCAATTTGCATTATGGTGTTGGATATGTGTTCCCACAAAAATAATTTTATCCACTATTCTTGTTTAAGAGAATAAAGAAACCTTTGTTATATTTAGTATATTTAAAGAGAAAATGGCATGATTTCCTGATGTTCAAAATAACTAAAAAAACTCAAATCCTATCAGACAGTGTGTCTTACACCAGTATTGGTAGGACAACGCTCCGTAACAGAGGTCTTTATTTACGTAAGTCTGAGATGCTATAGTTACACAAAGTTAAACATATTTTGTTTTGTTTTGCTTTGTTTTCCTGCAGAAGCAATCAGAACTCTTATGAAAACTTCAAAGCTTAGAAGAAAGTATAATATACCAATTTCCCACATATAATTTCATCATATGTTTTCCTTCTTTTATCTCTGGATAATACATACTTATAACAAAAATTGTTCAATTACATAAATATGTATTTAATTTTAAAATAAATATAAATTTAATTTTAAAAAATATAATCTCTATACGAATAGCCTCAAAATCTAAATGGCAATTTTTTTCTGATTTATTGATCTTCAAATTTTATAACATGAGGTGCTTTTATATTAAAAGTACATGGTAAATTAATCATTAACTCATTGAAGTGATATAATGATTAATATTCTTGAGATAATTCATATGATTTTTAGTTACATTGTTATTTTTAATAATAGTTAAAAAAAGAAGGTATGGATATCTGATTTCTAGTCCAATTCGGGTACTCTTAAATACAATTCTTAAAGGAATTAAAGTATATTCTTCATAACAAACTTAAATACATACTTACCTTCACTTTTTTCCAAATACGTTATACTTTTTTTCTCACTTAACTCTCATTTGACATTGTTTCCTGTTACCATTATTTTCCCTTTAGTCTGCTTACTGTCAGTTTCTGTCAAAAACTGTGTCCCTACTCTTAAAAAGTGCTGTTCTCAAAATTATTTGGTCTACTCCCCTGGTTTTCCCTGCCCTTCCCCATCTCCTTCTCTCTCCTCTCCCAGTCACCCTTCCTTTTACACACTCTTCTAAGTGATCTTGTTAATACTGAAGGTTTCCTTTTCCTTCATCACTTATGAAATACATATCCACAGATCATGTCAGTCTGATAGTCTCTAAACTTGCACTTCCAACCACCTATAGACTGCTTCTCATGAAAGACCATTGAATCTCAAACTCAATGATCACCAGCCCAACTTTGTTATCTTGCTTCTAAACTCTATTTTCTTTCTCCATTCTTCCCATACACTGGAGGCCTGTAGGATCCCAAGCCAGAAACTTGAGAATCTTTTCTCATATCCAGTCCACTTCAAAGTCAATGTTGTATCTTAAATGTCAATTACCATTTCTCCACTCTCTGCTCCTTTCACCAAAATCAGCCTTCCTTGCCTTCTAGCCAGACCCTTGCAAGTACTTCCTGCCTAATCTGACCTCATATATAAAGAATTCTAAATGTAAAATGAATCACTTTACTTTCCATTTGATTGGCATAAAGTTCAAGGTCTTTCATAATCTTCATCCTATCTTTCTAGCCTTGTCTGCTAAATCTCCACACACAGCAGTTCGTCCTGCAGTAGTGAGCCTCCTCTATGCACCTGCCTGTTCTTGTCCGTTTGCCTGTAAAACCTTTCCCCATCATGGAGATGCTGGCTAGGTCTAGTGTGTTAGCATCTATATCGTAGTATACCTTCTCTGCATAGGTTAGGTACCCCTCCTGTCTAATCCCTTAACATGCTATGCATCTACCTATGATTATGTCAATTACTTGCTTCGTGACAACCATTCACCTTTTCTTATACATCTTTGTAGCCTCCACAGAACTTGCTGCCCTTGGAGACAGGCATGCATTTGAATGTCTTTCTGTCTTATATTTCTAGCAGCAAGCACAGAAGCTGGTCCTTGAAATGGGCTTGAGGAATATTTCATAGATAAAAGAATCTTTGATTTATCTCATGGCCTTGTTTTCAGATAGTATTAGGAGAATTTCATGATTCATGACTATTATGAGTGGCATTTTTATGAGTAACCAAAATGTCTTAGACTTCATCACCTTCAAAGGCGACTGGCTTTTGCATTATTGGTTGACCCCAGACCACTGCATTGTCCCATGATGTCCCATGGAGGTGAAAGGGTAGAACTTAAGGACTTAAAAATAGCTGCTAGCTAGAGATGCCAATCCAGTGTATAGGCCCAAAGCCCTCCATAGAATCACGCCTGGGGTGCTCTTCTTCCTTGTCTCTGATCTAGGGGGAGTATTAGCATGATGTATTTAAGGACGTTTCTGCAGTCAGAATGCTGGAATTCTAATTCTACTCCTGATACGTCAGCTAATGACTTTCACCAAGTTACTTAACCTCCTTATGCCTCAGTTTTATTCTCTATAAATTAAGGATAATAATAGTATCTACTATATATGGTTGATGTAAAGATTACAAGGTTTAGTACTTGTAACGTTGTTAGAGTAAGGGCTGGAATATGATGAGAGCTCAATAAGTTTTAGTTATTATCTTTCTTTTTATTTTTTTTTAATCAACATAGCTTTCTCTAACAGGACTTTCTTCCAGATCTGGGTAGTATCCAGGACCCAGTTATTTGGGGGCTCTGAGAGAGACCATAATCTCCACCTTATCACATTTAAGTGAATTTTTCATTATGCAAGAGTGACCTTTTCAAAAACTGGCTGCCTATGGGACTGTCTACATTTTTGTTTGTTTGTTTGTTTGTTTTTGAGACAGAATGCTGCCGTGTTGCCCAGGCTGGAGTACAGTGATGCAATCTCGGCTAACTGTAACCTCCGCTTCCCGGGTTCTAAATGATTCTCCTGCATCAGCCTTCAGAGTAGCTGGGATTACAGGCATGCACCACCACGCCCGGATAATTTTGTATTTTCGGTAGAGACGGGGTTTCACCATGTTGGCCAGGCTGGTCTCAAACTCCTGACCTCAGGTGATCCACTCACCTCGGCCTCCTAAAATGCTGGGATTACAGGCGTGAGCCACAGTGCCCAGCCGGGACTGTCTGCATTTTTCAGGAGATGTCAATCCCTTCCCTACAAAGCTATGTGGCATTGCTCTTTGATTACAAAAGACAGAAAATTTGCTAGTCCTGTAGACCTACAGTTCCCAAAACTGTGTTTACTTAGGGAGACATAACACCATTTGTGGAGCTTTAACAACACAGCCCAAATTGGGCTTCTACTGTTCTAGCCTTGTTCATTTTTGCACACTTATGTGGACATGAGGTGAATCTCAGCTTCTAACATCTTTCAGCTGTCATCTGAACTGAAAATCCAACAATTTTTGGGCAGAAACACAAAAAAAACATATACATACATATACACACATTACAAGGAAAAGCAGTAATTTTCAGAAAGAAACTACAGTTTAACCTATATTTAGGTAAAAATTATTTTTTTCTTCAAGGTGGAAATCTACAGAGAAAAATCTCCAACCATAGTAAAAACAAGAATTTACATGATTATACATTGCAGTGTTGCAACATTGATTCCATCTTTTTCATTTCAGAATAGAATCTTTGCTGTCCTTATATTAGTTAAATAAAAGGATCTTTAAATCATTGGCTTTCAAATATTCTTGATGATAATCTAATATAACACATAGTGAATAATACATACATATATATTCAATATATTTATGTATAAGTAACACGAGTTTCACCAGACAATACTGAATATAAAGTGAGTAGATAGTATACTAATAATACAGTTTCATATTTTCTATTTTATTCTTCTCTAGTTGACTATATTTTCAAAAATTAATATTTGAATTATTAAATTGATTTTAATACTCTGAATATATCTTCAGTTTGTAAAATGCTGTATCAAAACAGAGTTTCTCAAACTTAGTAGTTGATAAGAATTGATGAAATATCAGACAAAACATACTTTGAGGAAAAAATTATTACTAGAGATAATGGTCATTTTATAATAATAAAAGTGTCAGTCATCAAGACAGAATGAGTGTATTCATATATACACATAAAAACAATGCTCCAAAATATATGAAGTAAAACTGGTAGAATTGAAGGGTGAAATAGATAATACAATAAATAATAGTTGGAGACTGTTATACCCCACTTACAATAATAGATAGAACAACTAAGCAGAAGATCAAAAAGGAAAGATCTGAACAGCACTATAAACCAAACTGGGCACAACAGACAATCTACAACAGACACTCTAGACGTAATAGCATAATAGAACACTCTACCCAACAACAGCATAATACACATTCTTCTTGAAACATATGGCATTCTACAGTATTGTGGTTAGGTCATGAAACAAGTCTCAACAAATTTAAAACAATTAAAATCATGTAGAGTATATTCTTCTACCCCAGTGGTAGAAGAATACTTTTAAATGACACTAGGGGCAAAAAAAACATCACACACAGGGAAATTAGAACATACTTTGAGATGAATGAAAACGAAACACAGTATGCCAAAACATATGAGCTAAAGAAGTGCTTAGAGGAAAATTTATAGCTATAAACACCTCCATTAAAAAAAAAGGAAGAGGGCCGGGCGCGGTGGCTCACGCCTGTAATCCCAGCACTTTGGGAGGCCAAGGCGGGCGGATCACGAGGTCAGGAGATCGAGACCATCCCGGCTAAAAAACGGTGAAACCCCGTCTCTACTAAAAATACAAAAAATTAGCCGGGCGTAGTGGCGGGCGCCTGTAGTCCCAGCTACTTGGGAGGCTGAGGCAGGAGAATGGCGTGAACCCGGGAGGCGGAGCTTGCAGTGAGCCGAGATCCCGCCACTGCACTCCAGCCTGGGCGACAGAGCGAGACTCCGTCTCAAAAAAAAAAAAAAAAAAAAAAGGAAGATATCAAATCAGTAATCAAACTTTCCACCTTAAGGGAAAACCAAGCCAAGAGGTAGGAAATAATAAAGATTAGAGCATAAATAAATGAAATAGAAAAAAGAACAATAAACAAAATCAACAAAACCAAAAATTTGTTATTTGAGAGGATCAACAAAATTAAGAAACCTTAAGTCAAACTAACCAAAAATAAAAATAAAAATAAAACACCTCATATTACTAAAATCAGGAATGAAAGTGAGGCTTTTACCATAGAGAAATTGAAAAGTATCTTAAGGGAATAACATGAACAATTGTGTGTACAATTTATTGTATGCTAATAGGAAACCTAGACAAATGGACAAGTTCCTAGAAAGATACAAACAATTGAAATTGACTCAAGAAGAAACAGAAACCTTAACAGACTTATATAACAAGTAAAGAGATTAAATTCGTCATTTAAAACTTTTCCACAAAATAAAGCTAAGGCCCAAATGGCTTCAATAGTGAATTTGGCCGGGTGCTGTGGTTCACGCCTGTAATCCCAGCACTTTGGGAATCCGAGGCGGGTGGATCACCTGAGGTCAGGAATTTGAGACCAGCCTGACCAACATGGCGAAATCCCATCTCTACTAAAAATACAAAAATTAGCTGACAGGTGCCTGTAATCCCAGCTACTTGGGACACTGAGACAGGAGAATGGCTTGATCCCGGGATGCAGAAGTTGCAGTAAGCAAAGATCACACCACTGTACTCCAGCCTGGGTGACAGTTGAGACTACATCACAAAAAAAAAAAAAAAAGGAAATTTTACTAAATGCTGCATGAAGGTTTTAATACCAGTCATTTACAATGTCTTCCATAGAAATGAAAGAAGAATGAATTCTTCCTAGCTAATTCTAGAGGCCAGTATTACCCAATTAGCAAAATCTGACATAGATGTTACAAGAAAAGAAAACTAAAGATCATATCCCTAATAAATATAGAATCGGACTTTCTCAACAAATTACTAGCAAACCAGATTTAGGAACATAAAAAAGGATTAAACACCATGACCAAGTGGGATTTATCCCATGGATAAAAGATTGGTTTATCACATTAAATATCATATTAAAACACATCAATGTATGTACTATATTAATAAAATATAGTACAAACACCACATGACCACATCAGTAAGCACAGAAATCACACTTGACAAAATACAACATCCTCCATGATAAAAACACTTAAGAAACTAGAAATAGGAGGAACTCCCTCAATCTGATAAAAGAGTACCTATGAAAAACTCACACCAAACATTATGTTTAGGAGTAAAGACTGAAAACGTTCATTTCATCTAAGATCAAGAATGAGACAGGGTATCTTTCTTGCCACTTCTATTCAGCATTGTACTGGAAGTTCTAGCCAGAGCAATTAGTCAAGAAAAAGAAAGAAAATTCATCCAGATTGAAAGAAAGAAACAAAACCATCTCCATTTGCAGAAGACATGAGCCTATATATGTAAAAAGTCTAAGCTGGGTGCAGTGGTACACTCCTGTACTCCTGTAGTCCCAGTTACCTGGAGGCTAGGGTAGAAGGATCAATTGAGTCCAGGGATTTGAGACTGCAGTGAACTATGATCATACTACTGCACTTCAGCCTGGGTGACAGACTGAGACCCTGTCTAAAAAAAAAAAAACCCAAAAAACAAAAAAAAACAAAACAAAAAAACCCATATATACCCACAAACAGCACAATAAACAAGTTCAGCAGTGTGTTAGGATATAAGATCATAATACAGAAATCCAAAAGTATTTCTATATATTAACAATGAAAAATGTAAAAAGAAATTAAAATTATAATTCCACATACAATAACATTAAAAATAACATACCCAGAAGTAACTTTAATAAAAGGAGTAAAATATCTTTCATATTGAAAACTATAAAACGTTGAAAGAAATTAAAGAAGACTACGTAAGTGGAAAGGCATTTTACAGATTTGAAAAGTAAATATTGTTAAATGGAAATGCTCCTTAAATTGATCTACAGATTCAACACAATTCTTATCACAGTGGAATTTTTAAATTGACAGGCTATTCCTCAAATACATATGGAAATGTAAAGGATTCAGAATAGCCTAAACAATCTTGAAAAAAAATTGGAGGACTCACAATTCCCAATTTCCAATTTACTATAAAGCTACAGAAGTCAATACCACAGTACTAGCATAAAGATAGACATATAGACCAATGAGATAGAATTGAGAGTCTAAGAAATAAACCCAAACATCTGTAGCCAACTGATTTTTTACAAGCATGTCAAAATAATTCAATAGGGAAAGAATACTCTTTTCAACAAAGGATCTGAGACAAATGAATATCAACATACAAAAGAATGATTTGAAACTGTCTCACCCTAAACACAAAAACTCTAAATGAATCAAAGATCTATGTGTTTGAAAGACCTATGTCTAAGAGTGAAAACTATAAAACTTTTACAAGATATAGATGTAAGTATTTATGTCCTTGGATTAGGCAATAGTTTCTTAGATATGATATGACACTCTAAAGCACAAACAACCAACAAAAAATAAATTGGACTTCATAACAATTAAAAAGTTTTGTATATCTAAGGACACTATCAAAGAGAAAAGACAACCTACACAATGAGAGAAAACACTTGCAAACTATCTGGCAAGAGACTTTTATCTTGAATATATAAAGAACATTTATAATGCAACAATAAAAAGACAAATGATTCAGTTTTAAAGTAGGCAAAAGATTTAATAGATAGTTCTCCAAAGGAGATATACAAATGGCCAATAAGCACATGAAAAGATGCTGAACATCATTAGTAATCAGAAAAATGCAAATAAAAATCACAATAAGATACAACTTCATACCCACTAAGATGACTAAAATAAAAACAGACAATAACAAGTATTGGTGGAGGATGTGGAGAAAGTAGAACTCTCATATTTGCAAGTGGACATGAAATTGTAAAGCCACTTTGGAAAACAGTTTGGCAGTTAATAATGGAGTTACTAAATATTTCAGCTAATTTCACTCATAGCTAGAGAACTGAAAACATGTCCACACTAAAACTTGTACATGGAGGATCACAGCAGTGTTATTTATAATAGCCCAGAGTGAAAGCAACCTAAATGTCCATTGACTGATTAAACAATACCTAAAATGTGATATATCCACACAATAGAATACTACTCAGCCATAAAATGGAATTAAGTACTTATATGTGCTACAACATGGATGAACCTTGAAAACATGCCAAGTGTAAAAAAAAAAACAGACATAAAGGCCTATTGTATGTTTTCATTTACATGAAAAGTGTAGATTAGGCAAATCCACAGATAGTAGTGGTTTTCAGGGACTGTGGGGAAGAGGAGATGGAAATTGCTGCTAATGGGTATGGGTGTTCTTTCTGGTATGATGAAAATTCTGGGTTTAGGTAGCAGTGATGGTTGCACAACTTTGAGAATATACTTAAAACCACTACATTGTACATTTTAAAAAAGGATCAATGAAATAAAATGTTTTGTTAATCTCAAGTTTTGCCATAGAGATCCTGTTGCAATAGATTGGAATGAGGCTCAGAATCTGGAATTTTACTAAGAACTCCAGATTATCTTGAAGGACTTGGTATATTGAGCCACAATTTAAGAAACAATATGTTGAGGTGATTTTTTTCTCTAAATTTAAACATCTGCCTTTGAAAATCTGAAAAATCTAGTTCCATTTTTAAAAATTGCCTTCATGTCTTGTCACTAAGGCTTCAGATTTTACAGTTCAAGTCTTAGCTGGTATTCCCTGCTCATAAAAAGTTGTTTTTATTTAATTTAAACTAAAATAGATCCACAGTTGGACCCCTATATTTGTGAATTCTTCATCCATGGATTCAAAAAAGTGTGGATTAAAAATATTTTAAAAGCACAATTAAAAATGACAATAAAAATTATACAATAAAAATAACACAAAAACAATTTATATTAGCATTTACATTGTGTTAGCTATTGTAAGTAATCTAGACATCATTTAAAGTATATGGGAGGCTGTGAGTAGGTTACATGTAAATACTACACCATTTTATATAAGGGACTTAAGCATTTGTAGGTTTTGGTATTTGAGGGAGTCCTGGAACCAATCCTTTATGAATATCAAGGGACGACTATACTGAAATCTTAACATAAAATATCTTGACTTACATAACTTATTTTGTTTTCAACCACAGGACATTATTCCTTAAATTCTCTCTTAAAGGAGAAAAACCTTTCTTTATCTGAGCCTGGCCTTCCTGACAGTTCAGACAACATCACTTGTGGGCTGCTTGTGGCTCTACTACTCACAGGATTTCAGTTAGAGCTACAAGACCTTAGCAATAAGTTAGGGTCTGTTGCATATTTCTGGGTAGACAACCAAGACCCAGTTATTTATAAATTTTAATTAATTAATCTTAAAAACTTGGAAAGTGAAACAAAAATAAATTAGTAATGATCAAAGTTATTCAAAAAATTCCTGGTAACCAGACCTAGATAGATATGCAGTAATGGCATTCTCATACTTATTGTTGGCAATTCTTTGACTTTAAAAAAACATAGTGAAATGCAAAGTTACCACTGCTTATCTTAAGAGACCTTGATAAAAAAATTCCTAAAGTCAAACATTAGCTGTTGTGTGCTTATTCATTTTTATGAGTACTCTTTTTAAAAAATATTTTATTTCCATAGGATTTTGGGGAACAGGTGGTATTTGGTTATATGAGTAAGTTCTTTAGTGGTGATATTTTGTGAGATTCTAGTGCACCCACCACCCAAGCAGTATACACTGAACCCAATTTGTAGCCTTTTATCCCTCACCCCCTTCCCATCATTACCCCTGAGCCCCCAAAGTCCATTCCATTGTATCATTTCTATGCCTTTGCATCCTCATAGCTTAGCTCCCACTTACGTGTGAGAACATACAATATTTGGTTTTCCATTCCTGAATTACTTTCCTTAGAATAATAGTCTCCAATCGCATCCAGGTTGCTGTGAATGCCATTAATTCATTCCTTTTTATGGCTGAGTAGTATTCCATCATATATATATGTAATCCCACATTTTTCTTTATCCACTCGTAGATTGATGGGCATTTGGGCTAGTTCCGTATTATAGCAGTGAATTGCGCTGCTATAAACATGCATATGCAAGTATCTTTTTTTGACTTCTTTTCCCCTGGATAAATACCCCAGTAGTGGGATTGCTGGATCAAATGGTAGTTCTACTTTTAGTTCTTTAAGGAATCTCCACACTGTTTTCCATAGTGGCTATACTAGTTTACATTCCCACCAGCAGTGTAGAAGTGTTCCCTGTTCTCCGTACATGTCAACATCTGTTATTTTTTGAGTTTTTGATTATGGCCATTCTTGCAGGAATAAGGGGTTATTACATTGTGGTTTTGATTTACATTTCCCTGATCATTAGTGATGCTGAGTATTTTTTCATACAATTGTTGGCCATTTGTGTATCTTCTTTTGAGAATTGTCTATTCATGTCCTTATCCCACTTTTTGATGGGATTGTTTGTATTTTCTTGCTAATTTGTTTGAGTTCGTTACAGATTCTGGATATTAGTCCTTTGTCAGATGTATAGATTGTGTTTGGGTTGTCTGTTTACTCTGCTGACTGTTGTTTTTGCTGTGCAAAAGCTCTTTAGTTTAATTAAGTCCCACCTACTTATCATTGCTTTTGTTGCATTTGCTTTTGGGTTTTTGGTCATGAAGTCTTTGCCTAAGCCAATATCTAGAAGGGTTTTTCTGATATTATCTTCTAGAATTTTTATAGTTTCAGGTCTTAGATTTAAGTGCTTGATCCATCTTGCGTTGATTTTTATATAAGGTGAGAGATGAGCATCCAGTTTCATTCTCATACATGTGGCTAGCCAATTATCCCAGTACCATTTGTTGAATAGGGTGTCCTTTCCCCACTTTGTGTTTTGTTTGCTTTGTCAAAGATCAGTTGGCTGTATTTGGGTTTATTTTTGGGTTCCCTATTCTGTTCCATTGGTCTATGTGCCTATTTTTATACCAGTACCATCTTGTTTTGGTGACTATGTCCTTATAGTATCATTTGAAATCAAGTAATGTGATGCCTCCAGATTTGTTCTTTTCACTTACTTAGTTTTGCTTTGGCTATGCAGGCTCTTTTTTGGTTGCATATGAATTTTAGGATTGTTTTTTCTAGTTCTGTGAAGAACGGTGATAGTATTTTGATGGGAATTGCATTGAATATGTAGACTGTGCTCTTAAAGCATGATAAAATCTTGTATCCATTTAAGGAAATCTAGGTTCCTTGATGGACTTATAATGACAAAGATAATTCATCAGATCTCTGATTGAAGGTGGAATGGGGAGAAATGATAGAGGGATAAGTGCTGTGGGCTGAATGTTTATATCCCTCCCAAATTCACATATTGAAGTCCCATTTCCCAATGTGATGTTACTTGGAAGTGGGGCCTTTCAGAGAAAATTAAATCAAAAGAGTGGAGCCCTCATGATGGCACTCATACCCTATAAGAGGAGACATGAGAGGGATTCTGTCTTTCTGTCTCTCTCTCTCCCCCTTCACTCTGTGAGCATATAGCAAGAAGGTGAACATCTGCAAACCAGGAAAGGCTCTCACCAGGTTTGACCATGCTAACATTTATCTTTGAACTTCCCAGCCTCCAGAACTATAAGAAAGAAATGCTTGTTGTTTAAGCCACTCAGTTTGTGCTTATTTTGTTATAGCAGCATAACTACTAAGAAAATAACTTTAAGAAATTGAATCTAAAAGAGGTCAGGATTGGGGACCAGTCTGAGAACTCGATGATGAAGATATGTACAAGCGATTGGGTCAAGGCAACCTAAAATATTCATTAAAAGCACTCCTTTGAAATGAAGTAGACATTATTTATGTAACCACAAACAATAACAATAGACATAATAACAAAAATTTGCAGGAGTAATTATATGTTAGTAATTATACGTTAGTAATTAATACGTTAGTAATTAATCCCACTACAACCTCATTAGGTAAGTTTATTATCTCCAAGGAGGAACCTAATTTATTAAGAAGCTAACATGTTTCTTCTAATGTTTCAAAACTTATTTTTGTACCATTGAAATGGGAATAATTATCTTATAAGCTTTAAGAGGATTAAATGAATTAATATGTAAATAAGTCTCCCTAATACATCGTTGGGTCATATGCAACCATGATCTGCATAAAGTGTGAATCAAAAATGGAACAAGTTGTTATATTTAAGTGGATGTCGTGTGATCTATTTCATCGCATGTAAAAAGTTATGCTAACTTTAGTGTTAATAATATATAACACTTTGATTTCTTTTGAACACAGGACCCCCTGGAACAGCTGTCCCTCCACCTACTGGCTACCCAGGAGGCTTGCCTATGGGATACTACAGTCCACAGCAACCCAGTACCTTCCCTTTGTACCAGCCAGTTGGTGGTATCCATCCTGTCCGGTATCAGCCTGGCAAATATCCTATGCCAAATCAGTCTGTTCCAATAACATGGATGCCAGGGCCAACTCCTATGGCAAACTGCCCTCCTGGTCTGGAATACTTAGTTCAGGTACTCCATGAAAATACAAATTATTTTCTTATGAAATGTGACCATAGGGATCCAACAAAGAGAGAAAAAAAGCAGACCAGAGTGAATAAAGGAGATGGGTCAGTGATGACAGATGCCATTTGTGAAACTATAAGAACAGTGATACCAGTTTCAGAAATATGAAGGGGAAACAGCAAGTACAAGGATGTTTATAGTGGGATGAGTATGTTTTTCATAAGGATTTATGTTGAACTTCAAGGCATTCAAGATGTTTTCTTGAAAGAATTGTACAAATGGAAATAGAAAAACTATCATAGAGGATAGTTGTGTTATTTGCTTAGAAGTAAACAGTTAACATCAAAAAAAGCACAAAAGAGAACAAAACACAATACAGTGGGTAAATTACTGAGTGCCTTAGCCCATTGCTTTTTACCACCACCCATCATTTTCATTAGCTACTCTTGTCACCCCCAAAAACAAACAATATAAATAAAAATAATGGACCCTACAAAGAATATTGCTTCAGGCCAAGTTCCAGAGACCCCCTTCATACAACACAATAACTCCCTAATTAACATCTATGTAGATATTCTGCTGCCACCAGGACATGCAGATCAAAAACTGGGGTAATATGGGAAGTTTGTGCACAAATAGTTTTGTTTAAAAACCCATGTCTGAAACTAAAAAACCTGCTTAATGAAAATAAGATAAAGCTGGCAGAGTAGACGCCTTTTATTTGTGGCGTTGATTCCTGCGGTTTCAGTTACCAATGGTCAACCAGGTTCCAAAAATATTAAATGGAAAATTCTAGAAATAAACCATTCATAAATTTTAAATTTATTCTGAGTAGCATGATGAAATCTTGCACAGTCCTGCTGTGTTCTGCCTGGCACATATATCATTCCTTTGTCCAGTGTATCCACGCTGTAGATGTTATCCATAGTATACAGACCCAGAGTCACATCTTGGTTA